>NC_000009.12:123220552-123845552 GCF_000001405.40 Homo sapiens
ATAATGTAAACAACTAAAATGGCATGTAGGTGGAGAACAGGGTAAAGGAAGTTAAAGTATTCTAAGATGCAGACATTGTCAGTACTACCAGTTACCAATTAACAATAGACTCCAACAAGTCAACAATGTATCACTGTATTTTTTTAAGAAACCCACTAACAGGACTGTATAACTAACCTCCAAATAACTGAGGAGAAAACATGATTTATTTTTTAAAATGCCCCAGTACAATGCCACTTCCTTTCAAAGTAGGAAGAAATAACTTGTCAAAAATGAAGAAACCAAGACTTAGCAGGGTTAAGTGACTTCCAAGTTGCAGAGCTAGTACGCAGGATTGGAATTTGAAATCAGGTCTATCTAGCTCCAAAATTTATATTATTTCCATGACATCACGTTAATTCTTGGTGGAAAAAGCAAAATGACCAACTGACAATAAAATAGAGACGTTTGTTTTTTGTTTATAGAGATTTTTTTTAAGGTAGTGGAAAGAATAATTAGAGAAAGAAAACAACAAAGAATTTTTAAAAAGAGAAAAGGAGGAGCTAAGCTGGGTGAAGCGTTGGGTCTCTCGGGCCTGCCTGTGTTTCAGGTCATAATCTCCTTCATCTTGGCTGTGGCTGTGACCCACAACATGCTCCTACTAAGGGGTGCCCCTTTCCTACCATGACTCCGGAGAGCCCTTCCTCCCAAAGACCCTCTCTCTGTCCCTTTGCCATTCCTCCCACATCTTGCCACTCACATCCTCCACGGGTGGTGGCAAAAGACAGAATAGGCATGCTCTTCACGCTCTATCAGTAACCAGCTGATGTGTCCTCAGACAAGTCTCCCTGGGTCGCACTTTCCTCATTTGTAAAAACAAGGGGTTGGATTAGAAGATCTCTTAAGACCCTTCAGAGTCATATTTTATTATCAATTAACTGTTAAAAATCTACACTTTGAAAACAGGAAAATTAAAAGACTATTAAAATTAACACTTGTGTACTCTTCATTTAGGTTCATCAATAGTTAACGTTTTGCTACATTTGCTGTATCTCTGTGTTTTGTGAAACCATTTGAAAGTAAGTTGCAGACATCTTGACTTCACCCCTAAATAAATACTTCAGCGTCTTTTTTAAGAATCCAGACCAAGGGTTTTAAAGAACGCTCCACATTCTGATTTCTCTGATTGTTTCTTCATTTCCGGCAATGATTTAAACAAAGGTGATGGTGCATAGCTCTTACTGCATCAAGTCAGGGGGTACTTGATACCAGCTCCTTGATCTTAAGTTTTAGTCACTTCATTAAGGTGGTGAATGACAGATCTCTATATTGTAAAATTATTTTCCCTTTATTAAGTAGAAAGTAACCTGTAAAGTGATACTTTGAGACTGTGTAAATATTTTCTTCTCCCAACAGTCTTTCACCTAATAGTTATGGCATCCAGTGATCGTCCTTACCTGAACCAGATTATTATGTGGGGTATACAAAAAGGTGATTTTCTCATTATATAATTCCTTTTACATTTATCACCTGGCAATCTTCTGCAAAGAAGATTTCGCTTTTCTCTCTTTCTCTTCACCTCCCTTCCTACCCCTCTCCTCGCTCTTTCCTTCTCTTTCTCACTATGAAATCATGGCAGTGTTTTCTTTTTTTTTTTTCCACTCAATGTCTATTACCATTTTGTAATGTTCAAGTTGTCTCAAATTTGGCCTGTGGTAGCCTTTACAAGTGAGTTCCTGTGTTCTTCAGACATGTGCCCCGAGCCTTTCACAGCTCCCTTGCTTTTTGACACAAGATGTTCCAGACTTAGACAGCACTCTTCTGGTCCCACACCTGGAATCAGCCACTTCTCCGAGGTTCCTTTTAGTGGCAAATGGTATTAAAAAAACAATATATGGGCACTAGATATGCTCATCTCTGCTGGCTGCCATTGCTTTTAGGCCCTTTCAGTCAATAGAGCAAGTAAATATTTTTAAAACCATGAGTTCAACAAATTACTAATATCAGAAATAAAAGAGGAGCCACCTATACTAAACTGTTGGGAATTAAAAAGATAATCAAGGAGTACTATGAACAATTCTACGGCCACTGATCGATAACCTCAGTAAAATGTATCAATTCCTTGGAAAGGCATACTCTTCCGAAGGTCACAGTAGAAACACAGATCATCAGAATAAGCCTATGCCTCTTAAAGAAGTTGAATTAACATTAAGAATATTCCAAAAGGAGAAGGCACCAAACCCAGATAGTTTCTCTTATGAAATCTACCAAATTTTAGGAATCACAATCTACTTTTACAATATGATCCAAAAATTGTGCTTAAGTATTTACCCAGTTGACCTGCACAGGAACGTTTATGACAGCTTTATTTATAATCATCAGAACTGGAAGCAAAAAAGATGTCTTTCGAGGTGAATACCAAAAAAAAAAGGCAAATGATAGCAATATTATTCAGTGATTTAATGGAGTTCACCATCAAAGCATAAAAAAGACATGAAGGAAGCTCAGATAGATAGATGATAGATAGATAGATAGATAGATAGATAGATAGATAGATAGATAGATAAAAATGAGCTCATCTAAAAAAAGCTATGTAATATATTATTCCAACTATATGACATTCCAGAAAGGGCAGAACTAAAGACAATAAAAATATCAATAGTTGCCAAGATTTCTGGAGAAAGAGGACAGAGGTTAATAAGTGGAAACGGGATTTTTAAAGCATGAAAGTATTCTTTATGAGACCATAATGGTAACCATAACATTATAAATATTTCAAAATTCACAGAACTGTATAACAGAATGAACATTATGCAAATTATACTTTAAATAATAACATATCAATATTTGCTCATTAATTTTAGCAAACGTGCCAACAGTAATGTAAGATGTTAAAAATAGGTGGAATTATGAGGTGGGAGTGAGGGGATAGAATGATATGAAAACTTTTTGTATTACATGCTCAATTTTTATGTCAATCTAAAACTCTCCAGTTAAAGAAATACATTAGTTTTTAAAATAATAATATAGTACCACTGTTTCAGGGAGATCTCTTCATACTAATGTTCAACAATCAGGTAATATCTAGACATTATGAGCTCAAAACATTATTATTAAATGTGAAGCAAAATTGGAAAAAAGAAACACAAAAGCATGAGTTCATATAGATAATTCCAATTCAACGTTACAATTTTTTTTTATGAACCTCTTGGATTTTTTTCCTCTTCCACTAAAAATCTTGATTCTTAGTATTTATTTATATTCATATATGTGCTTTATAATTAACAGAAATTACAGGGAACAGTTCAACATTTCTTTGCGGGATAAGCTCTCAGAGGCAAGAAGCCACTTTATTAATGGTTTATTTTTTACTTCTGACACAGGCAGAACCAAAGGTGCTAGAGTAGAGCAACAAAGTAGAAGCAAAGAAGAGTACGCAAGGTGCTCCAGAGATGCTATAGTTAGAAAAATTCCACATGGATTTACACTGGCAGAATTACACTTCACAACATGTTTCAAAATTCCGAGTTCCACAAAATTCAAATGCCACAAAACAAAATACACAGTGAATAAAAAAGAAAACATCTACTCATATTTATATATTAGCTCTAATCTTTACAAGGTGGAGCCCCATTTTATAAAGAAACTAAAAACTAAGAGATTAAGCTAACCAAATTCACACCCACTCATGCCTTGTCTAATCTTGTCTCCAATCATGGGCCCAAATCTTTTTTGTAACTATTTCCTAACAGCTGGACACACCTGTAACAAAAACACAATTCTTCACTCACAGAACAAAACAGCTTTCATTAACTCTCTCGCAGTTCAGGAACTAAACAGGGCTACCTATTACCTCCTGAATCAGATTTCACCTGACTTAATTCAATCCTATCACCCATTGTTCCCATCACTTCTAATTCCAGTCAGACCAGTGAGTTCTCTGTTCTAAAAAATGCCAAGATAATTCCCACCCACAGACATACTCACGATTCATCTTTTCACGCAACTTTCACGGAGCATTTACTACGTGTTCTAGGCCTGTACTCGATACTAAGAGGAGAAAGACAAAACAAGAAATCCCACCTCAAAGAGTTAATAACATTATAGGAAAGAGATACTTGTAACTGATTAGGTAGACTCAAACAAGTACTATACTGGGGTACAAAGTCCTATTGAAAACAGAGGAAGATGTCAAAAAGAAGTGACCAATTGGAACTTACATGTACTGCTGGTAGTAGTGGAAAGTGAAAAAAAGATACTTAAAACTTTTCAGCAGACTCTCCTAAAGCTGAACATACACAGAACCCATGACCCATTAGTTTCACTCCATGTTACATACCTAGAGAAACATATATATTTAAACCAGAGGACGTGCAAATATGTTCATAGCAGTACTTACTTGCATTAGTCAAAAACTGGAAATAGCCTATGTGTCCATCAATAGTACAATGGATAGTGTTATACTCACACAATGAAACAATATGAAATCAACAAAAAATGAAGTCCACAAATATTGAAAGAAATGCTGAAAGAAAGAAACCATACACACACAATTTTGATTACATAAAGTTTGAAAACAGGCAAAACTAGTCAAAACCAGTGATTCAGTGGTGGAGTGGGGAGTGTGCAGTGATGAAGATGAGGACACGGGAGAAGTTTCTGGGTGCTGGCAACGTTCTATTTCTTCTGGGTACCGGTTATAAGGATGAATTCACTTCAAGAAAATTCATCAAGCTATACACACTTATGATTTATGTAGTTTGTTTTACACTTTAACAAAAATTTTACTTACAAAAGACAGATGGGGAAAAAGGAAAACAGAAAAGTAAACTAGCATTTATATTCTAGTAAGTTCCTAGACACCATGGAAATTATTCTATCTAATCACAGCCACCTCTGGAGGTTGTGGTATACACGTGTTATTTCCTTTTTCAGCCCCACATCTGAATCCTCTTTCCTATGTTTGGGGAATCCCCCACCTTATGAGGCAGCGCCTACCTCCAGATGGTGATTCAAAAGCAAATGACTCAAAGAAGCTGGGTCCTCAGAAAATCTATTCTGGCAAGTGAAAGCAGCAAGCACAGCAGCTTCATCCAGTTTCCAGAGACAGTAATTCTACCTACAGTGTCTAGCACCCCCTGATGGTATTGGCGATTCAACCTCGTCTGTGCCTAGAATCTTGTTCCTGGATGCTAACTTCTCAGCCTATTTCTCCAGCCCTCCAAGAGATTCTGTGAGCCACCTAACACCCTGTTCATAAGTTCCTTTCCCAGACTCAATTTCTGTTGCTCACAACTAAAAGTCTTGACTATTACCCCATTTGATAAATGTGAAAAAAAGCTAATAACTTTGAAAAACAGTTTGGTGGTTTTTTATAAAGTTAAATTCACTTATCATACAATCCAGCGCTCCCACACCCAAGGTATTTGCCCAACAGAAATGAAAATGTTTATAGCAAATTTACTCATAATGGCCAAAAACTAGAAATAACCCCAAAATCCATCAACTGGTAAATGAATAAACTGTGGTAAATCCATACACTGGAATACTTCTGGGCAATAAAAAGAAATGCACTCCTGATACATGCAATTACACAGATGCATCTCGAAAGCACAGAGGCTAAATGAAAGAGGTTTGACTAAAAATGAGTCACACTTAAGAAATCAGATCAATGGTTTCCAGGAGCAGGAGGTGAAGAGAGGGAACTGACTACATGGCACTGAAAGGAACGTTTTGTAGTAATGGATATATCTTGATGGTGGTTACATGACTAAGTCTGTCAAAATTCATAGAACCGTATATTCAAAAAAAATGTATTTTACTATATTCAAAGTATACGTCAATAAAAATGACTTTTTTATTATTAAAAGGGACTCAAGAATGGCCAGAAATCTTCCTCAAGGTCACATATATACTAAGCAGATTCAAACTCAGGTTCTAATTCAGATGCCATGCCTTGAAGGTTAAAGAGATCTTGCTAAAGGCACAGAAAAGAGAAGATTGGGAAAGATAAGGGAAACTAAGTTGTCCTTTTCTCCCCAAAACCTAATCAAAATTTTTCAAGGCCTGCCTCAGACCCCCACCTCTGCCATACAGCCATCCATTTACTTATTCCACAAATATATCTTGAATGGTTACTATGTGCCACGCACTGTGACACTTTAGGTTACATCTGTAAACAAAACAGAAATCCCTGCCCTCATGGAGCTTCAGCTTAGCGGTGTTGGGGAGTGAGGGGGTGGCGGGGTGGGGAGGAAGAGCAATGTATCACTGTCTCAGTCCATTTTATGCTATTATAACAGAATACCACAGATTTGGTAATTTATAATGAATAAAAATATATTTGGCTCATGGTTCTAGAGTCTTGGAAATCCAAGACTAAGGGGCCACATCTGGTGAGAGCTTTCTTGCCACGTCATAACATGGTGGAAGGCATCACATGAGCGAGAGAAAGAGATCTAATTCACAGCCTCAAGTTCTTTTATAATCAGCATTAATCCATTCGTGAGAGTAAATTCCTCATGATCTAAACACCTCCTACTAGGTCTCACCTCCCCAAGTTGCTGCGGGGATTAAGTTTCCAACACATGCTTTTTGGGAGACGCATTCAAACCACGGCAATCATAAACATAAGTCAATAATGTACTCAATCAATGTTAAATGTTATGCAAAAATTTAAAAGAGGAGAATCCAGAATGTAGGAGGAGCAAGTTACATAATTAAAGGTAACCAGGGTAAGCTTACTGAATATGGTGAGCTTTGAGGAGATCTGAAAATGGTAAAGAACATTTCCAACAGAAAGAACATCAAGTGCAAAGGCCCTGAGTCTAACACACACCTGTTTGAAGAAGAGCAAGGAGGTGAATGCAGTAAGCCAAAGGATAACAACAACAGATGTGGTCAGAGAGGTAACAGGGTCAGATGAAGTAGGGCCTAGTTTGGCTGTTACTGAGTGAAACAGGGAGGCAATGCAGGGTTTTGAGCAGAAAATGCATATGATCTGACATATTTATTGTTTTCTCTTTTTTTTTTTTTCTTTTTTTTTTTTTTTTGAGATAGAGTCTCACTCTGTCGCTCAGGCTGGAGTGCAGTGGTGCAATCTTGGCTCACTGCAACCTCCGCCTCCCAGGTTCAAGCTGTTCTTGAGCCTCAGCCTCCCAAGTAGCTGGGATTACAGGTATGCACCCCACACCTGGCTAATTTTTGTATTTTTAGTAGAGACAAGGTTTCACCATGTTGGCCAGGCTGGTCTCAAACTCCCAACCTCAGGTCATTCACCCACCTCAGCCTCCCAAAGTGCTGGGATTACAGGCCACTGCACCCGGCCTGATCTGACATATTTCTAAAGGATTATTCTGGCTACTGTGTTGAGCTAGACTGTTGGAGGTAAACATACAGCAGAGGATCTAATTAGAAATCCATCACAACGATGCAGGTGAGACATGATAATCAGACGAGGGTAATGGCAACGGCAGAGATGGTAAGAAGTGTTACGACACTGCAGATATTTTAAGGTGAGGTCAACGAGACTTCCTAGCAGATTGGATGTGGGATGTGAGAAAAGGAGTGTAGGTTAACTCCATCGGTTTTGGCCTAAACAACCGGAGGATGGCATTGCCTTGATCAGAGATGGGGAGACCTATGGGTGGCACATATTTTTAAAGAAAGAAAAGGAGTTGGGTTTTAGACATGTTCCATTTAAAATGTCTAACATCCTGGTGGGCAGGCAGCTGGACACATGGCTCGGAAGGACAAAAAGAAGAGATCTAGGTTAGAGATATCAACTTGGGAGCCAGTTCAAGGATAGTACTTAAAGATGTGTAAGTCTAGATAAAGATCTCCAATGGACACGCCAATTTTTAAAGGCAGGAGAGAAAGGAGTAAATAACAAAGGAAACTGACAAGGATTGACCAATAAAATGTGTGTGTGGGGTTGGGGGACAGGGGGAGCTGCACACAACATGCAGTATCCTGGAAGCCAAAAGTGAATAAAGTGTATTACGGAGGAATGAATAATTGTGTCAAATGCTGGGCATAGGTCAAACAAAATGAGGACTGTGAACTGACTGTTGAATTTAGGCACTTTGATGTTACTAATGACCTTGTCAAGGGCACGTTCAGCTAAGAAGTTTGGGAAATAGAGGAAAAACCTGATTAAAGTTGGCTTAAGAGAGAACAAGATGAAGAAACTTGAACTCTGGTGGAAATGTAAAATGGTACAGCCATTTTTGAAAAACAATTTGGCAGTTCCTCAAAATGTTAAACACAGGGCTATAATATGACCCAGAAAGTCTACCCTACTAAGTATGTAGCCAAGATAATTGAAAAGATACATCCACACAAAAATCTGAACACAAATGTTCACGGCGGCATTTTTTGTAACAGCCAAAATGTGGAACCACCTAAACGTCCATCGACTGATGAATGCACAAACAAAATGTGGCATATTCATAAATGGAATATTAGCCATAAAAAGGAATGAAACACTCATACATGTTATAATACGCATGAACCTTGAAAACATTATGCTAAGGGAAAGAAGCTAGTCACAAAAGACCACATATTGTATGATTCCATTTACGTGAAACATCCAGAATAGGCAAATCCACACAGACAGAAAGTAGATTAGTAGCTGCCAGGAACTGGAGGAAGGGTGAAACAGGGAGTGGCCACTAAGGGGTACAGAGTTTCTTTTTCAATGATGAAAATGTTCTGGAATTTAGACAGTGGTAATGGATGCACGACTCTGTAAATATACTAAAAACCACTGAATTGTACATTTTAAATAGCGAATTTTAGGGCATGTGAATTATATCTCAATAAAGAAATAGAAGAGGGATCATATGAGGAAGGAAATTAAAAACAGTTGAATAGAGACTACTTCTAGATGTTTCACTACAAAGAAGGGCAAAGAAATGAGACAGTAGCTGGCAATCAAAGTGGGATCAAGTATTTTTAACACTGGAAAAATAACATGTTTAAATGTTGATGAATGATCCAACAGAAAACAAAATATTGATGATGCAGGAAAATCTGGAGGGGGATTCTCAGGGCAATATCCTTGAGTAGTTGATAGAGGATAATATCTAATACACAAGTGAAGAGCTTGTTTTTGATAGAAGCACATGTAGTTTATCTATGGTGAGAGGAATGAGGGCAGAAGGCACAAGTACATGCTTCAATTTCCTTAGTGAAGTAAGTAGCAAGGTCATCAGTTGAATGGGAGAGAGGGTATTATGGATTTTAAAAGGAAGGGGTCGGAATAATCAAACAACTGTCTAACAGAGTGACAGAGTGAATGGGCCAGGTACATATGATTGCCTAGGAGCATTAAGGACCCATTTGAGGTTCAAGGTTATGAATTTTAAAAAATAAATAAGATCATTCAGCATAGGGTGTATGAAGGTATGTGTTTTCCAGCTATGTTCAGATGCACAGGTACAGGTGCAGATTAGGAGGAGAGTCAGATTTAACCAGGGTTGTAAGTTTTGCCAAGTAAGTATGATTAAAGTGTGGGACTATACAGACTATACAGAGGAGTTAGCATAATGACTATGGAATTTAAGCTGAGTGAGGAAGGGAATGTGAACATCAGGGATATAAAGGACGATGAAAAAGCAGTAGGATCAACAGATCTGGGGTCCATGGTCTGACAGATGTCCACAGAAAATAAGATCACTAGATGAATGGAGCTCAAGAAAATAGGAGGCCAATGTGTTGCAAGAATCACTCTTTACACTCAAGCGCAAGAAATAATTCCAGTCTCCGAGCAGCAACTGTATTCTTATAATTATCACGTAACTTGACATTGAATTGTCATTTACACAGCCTTCCCCAACCCAAACACTGGCAAACCTAGTGCAAGTCCCATGCATTTTTGTCTATTTTATCTAGTTACTTATTTAGTAACTTACATACATTTCCTAATACACTTCTGGGAAGATAGTAAGTGCTAATAAATACTTATTGATGGATACAGATACAGGACCCTGAGGACAGACAAGTAAGCAACCGTCCTTTCCGTATCAGATATATCACAGACAGCTGCTCACCATTTACAGCTATCTGCCTTCCAGACTACATCACCCAATTCATTTACCAATCACTGTCTTTCATATTTATTTTTCAAAGACACTGTAGGTGATGAGGCAATCTATGTTTGGCTGCAAAAGCTATACACTATTAATAATTAAAACTAGGTAAGACATGGCCATTTCAGTTAATCACAGGAAAGTTTCTGTTTTAAAATTGCTTTAACTAAACAGCTTGTGTCTTCCACATACTTTTTTCAAGAACACATGTGCATCATTATTTTAATGAAAAGCGTACACACTTTTTTAAATTTCTGGTATTAGTAGGGGGAAAGCACAGGGTATAATAATTGTACCCAAAACAAAAAGGTTAAACCTATATTGAGTTCTAAAGCAATTACAAAATCCTCTTTGCAGAACTCTGTCAGTAACAGAATGTAGGGAGTAAGTGATCTTTCTGCAACCCAGTGGTTCTTCAACTCTGTGTATTATAAGAAAATGCACAGGGAGCTTTTTAAGCTAGACATGGTACCCTCACACCCCTAGAGGTCAATTTAATTAATCTGGGGTGGGATCCAGGTTATCAGTATTTTTTTTTTAACTCTACAGAGATTTTAATGTACAACGAGGCCTGAGAACTACAGACCTAACCTAATCCTTTCACCTGTTATTAGCAGCCTATACTCCTCTATTGCACTTCCAATTTTACTGCACTTCCAACTGCCTTCCACACATCTCCATCTGGAGGGTTGACTCCAAATATAAAAGTCCAATCCTAAAGTCAGTATCTTCTTTCCCAAACTTATTTTCTCTTGTTCCTTTCTGGTCTTTTAGATTGTGAAATATAACTTACAGATGGAAAAATGCATAAAACATATAAGCGCAATTTAATAATCCTTAAACAGTACCCTCATAGTTATCAGCCAAATCAAGAAATATAACACTGCCAGCACCACAGTCTCCCATATTTCTTATCTTGGCTAGTATACCAATTAATCCAGTTACTCAAGTCAGGAGACCAGGGACATCATCTTAAGATTCCTCCCCTTCTCCTGACATCAAATAAATCACAAGTACTAAAGATTTTACTACCAAATTATCTCCCCTCCTCTTTTTTACTGCCATTTTCTTAGTCTAAGTCCTCAAAAGATTTTCTGTCTCTGCCCCACTTGCCTCCAGTTCATTCCATGAAATGATCTCTTAAGGAAATAAATCTGTCACCCACCTTCCCTGACTCCCCATATCTTAACAAGATAGAGTTCTTCATAAACTGGCCTGGATCTCCCTCTCTCTGGTCTCTAATGAACCTACCCCACTTCAAAACTTATACTGCGAATGTACCAATCTCCTTACAGTTACCTAAACACACTATGCCATTTCCTATCTTTCTCCTACTGTTCTTCTATAAGGAATATCCTTCCTTCCCACTGTTGTACTTGAATTCATCTTTCAAAACCCAACTTAGCCAGCTGGATGCAGTGGCTCACACCTGTAATCACAGCACTTTGGGAGGCTGAGGCAGGTGGATCACTTGAGGTCGGGAATTCGAGACCAGCCTGGTCAACATGGTGAAACCTCGGCTCTACTAAAAATACAAAAATTAGCCAGGCTTGGTGGTACATGCTTGAAATTCCAGCTACTTGGGAGGCTGACGCAGGAGAATCGCTTGAACCAGGAGGCGGAGGTTGCAGTGAGCCGAAATCACACCACTGCACTCCAGCCTGGGTGACAGAGTAAGACTCCATCTCAAGAAAAAAGAAACAAAAAAACCTTAGCCGACAATTTCTCCAGGAAGCTGACCCTGCCCCTATTCCATCTATTTCTATAGCCTGTTCTTGTCTGCACCAGTATTTATCACATTGTAGTTATAAACCATTTTCAGTGTCAGCCCAGGTTACAACAGCCCCATACTTGTTCTGGGAATTGTCTCTTCCATCCCTCCTACTTCATTCCATTCACAAAAGTGAGCTTCCAACAGCTCAGCCCTCAGGCAAGCTGAACCAGGGTGGGGCCAGATTCTACCTCCCAGGAATTTGGAATGAAATTAACAGAGAAAACTGGTATGTCTATGTGGCTGAGAATTGTTAGATGTAAAATAAAAGCTCTACGGACAGCCATGTTCTACCATTTGTACTAAAAAGAGAAAAAAGTACATCTTCGAAGAAAAAGAACGAAATGGGCAGAGTTAGGAAAAAACAGTCCTGTGAGCCTTCTGGTTCTTGGTTCCAGCCCTTCCCAAAGCCCCACTGAATTCCTGCCCTCAGGTTCTGTAAGGAAGACCGATTATCTGTAGAAGACAGCTGATTCTTATTTGCAACTAAAAGCTCCAAATAAAACACTACGTTTTTAGACATCTCTTCTATTTATCCTACTAGCACCATGAAGGCAGAAACTGTGTCTTACTCATCTCTCTATCTGCAAGACTAGCAAAGACCCTGAAAAATGCCAGATGCTCAATTAATGACTGTCATCCATGGCACACTAACAGTTATACATTTTTATGTATGTAAATTTTTTCCTCCTTTTTAAAGACAGGGTCTTGCTTTGTCATCTATGCTGGGAGTGCAGTGGCGTGAACATAGCTCATGGCAGCCTAGTACTCCTGGGCTCAAGTGATCCTCTCACATCAGCTTCCCAAGTAGCTGGACTACAGGCGCATACCACCACATCTGGCTAATTTCTTTATTTTTTTAGAGATGGGGGGGTCTCACTACGTTGCCCAGGCTAGTCTCAAACCCCTGGCCTCAAACAATCCTCCCGCATCAGCTTCCCAAGAGTCATTAGGGTTACAGGCCTGAGCCCCTATGCCAGGCTTATGTATATAAATTTGAACTTTAAGAAGTGTTAACAAGTATCAAACTCCAGCTAATTATATGTATGTCAAAATGTTTAGGGGTAAACTGTAAGGATGTCTGCAGCTTATTTTGAAATGAAGCAAAAAGTAAGATGTAATGAAGGTTAAATAGTGGAGTGAATAGATGCATAGATGTAAGATACAGTTAATGAAAGATAATGTTAATTGCAGAATATAGGCTGCACTAATTGCAGAATATATGGAGGTTCACTATACAACTCTTCCAACTTTTTGCATGTTTAAGCTTTTTCATAATAAAATGTTTGGAGAAAAATGTAACAGCAATACATCTGCATTGATTTACATGGGAAAGTCTACATAAATAAACATGCTCATGTTAGCTCATTTCACTGCCCTCTGCCATGAAATGGGAATTCAAAGAACTTTAATAATAGGTGACTCTCCTTTCATTGCACAGTACATTTTCAAAGTGTTTTGTCTTTTCAGTTCACATGCTTCTTTTAAAGTGACAACAGCAAGGCACAATTAAAATGTAAAACTAGGCCGGGCGCGGTGGCTCACGCCTGTAATACCAGCACTTTGGGAGGCCAAGGCGGGCAGATCACGAGGTCAGGAGATTGAGACCATCCTGGCTAATACGGTGAAATCCCGTCTCTATTAAAAATACAAAAAAATTAGCCAGGCGTGGTGGCGGGCGCCTGTAGTCCCAGCTACTCAGGAGGCTGAGGCAGGAGAATGGCATGAACCCGGGAGGCAGAGTTTGTGGTGAGCAGAGATCACACCACTGCACTCCAGCCTGGGCGACAGAGCGAGACGCCGTGTCAAAAAAAAAAAAAAAAAAAGAAGTAAAACTAAATACTTCTAATTTCATGTCTCCTTTAAAACTAGTTTTGGAAAACATTAAAATTAGATAGGCTAATTCAAACCAGTTTTCTGTTACCAAGACTATTCAGAAGACAAAAAAAAAAAAGAGCTGGCAACTTTAATACTGTTAAGTTTCTCTTCACAAGACAGAAAAAACTGAGAATCACAGACTGTTAAAACTGGTCAAAAAGACTAATACTGTACAGGATCCTTACTTCCCAAAAAGAAAACTAAGACCCAAAGAGATAAAATATCCTGCCCAAGACCACCAAGTAACTTTGTAGCAAGGCTCAGACTCAAAACCTGGACTTATCACTAAAAATCTAGTGTTCTTCCCATCCTAGTTGGTAGTCTTAAATCCTGTTTTGTTTTGTTTTTTCAAAAGTAATAGTATATAAAGTGCCTAGTCTCAGCATAAACATTTTGTATTTGTTCAGGCCGAGCGAGGTGGCTGATGCCTGTAATCCCAGCACATTGGGAAGTTGAGGGAAGCAGATCACTTGAGGTCAGGAGTTCAAGACCAGCCTGGCCAAGATGGTAAAACCCTACCTCTACTAAAAATACAAAAATTAGCCAGGCATGGGGGTGCACACCTGTTATCCCAGCTACTTGGGAGGCCAAGGCAGGAGACTCGCTTGAACCTGGGAGGCAGAGGTCGCAGTCAGCTGAGCCTGGGCAACACAGACTCCATCTCAAAAAATAAAAAAAAAGTTTAAAAAAATTTTTTTTGTATCTGTTCAACTGGCTTTTTTTTTGGGGGGGGGGGGTACTGGGTATTCAGGTTATAAATACAAGTGAACACCGGAAACACATTACAACCAGTATTCAAATGACATACCTTATGTAACCACTGAAACTGAACTTCACTAAAATGACCTGAAAGTGTTTTTCCATCAATTTAGGCAAATAAAGAGGCAATGACAGAATTTTAACAACACACTTGCCAGCATTCCTTGTCTGTGGTAGAAGGCCAAAATTTTGCATGTAACTTTTCTAAAAAGTAGGTAACACAAAGCTACAGAAGTTGAAGGATAAGCCTTTTTTAATTTAGGTTTTTTTTTTTCATTTTGCAAATAAATCAATATGTGTATGTTAAAATAATGGATTACAGAGATACAGATAACTGTATCCTTGCAAAACCACTGAAAGAATGCTAGTCCCAGTTAGACTTCACTGAATTTATGATACAACCACTTTTATTTCTATTGTGATTGTCAGACAACTGAAAATCTAATTAAAATCTGTATGAACTAAGAGCAACTTCAGGAAAAAAAAAAAAAAAAAAGTTATCCCAAAGACAACTGAAAATCTAAGTAGAATCTGGATGAAGAGACAAGTTCAGCAAAAAAAAAAAAAAAAAAAAAAAAAAAAAAAAGTTATCCCAGAGAGCTATTGGTTGGTCATTAACCACATGCAAAAAGAATGGCACTCTTTGTCTGATCTCTTCCCTTTCATAGCAAAACTGAAGCTGTAAAGAATGTCTAAAGGGTAGTCTATGGAAAATTAAATTGAAGTCATGTTATTTCTATCTATTAAAATTCAGCTATACTAAAGTCACTTCTGAAATGATTTAGGAATAGAGCGCTCAGCAAAATAAACTTCCAAGAAAAATAATCAAAAATAAGAACACCAGAATGAGTTTGCTACCTGTTCTATTAAAATAGGAATGTGTAAAAGGCTCCATCTTACTTTCTGATTAATAATCCATCTGCACAAATACTTAATATGTGTCATAGTCCACAGCTTCCAATCTCTAAATCAGATTACCACAAACTCTACAACTTAACATGCACTAGCAAGAACATTTCAACACACTTTGAATACAAAAATACTCAAAATACTGAGGAATGGTACCTTACCTTCTAGTGTCAGCAAGGAGAAAGGACTCCTCCAGCTGCTCTAAAGTAGAAAATGTTCCCAATTTCTTGAGTACCATATAGTATAAAGTGGTTTTATCACATAGTACAGCAAAATTATTGGTGAAATTATATGAACACTGTATTTCACAATACATGCTACTTACTAAGAAAAAAACATTAAGTGCCCCAATATTTAATTTCTATTTTTATTTCCTATTTTATTTCTATTTCATTTGCTCATTTTACATGTCACTTTACCGTAAGCAAGTCTATAAAAGTATAATTTTTAAAGAGAGTAAAATCTCTGCTACCCGGTATTACATAAACTGACATATCTAAAACATGGCGTCATTTGTGAACATCATGATGACAGTGAGGCAATACAAGTTCTTAACGTACTTTCTGAATCTTCAAAATGACATCAAATTATCAATAATTCTCATCAAATGATAGTAATTTGCCAGCATAGTATATTGGACATTGGTGATATTAGACACCCTAAGAAAGGATACAAGAGTAGTGACCACAGTAAATATAAAAATTGAATAGGATTTTCTAAAAAAAAAAAAAAAAGTGTGTCATACAAACTTCACTGACTCTGGAGCCATGATGTCTGGATTTAAGTCCCAGCTCTTCAACTTTCTAGCTGGTTTCATTCAATGTTTAACCACCTATGTCTCGATTTTCTCCTTTACGAAGGGAATACCATCACTTACTTTATCTACTTACCTTTATAAGAAGCAACAGTTGAGGCCAGGCACAGTGGCTCGTGCCTGTAATCCCAGCACCTTGGGAGGCTGAGGCAGGCGGATCACTTGCGTTCAGGAGTTCGAGACCAGCCAGGTCAACATGGCAAAACCCCGTCTCTACTAAAAATACAAAAATTAGCTGGGCGTGGTGGCGCACACCTGTAATTCCAGCTACTCGGGAGGCTGAGGCAGGAGAATCACTTGAACCCAGGAGGCAGAGGTTGTAGTACAGAGCCGAGATTGAGCCTCTGCACTCCAGCCTGGGCAACAGAGCCAGACTCCATCTCAATAACAACAACAAAAAAGCAAGAGTTGAATGTGTGTAATAATACTTTGCAAACCACAGCAGTGAGCTATTCTAACATTCCTACTGAAATCTACAGTGTTACAGCTGCGGCAGAAAATTGCTAACTACCAAAATCCACCCTGTTTCTTCCAAATAACAGAGTTGTAGCTAGGACAAGGCTCTCACCTTTACATTCTGTAACTGAAAATGCACTCCCAAGAACATTTCAACACTGATGAAATACTCAAAATAGTACAGAATGACACCTTACCTCTTAGTGTCAGCAAAGAGAAAGAACACTCCAATTCCCAATCCCCTGCAGCTAGATGAGGCAATGAGACTAAGCCTTCAGCAATGGGAGGAGAAATTATATTTGTACAACTTTCACCTCACTTGCTTAAGACAAAATTTCTTACCCTGTGCTTCCAACAAGAACAACCTTGAAAGCTGTGCATTCGAGATGATACAGTCCCCATTCACCTACGTCCCCAAATGCCTGCATAAAGGACAGCCACATGCTGATGTGGAACACCTGCTCTCAACTACTGTGCGCTGAATTCTGGGGTTTCAGCCATTGTATTTCAGGGCTCTATTTCAGCAACTGGGTTACTTAAGTAATACAATGGCAAACCCCTTACAGCGGGAGAAAGGTGCAACTATAAAATCCCAAACAGGCACAAGCTTTTAATGCCTTCACACAAGGTAACACATAAAAAGTAAAGTTCTCAATAGGACAGTTTCCCAGAAAGGTGTTACCTCAGGGGAGTGTTAAAGCATAGTAGATAAGAGAATAGGCCCTAAAGTCAGATTGCCTGGGTTCAAATCCCTTCTCCACCACTTGCCACCTGTGTAACCTTGAGATCGGAACTTAACCTTTCTGTCTCTGTAAAATGAGAATAAAAGCAGGACTCACCTCACTTAATTGTTGTGATGTTTAAATGAAAAGAAAACTCCACAGTTTAAAGCTGCTTAGCAAAGTGCATAGCACACAGCAGTAACAGTAAACGTTAGCATTTCTTATTTAAAATTTGGCCAAATGAGGTAGCTCACGCCAGTAATCCCAGCACTTTGGGAGACCAAGACCGGAGGATCGCTTGACGCCAGGAATTCAAGACCAGCCTAGGCAACATAGCAAGACTCCCATTTCTAAAAAATACAATCAAAGAATACATGATACTGCACAATTTCAGTGAGGTGATCACGTATCAATAAGGCTAGCAGAATGCTAACAAAGATTCTCTACAACCTACTTGGTGGTGCAAAATGTTCTAGGAGATATACAATTAAACCTAGATTCCCTTAAAGGCAAACTAAGCGCCATCCAACTTTCAGTAACCAAGGAAGACAGCTGCATAAAAGCAGCATGACCTAGGGTTTAGCTACTTACAAAACCATTATAGTGACTAAGAGAGAACAGTACATTGTACTAGGGCACCCTAATTTCAGCACGGACTGTACAGGAACTCTGACAGCACTGTTTTTCAAAACAAAGAGTCATCCTAACATCCCACGTATGCAAATGAATTGATAAATAGTTAAGATTCAAATAAGCTAAAGATGAGAAGGGAGACTACCCAAGGAAATTTCAGAAATTTGCCCTGTCTTTCTAACAATAAATCTCACAGCATGAAACAGAGCTTTATTATTTTTACACACAAAAGAGAAAAGCTATAACAGAATTAAACTTAAGTATATAATAAAAACATTTCCATATTTTTAAAAAAGAGACACCCCCCCACAATAAATTCCACGTTAGAATGCCATCTGGGAGCAGGCAAAAGTTCAATGAATTGTAAAGGCAGGAAGGTAAATTCGATCATAACATTACAAAAGTTTCAGAATGAGAATTTTTAAGTTATTATTAAAGATTTCCTTAGCAGTGGCAGTAACATTTATGCTTTCCTGCCCCTAAAAATAAAAATACATAAAATAAACATCTTCTTAATATGGAATGCCTAGGCTGGGCGCGGTAGCTCACGCCTGTAATCCCAGCACTCTGGGAGGCTGAGGCAGGCGGATCATGAGGTCAGGAGATTGAGACCATCCTGGCTAACACGGTGAAACCCTGTCTCCACTAAAAATACAAAACATTAGCCAGGCATGGTGGCGGGCGCCTGTAGTCCCAGCTACTCAGGAGGCTGAGGCGGGAGAATGGCGTGAACCCGGGAGGCAGAGCTTGCAGTGAGCCGAGATCGCGCCACTGCACTCTGGCCTGGGTGACAGAGCGAGACTCTGTCTCAAAAACAAAAAAAAAAATGGAATGCCTATCGGGCTTTCCTCTTGTCTATCCAAATCTTACCTTTTTTCCTGGGCCACATTTAGACTCACTGCCAAAACAAAGGCCTGTCCCAATGACAAGCCTACTCTGACCTCATTTGTACCTGATATCACAAACTTAGGACCAGGGCACAGAACGTCTTGCATTTTCCCCCAGCTTCTTATGAATATGACTTATTACTGAAAGCAAGAACTCCTGAAGGACAAGGACTGTCATCTCTTTTTCCTATGCTATTCTTATAACAGGAGCAGAGTAACAATATCACCTACAATTTACTAAATGTCTGGCACTGACCTAGGAACTATACACATAAGTTTTAAAGGATAGTTATAAAATATTTGATAAATACAAATTATTCAGTGTAGCATCTGAATTTATGAAATGTTCCTAAAATGAGTATCTGCAAACTAGCCACCTGACACGAGAAGTACTACATTACTATTATTGTTGAAGCTATAAACAGTCTTATCTTCACAGCAGACCTATGAGGCAAGTACAGGTATGCCCCTAAGGGAATACAGGCTCAAAGAAGTCAAGTGATTCATCCAATGTCACAAACTATTAAGTGAGTCCTCACTCAAACCAGGTCTTCTGACCAAAAAAATAAGCCCATTTTCTTTCCACCATATCTTACTATATTATGGGATTTGCTCTTCTCCTCTACCCACCTAAGTCCTACTTATTCTTCAAGTTCCAACTCCTCCAAGAAATCCTTTTCAACTACCATAGCTTATTCTTTTTTACCTCTCTTTTCATCAAAATTCAATGAAAGCAAGGTCTATATTTAACATTCCTTTTTTCTCCTTCAATTTAGCATTATGCTAGACCCAGAGTAGTTACTCAACCACTTAATATACTGTATGATGCTTTCTTCATGAAACCATTATATTATTATGTATAAAAATGTTATTGTCTGCCCACCACACCGAAATCTAGAGATCCTGCATTTTCTTTAATGTTATCAAGTCTTTGAATTCAAAGAGGCAAGCCAAAAAGAGAGAGAAACACAGAGACGTATTTTACTAGCATTTCACTAAAAGCAAATATCACTAGCTAATTTTCTCACAAAAAGTAGTTTCTATTATTTGTCTCCTCTTATCTTTCAACAGGATTGATAGAATCAATGGATATCACAAAATTCAGGTTTCAGAGAAGGCATTGATAGAATTCATTTTTCTATATCCTTATCTTTCTATAACTTTAGTCGCAAACATACAAGAGCATCAATGGCTAAACCTTCCTAGGCTTTGTTGGCTCTGCCTTCCCCTCCTCCAGACCTCATAATGTGCCAGTGCTCCAAGGCTCTGTCCCAGGCCCCCTTCTCTGGTATCACACTGTCTTCTAAGTGGCCTCTCCCAGTTTTATAACTCTGTATAATGTCTATATACAAATCACCACACTATATCAACAATCCTGACCTCCGCCTGGACTCCAAACTTGTATATCCAATTGATGGCAAACATCAGTTAAAATATAAAGTGATTGGCCGGGCATGGTGGCTCACACCTGTAATCCCAGCACTTTGGGAGGCTGAGGCGAGTGGATCATCTGTGGTTGGGAGTTCATGACCAGCCTGACCAACATGGAGAAACTCGATCTTTACTAAAAATACAAAATTAGCTGGGCATGGTGGCACATGCCTGTAATCCCAGCTACTCGGGAGGCTGAGGCAGGAGAATCACTTGAACCCAGGTGGCGGAGGTTGCGGTGAGCCAAGATCACACCATGGTACTCCAGCCTGGGCAACAAGAGCAAAACTCCATCTCAAAAAAAAAAAAAAAACAAAGTGATTTAAAAAGGACTATCAACTGGGCACAGTGGTGCACACCTATAATCTCAGCACTTTGGGAGGATGAGGCAGCAGAATCCCTAGAGTCTAGAAGTTCAAGACTAGCCTGGGCAACAAATGGAGAATTTGTCTCTACAAAAAAGAATTTTTTTCAATTAGCTGGTTGTGGTGGTGCGCACGCCTACGATCCCAGCTACTCAAGAGGCTGAGGTGGGAGGGTCACTTGAGCCCAGGAGCTCAAGGTTGCAGAGAGCCGTGATCGTGCCACTGCACTCCAGCCAGGGTAACAGAGCAAGACCTTGTCAACCCGCACACACAAAAAAAAAAATCAATTTTTTTTTCTCCAAAACATACCTTGTTCCTCTCCCAAGTCTTACCAATCTCACTGGATAACAATAATCATCCAACCAAGTTTTAAAAGAAAAAAAAAAATCTAGGCATTATCTTTGATTCCCTTTTCCTGTGGCCATGAAATACAGAACACATCCTGTTGACTCTATCTTGAAAATATATCCTGAATCCTTTCCTAGAATAATCACCTTTCACCTGGTCTGAAATAGCTCCCTAATTCATCCTCCTGCTTTTGTTCTGGTCTCTCTCCATACAGCAACCTTTTCACTCCCTTAATCGAAACATTCCAGTGGCTTCTCATCACCCTCAGAATAAAAATCATACTCCTTACCTTGGCTTACAAAGTCCCAGGTGATCTGGCCCCTGCCTACCTCACCAACCTCATTTGTACTACTCTCCCTCTTGTTCATTACACTCCAGACACCCTGTCCTCCTTTTTAGTTCCTTCCACACACCCACTGTGTCCCTAGCTGTTCCACTAGCTGTTCCCTCTGCCTGGAATAGTCTTCTCCCTTTTCTTCAAAAGGCTGGCTCTTTCTTGACATTCAGATCTCACCACCACAAACAAATGAGATTTCTTCAGAGGCCTTCCCTGATCTAATCAATCAATTAGCCACCCCACTATTTCAAGGTCAACCTGTTTCGATTATCTGCATAGCACTTAATTGAGGTATATCGTTATTATTCATATACTATCTCTTCATTAGAATGTAAGGTCAATGATTAGGGACCTTTACCACTGTATTCTGGTGCCTAAAACAGTGCCTGGCCCATAACAGAAGTTCATAAAGATGTTGAGTGAAAATTTTATGAATAAATGAATAGCCAGGCACGGTGGCTCATGCCTGTAATCCTAGCACTTTCAGAGGCCAAGGTGGGCAGATCACTTGAGGCCAGGAGTTTGAGACCAGCCTGGCCAACATGGCAAAACCCCGTCTCTACTAAAAATACAAAAAATTAGCTGGGCATGGTGACATGTACCTGTAGTCACAGCTACTCAGGAGGCTGAGGCAGGAGAATCGCTTGAACCCAGGAGGAAAAGGTTGCACTAAGTAGAGATCACACCACTGCACTCCCGCCTGGGTGACAGAGTGAGACCCTGTCTCAAATAAATAAATAAACAGAATTGAAATGAAATTGCTTCCACTTCCACAGCTCTATTAATTATGGTTTTTAACACCAAAAAGGGAGGGAGGGCTAAAAAGTTTAACATTTTGCTAATTACAAAGAATTCTCTCCATACAATTTAAGTAATTTGAGTATTTTCTCTACAGAACTACTTCTTTCTAGTCTCATTCCAATCTATTAAAATCCAATGGTAGAGACACTCCACAGTAAAAATGTCAATTCTTCCCAAATTTATCTATAGATGTAATAAAATTTTTACCAAGGATTTTTATAGACATAACCAAACTTATTCTAAAACTTACATGGAAAGACACAAGACCAAGAAAAGCTAAAACAATTTTTAAAATAATAAAATTGGAGAAATTCTACCAAATTTAAAGACTTATTATATAGCCACAGTAATCAAGATTGCGTGGTATTGGTAGACGGACAGACACAGAGATCGATGGAGTAGAACAGAGAAGCCAAAAACAGATCCACACAAACATGTCCAACTAATTTCTTAGAAAAATGCAAAGCAATTAAATGGAAGAAGGATAGCCCTTTCAACAAATGCAGCTAGAGGAATTAGACATCAATAAGACAAAAAAAAAAAAAAAAAAAGAAAAATAGAGCTTTCATCTAAACTTCACACCTTACACAAAACCTAATTTGAAATGAATCACAGACTTAAAACTATAAAACTTTCAGAAATAAACACACTTTTAGGAAAAAATCTTTGGGGCACAGGGCTAGTTGAAGAGTTCTTGCAAAAGCAAGATTCGTAAAAGGAAAACCTGATAAACTAGACTTGGTCAAAATTAATTTTTGTTCTATGAAAGACACAATTAAGAGGATATAAAGACAAGCTACAGCCTAGGAGAAAATAATTACAAACCACATACCCAATAAAGGACTTCTAACTAGAATATATAAAGAACCCTCAAAACTCAACAGTTAAAACAAATAAAAATTAAAAAACAAGAATCCAATTAGAAAATGGGCAAAAACATGAACAAACATTTCACTGAAAAGCAGATGGCAAATAAGCATATGAAAACATATTCAAAATCATTATCCAGAGACATGCAAATCCAATCATAATGAAAAGAATTACTACATAAGTATCGGAATGGTTAAAATAAAAAATAATTCATTGCTGAGGGAAATGTAAAATGGTACTTTGGAAAAGTTTAGAAGTTTCTCACAAGGCTAAATGTAGTCTTACAACACAATACAATAGGAATTGTGCTCCTAGATATTTATCTAAATGATCTGAAAACTTACATCCACACAAAAGTCCACACACAAATGTTTATAGCAGTTCTGTTCATAATTTCCAAAAACTGGGAACAACCAAGATGTTTTTCAATAGGTGAATGGATAAACAAATTGTGATATAATCACAGTTGAATACTGTGGTTCATCCACTATAGGATATTATTCAGCAATAAAGAGAGATGGGGGGAGAGTAAGAGTTATCAAGCCATGTAAAGACATGGAGAAACCTTAAATGCATATAGCCTAGCAAAAGAAGCCAGTGTGAAAAGGTCAGATACTATATGCTTTCAACTATATGACATTCTGGAAAAGGCAAAACTATGTTAACAGTAAAAGGATCAGTGGTTGCCACGAACTGGGGGTACAGGAGGGCTGAACAGGTAGAGAACAGATTTTTAGGGCAGTAAAACTATTCTGTATGATACTGTAACAGTGGACACATGTCATTTTACATTTGTTGTCAAAACCCACAGACCTGTACAAGTCACAGAGTCCTAATATAAGCCATAGACTAGTTAATAATAATGCATTAATACTGCATTATTGTTCAACAATTTTCACAAATTTACCATGGTAACAGATGTTAATAAAAGGGGAAAGTCATGAGGGAAGAAGGTATATGGGAACTCTCTGAATTATCTGCCCAACTTTCTGTAAACCTAAAACTGCTCCAATGAAGTCTACTAATCTTTCTCAAAAAATAGTATTGATGTCAAACGCTGGCAAAGATGTAGAGAAACTGGATCACACATACACTGCTGGTGGGAATGTAAAGTGATACAGCCACTCAGAAAAAGTACAGCACTATCTGAGAAAACTAAAAATGCATTTATCACATAACCCAGCAATTGTACTCTTGGGCATTTATCCCAAAGAAATGGAAAATTATGACCATTCAAAAGCCCATCCACAAATGTTCACAGCAGCTTTAACAGTAATAGCCAATATGGAAACAATCCAAATGTCCTTCAACAGGTGAATGACTAAACTGTGATACTTCCCTACCTACCATGGAATACTACTTAACTATAAAAAGGAACAAACTACTGACACATGCAACAACTTGGATGGATCTCAAAGGAATTAGCCTGAGTGAAAAAGCCAAGCTGAAAAGTTTACATACTATATTACTTCATTTACATAAAATTCTTGAAATGATAAAATTACAGAGATGGATTACTCAGTACATTATTTCCTACAACAGCATGTGAATCCACAACTACCTCAAAAAAAAAGTTTTATAAACTCCAAAGGTAAAGATATATTCTCTAAAACCAAATTTTTCCCCTTGAGTGGGCTAACAAATTTCCCAGAGCGGGAGTTCTAAGCCTCATATGCACACTGGAATTACCTCTAAAAATCCAGATGCTTAGGTAGCATCCCAAACCAATTAAATTAGAATCCTCAAGGTGAAATCCAAGCATCTGTATTTCTTTTTTTTGTTGTTTTTGTTTGTTTGTTTGTTTGAGACGTTGTCTCGCTCAGTCGCCCAGGCTGGAGTGCAGTGGCACGATCTCGGCTCACTGCAAGCTCCGCCTCCCCGGTTCACACCATTCTCCTGTCTCAGCCTCCTGAGTAGCTGGGAGCTGCCACCACACCCAGCTAATGTTTTTGTATTTTTAGTAGAGATGGGGTTTCACTGTGTTAGCCAGGATGGTCTCGATCTCCTGAACTCGTGATCCGCCCTCCTCAGCCTCTCAAAGTGCTGGGATTACAGGCGTGAGCCACCACGTCCGGCCTCAAGCATCTGTATTTCTTTTAACTCTCAGGTAATTCTAACGTTCAATCAAGAATGAGAATCAGTATCCTCCAGAGCTAGAGAGTCTTTTTAAAAGCAACCTTTACTAACATGTTAATAAGATTATTAACAGTTGTTAAGGATCTGGCTGTTAACAATTCACTAAAATCTTAGCCACAAAAATTATCCCACTGATAAATGGAAACTTTAACCCAAACCTCACTCAGCTTCCAGAAACAAAAGGATTTAGCCCAAGAAAGACAATAGTTCATTATGGTTTATTTTTAAATAACGTTCCTACTCGGCAATGGAGTTTGAGTCTGAAATTGAATGGTAGGTTCACCTTTATCTGTGAAACTTCTGTAAGTACAAAAATGGATATATTAATCTGGCTTTCCAAAATCTCTCAAGCCAAAAGGTTACAATATTCCATTTTAGACTTAACCTAAAATCAAAAGGAAAGATTTAAAATAACCTCGTGACTTTCACAAATTTAACTACCCACAGACAAACCAGGAGAACAAGGTACAGAACATGAAACATTTCGAATGAAGTATTCTTTTCCAACTGCATGTGAAAAGGCAACATTGACAGCATCACAAAAACCTTAATTTAAAACTAAATGTCACATAAGAACACCATATACACCCAAACAAACCCACATACCACATAATTCAACACATCCGGGCAGCAGTGGCTAAATAATGGACTAGCATGAATACTGCAAGGATTTTGGCAGACCGATGTAGAGTCGCTCACATTTCCTTTGCCTTTAACAGTGCCTGTTACATTACTAATGTAGTTTTTGGTTTTTAGGTTTGTTTGGAGTTTCATTGGGGTTTAGGGGGATGAGATTCCAATTATACTGTATAAATTATTAAGTTAGATTCTCAGCCCAGGAAAATTAAGTAAAACAACAATACTATAACATAACAGAATTTGACAGTTGTGTATTGCTTAAAACATTAAAGTGATAAGGCCATTTTTAAATATGTGTAATCTTTTTACAAGTTCAGAAGAACCACAAATTATGGAGCTACAAACCACCAGCTATTCAAAGGAAAATTGTAGCTTATAAAATATTGGCTGACTGCCAATACAAACAAATTTTTTCCCCTCAAAAAAGCTTTGTAAGCCAAAATACTGTTTCAAAAGTGACTATAACCATCTTATTCAATCAAGTAGTAATGTTATTACACAGTAAAGGTAAGTCAATTCTTGGCCTAAAACAACCTGTAAAAACCTACTAACAAACTATTTCTCACCAATATAGTAAAATATCACCTTGAACTTAGAAATCAAGATCTGGAAAATGTTAATCCATTACTATTTTACCAAAATGTCATCAGGCAATTAATTAAATAACAACAATAATTTAAAAAAAAGTTTTGAAAAAACCAGATTGAAAAAATACCAATCAATGAATTTATTATAAAAGGGGAGAACAGCCACTACCCAATGCCCCCCTCAAAAAGCTATCCTTTGAAAAACAGCAAAAACTCCTCTACAATCCAAAAATATTTTTTTCAACTTACTGCCCAAATGGAAAGGTAACAGAAGACAGAGAGGTGGATTCAAATCCCAGCTGTACTTTTTTTCTTTTTTTTGAGACGGAGTTTTGCTCGTCACCCAGGCTGGAGTACAGTGCCACAATCTCGGCTGACTGCAACCTCCACCTCCCGCGATCAAAAGATTCTCCTGCCTCAGCCTCCTGAGTAGCTGGGATTACAGGCTCCCGCCACCCCATCTGGCTAATTTGTTGCATTTTTAGTAGAGACAGGGTTTTATCATGTTGGCCAGGCTGGTCTCGAACTCCAGACCTCAGGTGATCCACCCACCTCAGCCTCCCAAAGTGCTGGGATTACAGGCATGAGCCACTGCGCCCAGCCTCCTAGCTGTACTTTTAACTAGTAAGCACCCTAGGCAACTGATTAGTCCAGGCCTCAGTTTTCTCATTTATAAAATGGAAACACCATCACTCACCCCACAGTGAAACTGCTGTAAGGATCTAAAGATGCAATGTGTGTAAAATGCATATCACAGTATCTGAACAAAGTAGTAAGCACCCCATAAATACAGGCCAGAATTACTGCATTCAGTAAATGGAGAAATCAGAATCTCCACACGGATGGAGAATTTAGATGTCGTATGTAACTAAAATATATCTTAACATACATGGATTGAGAATTTGGATGTCTTAAGTAACATCAGAGCTGAGTTGAAAAAGTTGAAAAAAACAACAATAATAATAGTTGCCATGAGTGCCTTCTATTGCTAGGCACTTTGTAAGTTTTTTTAAATCGTTATAATAATTCAGTAAAGGAACAACTAAGCACAAGGTATACACAAGGTGCTTTAGGAAGCATTAAAACATTTCTATGAAGTCTTGAGTGGAGATCTTTACTCTGTGTATGTATATATTTTTCCTCCAAAGCAAGGTATCTGAGTATTTCTATTCTATTCTAATGAGAAACATAAATGCAAATAACATAATACTCAAATCTATGTGATCTTGGCATATTTAACTTAGTCTTTTCTCATCTATCAAATAGCAATAACAGACTTCTCCCACCCCTATCGTGTTTTTTTTTTTTTTTTTTTTTTTTGAGATGGAGTCTCACCCTATTGCCCAGGCTAGAGCGCAATGGCACGATCTCGGCTCACTGCAACCTCTGCCTCCTGGGTTCAAACAATTCTCCTGCCTCAGGCTCCTGAGTAGCTGGGATTACAGGCACATGCCACCATGCCCAGATTTTTTTTATTATTATTTTTAGTAGAGACGGTGTTTTACCATGTTGGCCAGGCTGGTCTCGAACTCCTGACCTCGTGTTCCGCCTGCCTCAGCCTCCCAAAGTGCTGGGATTACAGGCATGAGCCACCGCGCCCAGCCGAATTATTTTTTTAAGGCAAATAAAAACCTGTAAAAATACTGGAAACTATACAAACCTATAAAAATAGGGTAACAATGTGAGAATAAAAATATAAATTGCAACATAATTTTGTAAGCCTAACATAATTATTCAGTGTTAATTCTCCAGTATAACCTGATGTAATGATTACCTGAATGAGCACTGTCTGTACTTTCCCATAATAAAGAATGGCTTCCTCTCTCCTTGTATGTCACCTTGTTATAGAGAACTTGCATTAGTCATCTTTTTACAAGGTTATATGTCTTACCCCTTCAGCTAGACTATAAACTACTAAAGAGAAGGAACCGTTTTTCATAATTCATATCTTTAGCAGTACCTAATACACTGCTCTGTCTATAAAAAGCACTCAAATATTTAATGACCTATTCGCTGCATTTCAAAATTTGGCAGCTCTTTACTTCAAGGAATAAGATGGTTTCTAAGACTAAGGCTTAAGTAGCAATCCATTTCATAGTAATTTCCAGATTATCTCTTATTAAGGCTGTAGGCCAAGCCACATGGCTCTCACCTGTAATCCCAACACCTTGGGAGGCTGAGACAGGAGGATCACTTAAGCTCAGGAGTTGGAAACCGCAGGTCACAATGAGACCCCATCTCCACACACACACAAATTTTTTTAATTAGCCAGGCATGGTGGTGTGCATCTGTAGTCCCAGCTACTCGGGAGGCTGAGGTGGGAGGATCACTTGAGCCCAGGAGGTCAAGGCTGCAGTGAGCTGTGATCATGCCACTGCACTCCAGCCTGGGCAACAGAGTGAGACCCTGTCTCAAAAAAATAAAAATACGCTTTGGAAGGCTGAGGCAAGAGGATCACTTGAAGCCGAGCTTGAGACCAGCCAGGGCAACATAGCAAGACTCCATCTGTACAAAAAAATTAAAAAACTAGCTGGGCATGATGGTGCATGCCTGCAGTCCCAGACACCAAGGAGGCTGGAGTGGGAGGATCACTTGAGCCCAGGAGTTCAAGGTTATAGTGAGGTATGATTGCACCACTGCACTTCAGCCTGGGTGGCACAGTAAGACCCTGTCTCAAAATAAAAATTATTTTTTAAATCTGTTTTTAAATTATTTTTAATTAAAAAAATATAAAGCAACCGAGTCACTCCTTTTAGCTTACCAATTTTTCTAACTTTGCAGTTCTGCAAGTGTGGTTTAGGAACCCCTGGAGGTCCTCAAGACCTTTTCAGGGGTCTGCATGGCCAAAACTATTTTCCAAGTAGTATGAAGGCACTATGTTTCTTTTCCACTCTCATTCTTTCCAGAGTACAGAGTTTCCCAGAGGCTATATAACGTTGAAGACGGAACATGAAATAGGTCACATTTGGAAGATCAAGATAATTCAATGAATCAATATTTTCCAATGGCCAATGCATAATGTTATAAAACCATGTATAGATAAAAGATCCAATCAAAATGCAAAGACCAATGGATTTTAATGTAACAGGACACAAAATGTTCACTGATCTGGTTTCAGATTCTATCAGGATACTACCATTTGTCAAGTTTTGGTGTAGTATCAAAGAAGAATATCCAAAATTATCTGAAAAAGCTATTAAAATATTTCTCCCTTTTCCAGCTACATATCTGTGTGAAGGCAGATTTTCTTCTTCATATACTTCATCAAGAATATTAAAACAGACAATGCAGAAGCAGCTATCTGAACCCAGCTGTCTTCTAGTAAGTTAGGCATTAGTGAGAATTACAAAAATGTAAAACAATGCTAGTCTTCTCACTAATTTTCTTTTGTCTTGTGTTAACATATAATAGTTTATTAGCATTTTTAAATAAATATTTAAATTTTTATCAGATATAATTTCCGATAAATATCAACAGATACAACTCACATAAACAAGAGATCGTTGGGGTCCTCGATAATGTTTAAGATTGTAAAAGGGTCTATAGTTAAAAAAAAAAGTTTTTTTTGAGAACTGCTGGCCTAACTATATGTAGGTTGATTTGGTGTTCCCAATGCTAGGTTTTCTATCCATTTCACTAGGGAAATGCAGCCATTTCTCAGGAATGAACCATGTCAACACTGTACAACTTGGAGCAGTGGTCACTTAAGCTCTTGACAAATGTTTTGCACTCATTTTGCAATCAGCAATCCTCCTCCAATGAACAACAGATTTTCAGCAAAAGGCTTTGGCAAAAACATCAACCATTCTTTGATTCCCATTTCATAACGAGTAATCACTTAGCTATATGATCTGTTTTAAAGGAAAGCAGGGCTGGCTACAGTGGCTCACACCTATAATCCCAACACTTAGGGAGGCTGAAGCAGGAGGATGGCTTGTAGCCAAGAGTTCAAGACCAGGGTGACAAAACGAGACCCCATTTCTACAAAAAAACAAAAAACAAAAAATTTTTTTTTAATTAGCCAGGTCTGGTAATCCTGTAATCCTAACTACTTGTGAGGCTGAGGCAGGCAGACCACTTGAACTCTAGGAGTTCGAGGCTGCAGTGAGCCATGATCGTACCACTGCACTCCAGCCTGGGCAGTGGAGAGAGAGAACCTCTCTGTCTGTCTCTGTTTCTTTCTCTGTCTCTGTTTCTTTCTTTTCTTTTTTCTTTCTTTCCTTCTTTTCTTTTCTTTTCTTTCTTTCTTTTCTCTCTCCCTCTCTCAAAGAAGAAGAAGAAGGAGAAGGAGAAGAAAAATAGTACAAGAGAACGGACGGCACTTACTGAGCCCATCGCAAATGTCAGGCTCTGTGCTATACTTACATTATCCCATAATCTTCAAGACCCCTCAAGACCCCACAAAGTAACACAAAGCAGGAAACTAACTCAGATTTACTTGCCAAAGGTCACACAGTTAATACATGGTGGAATCAGGACTCAAAATCAGGCCTGTGTGACTCCAAAGTCCAGTGCTCTCTCCACTTTACCAGGTAACCTTCATAATACCGGATTGGAAATCAAACCTGTCACTTACTTTCTATGTCCCTGAGTGAGTCACAACTTCTCTCAGCCAGCTTTTTCATGTACAAGATAAGAGGGTTAGTATAGCTGATCTCCAAAGTCCCCTCCATAGCTAATATTCTTAGATTGCAATTCATCACAACCTCAACCTTACAGTTACAGTGTAAAAGTCCTTTGTATGTCTTTCTAAACAGAACAAGAGAAACAATGCAAATAATGGGGAAGTAATGAGTAAAATTATTAGGCTAAGATATAGCTTTTCATGCTTTAACATTAACAATCATCATGAAATACACTATAAGCATTTAGTAGGCATTGTATACTTTTCATTCCAGACAACAAAAGCTCCCTCCCTTCTTTGGCATAAGCTTGGGCATTCGGCCAGCTGACATCTCTAAGGGTGGTAAGCACCTGTTAACATGCTACACAGGAATACCTAACTGAAAGGGATTGCTATAAGGGAGCAAATCCCTCATCATTAGCTTGCATAGCACCATCTATTTTTTTTTTTTTAGCTCAATTATACAATACCCAATGAAGGTATTTGCCAGGCATTTCTGAGAAAAAGGAAAAGTTGCAGGAAATGGTGAAAACTGACACATGGCACTTCAACACACAAACAAAACACAAATCCAAGAAGAAACGTGCTGATTGCAGGACAGTATACAGATGAGGTTTTCCTGTATTTGCACCGTGATGTTGGCTAGGCTATCAAAATTTAGACTTCTTCCTATAACACGGACCATTTGAACACAATTCACTATGTGCCAGATACTGTGCTGAGCCCTTTAGAGACATCACCTCTAACGCTACAGAGCTGTAACATAAGATATTCATTTTAAAAGAGGAAAGGTCTTACAGCTAGTAAGTGACAAAGACTTGAAAACAAATCTGACCAACTCCAGAGCCTGTACTCTTCACAGTACATTTCTGCTGGTTTCAGAGAGAATGAAATGTCACCACTAGGTCAAAACAGAAAAGCAATGTGTAATATTTGAGCCAAGCTACAAGGGCATTTTAAAACTTTTAAATAAAAGTTTTTAAAAGCTTAAAATCCATTTATGGAAGTACCTAGTATTTAGATATTAGCGAAAGTCACAAGGTCACTGTCAAAAATCTATACTTCTTTGGATAACTATCAATACACACACTCAAGACATTTGTAGATGGCTGCTATTGCTATACCTTATATTCTTGTTATGCTCACATAACCTTAAAAAAATCTCTTTGTCCAAAGTAGCCAGAGAGCTGTATTTTACATGATACCATCCTTTTTACCCAAAGCCAGCATATTTTAACATATTACCCCAGGGCCTATTACTGAAGGGAAGTAACATGATTCGGGCCAAAACACAGTAGAAAAGTGACAAGGTTTATGAGGTGACTTACTAGGGGCTTTCAAAGGAATGACTGACAACTGGCCTACCAAAAGTTCTTTCAAACTTTAAAAAAGCTAAAATAAAGTTTTTTAATAGGGGCAAAAATGTAATTACAAAAGTCTTCAATACACACAATTTGAGTTATGCTTCACTGGAATTGAATCACCACTTTTTAAAAGGATCTTAAAATGGGAAATCAATCAAGTTCCAATACTGCTCAGACTAAACCACTCAAGCAAATCAATTTATGAATTTAAAATAAAATCATATAAAGACTCATTAAAAGAGAAGAAAAAAAGAAACAGATAATTTCTAAGAACAAATGTCAGAAGCTACATTGCCATTTCTTCTAATTGTTCATGATAATGTCCATAAAGAGTTCCAAAGATTATTTCCTATTTTGTTTTTCCTCCTGTGCATACAAATCATAGTGGGACAGGATAAAGTGGCAACTAACAAACACCAACAGGACTAACAAACTCAAATCCCCTTCCCTTACACACTGTACTGCTAAGAGAGTACTGAATCCCTCAAACGAGATGATTCCTTCCATGTGTTTCTTTTTGCCTGCTCATTCCCAAATTTAGTGACAAGAACACCCAACTTTTCAAGCCAAATAGATATGGATTTGAATCCCAGATTGACCACTTATCAGCTAAGTGATTCTAGAGTTACTGAACAAGGCTTCATTTTCTCATCAGAAATACAGTAACCACTTTGAAAGGCTAGTGTGAAGATTAACAATAATATGCACAACGCATGCCTGCTATCAGCATTATTATTCATTATGTGCCTGACACATTCTTTTTTGATGTTGCTGCTGTTTGTAATATCACTATTAAATAGCATAAGAAGGATACTCTGTTTCTCACTGGCAAATCGGAAGCAGGCAACAAAGCACTAGGAGTGACCTGTAATACAAACTTGCCCTAGTCGACCTTACTTGTCACAGCAAAGATTTTTATTCTAATTGCTTAAAAACTTTTCAAACTGCATAATGGGTAAGGGGTTTTATTTTGAAGTGATGAAAATGTTTTGGAACTACATAAAGTGGTGGTTGCTCAACATTGTGAATGTTTCATTTAAACTGAATCGTTCAGTTTAAAATGGTTAGCCTTTTAAAAAAACGTTTTCAGAAGGAACGAGGGGGAAAAAATCTTAATTATTCCAATTGAACATTATTAGGTGTAATAACACCCAATAATGACCAACCAACTAAGCTGGTTAGTGACCAACTCAGCTACGTTCATTTAAGATTTCCTGGTACACATTTCTAAACAGCAGCCTGACATGGTGAAAGCAGCCCAAGACTGAAGGGCAAGAAATCTACCTCTTGCCAGTCAGGAGATCGAGACCAGTCTGGCTAACACAGTAAAACCCCATCTCTACTAAAAACACAAAAACTTAGCCGGGCGTGGTGGCGGGCACCTGTAGTCCCAGCTCCTCGGGAGGCTGAGGCAGAAGAATGGCATGAACCCGGGAGGCGGAGCCTGCAGTGAACCCAGATCGCGCCACTGCACTCCAGCCTGATCACGTGAGACTCCGTCTCAAAAAAAAAAAAAAAAAAAAAAAGAAAGAACAAAAAAGAAATCTACCTCTTGCCCCAACTCTGCCACTAGTTGGGTGTGTGATTTTCAACTAGTGCCTTAACCTCTCTGGAACAAAGCAGGACTAAAAGGATCTCGCAGGTTTCTCACAAGGGTAAAACTTTATATTCTTAGCAAACCAATCATGTGAAATAAAATTGCCAAGATTTAAAAAAATTTACAATATACTCCAAATCTGAAAAACTAAAAGCCATCACACCTCCGGTGAGGTGAAAAATATAAATTATCCTAAATAGGAAAATTTTCTCATTTCAGGACAGTTGGGTCCTACTGACTCCTATTTAATGGAAAACAAAAGGCTCTATAATGACAGTGCCAAAATAATGTTCACTGACAATATTATCTAAGGGCAAAGAAAAAAGACTTAATAAAGAGACGACTAATGTGATAAGCTCAAGGTCACCCTTCTAAACGTAGCCGGTGAATTGCAAGTTTTCAACAAACTCATCATGTCTTTTTTCAACTATTAAAAAATGCATTAAATATATAAATATCATACATCATTAGCCTATAAATAAAAAGTGTACACAATTATCAATATCATTTTGCAAATAATTTTTTTGTCTATCATCTTTGGGTTAAAAACACCTCCTGCTACAGGGCTCTGAAAATGCTATAAATCTAAAAGAACCTTACACTGTTGTTCTTGAATCTGCCTGGCATAGAAAGCTACATCCTCTGATATCTTCTGGTATTTTGTTAAATGTAGGCTGTTAAAGAAATGTTTTGGCAACTAACATCTTAACTACCACTAATTAGGTTAAAAGGCTTGTCCTCTTCCAATGTGGCTCTATGTCCTAAGGGGAAAAACAGGAGTATGGTATGGCAAAAGCATGCAAACCTTTTAATTCAAATAAACACTGCCTTCATCTCAAGGTGATCAAGGTTACTAGTTGGGAACACTCAACTGCTCATCTGTTTTCTTCAAAGACGTAAGAAAGGCACTACTTAGATATCCATAACCAATGAAGCAGCAGTAAAGGAGATTTCAAAGGATAACCTGTAAGTTGTATCAAGCTACTGAGAATACATAGTGTTTTTACAACCAGAGCAACTTATCTAACAAACTTAGTGAAAAGGGTTGAGCTACTTACAGATGAAAAGAAAAATTCAGGTACTGTGTCAAAGTTTTCCAAATCAATTATCTAGATTCTGATGCCAGCAATAGATCCAGCAACTGAGTCTTACTTCTCTTTCTGGGAGTTAGCTATATCAAAATGAAGGCACGAAAGCAACAGATGCACATCCTTTCTAAAGAGAATACTAATTTTCTTTTTATCAGAATCATCATCACCTGTATATAACCATCACACCTGCAAACGTTATACCAAAACCAAACAAATTTTCCTCCTGATCTCACTTCTCTTGGGCTCCCTGCTTATACTGAGGGAACCCCAGGCTGCCAATCAAGTAGGCTTGAAACCCTGTAGTTGTCAGGCTTGTTGCTCAGCCCTCACATTCAGTAGTTACCAAGTTGCAACAGTTCCAAGACATCCTTTCTTTCTTTTTTTTTTTTTTTTTTTTTTTTTTTGCTAGTCTTGCTCTGTTGCCTAGAGTGGAGTGCAGTGGCATGATCATAGCTCACTACGGCTTTAACCTCTTGGGTTCAAGCAATCCTCCAACCTCAGGCTCCCAAGTAACTGAGACTACAGGCAAGCACCACCACACCCAGCTACTTTGTTTCTATAAAGATGTGGTCTCATTATGTTGTCCAGGTTGGTCTCGAACTCCTGAGCTCAACTGATCCTCCGCCTTGGTGTCCCAAAATGCTGAGATTATATATATACCTACTTCCACTACCTATACCTATTTCCACTACCTTTATTGCTTTCCCCCCAAATTATTACAATAGCATTTTAATCAGTGTACAGTAAGTTGTCATTTAATGTACTTGATAGGTTCTTGGAAACTGCGACGTTAGAGGAAATAACATATAATAAAACCAATTTATCAGAGGCTAATTGATATATACAACGGTTAAGTTCTTCTTGTCACAAAAACATCACCAAACTTCTAAATAAAAACCAAAACGCTTGTAATATTAAACACTGAAATAAATGTGAGCTATATATATATGTAAGAAAAGTTAACAAAAAACAAGATGACTACTTAATTATTCCAGTTCAAGAATGCAGATGGCCAGAGCCTATCCCAACAACTCAGGGCACAAGGTGGGCACCAATCCTAGACAGAACACCATTCCGTCACAGCGCACACTCACACACACACCCTCACTCACTCATCCTGGGACCATTTAGACAGACCAATTAACCTAAACTGCGCATCCTTCAGATATGGAGGAAACCAGAGCACCCAGAGAAAACCCACACAGACATGGGGAGAACGTGAAAACTCCATGTAGACAGTGGCTCCAGCCAGGAATCTTTTTTTTTTTTTTTTGGTCAACATTATAATGAAACAACATCGAATGAAACATTATTCGAGAACCAGTCGTATTTATTTCAGTCTGTCTTTCCACGTAACATTGTCAAACTCATAAAGATAGTCCTGATAATGTCCTTTATCACTGGGGCTTTCAAACAGAGTAAGGCTTGAATTCCTTATTCCTGCATTCAAATCCTTCTATCAGTAGCTCCAACATTCCTCTCCAAACTTACGCTCTGCTAATTCCTTTCATATATCGTATCGTCAACAAAATGAACCACTTATTTTCCATACAAATCTTGAGCATTCTTATTTTGCTAATGCTATTCCCTCCATATGGAATTCTCTTTTCCATTTTTCTCATAATCCAGTTCTATTTGTTTTCCATGGCTGATACTACACACTACACACACCCTCGCTGAAATCGCTCTATTATTCCCCTCCACTAGAAATAATTTCTTGTTCTTCTGAATTCTGGATCACTCTCTCTTAGGTACTTACCTTTTTAAAACACACAAACACACACACACACACACACAGACACACACACCCACATCCCATACTATCAACTCCCCTAATAGACTGTAAGCTCATAAAAGTATAAAAGTCAGAGTCCATGAATACTTTATCTCTGGCTGGGCACACTGGCTCATGCCTGTAATCCCAGGGCTTTGGGATACCCAGGCAGGAGGATGGCTTGAGCCCGGCAGTTCAAGACCAACCTGGGCAACACAGCAAGACTTGTCTCTACAAAATAATTTGTTTTTAATTAGCCAGGCATGGTGGCACATGTCTGTAGTCCTAGCTACTCAGCAGACTGAATGGGAGGACTGGTTGAGCCTAGGAGGTTGAGGCTGCAGTGAGCCGTGATCACACCACTGCACTCCAGCCTGGGCAACAGAACAAGACCCTGTCTCAAAAAAATAATAATAATTGTATATATATATAACTTATACAAAAGATACATATTTATGCATAATTTATGTATATATATTTATTTACAAAATTGTATAGAATTATTATATCTATATCTTTGTATATCCCCATGCAACCAGCATAGTGCTTAATAAGGACTCAAGATGAATAAATTAATAAGGATACTCATGAAGAAAAACAGAAATACAGCAAAAAGACGACTTCAAGGCGCATAATATTCCAAAGAAAAACTGAAATTAAAACTTTAAAAAAATTAAACCTTTTCCAAGTATAGACTACAATTAATAAAATAGTTCATTCAAATACTCGGGTTCCTACTAAATGCCAGGCACTGTTCTACTAGGTGCTTGAAATCTACAGAAAACAAAACCAACAAAAATCCTTGCTTTCATGGAGCTTATATCAGGTGGAGAAAAAAAGGCAATAAACAATATAAGCAAAATATATCATAAGTGAAATGGTTTAAAGTGGTATGGAGAAAAAGAGGATGGGAAAGGTTGGGTAAGGAGAACCAGAAATGGAGGAGCTGCCATTTTAATAGGGTGGTAAGAGAAGGCCTCACTGAAAATGAGAGACAAGATGGAGCCAAGCAAATGTCTGAAAAACTGCATTCTGGACAGGGTAAACAACAAGTGCAAAGGACCTGAGACAGAAATATGCCTGGTATGTTAAAGAATCTGCAAGAAGGCCAGGCGTGGTGGCTCACGCCTGTAATCCCAGCACTTTGGGAGGCCAAGGCGGGCGGATCACGAGGTCAGGAAATCGAGACCATCCTGGCTAACACAGTGAAACCCTGTCTCTATTAAAAATACAAAAAAATTAGCCAGGCATGGTGGCGGGCGCCTGTCGTCCCAGCTACTCAGGAGGCTGAGGCAGAATGGTGTGAACCCCGGAGGCAGAGCTTGCAGTGAGCCAAGATCGGGCCACTGCACTCCAGCCTGGGTGACAGAGCGAGACTCCGTCTCAAAAAAAAAAAAAAAAAAAGAATCCGTAAGAAGACCATTGTGGCCAGAATGGAGTAAGCAAAAAGAAGAGTAAGAGATGATGAGGTCAGACAGCAAAGAAGGCATTCGATCACAGAAGGACTTGATAGGACTTTGTGTTTTACTCTGAGCAAGATGGGCAATCACTAGAGGGTTTTGACCAGAGAAGACAAAATCTGACTTATCTTTTTTAAAGGATCATTCTTGTTACTGTATTAAGAATAGACTATAAGGAGGAAAGGGCAAAAAAAAAAAAAGGGGGGGGGATTACTGCAATAATTTGGAGAAGGTAATGTAGGCTTATGCCAGTGCAAGTGATGAGAAGTGGTCAGATTCTGGATATATTTTAAACAGAGCTGCTAAGATTTCCTAAGGGATCAGATGTAATGGGTGAGAAGAGTCAAGAATGTCTCCAGGTTTTGACCTGAGAAAATGGAAAGATGAAGCTGCTATTTACTGAGATATGGAAGATTATAAAAGGGACACGGGGAAGAGGAGACAGGGTAAGTTCAATTTGAAATAAGGATAGAAGATATAAGAGATGTCAGGTAGGCAGTAGCATACACAAGCCTGGAGTTCCAGGCTAGAGATAAAAATTTGAGAGTCAGCCAGGCGCAATGGCTCACGCCTGTAATCCCAGCACTTTGGGAGGCCGAGGCGGGTGGATCACCTGAGGTCCGGAGTTCGAGACCAGCCTGACCAACATGGAGAAACCCCGTCTCTACTAAAAAATACAAAAAATTAGCTGGGCGTGGTGGCGCATGCCTGTAATCCCAGATACTGAGGAGGCTGAGGCAGGAGAATTGCTTGAACCCGGGCAGCAGAGGTTGCGGTAAGCCGAGATCACGCCATTGCACTCCAGCCTGGGCAACAAGAGTGAAACTCTGTCTCACAAAACAACAACAACAACAACAACAACAACAGAGATCCCACGAGGCAGTCCAATATTAAGAGGTAGGTGTAATAAGGAAGAACCAAAAAAGAGACTATGAAGCCAAGTAGGTAGAAAAACCAGCAATCTGGTATCCTAGAAACCAAAGCAGAAAGTGTTTCACAAAAGGAAGCACCTATTTGTGCCAAACACAGCTAATAGGTCAAATAAGAAATAAACTTCGTAGTCTTGACAGGTACAGTTTTCAGTAGAGTGGTGGGGTTAAAAATCTCACTAGAGTGGTTTCCGGAGAGAACATGAGAACTAAAGATGAACAGAAGAAACTTTTTCAAGAAGTTTTGCTGTAAAGGGGAGCAGAGAAATTGGGTAGCAGCTAAAAAAGGCACTGTGGTCAAGAAATGGTTGTTTAAAAAAAATAGATGAAATATAGTATGTGTGTGCCAACTGGAATGAGCCAGTAGACAGGGGAATAATGATGTTGCAGGAGAGAGAGAGACATCATTTCAGCTGTTAATAGAATTTCACTAGAAGAGTCAAATAACCCAATGAAGAAAAATTTCACTAGGCTAGTGGGCAATAATTCCAGAGTACTGTTACTCTTTGTGATACTAAAGAAGGGAGGAAAGCAGCCCATAATTCTAATTCACATGTCACAGGAGGCTCAGAAGAGAGGCTGGACCACTTGCCAAGAACCTTTGTGTTAAGATATTTTACATGTTATTTCATTTAAGCACAAAATAACTTCATGAGGCATTATCTTTATGTTACAGATAAGGAACCAGAAGCTCAGAGAGAGTAAATAATATGCTTAACTCACAAAGCTGGTAAGTACTTTCTAAGAGGTATGTTTTAAATCCACGTCCTTCTGTGCAGAAGATAAGGAATTATTGTTAATTTAGGGGGTTAAAATAATGTTGTGGTTACGTGGTTTTTTTGGTTCTTATCAGTCAGAAATATATACTGAAGTATTTATGGATCAAAGTATATGATGTCTAAGATTGACTGTAAATTCCCTACCAAAAAAAAAGTAAAATGCAATTGTGAGTGAGGGCTGAGCAGCAAAATGCTGATAATTGGTGAAGCTGATTGATGGCTATATGGAAATTTACTGTACTGTTTCCACTCATATACATCTGAAATGTCCATGATGAAAAATGAAAAATAAAAATCCAGGTCCTTTTGAGTCTATCACTTCAAAGCCTGCCCTTAATTTCTGCTCACTTCCAAAAAAAGAAAATATGCTTTATAGCTTCCAAACAATTTTCTTATCTTCTTTAATCTTCAATATAACTCTGTAAATTAGGAGTATTATTCCTATTTCAGACTTAAGGAGAGAGATCTACAACTAGTAAATAGGATCAGATCTCATAGCTAAATCTTATAGTACCAATAACGTTCTTCTAATACAGCAATTAAGGTTGCACACCAGGCACTGTGTGCATACCCATACTCCACCCAGTGCCAGTACTTTTTCTCAGATTCATTACTATCTCATAATCCTGGGACTCTGAGCTTCCTGGGAGGACTAAGCATTATCCCATTCAGTCCATGAAAAGACTTGTGTACTCAACAGCTTGATTAAAAGAGGCAGATTTCAAATTTGCTCAGCCATCAATCTTCCTTGCCAAATTCAGAAACTAACATGAATTTGATATACAACTTCTCAGTGATCTGACAGTCTGCCAATCTCTGCTCTAAAGTGAACTCCTTGTGCCTCCATTTCCCTAAATGTAATATTCCATTGTTCACCTACATTATACAGCCATCACAGGGACCAAAGTTCAGGTATATGAACTCTGAGCTCTAGAAATAAAGGAACAATAATACTGACCAACTTCAAAAGTCAATGTTGTATAGTTCTAAAACATTTACCACAAAACTGGCAGAACAAAAAAATCACAGTTAGTACTTATTTTTAAGATACCGTATTTTTAAAAGCTTCATCACGATGTTTGCTATCTGTTCTTCTATGCTAACCCTGGCATTATAAGCTCATTCACAGCTTACTTCAAAAACAACCGAAAATATTCACACCAAAGTCTTGAGATTTTATTCTCTCCAGCTTTTAATCATCAAAACTGCAACACTTTTCCCCTCTAGTTCACTATCTTTGTGAGTTATTCAGAATTATTTAACTCAAGAGTTACCCAGTATCCAAAACTTCATTAGGTTAAAATTTAGGTTGCCTAAGCTATACAGAAGCCTATGATTAGATGCAATGTTTAATGAGTTTCAGATTTACTTGAACTATAAACATCTTAAAAATGAACTGCCTCCATCTTAACTTTTACAAACCAACCACTTATTTATTAGATCACTACCTAGCTGTCTTAAATTGTACTTATTTCCATTTAGGCTGACTAAACATAAGTAACCAGTTACAAACTCCATTTTCATATTAAGGGCCAATATATCTAGAGAAGGATCTATTCTTTACTCAAACCAGTATTATTGAAGCATACTAAGAAATCTTAGGTCTGGTACAAAACACACCTTTGAGCCTAAATGTCAATTTATGCTTGCTGAATTAACTGGCAAAACGGGCTTAATAATGGCATACTAAAACAAGCATGGTAAGAAAAAAATAGAGACAGAGCCCTTTAGGACAATTACTAGTCACTATATGTCAACAGCACTATATTGGTTAAATTAAAATCATAAACAAAATGCTGATCTGCCCAATAGGATATTGTGAAAAATCCTGGCACCTGGAAAACTGCAAAGAACAGGAAATTCTGCAGGTGCAGTAAGAAACATCTTACCCATGACCCAGAAATGCCTCAGAATTTATTACACAACCTGCTGCAGAATTCTCACTTTTCAAGTGGAAATGAACCATGAAGTCACACAATGCAAGGCTGTGATTTTATTATTGATGTAATCAACTGTACCCTTTCAAGTTATGCTAAAGTTAACTAAAGAAAGCAGATGTTTTACACAGCGCTAGTTATGTCAGAAGTTAAGAGAATCTGAATACCAAATAAAATTTAGGACTGCTTCATTCAGCCACATGCACATGTGGAGAGTCTGTTGTGAGGCAGGCACTATACTTCTCAAATAGGATGCACTTAATGGACCCTTAGGACAAGAAATAATTCAAATTAGACATGAAAATTACAAATCAGGTCACTTGGTCACCTCACTATTCAATGCAAGAACTAAAAGCTATATTAAAGATTAACACAACTTTCAGGCTCAAATCACCTAATTATCTACATCACCATTAATCTGGCCTTATTTACTTTACTTCTATTTTAACTGACACATACATTAAACTTACATCTCTCAATAAAGTTTTCTAAAATTAGACTCGATTCACTAGCCTCTTAGAATTACTAGTCAGAAACAGTTTCTGTAGCTAAACGAATTTTGAAAAACAACCAATCTTCCAATAAAAGGACCTATGCAAAACAAATGAAAACAGAAAAGCAGTAAAATGGGTAACAGTGTCCAAACATGTTACCTAAGAGAGTAAACTATTAGAGTAGATCACGTAGCAAAGAAAGATCACTATCGGAGCTGGGTATCACCAAGCTCAAGGCAAATTAATGTGTAATAAAGCAACCTATGCTGAGACAGGAGGATCGCTTGAGCCCAGAAGTCCAAGATCAGCCTGGGCAACACAGCAAGACCTTGAGACCTGGTCTCTACTAAAAGTAAAAAAAATAGCCAGATGTGGTGGCACATGCCTGTAGTCCCAGCTACTCGAGATGCTAAGGCGGGAGGATCACTTGAGCTCTGGAGTTCAAGGTTACAATGAGCTATGATCACACCACCACACTCCAGCCTGGGCCACAGAGCAAGACCCTGTCTCAAAAAAAAAAAAAAAAAAAAAAGGCAATTTGCTATTTACATTTTTGCTGTGTCAATCATGACCAACACCTGGAAGGCTCTTTACAACTTGTAAACCAAACACAACATTAAGAAAGCATTTAAAAATCATTCCCCCTCAAATAGAGCATTACCTGTCAAAGCATACGGAAATACCAAATGATGGGTAATTATTTGATAACTAAAACTTGAAAAAGGAAGGAGTATTCAGTAAATCAGAACAAGGAAGCTTGACGTCACTAGCAGAAGGGATAGCTCTATTTTTCTATTCCAGTCACTCAGTCAGTAATCAATTTTCTGCAAAATACATAGGAAAATGTATTATGTTTATTATTTCTGATATAAGAATTGAATTTGGCTGGGCGCGATGGCTCACGCCTGTAATCCCAGCACTTTGGGAGGCCGAGGCGGGTGGATCACAAGGTCAAGAGATCGAGACCGTCCTGGCCAACATGGTGAAACCCCGCCTCTACTAAAAATACAAAAAATTAGCTGGGCGTGGTGGCGGGCACCTGTAGTCCTAGCTACTCGGGAGGCTGGGGCAGGAGAATCACTTGAACCCGGGAGGCGGAGTTTGCAGTGAGCCGAGATTGTGCTACTGCACTCCAGCCTGGCGACAGAGCGCCACTGCATTCCCCACCCCCAAAAAAAGAATTGAATTCACTGAGCCAAAGAAGGCCTCTGTCTCTGGAAATTCCTGCTTAGAAACAATCTTGGGCTATAGCTAGAACCCAATGTCTCTCACAAGCTTCTGCTCAGGCTGAAGAATTCAAACCAGCACTAACACTTAGCTGAGAAATTGGAAAGGTAAGCAGACAGCAAAGAATGAACAAACTTCAATTTGCAGACATCTCTTTCACATAAGTTTCATCTCTATCCAACTTTCACACAACAAATTAATCCACCTAATGGTAAATTACGAAGTACTAACATTTGACCAGTCTAAAAACCACAGGGGAGAAAAAAGAAACTAAGTAACATCTATCCCCGTATTTACGTAGCTCCAGTCTTCCCGAAAGACTTAAACTTGTTTTATATAAACCACCTTGATTCTCATGGGAGATGGATAGAGTCAGATTTCTAGAGAAGAAACCAGCACAAAGGGATTAAATATCTTGTCCAGCAAGTCACCAGCGAAAATAAAACCAGAACCCAATTATTCAGCCTACAAAGCCTAAATAACCTGCTTTCCTTGGTTCGTAAACTTAGGATATCTAAAGTGCCTACAAATTGTCCCAATTCATAGAATTTCACTGAACAATACATATAATCCGAACACTATACCAGAATTGAGTATTCTGAGCAAGAAAGTAGTGCGCACCCCAAGTCAATAAAATGAACACAATGGACTTAAGAAATATAAGGAGGAAACAATGGCTATGTTGGAGAGAACTTTCAAAGCTCACTCTATTCATCTTATATCCTACTGCTCAAATTCTCTGCCAAAAAGCAAATGAGGTCAGACATGCTCCCTATATTATATTGTATACATATATCAAATCTCAAAATACTCAGAGTTTCAATCGAAGGGACATTATACTCTAAAAATCTTTCCCTCCAAAAATAAAATCTTACAGTAATGCCTTCAGAGCATTCTTTTGCTGCCATGACACACTTCAAATTTGGATTTTACGAATCATTTGCTTCCAGGTTTTTTTTTTAATATTTATATTAACGGATTCCGATTACTTAAAATTTGGTGTTCTGCTCCGCCCTCATTATGTTTAGGCAAGATTCCCACTTCCACTCAAACTTATTATTCGAACATACAATGGCTGCATTAAGATACTTCCTAAATCGACAAAAGAAGAAAACTAATCAACCCAGAAAGCTCCCAAGCTACCAAAGCGAACCTTTTATTTGAAATCATACTAGGTACCACACTACACATTACGTGAAGCCCACAGAGTGATAATTGAAGTTATTTCTGCAACATGATGAAATTTATTTCTTAGCAAAATCTGACAAGACTTAATTTTCAACTGTCAAAAGGGAAATCGTTTTCCAAGATTCTAGGAAACCTTGCTTACTGAAGCAGTCTCAAAGTAGTTTGCTTAATCCTTTCAAACCCCTAAGAATCTAACACAAGCCACAGAACAGTGAATGAGACTTGCACTGAAATAAATGTCTGTGTTCAAACCCCTAAAGGTTACTTCCCATGTGTTTGGCAAGCTGAAGGCCATATGTCCGCCCAACCCATAAGTGTCTTTCCTCAATAAAGCTAACATTACACTTCCCAACTCAAATCAAAATACCAGAGAATCCAAAAGCCTCCAACTAAATTTTACCTGAACCATTTGGGAGAAAAAGTCAACAATCCAGATCAGTTATTCACGCCTTGAAAGAGTGTTAAGAGTCAGAAAGCTCCAATTCTGCCACTTTTAGGAGCTAGGTGTACATTACTTCTGTCTGCCTATAGCATGGGACTCAGATATTACATCACCCCATGCTGCCTGAATACTGACCCATTACCCAGAAAGCACCAGGGTATCTGAGACACTGCACCAAGGTATCCCTTTCTTCCTCTCTTATGCATAGCCCTTGAATGCTACTGGCCACTGGGCCTGGTCTCTTCCAGTTTCACAAAGACATCTGCCCTGCACCTGCTGCAATCCCATTTCCATTCACTCTTGGTGCGCTCCTCGTGACCCTGTGTGGCCCTTCTGTCCACTCGTCAAACCAATATGCTAGGATGATACCCACTACACACCTCTCCCAAATTTGGGGATGTGCACTCAGCTCTCCCTTACCCCTTCCCCCTTCCTCATTTACTGGGTTCTGGAATTAAAAGCAGGCTCAACGATCTCTCTGACCCTAGGAGTATGAACTTTCAGATATGACACTGAGTTTAATGTCCTCCACTTTCCATTAACATCATTCCAGGATCCAGGTCCCCCCACCCCTCAATCTCCAGTTTCTCTCAGTATGGAATTTAATCCTCTCCATTTAGTTATTTTTCCAACTTCTGCACTCTGCCTGATCTTCCTTAGACTCTCAGTGACCTAAAAATCTTGGCCCCTTTCATCTCTCAAACTCAAAGTGTTCCAATCTCTCCCCATACTTCCACTCCTTGGATCTTCCATACTCTCTTAAGCAACCTGTGTTCCTAGCTCTCTCCAACTTAAGCAGTCATTTCCTGCCCTAAACCTGGGCATCCTATTTCCCCCACCACCACCACCACCACTCCAATCCATCACCTATGCCTTTCTAGTTACAGACATGTCCACATACACCTCTGCCTTGCCCTTCCCTTACTCCACTATAGGTATTAAGCATTCTTCTACATCCTCTACCCCAAAATAGCCTGTCTACCTTCCTTCTTTCTCCCTACCTCCCTTCTCCCTACAGCACAAAATTCAGTGCCCCAAACCTGTGCTTCCCTCCCTCCACCTACTGTACTCCAGACCTGTCCACCTTCCCCTCCAGTCTATCCCGTTGTCCCCCTCTACTGATTTCGTTCTCACCCTCCCCTCCACCTTCCTCCTCCCCAACCGCTCCACACTTCCCGCCTCAGAAATCTTTCCTTCCATTTGTCCCCACACTTTACCTGCCACTCCAAGAACACTTCCCTTTCCCCACCCCCTTTTGCCCTCCACCTCACACACTCCACGCCACCCCACACCTGTCCCTCTCCCCCAGCTCCTGCCCCTAACGTCCTCCAACACTTGCCAAGAACCCCTCACCCTCCGTCCTACCTCAAAATTCCCTCTCTTGCTGATCCCACCTTCTTCCATACTTCCTGCATAAACACCCTCCATTTCACGCACTTCTCCCGCTATCCTTTAAATGCCCCACACACCTCCTGCTCTCCATCCCCATCACCCTTCTCCTACTGTCCCCACCTCTCTCTGCAAGCCCTCAAACTAAGTCTCTGCCCCAATGAACTTCCCCCTTCCACCCCATACTCCTCTTCCCTGAGCACCAGATACCTGCCTTTTTATCCTTACATGTCAACCCCCTCCCGCCTCCCTGCAGGCTCCCCTATACACCTGGCCACACACTCCCTCACACCCCTCGCAGGTCTCCTGGAGCCCCTGGGCCTACCCTTCATTTCCCTATCACCCCAGAAGCCTAGGCACCCTGCTCCCCTCCCTCCCTTTCAGGCGCTCCCTGCCTGCCCTCACTTCCCCCTGCCCCGACCCCCTCCTCCATCGTTCCCCTTCACGGGCGTCCCGGTGGCCTTCCTAATACCCGCCCCACTCCCTGCCCCTGGCACGCAGCGCTCCTTCCAGTCCTGCTCGAGTCCCCAGTCTTCTCCCTCCATTCCCACCCCACTCGTCCCTGCCCTCCCCAAAAGCCCCCTCATTCCCTCTTGAACCCCACAATATAGTGCCCCCCCCCACCGGACGGAATGTCCTCCATCTCGCACTCGCCTGGCCCAGGGGGCCCCCCAAACCTGCCTGAAGGCTCTCCTCCTCCATTGGGCCGGATCCCTCTGCACCCCTATTTACCCCCAAATCTGCCCACACCTTCCGCCTGCCCCCCGAAGCCTCTCCCCAGCTCCTGCCCCCAATGTCCTCCAACACCTGCCCCGAGCCCCGAGCCCTCCGTCCCGGAAGACCTCCCGGCACCGCGTCCCCCAACCCTGCCCACGCCCTCCCCTGATCGGCCGGGACCCCGTCCCCGCGAAGGTGAGGAAGGCTGCCCGCTGCCCTTGCCCGAAGCGGCCGGGGCACCGCAGCGGCGGCGGCGGCGGCCACAATGCCGGAGCCGCGGGGCCGGGATTGCTCCCTGCTCTCCGCCTCGGCCGCCACCGCCGCCGCCGCTGCTAAGGACGCACAACAAACAATGCGGGGCCCGGGCCGGCTCCGCCAACCGCCTCAACCGCCGCCTTAACCGCCGCCCGCCCGGGACGGCCCGCCGCGCAGGCGCCCGCCCCGCCGCCGGAGCCTACCCGCGCCGCCGCGCTCTGCCCGCGCCCGGTACCCGCTCCCGCTCCGCCGCCGCCGCCACCTCGCCCGCTCGCGTCTCCGGCTCCTCTGCCCAGCGGCGGCGGCTGCGGCGGCTGCTGCCCTGGTGGCGCTCGCGGCTCCGGTCTCCGCTTCGGCGGCGGCAGCGGCGGCAGCGAGCACGTGACACCGTCGAGCGCGCCCATTGGCCAGGCCAGGGGGCGGGCCCCGCGGCTGCTGGGGAACGGAAAGCCCGCCCCCTCGTTCGCCGCGCGCCCCCTCCACGCGCGTCCTGCCGCACCTGAGAGCGCCGGCCAGCGCCCGCCGCCGCCTTGCTGTGCCGCCGCCTGCGCCAAGTGCGCACCTGGGAGCGCGCAGGGAGCACTCGCCGCCGGCGGCCTTATGCACCTGCCAGCGGACGCTTACGTAAACTGCGTCCCCGCCTTCCTCCCGGCCCCAGGCCCCCGCTCGCTGCAGCACCTGAGCCCCGCTGCGCTAGCGGCGTAACTGCGGCGGAGCGGAGACGAGCTGCGCTGGGAGGCTAGCGAAATGCACGGAAACTTCGTAACTTCCGAACCTGGGAGCTGCGCCGAGCCGCGGCGGCTAGCCGCCTTCCCCGGGCCCCGCACCCCAGTGCGGGATGCCCCCCAACCCCAGCAGCCACACAAATGGAGTAGGCGTCGCACTGCCTCCCGAGGTAGAGGGGCAGGCCAGTAGGCTTTGACTTGTGCCACCGCCCACCTACTTGCTGGCTGTGTGACCTTGGCCAAGTTACCAAGAACCGTTCTGAGCCTCAGTTTCCTCATCAGGAAAACTGGGACAATAATTCCAATTTAGGAGCTGTTGGGGAGATGGCATAAGACAATAGGTGTGAATCCTGGCACACAGCAGTCGCTGAACAGAAGCTGCTACAATCACCTCTCCTTCACCTGCCTATAATGAACCTCGCTGGGATTGAGTTTGGGCCCAGGACCTCTCTGACCTCCTTATGGTTGGGTCAGACTTTGGCTGAACACCTACCAGCTCTGTGCCAGGGGCGGCGCTGGGGAAGAATTAAAGGTTCGCTTTCTATTCTACAGTCCCTGGCCTCAAGTTCTTGGTGCCCAGCATTCTGCTTGCCAGTATACAGTCCCTGCTGTATACCGGGGGGTTTGCAGGCTGCAGGGATGCACTGGCAAATGAGACAATGTCTTTGCCCTAAGACAATTCCCAGCCTGGAGCAGAAACGACCTGACCACTCAGTGCCAAGACAGAGGACCTTGAACAGCCCAGGGGTTGAGGAGGGACTCCCCACAACAGCCCCCTTGGGGCCCCTTTTCATCTTTCTAACACACCAGGCTCAAATATTTTAACAGCTCTGTTTCATTCACAGAATAAAGTGTAAAAAACCCAATTTCAACTGAAAAGGCCTTGGTGATCTGGCCTTAAGCTTCAAGGTGCACGCCCTTCCCTTTGCCCCTCCTTCAGGCCAATGTGACCCTCCAGCCACACAGAACTACAGTACTGTTGTTTCCAGAGTATGCCCAGGTGTGTAGGAGCCTGAGTCTCCTGAGACAGATGCCAGGCCGCAAATCCCTTTCTAAACCCTCTCCCCACCTCTGACCACTCACACCTTCCTTGACCCTCCTGAAAAAAATCCTGGGTATCCTTATCAATCAGCTCAGAGTATATTCTCTGGAGATCCTTGGCTGCCTCAGACACATGGTCTAAGCTCCCTCGGCTTGAACATAGTCCTGTTAAGCTATATGTATTCTCATGGCACTAGATTGTAATTGTTTAGCTGTCTGTCTCCTCCCTGGTCTCTCAGTCCCTTGAGGACAGGGTCATCTTCCTGCCTAAGTGTGTTAGGGAAGACTACACGTGCACATGACATGAGATCATTAAAGCTGGGTTTTGTAGGATGCCCATAAGTATCAGAGGGAGAAGAGGCGCCACACTGTAAAGATCCAGATTCACTGCACACTAGCTGTGTGATCTTGGAAAATCAATCTCTCTAGTCTAAGTTTACTCATCTGCCAAGTGAGACTAATAGTATTGCATATTGTAGGGTTGTTAGAAGGATTCATTGCAACCGTATATCTAAGGCACTCAGCACGGTGTCCAGCACTTGGTTACATTTTTAATTTTTTTAAAATAGAAGAACAGCATGGCATTAAGGATTCAATAGTATTTCTTGTTTCAATATCTTTATTGGGTTTGTAACTCCAAACACTGAGACAAAAGCATGCAAATTATATAAAAGGAAAGAAAGTAAAAAGTTAGGCCAGACGCAGTGGCTCACGCTGGTAATCCTAGCACTTTTGGGAGGCCGAGGCGTGTGGATCACCTGAGGTCAGGAGTTCAAGACCAGCCTGGCCAATGGGGCAAAACCCCATCTCTACTAAAAATACGAAAATTAGCCGGACGTGTTGGTGTGTACCTGTAATCCTAGCTACTCGGGAGGCTGAGGCAGGAGAATCGCTTGAACCCGGGGGGCAGAGGTTGCAATGAGCCGAGATCCCGTGATTGCACTCTAGCCTGGACAACAAGAGCGAAACTCCGTCTCAAAAAAAAAGTTAATGTCTCTCTCCCTTCCTGCCCTTGACTCCACTCCCACTACCCCAATCCCAACTCCAGAGTAGTTACTGTTAATTTTTCATGTCCCTCATTACATGTCCAAAGAAAAAAGAAAGTTGCAGAAAATTATTTATCTGTAATGTGTATGTTGGATTCTCCATAGAAAAACGTCAGAAAGGATTAAACACCAACCACTATTGGTTATGCCTGGAAGATAGAACTGGGTGTGGGGATGGAGGACTTAAAAATTTCTGCATTGTTTTAATTTTTTAAGGATACATATGCAGATTTTTGTTTTGCTTTGTTTTTGAGAGGGGTCTTGCTCTGTCGCCCAGGCTGTAGTGCAGTGGCGCAATCTTGGCTCACTGTAACCTCTGCCTCCTGGGTTCAAGTGATACTCTTGCCTCAGCTTCCTGAGTAGCTGAGATTACAGGCGCCTGCCACCATGCCTGGCTAATTTTTGTATTTTAGTAGAGATGAGGTTTCACCATGTTGGTCAGGCTAGTCTTGAACTCCTGACTTCAAATGATCTGCCCGCCTCGGCCTCCCAAAGTGTTGAGATTACAGGCGTGAACCACCGTGCCCAGCCTGTTTTGTTTTGAGACAGAGTCTCACTCTGTCACCCAGTCTGGAGTGCAGTGGCACAATCTCGCCTCACTGCAACCTCAGTCTCCCAGGTTCAAGCCATTCTCCTGCCTCAGCCTCCCAAGTAGCTGGGATTACAGGCGTGTGCCTCCACACCCGTCTAATTTTTTTTGTATTTTTAGTAGAGATGGGCCAGGCTGGTCTCGAACTCCTGGTCTCAAGTGATTCTCCCGCCTTGGCCTCCCAAAGTGCTGTGATTACAGGCGTGTAATCACACATAGATTTTTAACAATTTACTTGAGGTATAGTTTACACATAAAATTATGCATTTCAAAAATGTACAATCCAATGATTTTCAGTAACTTCACTAAGTGGTGCAACATTAACATAAGTCAGTTTCAGAACATTTAGCATACCTTGCCGGGCACGGTGGCTCAGCACTTTGGGAGGCCAAGGTGGGCAGATCACGAGGTCAGGAGATCGAGACCATCCTGACCACCATGGTGAAACCCCGTCTCTACTAAAAATACAAAAATTAGCTGGGCATGGTGGTGGACACCTGTAATCCCAGCTACTCAGGAGGCTGAGCCAGGAGAATGGCTTGAACCCAGGAGGCAGAGGTTACAGTGAGCCAAGATCATGGCACTGCACTCCAGCCTGGTGACAGAGGAAAACTCTGTCTAAAAAAAAAAGAACATTTAGCATACCTTATGGATCCCCCGTAAGACTCTCATGCTCATTAAGTGTTAATCCCATTTCCAACCCTGGCCACAAGCAAACACCAGTCTACTTTCTGTCTCTATTTTTTGTTTTTTCTGGTATATCTGATACTTCTTTTTTTTTAGACAGAGTTTTGTTCTGTCACCCAGGCTGGAGTGCAGTGGCGCAATCTCGGCTCACTGAAACCTCTGTCTCCCAGGTTCAAGCGATCCTCCCACCTCAGCCTCCTGAGCAGCTGGGACTACAGGCATGCCATTGTGCCAGGTTAACTTTTTGTATTTTTTTTAGTAGAGACTGGGTTTCATCATGTTGCCCAGGCTGGTCTCAAACTCTGGGCTCAAGGGATACTCCCTCCTCAGCCTCCTAAAGTGCTGCAACTACAGGTGTGAGCCTCTGCACAGGGCCTGATACATTTTTGTAAAAAAATCAAACAGACTGGTTGGGTGCCGGGGGCTCATGCCTGTAATACCAGCACTTTGGGAGGCCGAGGTGAGCGGATCGCCTGAGGTCAGGAGTTAGGGACCAGTCTGGCTAACATGGTGAAACCCCATCTCTACTAAAAATACAAAAATTAGCCGGGTGCAGTGGCACGTGCCTGTAGTCCCAGCTACTCAGGAGGCTGAGGCAGGAGAATCACTTGAACCCAGGAGGCGGAGGTTACAGTCAGCCAAGATGGTGCCACTGCACTCCAGCCTGGGAGACACAGCAAGACTCCGTCTCAAACAAACAAACAAATAAATAAATAAATAAATAAATAAAGTAGACCTTTTCGGCCTGGCACAGTGGCTCACACCTGTAATCTCAGCACTTTTGGATGCCGAGACGGATGGATCTCTTGAGGCCAGAAATTTGAAACCAGCCTGGCGAACATGGTGAAACCTTGTCCCTACCAAAAAATAGACAAATTAGCCAGGTGTGGTGGCACATGCCTGTAGTTCCAACTACTTGGGAGGCTGAGGTGGGAGAATCACTTGAACCTGGGAGACAGAGTTTTCAGGGAGCCAAGATCACACCACTGCACTCCAGCCTGGGTGACAGAACCTCTTGAAAAAAAAAAAAAAAGAAAGAAAGAACAAAAATCAAATAGACCTTTTAGGAAAAAAGAATAAAGGCCAGGTGCTGTGGCTCATGCCTGTAATCCCAGCACTTTGGGAGGCTGAGGTGGGTGGATCACCTGAGGTCAGGAGTTCGAGACCAGCCTGGCCAACATGGTGAAACCCTGTCTCTACTAAAAATACAAAAAATTAGCCAGGTGTGTTGGCAGGCACCTGTAATCCCAGATACTTGGGAGGCTGAGGCAAGAGAATTGCTTGAACCCAGGAGGCGGAGGTTGCAGTGAGCCAAGTTCACGCCATTGCACTCCAGCCTGGGTGACAAGAGGAAAACTCTGTCTCAAAAAAAAAAAAAAAAAAAAAAAGGAAAAAGAAAAAGAAAAGAAAAAAAGGAATAAAAGTGTCACCTAATCTCAACCAGTAATAATAACCCAAACTTTTCCTATGTATATATATTGTTCCAACCTTTTTTATGCATATAAATATATCTCTTTTACAAAGTGAGATTATTGTATGCCTTCTGTTTTGATTATTTTCACTTAATATAAAATGAATACACTTCCTTTTGTGTAACTAAATATTCTTCTGCATAATGTCGTATTTTAAGAAACATTTAATTAAACCAAGTACCTGTGTTGGGTATTTGGGTGCTTTCCAATATTTTCACTATTATAAATAGGGGAAGGTAATAGACGTTGTAAAGCTCTTGAGTTCAGCGCACTTTGAAATCACACCTAAGTTCAAGTACCAGCACCCCCTGTTTTATCCATTTATTGCTCAAATATTTACTGAAAACCTATTACATGCTAGTTCCTAGGAATACAAAAGCAAGCAAACAGCTACCCTGCCCCAGCTGAAGGTGGGCTCTGGTCTAACTCCCAGTTCCGGGCTGTTGGTCCCAAGCTACACTGCCATCTATAGAAGGTGCTCACCTTCTATATATATATATATATATATATATATATTTTTTTTTTTTTATTACACTTTAAGTTCTAGGGTACATGTGCATAACGTGCAGGTTTGTTACATATGTATACATGTGCCATGTTGGTGTGCTGCACCCATTAACTCGTCATTTACGTTAGGTATATTTCCTAATGCTATCCCTCCCCCCTCCCCCCACCCCACAACAGGCCCCGGTGTGTGATGTTCCCCTTCCTGTGTCCAAGTGTTCTCATTGTTCAATTCCCACCTGTGAGTGAGAACATGTGGTGTTTGGTTTTTTGTCCTTGAGATAGTTTGCTGAGAATGATGGTTTCCAGCTTCATCCATGTCCCTACAAAGGACATGAACTCATCATTTTTTATGGCTGCATAGTATTCCATGGTGTATATGTGCCACATTTTCTTAATCCAGTCTATCATTGTTGGACATTTGGGTTGGTTCCAAGTCTTTGCTATTGTGAATAGTGCTGCAATAAACATATGTGTGCATGTGTCTTTATAGCAGCATGATTTATATTCCCATTACTGGGTATATACCCAAAGAAGGTGCTCACCTTTAAAGAACCACACTGAAGGCCAGGCGTGGTGGCTCATGCCTGTAATCCTAACACTTTGGGAGGCCGAGGCGGGTGGATCACCTGAGGTCAGGAGTTTGAGACCAGCCTGGCCAACATGGTGAAACCCCGTCTCTATTAAAAATACAAAAAATTAGCCAGGCGTGGTGGCAGGCGCCTGTAATCCCAGCTACTTGGGAAGCTGAGGCAGGAGAATCGCTTAAACCCGGGAGGCGGAGGTTGCAGTGAGCCGAGATCACGCCGTTGCACTCCAGTCTGGGCAACAGAAGTGAAACTCTGTCTCAAAAAAAAAAAAAAAAAAAACAAAAACACAAAAAAACCCACACTGAAACAGAGGCAGTAAACATCTAGAACTGTGCTATCCACCCAACAGACACGAACCAAATGTGGCTATTTAAATTTAAATTAGTCAAAATTTCAATAAAATTTGAAATTCAGCTGCGTGAGGCACATTTTATGTGCTCCATAGCCGCATGTGGCTAGTGGCTACTGTACTGGACAGCACTGATAGAAAACATTTTCATCATTGCAGAAAGGCCTATTGGTTAGCACTGACCTAGAGGAACAATAATTACATAGCAGTAGTCACAAGAAGAATATCTTACCTGTGTATTTTTTTCCAAAGCACCTGCCCTGGGAGGTAGAGAAGTTGGTCTGGCCTCCTCTACTCTTTATTTCCCACCCCTCCCCCAACTGTACCCAGTTCTATAGAAAGCAGCTGAAGACAAAAAGCTGGCTGGTTGTGCTGTGGGTGAGGGGTAAGGTCATGGAGGATGTGACATTCCTCAACTTCCTGCCATCATTTCTAAATCAACTTTCATCTCCAGTCATTCTGTCCTCCTTCCCTCCTTTTACCAAAACCAGCTCCTCTCAACAAAGGCCAGCTCCCTTCCCCAGTGCCTGGACGCCCTCCTTTCCTGCCCTCTAAGGAACTACACTTCCTAGTTTGTTCCTCTCTGGTATGGCCAGCCTCTCCCTCTCTACTGGATTATTTCCATTATTATCCAAGCAGTCTCTTCCATTGTTTAAAAAGAAAAAAGAAAGAAACAAGATCTCCAGGTGATTCACCTGCACCTTACCATTCGAGAAGCACAGACCCAATTTCAGCAGGTACAGATGCCAATCAGAGCCTCAAATGCCATAGCAGAATTGCTGTTGCTGATATGATGTCTGAAATGGTGAATAACTCTTGGTAGGGTCTAAGCAAAACAAGATATAATCTTCATTCACTTTGCATAGTATTTGCCTCCCTGGAGTATTAAAATCATGCTAGAATGTACTTTGTGTTTATATTAAAAATGGAAATTAGTTGTTAAGCTCACATAATTATATATGGGACTTTCACCCATGTAAGTGTCCAGTGGGACATTCAAAAGTCATATGACATGAGGCCAGGCATGGTGGCTCACGCCTGTAATCCCAGTACTTTGGGAGGCAAAGGCGGGTGGATCACTTGAGGTCACGAGTTTGAGACCAGCCTGGCCAACATGGTGAAACCTTGTCTCTACTAAAAATACAAAAGTTAGCCAGGCGTGGTGGTGGGCGCCTGTAATCCCAGCTACTTGGGAGGCTGAGGCAGGAGAATCACTTGAACCCGATAGGTGGAGTTTGCAGTGAGCCGAGATCACGCCACTGCGCTCCAGCCTGGGTGACAGAGCGAGACTCCATCTCAAAAAAAAAAAAAAAAATCATGCAATGCTATCCATGCATTATATGACATCTAGCATCTCAGACTTCTCCCCCTCAATCAATACCATTATGATTACCCAACTCCACCACAAATGTCTAAAAGCTCCCAATGAAAACCATGGCTCTAGAATCTCATTCAACAGCCAACTCAGGATCTACTTGGATGTCACATGCTACTCAACTGTCCATAATTACCTAATCTTTCTCCTAAACTCCAAAACCATCTCTCCTACTGTTCCCCATTTTCAATTCCCTTATTGAGACTATTATAGCTACTGATAGTATAGGACTTATGTGTGTAGAATTTTTTTTTGATTTGTTCTTTTTGTATCCCTTAGAATAGTGCTGGGCATACAGTAGTCAACTATTAAATATTTGTTGAATGAATACCTAGCAAAATTTCCCATTCCCCTACCTTGAGTAACAAACCCCAAAACAATTTGGAAGGGGAGAAACCTGCAAGAAGAGAGCATAGACTCTTGGTCAGAAGCCCCTGCTTCCTACAGAATCTCTGCTAATACCCTTGATAATTCTATTGGCCCAAGATGCAAAAAAGCCCAGAACTACTGCTTAAACTTTCCCACCAAAGTACTTGCGCCTGGCTGGGAAGATTGAGTCAGCCCCACTGGAGGTCTGGAAAAGAGGCCCAGATTCACCAACCTCAAGCATAAAATTTCTCTGAAGTCTGGCCGGGCGGGGTGGCTCATGCCTGTAATCCCAGCACTTTGGGAGGCTGAGGCAAGCAGATCACTTTAGTCCAGGAGTTCAAGACCAGACCTGGCCAACATAGCGAAACACCATCTCTACTAAAAATACAAAAATTAGCTGGGCATGGTGGCGGGCACCTGTAATCCCAGCTACGTGGGAGGCTGAAGCAGGGAGAATTGCTTGAACCCGGGAGGCAGAGGTTGCAGTGAGCCAAGCTTGCGCCACTGCACTCCAGCCTGGGTGACAGAGCGAGTCTTTGTCTCAAAAAAAAAAAAAAAAAAAAAAAAAAAAAAAATTCTTTGAAGTCTCACATTTTATCTTTAAAATTCATGCAAATTTTATGTTTTATTCCCATGTTTGTTTTAACATTAAAATAATGTTTTTAATTACCACCCTTTAGGAGAAAAATTCAAAGCCTGTTTTCCCAACTCTTTAAGTAGAAATTCACACTCCAGGAAGACATTTCTTGTTCATGCTGTGGCTCTGAGTAATTCCTGGCATACCACCGCCTAGCTCTGGTGGTAATTATACTAACAGCCAACATTTATTAAGCACTTATTATGTGCCAGGCAATATATTAAGCACTTAACATGCATTATGTCTTTAAACCTTGCAACAGTCCTATGAAGTAGGTACAATTTTTATCTTAATTTATAGATGAGGAGACTAAGGCTCCAAGAAGGTAAGTAATTTGCACTATATCACTGAGCCAATAAGTGGAAGACGTGGGATTCAGCTCAGTGTTCTCAATTACTGTGCTGCCCATTCCAGTTTGAACAGCAAGGTCCTAGACTTCTAGAACAAGACGGGCTTAAGGCAGCAGGAAAGCCCTAAGAAATCATCCAGCCCCAGTATTTCACAGACCAGGCAAAGTTCTGAGGTGTCTGTGGATTTCTTGGTGGACATATTTTCAGGGGTCCACAAGTGCTAAGATAAGTTTCTAAATGGATGTCTTGGTTTCAATTATAATCTACAAATAATAATAATATGAGTAGGAATCACTAAGACAACCATCTTGTAAACAATCTCTGGCACCCCAAAATTTAGTGATGATGTTTGTGCAAAGTGATTGCCTAAAGTGACAGAGTTTAACAGAGGCAGATATCTTAGATTGGAGGCCAAATTTTCAAGGGTCAGCAAGAAGTTGATTCCTTTAAAACAGTGATTCTCCACAAGGTGTGATTTTGACCTCCTCTCCCCAGCATATTTGGCAATCTCCAGACATTTTTAGTTGTAACAACTGGCAGCTGGGGGTAGGGGCCAGAGATGGTTCTAATCATCCTACAATACACAGGACAGCTCCCCACAACAAAGACTCATCCGACCTGAAATGTCAATACTGTGGGTGAAGTTGAAAAACCCAAACTTTAAAAGCGTGTCTGTGAGGAGAAAAAGAACAGAGTGGAGGGGAAAGGACTGAAAATAAGGCTTCTCCGAATGAAACTTGTTAGATAGCTTTCACTTTGAAATAGTGTAAATGATTCATGAAAATGTTTAAATCATTAAGTCATATAAATTTTTAAATAATCCCTAAAATGAAAAGCCAAAACACAGACATATATTTATATCAGGTTGATAATATGACCATACAGAAACAAAGAATTACTCTAGGTGACTTTTAAACAAAGTATTTTGGGTCATAGATCTTCAGTGGGATATGTTCTAAAGATAAAGGGAAAAAAACAACAAAGAAATCTTAAACTACTTTCAGTGGTCTTATTGCTAGTGCTGTGGTTTAAATGTGCCCCACCAAAAGTTCATGTGTTAGAAACTTGGTCCTCAATGCAACAGTGTTGAGTGGTGGAACTTCTGGGAGGTGATTGGGTCGTGGTGGCTCTGCCTTCGTGAATGGTAATATGGTTTGGCTGTGTCCCCACATAAATCTCATCTTGAATTCCCATGTGTTGTGGGAGGGACCCGGTGGGAGGTAATTGAATCATGGGGGCAGGTCTTTCCCGTGCTGTTCTCATGATAGTGAATAAATCTCACAAGATCTGATGGTTCTGTAAGGGGGAGTTTCTCTGCACAAGTTCTCTCTCTTTGCTGCCATCCATGTAAGACATGACTTGCTCCTCCTTGCTTTCTGCCATGATTGTGAGTCTTCCTCAGCTACATGGAACTGAAGTCCATTAAACCCTTTTTTCCTGTATAAATTACCCAGTCTTGGGTATGTCTTTATCAGCAGCATGAAAATGGACTAATACAAATGGATTAACCCATTCATAGATTAATGAATTAATAATATGAGTAGGAATCACTAAGACAACCATCTCGTAAACAATCCCTGGCACCCCAAAATTTAGTGATGACGTTTGTGCAAAGTGATCGCCTAAAGTGACAGAGTTTAACAGATGCAGATATCTTAGATTGGAGGCCAAATGTTCAAGGGTCAGCAAGAAATTGATTCTTGCTGAGGAATCTTGTTGAGGAAGTGAGTTAATTATCACAAAAGTGGCTCTGTTATAAAACCAGTTTTGCTGTCCCTCGTGAGTCCCCTGGCCACGTGATGCCCTTCACCACCTTGGGAATCTTCAGAGTCCCCACTAGCAAGAAGGACTTCACCAGATGCAGCTCTCTGACCTCAGACTTCCCAGCCTCCAGAACTGTAAGAAATAAATTTATTTTCTTTATAAGTTACTCAGTCTCAGGTATTCAGTGATAGCAATAGAAAATGGACTAAGACAGCTAGTAATAATATTGATACCACTATTCTGAAGTATGTCTATTGTGGGAAAAAATAAATTAGTAATTATATGAATGTTGCTAGGATCCAAGAGTGTCAGGACAAAAGAGATACAAATGTGACATCAAAGCAGTTAAGCAAAAAATGTATCATCTTAAATTTGAGTTGGAAATATCAGCACCACTTAGTAATTTTCCCCTTAGTTAAAAAAAATACATATCTCTAGCTCTTTATACTTTAAAGGCCTGGAAGCAATAGCAACCCAGTAGCAACATGTACCCCCAGCAGGCACAGAGTGAAATCTCTAAATGCCATTCCACACAAAAATGGGCCGGGGCTTTCCACATTCTCTTATACAGAAAATGTATAAGATGAGCCTGGGATGTCTTGTCATGTAAGAAAGCATGGAAGTTCTCAAAGGCCAAGGAGGTCACACCAAAAGGCTATCAGAGCCAGCTTAAGGGGGCCCTAAGCCAGCAAAGACTGGACAACGAGGCCTTCAGGAAGAATAATTATAACAAACAATGAAAAGACTTTGAATATAGACAAAGCCATGAGGTCATGCTGATTCTCTTTTTTTTTTTTTAGTGGCAAGAAGAAACAAAATAATTTACTACGGGATGTTTCTTTTCTGTTGTTGTTGTTTTTTGAGACAGAGTCTCACTCTGTCAACAGGCTGGAGTGCAGTGGCGAGATCTCGGCTCACTGCAACCTCCGCCTCCTGGGTTCAAGCGATCCTCCTGCCTCAGCCTCCCAAGTAGCTGGGATTACAGCCACATGCCACCACGCCCAGCTAATTTTTTGTCTTTTTAGTAGAGATGGGGTTTCACCATGTTGGCCAGGATGGTCTCAATCTCTTGACCTCATGATCCACCCACCTCGGCCTCTCAAAGTGCTGGGATTACAGGTGTGAGCCACCATGCACGGCCGCCACTGGGTGTTTCTAAGGCAACAACTTGTTATCTAAAAATTGATCATTAAAGAGTTAAGCATTTATCATGAAGAAGAATCCTAATACTAATAGTGGACATTTAATCAGTGCTCTGAAGTTTACAGAGCGTTTTCCTATACCTTTTTTCATTGAAGTCCACCACAGCTTGTATCTGGATGTTCTCAGCATCTCTGAGAAATACAGAAGCCTCTTCAGACCAGCAAGAGCAAGGAAACTGCTTCTACTTTGAGATTCACTAAAGAAATGGGGAAGTGGCCAGGCGTGGTGGCTCAAGCCTGTAATCCCAGCACTTTGGGAGGCCGAGGCAGGTGGATCACCTGAGGTTAGGAGTTTGAGAACCAGCCTGGCCAACATGGCGAAACTCCATCTCTACTAAAAATACAAAAAACTAGCCAGGTGTGGTGGTGGACGCCTGTAATCCCAGCTTCTTGGGAGGCTGAGGCAGGAGAATCACTTGAACCTGGGAGGCGGAGGTGACAGTGAGCTGAGATCAGGCCATTGCACTCCAGCCTGGGCAAAAAGAGCAAAACTCTGTGTCAGAAAAAAAAAAAAAAAAAAAAAAAAGAAGCAAGGAATTACCCTAGGAAAGGGCATTTAATTCTCTCTTGGAAATTTAATAAAACCTGGAGGGTTTTCTAAAAGAAAAAAAAAGTTAAGGATTTATCCTGCCTTCCATCATAAACTGTATTTCAAGGTAATATAGTTAAAACATCCCCACTGGACCACCCACATGCAGTTTCTTCATATATCTTGAGCTTCTTACAGCAATAGCTGACAAGCTGCTTAGACTAATACTTAGGACTAGCGCAGTGTCACTTTTCCTAAGTTCAGTTGGTCGAAGTAGTCACAGACTCAGCCCAGATTCAAGGGGATAGAGAAACAGACTCAGTGGGGGAGTTCTATGCATGTACAGAAAAGGAAGGAATCAATGGTTCTTCCAGAGAGGAGACAAGCTCCACAGACACGCAGTGACAATTCTGAAGCATGGGGAGATGCTTTTCCCCCTTTGTTCATTCCACCTTTTAAACCTCTCTCAAATCTATTCTCTTGTCGTCATCCCTCCCATCATTATCTTAGTCCAACTCCGGGAGAGTGATGTCCTCATCTCCCCTCATTCTGTTATTGGCTAATTTTTGCAAACTCCCTGAGAGTTTTCCAGAAGGCCAGATAGCCCAGATAAAACAAGCAACCTAGTAAGGTGAAACTGCTCACAGGCTCACTGAACATTGAAAGGAAAGAATTGCCAGGTCCTCTGATTCTGCCGCCGCTGGTCACTATGTTCCTTTGCAAAGCTCACTTCTTAAAACCAGGTCACAGAAATTGTCCTTGCTAGGTCCCAGTGAGTTTGAATTTCTTTAAAAATAGCTTGTTCTTCAAGTGCAAAAAATAACATCTGAGATGTTTGTTTAAGTGTGAAACACACCTTTGTCATGACTCAGTACGGGCTAAACGGAAATTTATTAAACTTCCCAAAAAGAAAATTCTTCTCTTGAACCATGGGAGCTTGAGAGATGACAGCTTGGGAAACGGGAGGCGGGGGGAGCAGAAAGAAGAAAAGAGGCAGGTGGAGCAGAGAGAAAGCATGGAGGCTCTTTCTCATCTCTGTGGCTTTCACACGCTATTCTTTCCACCTTGAACGACCTTCCTCCTCTAGCGAGCTTGATAATGTTCTTGCCTTCCTTGAAGCCTAATTTAAATGTCACCTCTGTGGAGCCTTCTCTGACCCCTCCAGGCAGAGTTTCTCACTCCCTCTTTGTTCTCAAAACACTTTGTACATGTCTTTATTATTAGCACATCGTATTGAAGTTGTCAGTTTACAGGTCTGTCTCTCTTCCTAGGCTGTGAGCTTCTCAGCAGCAGGGACACTGGGTGAGTCATCTGTGAACCCCTCCGCCTGGCATTGGGCCTGGCACAGGGAGAGTGTTGGCAAAGGTTGTTGATAAGAGATGGTCTCCAGGCTCAGCGGGAGATGCCTTAAATCCTGAGATGACTGCTTTCATCCCTCGTTCTACTTTGCAAAAGGTTCCTGACTCTCTCCACACCCTTCTACTGCCAAATCTTTCAGTCTACCTGCCTCTGAACTCATATGCTCTGCCTTCACTCCTTTACAACGGAAGAACTGTCCTCATGCTACCTAAGGCCAGCTGCTCCCTGTGTCCACCAGATCCCATGCCCTTTATTACTGCAATTATCCTCCTTTCTCCTGCGTCATTGATAATTTACCCTTTCTATTTCCACCGATGTACAAATACTCTGTGCTTCTCCCAATTAAGGACAAACACACACACATGCATACACACGCACAGTCCCATTTCTCTGCATTTATTCTATTCTCTGCTCAACCCACTCTACTCTGCCCACTCACTTAATCTTGTCAAGGTCACCAGTAATTTCCATGTTGCCACATCAAAATGGTCAATTCGGTTTTGGCCTCAGCTTACCTGACTCAGTAGCATTCAGCACCATTAATCCCACTCTTTGCTGCAAACACTTTCTTCCGGGGTAACCAGGACTCTACAGCCCCTCCTCATCTCTCCACCTCACCAGCCACTGCTTCTCAGTCTCTGTGGCTGTGAAGGAGTTGGATGATCCTTCCTGTCATCCCTTCCTCTAATGTTGGAGTACCCCAAGGCTCAGTCTCCCGACAGCCCCACTATCAAACTCTCTGTGATCCATCCAGTCTCATGATTTGATAGAACGATCGACAATACTCAAATTTCTATCTGCTGCCCCACTCTGAACTCCAGGCTCAGTGGCTAAGTGCCTACTCAGCATCTGGACTTGGAGATCTAAAAGGCATCTCAAACTTAACATACTCAAAACCAAACTTGTGATTCACTACTTCTTCACCAGGGTCCCCAATATCTCCATAAAGGTCACCACAGTTCACCCAGTTGCTCATGCCAAAAGCTTTGAAATTCTCTTTAATCTTTTTTTTTTTTTTTTTTTGAAATAGAGTCTCACTCCGTCGCCCAGGCTGGAGTGCCCAGCCTGGGCAACATAGGGAGACCTCAACCCTACAAAAAATATTTAAAAATTAGCCAGGTGCCACGTCATGCATCTGTGGTCCCAGGTACTTGAGACTGCTTGAGCCCAGGAGTTCAAGGCTGCAGTGAGCCGTGATCACACCACTGCACTGCAGCCTGGGCAACAGAGCAAGACCCTGTCTCAAAAATAAGTAAGAGGCCGGGTACGGTGGCTCATGCCTGTAATCCCAGCACTTTGGGAGGCCGAGGCGGGTGCATCACTTGAGGTCAGGAGTTTGAGACCAGCCTGGCCAACATGGTAAAACCCTGTCTCCACTAAAAATACAAAAATTAGCTGGGCATGGTGGCTCATGCCTGTAATCCCAGCTACTGGGGGGAGGCTGGGGCATGAGAATCACTTGAACCCAGGAGGCTTGAACCTGGGAGGTTGCAGTAAGTGGAGATCGTGCCACTGCACTCCAGCTTGAGCAACAGAGTGAGACTCTATCTCAATTAAAAAAATAAAAAATAGGGCCAGGGGCGGTCAGTGGCTCACGCCTGTAATCCCAGCACTTTGAGAGGCCGAGGCAGGCGGATCACGAGGTCAGGAGTTCGAGACCAGCCTGACCAACATGGTGAAACTCCATCTCTACTAAAAATACAAAAAATAGCTAGGCGTGGTGGTGTGCACCTGTAATCCCAGCTACTCAGGAGGCTGAGGCAGGAGAATCGCTTGAACTCAGGAGACAGAGGTTGCAGTGAACTGAGATCGTGCCACTGCACTCCAGCCCGGATGACAGAGCGAGACTCCATCTCAAAAAAATATAAATAAATAAAATAAAAATAACAAATAAATAAATAAATAAATAAGAATCCTTGCAATTTCTACCTCCTCTCTCTTAGAACACTGCTCTGAGTCCTCCACGCTGAGAAGTCAAAGATGAAAGACTGCGCTGGAGAGAGAGACACAGCTGTTGCCGGTGAGCCCAGCCCCCAGCCACCCCGCCAGCTGAAAGCAGCTGTATGAGGTGCACAGGAGAGACCTGCAGAAGAGCTGCCCAGGCATTCCACAGAATCATGAGAAATGATGAATCGTTTTTTAAAGCAATTAAGCTTTGGGGCTCTTTTGTTTCACCGTAAAAATAACTGATACAATCTAGATAGTTCCAGTGGCCTCCATTCTAGGTTTTTTTTTCTCCAGTCTTGCAACTCCAGTGCACCACCACGTGTCACCAGAATGGTCATTCTAACTTGAACTCTCACTGGATTAAAAATTTTGTTAAAAGTCTTTAGTGGCTCAGCCTGGCGCGGTGGCTCACGCCTGTAATCCCAGCACTCTGGGAGGCCGAGGCGGGCGGATCACGAGGTCAGGAGATGGAGACCATCCTGGCTAACACCGTGAAACCCCGTCTCTACTAAAAATACAAAAAAGTAGCCGGACGTGGCAGCGGGCGCCTGTAGTCCCAGCTACTCGGGAGGCTGAGGCAGGAGAATGGCATGAACCTGGGAGGCGGAGCTTGCAGTGAGCCAAGATCGTGCCACTGCACTCAAGCCTGGGTGACAGAGCGAGGCTCCATCTCAAAAAAAAAAAAAAAAAAAAAAGAAAAAAGAAAAGAAAAAGAAGTCTTCAGTGGCTCTCCTTCTTTTTTTCCTTTTGTTTAGAGACAGGGTTTCACTCTGTCCCCCAGGCTAGAGTGCAGTGGCTGGATCAACTGGACTCAAGAAATCTTTTTTGTTGAAATGGATGTCTCACTATGTTGCCCAAGCTGATCTCGAACTCCTGGCCTCAAGTGATTCTCCCACCTCAGCCTCCTGAGTCACTGGGATTACAGGAAGTGGCTCCACATTTTATGAGATAACACTGAGCCTCCGAATTGTAGTGTATGAAACCTTCTGTGGCCCAGCCTCTGCAGACCTCTTTGGTCTCATCTCCAAGTACCATGGCACCCTCTGTGAGTTAGGCCACTGCTAGGAGGAACAGTTTACCTGTGGAGCTTCGAAAAATTCCAGTGCTCGGGCTCCAGCACCAGACACTCAGATTTAATTGGTCTGAAATGGGACCCGGGCAACAGTATTTTTTAAAAGCTCCCCAGTGGATGCTAATATATACCCAGGGTTGAGAACCATTCAGCTAGAGGATCCAAAAGTGTATTTTAAAATTGCTGATCTTGCCTTCAAGGAAATTCAAAAGCTTCAAGGAAAGACTAAACTATGCTGTGTGCCCTTTTAGCATTAAGTAAGCGATATTGTGTTTTAAGTTTTGGGAAATTGGTAATAGACGCTATGAGAACATTCTTTAATTATTTGAAACATCAATTTATCAATATTTTATTTCCTCAGTGTTAGACTCACCCTTTTCATAGTCTAATGTTTCTGATCAAATTCCACCTTATTATTGAATGTATGCATTTAATGCTTCTTTATTTTACGGAAAACTAGTAATTTCACTAAAGGTGTTTCTTATTGCCAGCAGTGATCACAATCAAAGAAACATCTTTCTGGGACATGGCATTTTTCCATGTGCAAAGTGCTGTAACTTCTTTGATCCCAATTGATCTTTCCATCAACCTGGTGAGGTGGAGATTTTTAACTTCATTTTATGTGCCATAACTGCTACAACTTATTGAGCACTTACCACTGTTCTAAGTACTTTGCAAATACTATCTCATTTAAGCCCTACAGCAACCAGTAATGTGACCATATTTTATGCACTGGGAAGCTGAGGCAGAGATGTTAGGTCAGTTGCCTAGGGTCATGATCACACAGCTGAGAGAGGACAGGGCTGTGTGACCATGAGGAAAGGATACTACAGTCCTCAGGGACTCTGAGCATGCCATGCGGTTTTCAGGAGATGGTCCTTCTGCTTGTTTCTCAGAATAAAGTGCAGATGTCTTAATATGGCATTTGAAGCCTTTTGCAATTCTTCCCAAATGTTTATTGCAATGGTAATAAAAAATCCAGCCGGGCACAGTGGCTCATACCTGAATCCCAGCACTTTGAGAGGCCAAGGCAGTCAGATCATGAGGTCAGGAGATTGAGACCATCCTGGTTAACATGGTGAAACCTTGTCTCTGCTAAAAATACAAAAAATTAGCTAGGCGTGATGGCACGTGCCTGTAGTCCCAGCTACTAGGGAGGCTGAGGCATGAGAATCGCTTGAACCCGGGAGGCAGAGGTTGCAGTGAGCCGAGATCGCATCACTAAACTCCAGCCTGGGTGACAGAGTGAGACTCCATCTCAAAAAAAAAAAAAAAAGAAAATCCACAACCCCCTAATAAAGAAAGCTGAGAATAAGGATCCCAGTAATTAAGGGCGACTGAATGCCAGGCACTTTGCACATATTATCTCTAATCCTCCTAACAACATTGTGTGAGGGGATTTGCAGGGGCCTGGGTCGGTTTTGCTGTTAGGCACCCCTCCCCTTTCTTCTGGATTGTCTTCTGGGTATCATCCTACAGGCCCCTGTATTTTCGGTCTTGTCAGGGCTGTCAATCAGGATGCTTCACCCTTCTCTGGGCAAGAGGTGTTCATCACACTCTTTAGGAATTTGAACCTTGAACACAGCTATACATCATCAGAAAAAAAAATGGGCAGAGTTGAATTATCCCAGGGACAAAGTCCTGTTGATGGTAATAATAGTATTTATTGGGAATTTACAAGTGTGAGCACAATAAGAGTTGTACATATATTAATTCATTTCATCCTGCAAACAGTTCTTTCAAGGAGTCCCTGATATACTCCCTGTCTTCCCTAACAGATGGACAAACCAAGGCAACAAAACAAGGTCGTGCAGGTTTATGGGTAGAGCTAGATTTGAACATAGACAGCCCGATGCAGAACCTCTTGCTTCTGCAGTCACTCCATGGCTTCTCAGCTGGTCTTTTCTGTAGATTCTGTCCCTTGGGCCTTTTCTTTCTGAGTCTAGTTCTTAGTCTGTCCCTTTAATTCAGTCATCTACACCACAGGCTTGCTATTAATCCCCTTTTTGACTCATGAGGCTGAGTAGGTTTCTGTTGCTGGTGACTACAAAACCCTAAATAATTAAAGTCTTGTTATGCCTGCTTGCAGGTGAGAGGTCTGATGCTCTGGAGAGGTGAACAGATGAAAATCACTAGCTACTAATAGTAATAATAATAATAGCAACGGTAATAATGATAGTAACAGATAACATTTATTTGAGTTACTTAGCATTTAATGAGTTCTTACTACAAGGCAGTCTCTGTGCTAGGGAATTTATATAAATTATCTCACTTAAACTTCCCAATAACCCTAAAAGGTAAAACTTTTTAAATTGAGATATAATTCACTTACCACAAAATTCACTCCGTGAAAGTGTACACTTCAGTGGATTTTAGAGTATTCACAGGATTGAGCAACTATCACCACTATTTAATTCCAGAATATTTTCATCACCCCATATAGAAATCCTGTGCCCGTTAATTAGCCTTCAATCAGCTGGGCGCGGTGGCTCACACCTGTAATCCCAGCACTCTGGGAGGCCGAGGCGGGTGGATCACGAGATCAGGAGATCGAGACCATCCTGGCTAACATGGTGAAACCCCGACTCTACTAAAAAAAATTTTTTTAAATAAAAAAAAATTAGCCGGGCATGGTGGCGGGCGCCTGTAGTCCCAGCTACTCGGGAGGCTGAGGCAGAAGAATGGCGTGAACCCGGGAGGTGGAGCTTGCAGTGAGCCGATGTTGTGCCACTGCACTCCAGCCTGGGCGACAGAACGAGACTCCTCCATCTCAAAAAAAAAAAAAAAATTAGCCTTCATTCTCCATTCTCCCCTACCCCCAACCCCTTGGCAACCGTGAATCTACTTTCTGTTTCTATGGATTTGCCTATTCCAGACATTTTATATAAATGGAATTATAAAATATGTGGTATTTTATGACTGTCCTTTTTTCACTCAGAACAATGTTTTCAAGGTTCATCCATGTTGTAATATGTCGTTGTTTTTTTTTTTTTTTTTTTTTTTTTTTTTTTTTTTTGAGACGGAGTCTCACTCTGTCGCCCAGGCTGGAGTGCAGTGGCATGATCTTGGCTTACTGCAACCTCCACCTACCTGGTTCTAGCAATTCCCTTGACTCAGCCTCCTGAGTAGCTGGGATTATAGGCGCACACCACCACACCTGGCTAATTTTTTTTTTTGTATTTTTAGTAGAGACAGGGTTTCACCATGTTGGCCAGACTGGTCTTGAACTCCTGACCTCAGGCAACCCACCCGCCTCGGCCTCCCAAAATGTTGTGATTACAGGCGTGAGCCACCGTGCCCAGCCCATTTTTTTTTTAAATTGTGGTAAATTATACAAAGTATTCATCATTTTAATCATTTGTAAATATAGAATTCAGCAGCATTAAACACATTTACAATGTTATGTAACCATCACCACTATTCATACCCCAAACTTTTTCAGAATCTCTAACATAAACTCAGTAACAATTAAACAAATAACTCCCCATCCCTCTCTCCCCACTGCCCCTGGTAACATCTGTACTATTTTCTGTCCCTAGGAAGTTGCCTATTCTTTTTTCTTCTTTTCTTTTCTTTTTTTCCCGAGATGGAGTTTTGCTCTTGTTGCCCAGGCTGGAGTACAATGGCAAAATCTTGGCTCACTGCAACCTCCACCTCCCAGGTTCAAATGATTCTCCTGCCTCAGCCTCCCAAGTAGCTGGGATTACAGGCAGGCACCACCATGCCTGGCTAATTTTGTATTTTTAGTAAAGACGGGGTTTCACCATGTTGGTCAGGCTGGTCTCAAACTCCTGATCTCAGGTGATCCACCTGCCTCAGCCTCCCAAAGTGCTGGGATTACAGGCATGAGCCACCGTGCCTGGCCAGAAGTTGCCTATTCTAAGTACTTCATACAAGTGAAATCATACCACACTTGCATGTTCTTTGGGTTTAGTTTATTTCACTTCATATAATGTTTTCAAGGCCTATCCACATTGTAGCAAGTGTCAAAATGTCATTTGTTTTTGTGCCTGAATAATATTCCCTTGCATGCCTGTGACACATTTTGTTTTATCTACTCACCTGCTGATGGATGCTTTGGTCATTTCCATATTTTGGCTCCTGTGAGTAATGCTACTGTGAACATCAGTGACACTTATCTGTTCAAGTCCCTGATTTTAATTCTTCTGGATGTACGTCTAGGAGTGGAACTGCTGGGTCATATGGTAGTTCTATCCTTAACTTCTGGAGGAGCTGCCACACTGTCTTCCACAGTGGCTGCACCAGTTTACATTCCCACCAGCAACACATGGGGGTTCTGTTTTCTGTCTTTTCAAGACTGAGTCTCGCTCTGTCACCCAGGCTGGAGTGCAGTGGTGCAATCTCGGCTCACTTCAACCTCCGCCTCCTGGGTTCAAGCAATTCTCCTGCCTCAGCCTCCTGAGTAGCTGGGATTACAGGTACCTGCCACCACGCCCAGCTAATTTTTTGTATTTTTAGTAGAGACAGGGTTTCACCATGATGGCCAGGCTGGTCTCGAACTCCTGACCTCAGGTGACCCACCTACCTCAGCCTCCCAAAGAGCTAGGATTACAGGCATGAGCCACTGCCTCCAGCCAGCGATTCTTGTGCCTCAGCCCTCTGAGTAACTGAGACCACGGGCATGTGCCACCACTCCTGGCTAATTTTTGTATTTTTTGATAGAGATGGGGTTTTACTATGTTGACCAGGCTGATCTCAAACTCCTGATCTCAAGAGATCTGCCCACCTCAGCCTCCCAAAGTGCTGGGATTTCAGGTATGAGCCAATGTGCCCAGCCCGCATGAGCATTCTGATTTCTCTACATGCTCACCATTATTTTTCCATTAAAAAAAAATTATAGCCATATCAATAGGTATAAGGTGGTATCTCATTGTGGGTTTGACAGACTTCATTCCTTTTAATGGCTGGATAATATTTCATTGTATGGACATGCCACATTTTCTTATTCATTCATCAGTTGGTAGAGATTTGGACTGTTCCCACTTTTTGGCTGTTATGAATGATGCTGCTATTATGAATGATGCATTTGAGGGCAAGTTTTTGTGGGGGCCTGTGTTTTCAATTTTCTAGAGACTGTAACTAGAAGTAGGATTGCCAGGTCATGTGGTAACTCCGTGTTTAACCTTTTGAGGAACTGGGTAGAACCATTTTTATCCTCATGTTATACATAAAGAAATGAGGCCCTGAGAAGTTAGGTTGCCCAGAGCCATACAACTAAAAAGTGGTTGCTGGCCGGGCACAGTGGCTCATGCCTGTAATCCCAGCACTTTGGGGGGCCAAGGCGGGTGGATCACAAGGTCAGGAGATCAAGACCATCCTGGCTAACACAGTGAAACCCCGTCTCTACCAAAAATACAAAAAATTAGCTGGGCATGGTCGTGGGCACCTGTAGTCCCAGCTACTCGGGAGGCTGAGGCCAGAGAATGGCGTGAACCCGGGAGGTGGAGCTTGCAGTGAGCCGAGATCACGCCACTGCACTCCAGCCTGGGCGACAGAGTGAGACTCTGTCTCAAAAAAAAAAAAGAAAGAAAGAAAAAAGTGGTTGCTGGGCTTTGAGTCTGGTTGGCTGTCTCAGGAGATCAAAAACAGACAACACCATCCTTCCTGAGGAAAGCAACACTTGTTCTAAAAACAGTCACTAACAGTGTGGGATTTACCAGCAATTTTGACACCTGAAGAATTAATGCTACCATAACCCTCAGTAAAACAATTTAATTAAAATTAAAACGTTTTCATTTTTATTACCTTATTATTATTATTAGCTATTATTTGTTGGATGTCTGCTATGTGCCTAGTATTTTACACACTCTAAACCTTAAAACAGGGAAGGCTCGGGGGGCTTTGGAGTTAGACAGCCTCCAGGTTTGTGTCCTGCTCTGCCACTTGGGCAAGGAATGTAACCACTCTGAGTCTCACTGTCCTCATGTGGGGACAACAATATTAACTATCTTATAGAGTTATCATAAGCCTACATGAGTCAGCACCATAAGAAATCCACAAATACTACTTTTAACAATAAGCTTGTAAAAAAACACTACCTCCCTGCACATTTTACAGATGAGAAAACTGAGGCTTGGCCGTTGATATGATCTGTCCATGGTCCTGAAGACAGAGGTGCCAATGATGACGCTTTTTCATCTCTGCTGTTTCTGCTCCTGGTTCATCCCTTGTTCTGCCCATTCCATTTGTGGACAACACAAAACACCTGGGATTTCTCTACCCTATTCTTCTTATGAACATCGAGCGAGTACAACCCTCTGGGGTCTCTACTGATTCCCTGCTCACATCCCCTTTCCCTCCACATCAGACTGTCTGCATCTCCCAGGACAGAACTCCCACATCTCCCAGGAGCTCCAGCTGCAGCTTCAACTTTCAGTACCTAGCAGCTGGGCTTACTCCAGGAAGACACTGGTGGAATGGAGAGAGCAGAGACTTCCAGTTCAAATTCTGACTCCATCACTCAGGCAAATAGCTAATCCCCCTGATCACCAGCTTCCTCAAAGGTCAAGTGAGGACAATTGTTATACTTCGCAGGATTGCTGCGAAGATGTGAGAGTGTATGGAAAGTATCTGGTTCAGGTACCTGATGCAATGTGGGTGCTCAATAAATGCTCATTACCCTTTTATAGCCCTGTTCCCCTTGTGGGGTGGCAAGGAGAGGTGGAGGCTTCTGGAAGACAAAGCTCAAAGATGGAGTCCACTAGGCTAGGAAATAGCTTGGCAGCTGGAGTGAGAGCAAGGGAGGATTCAGGGGTGGCAGAGATCAAAGCCTAAATTATGCAGATTATTCCTTTGTTCCTTGTAGTTTGCACTTGCTTTGGTGCCTCCTGGGGTGTGAGGAAAGACAAGCTCACATCATATGCACACAGATACACAAAAGTACACAGGGACAAACATACACATGAACCTAAATGCACATGAAAATAAACCCCACCACAACACACACAAACACACATATGCATGCTCACAAGTGTGTGTATGCACTCTGAACACAAATTTATCTACGTGTTCAGGCAATTGTTCAGAAGCTCATGTGCTCATGAACATGTGTAAATGCACAATCTTGTGTGTTCATGCAAGCACATATACACACACACATGTTCACAACCACTAGTCCACACAGGCATGCATAAATGCTTGTCCACATGTGTGCACACTCCCTTTTCAAATCCCCAACTCAAAATAGAAGCATAAGGTGCAACATTTGTGCCTCTCTGTCGTTGAGAGAGAGGAGGCTTTAGAAAGACAGCTTTGCAAAAGAATGTAGAGAAATTGACAGGGATTCCATGCATTTCAGGAAAGGTTAAGAGGTGGAGGGTGTCCAATAGCAATAGCTGGATGAAAGGGTACAGAGGAAACTAGTTCAACCAATGTGGAAGTCAGTGTGGCGATTCCTCAGGGATCTAGAACTAGAAATACCATTTGACCCAGACATCCCATTACTGGGTATATACCCAAAGGACTATAAATCATGCTGCTATAAAGACACATGCACACATATGTTTATTGCGGCACTATTCACAATAGCAAAGACTTGGAACCAACCCAAATGTCCAACAATGATAGACTGGATTAAGAAAATGTGGCACATATACACCATGGAATACTATGCAGCCATAAAAAATGATGAGTTCATGTCCTTTGTAGGGACATGGATGAAATTGGAAATCATCATTCTCAGTAAACTATCGCAAGGACAAAAAACCAAACACCGCATGTTCTCACTCATAGGTGGGAATTGAACAATGAGAACACATGGACACAGGAAGGGGACCATCACACTCTGGGGACTGTTGTGGGGTGGGGGGAGGGGGGAGGGATAGCATTAGGAGATATACCTAATGCTAAATGACGAGTTAATGGGTGCAGCACAGCAGCATGGCACATGTATACATATGTAACTAACCTGCACATTGTGCACATGTACCCTAAAACTTAAAGTATAATAATAATTAAAAAAAAGAAAAAAAAAAAAAGAAAGGGTACAGAGGATAAGGTGGGTCTATTAGGGGGAGGGGATAACCCAAGGCATCCACTATCAACCTGAACCCAAATTAACCAAAGGTTTATGCCAGAGTCCCCCAACCAATTGATCACCATACTAGTCACAGCCAAATAAGGCTCAATTATGAACACGTAGCACCTCTGATAGGTCAAGCACTGTTTGAAGCCCTTTACACGTATTAACTTATTTAATCCTCAACAATAATAAGGTAGTTTTTTTCTTTCAATTTTCAGACTGGGGAAACTGAGTCAGGGTACCTGGCCTCTCCAAAAGATGAGACACCCAGATTCAAGCTTGACTTCCAACTTTTGACTCCTTCCCTAAACTTGTTCAGATGCCATCTCCAGATTCCCTACAGACTGGTCCCCTTCTGAGGCAGGAGAATTGCTTGAACCCAGGAGGCGGAGACTGCAGTGAGCCGAGATCGCTCCACTGCACTCCAGCCTGGGTGACAGAGTGAGATTCTGTCTAAAAAAAAAAAAAAAAAAAAATACCTCTATTTAAATTTTTTTATTGCCTTTTTTTTTTTTTTTTTTTTGAGACAGGGTCTCACTCTGTCATGTAGGCTGAGGTGCAGTGGCATGATCACAGCTCACTGCAGCCTCAACTTCCAGGGCTCAAGAGATCCTCCCCACCTTAGCCTCCCGAGTAGCTGGGACCACAGATGGGCACCACTACGCCCGGCTAACTTTAAAATTTTTTTGTAGCAATAGGGGCTCCCTATGTTGCCCAGGCTGGTCTCAAACTCCTGGGCTCAAGCAATCTTCCCACCTCAGCCTCCCAAAGTGCTGAGATTACAGGTGTGAATCACCTTGTCTGGCCTTAAATTGGTTTTGAGATGATTATTTTGGAGGTATTTTAAAATAGCAATAATCCCATCTAATCAGATATGACCAATATTAGCACTTAGATGTATCTTGGAAATCTGTTTTGTATAGCTAATTATTCTCTCTCTCTCTGACTCTATTCACATATATTTATATATGTACCTGCATTTGGTATATATAAAAAATGAATAAATTTTAAAGGGATTACCAAATGCAAGTTGTTATCTGTATTTTAAAATTTAGTAATATATTAAACACATGTTTACACATCCATAAATGTAATTCCATAATATCAAACAACTTTTTTCCAGTGTGTTAAGAAAATGCAGTGATAGGCTTTCTTGCTCATATACCTGTACACAATTCTTTAGTATTTTCCTTAAAATATCTGAAGAATAGAATTATATATCTTTAAAATAAACTTCATTGAGAAATTACACATTTTAAAGCATTTTGATATATATTGCCAAAATGCTCTTCAGAAAGTCTTAACAGAATTGTACTCACATTTGCAGTATACAAATGTTTCTCTTACCATATTGTTGCTAGTACATATTGCGTATTAGCAGGTTTTATTATTCTAAAGTTCACGGACTAAAACATATCATCACAATCTGATTTAATTTACATTGTAATAATTAACAAGGTTGTACTTTTTTATGTTTAATACCCATTTGTATCATTTCTACATTCATGGATTTCCTTTGCTTTTTTAAATTTAAAATATAATCTCATTGCTTTGTTTAGCTTTTTAACACTACATGTTAATTGCAGAAAATTTAGAAAATAACAATATAAGAAATAAAACAAAACTTAGTCAGATACTCAGCCATATTGTAGATTTTTTTTAGAAAGAGAGATTTAGAAACAGAAATCACATACTTACCACATATACCAAATAATATTATGCCCTTTGTAGCTTTATAGACTGCTTTTGAATTATAGAACAGTTATTTTCCTATGTTATTAGGTATTGTTTTTAAAACATGATTTTTATATATGCACAAATGTATTTATATCTTAATTTACTTGATAATCGTCCTAACTTGGACACATAGGTTTCTTCCAAGTTTTGCTTTCATAAATAACAGAGTAATAAACATCTTTATCCTCAAGTTTTTTCATCTTTTACTATTATCCTCAGGATAAATTCCTGGAGGAAATGTTTCTATATAAAAAGTCATGAAGAGGTTTTTGTTTTGAGGCTTTTGATATATATCGTCAAACCCTATTCCAGCGTACACAGTCACCACCAAGTGGAAAAGTGTCTGTTTTGCGGCACTCTTGCCAAACTGGGTATTAAAATGTTAGGTGAAATTTGGCACCTCATTGTCATTTTCATGTTTGTTTCTTTGCTTACAATGAGCCTGACCATGTGTCTTCTGTTTCCAATCTAACAGGCCGCAGCGGGGAGTGGAGAAAGTGGGTTTTCTATGCTTGGCTTTTTCCTCCACCACTTGTTACAGAGTTGGGCAAAATGTTTTTAAACCATGTTTGTTAATTAGAATTTTAAAATAATTTTAGTAATGTTAATAGCTTTCACTAAAAACCTACCATTCTTTTCAGCCTTCAGCCTTACCCTCTTATAAGTCACTCTCCACATATCATCAGAGTGGTCTTTCCAAAACACAGACCTGATTGTTTCACCCCCTCTGCCTACAACCTTCAGTGGCTCACTATTACCTACAGGATAGAGTTCAAGCTCCTTGTCCTGACATTTGAAGCCTTCATGGTTTTACCTCAACATTCCTTTCCAGCCTCATCTCCTATAGATGCCCCAGACCTCCCCTTCCTGATGCCATGACTAATGTGTTACCCACATTACTCCTACTTGCTGTTTTTATTTCAGATGTAAGGCCTTTGTTCACACTGTTCCCCTTGCCTGAAATACCTTCTCTCTTTTTCACCTGGCAAAGGCTTTCTGAGCCTTTGAGATTTAGCTCAATGTCTGCTTTCCTGCTTCCCCGCTTCCCCGAAGAGAGAGCACTTTGGTCCTGTCCCTGTGTCTCATAACACAATGTTCACATCTCGTCATTATTTGTGCGTGTTCCCAGCTCCTCCACTACACTTTGAGTCCTTAAGGGCAGGAACTTAGCACACACATTTACCTCCCCGGTGCATAGACTAGCGCCTGGCAGAGAGTAAGGGCCTTGGAAATGTTTGTTGTTGGAGAACTGTGTCTCTCAGATAATTTAATATTTGATTATAAAGCTCACACTCTGGCACAAAAGCTGTCATTGAAGACATATAAATTAAAACACAAAATTCCTCATCAAAATGTCTCCCAGGAATGGCTGGGTCAGAGCAGTTGGCTAGCTGCTAAGGTGTTTAATAAAACCCCAGTTAATTAACAAGAAAAAGATTCCTTTGTGGTTTGCTTCACGGCGGAGGACAGCAAGAAGCTTATGCTGGAGACAGGTCTGGGTTTCATTTCAGGTTTCTTTCAGAAATTTTAGGGATAGAAGAGTAAAGGGGAGATAGGAGCTGTTTTTGACCCAGGCCAAGCTACTGAAGGGTTGCCCTAATTCCCCTGAGTCTGCAGTTCCCAGTCCGCCACACACTCTTGTTTCCCTGATGCTGGGAGAATAAATTAGTGCAATCTCTTTGAAGAGCAATGTGATAGTATGACAATGTGTACCCACTTTGACCTAGCATTCTACTGCTAGGAATCCAAGCTACAGAAATAACAGCTCAAATATGAAAGGAAATGGGTGTGATGATGTGTTGTTATTTCATTGCTTGGGGTAAGAATAAGCAATCTAAGGCCGGGTGCGGTGGTTCATGCCTGTAATCCCAGCACTTTGGGAGGCTGAGGCGGGTGGATCACGAGGTCAGGAGATCAAGACCATCCTGGCTAACACGGTGAAGCCCTGTCTCTACTAAAAATACAAAAAAATTTGCCAGGCGTGGCGGCGGGCGCCTGTAGTCCCAGCTACTCGGGAGGCTGAGGCAGGAGAATGGCGTGGACCTGGGAGGCGGAGCTGGCAGTGAGCCGAGATCGCGCCACTGCACTCCAGCCGGGATGACAGAGCAAGACTCCGTCTCAAAAAAAAAAAAAAAAAAAAAAAAAAAGAAAAGAAAAGAAAAAGAAAAAGAAAAAAAGAATAAGCAATCTAAGCTTTATCCAACTACAGAATCCACGGAAATGTTATAAAGAATAAGGTAGATTTGTATGCTCTGAGATGAAAGTGACAGCAGATACAGGATTCCATTTTGCAAAATAACAACAAAACTTTGTACATGAACACACACACACACATACACATACACACAGAGTTTGCCAAGCTATTAAGAAAGATCTAGTAGGATACACATCTAACTTCTAGGGAGCACATTATGGAAGAATCAAAGGAATACTTTCATTGTTTATTCTCACAAATATGTATTGTTTCAATTTTTACAAGCATTTATTAATTTTGAAGTTAAAGAGAAAATAAAGCACTTTATAAAGCTGGTTCCCAACTATCTTTTCAATTCTGACTCACATGGCTTCCGAATCGTGTTTTCTTTTTAAGCATATCCTATCTATTATGTGGTTTGATTGTCACAACAGACCCATGGTACATATCATTATTATCATTTCCATTTTACACATCAGGAAACTTGAATTCATGAATTCTGGTCTTCAATGCATCAAATTCACGATGAGAAAAGACCATAGCCAATGGTAGTACAAATGCTAAGAAAATAGCACCCTCTATTCTGCTAGTGAGAGAATAAATCCATACAAGCCTTCTAGGGAGCAATTTGACAATAACATATCAACATTCTTTAAAATCTGCATATCCTTTATCCTAGCAATTCCTTTTCTGGAAATTTATCCCAAGGACATAATTAAGGATGTGCACAGAGTTTCAGCTACAAGGATATTCATTTAAGAAGATGCTTACGATACTAAAAAATTGGAAACCACTGAAGTATCCAAGAATAGAAAATTACTTAAATAAATTATGTTCCATTCATACAAGAGAATACTATAAAGTCATTAAGTAGCAGTGAAAAGGCATATTTAATGGCAGGGAACACAATTCATGATACATTTTTAAAAGTAGGTCACAAACAGGCCTAGTGCAGTGGCACATGCCTATAATCCCAGTACTTTGGGAGGCCGAGGCAGGAGGATCACTTGAGCCTAGGCATTCGAGGCTGCAGTGAGCTATTATTACGGCACTGCACTCTGGCCTGGGTGACAGAGTAAAACTCTGTCTCTGGGGAAAAAAAAAAAAAGTAGGTCACAAACAGTCCATATTACATGAGTCCATTTTTGTTTTTGTTTTTTAACATATTTAGGCCGGGTTGCAGTGGCTCACACCTGCAATCCCAGCACTTTGGGAGGCCAAGGCAGGCAGATCACTTGAGGTTGGGAGTTCAAGACCAGCCTGGCCAACATGGCGAAACCCCGTCTCTACTAAAAACACAAAAATTAGCCGGGCGTGGTGACACGTGCCTGTAGTCCCACCTACTTGGGAGGCTGAGGCAGGAGAATTGCTTGAACCCAGGAGGCAGGGGTTGCAGTGAGCCAAGATCACACCACTGCACTCTAGCCTGGATGACAGAGAGATCCTGTCTCAAAAACAAAAAACAAAAACAAAAACATATGTAATATGCTTTTTTTAAAAATGGAAGAAAAACACACCAAAATGTTCATACTAATTACCCCTAGCGACTGAGAATACAGGAGATTTTTTTTTCATTTTCTCCTTTTCTTAGCTGTATTTTCACGACTCCCTCCGGCTAAATTTCTTACAATGAAAATGCATCGCTTTGAATAAGACAAAAATTGTATTGATTTGTTTTCAAGAAGATGCATCTTCTTATTCCTCCCCCGAAGCAAGTTTTGTAGTCTTGCCTATGTGCCTCCTTTCCTCCTAGATCAATGACCTATCCATAGCTACCCCGGCATTCTATAAAGCCAGCTCCTCCAGGAAGTCTGCCATGATCTCTGCTGGCTGCTGGGCTTCCTAGCTTACATTCAGCTTTCTGTCTGCTTGCACGGTAGTGTGACACTTACTGCCAAAGCCTGCTGGGATATGGCTTATCAGCCCAGGAAGCTTAAGGCATCCCCAAAGCGGCTGCTCAGTCCCTGTTTCTTTAAATAGATCTGGCTGCTTACAAAGCAGGTATTGGAGTGCCTAAAAGCCCAGCGGCCTTCAGAAGCCCCTGCCTCTGGCATTCGCTGGAGACTTTCCCACTCAACTGGTGTCACTCTGTTCTTCATGCTCAGCTTACAGAAGCCTTGGCTCGGTCTCAATGCTTCCCGCACCCTGTGGCTCCCCTTGCCCCGGCCACTGGTCTACATGTGCTTTGGAGTTCACCTTCCGGTTGCATTGATGCTCCAGATAATAATCAAAGCCATCTCCCCCAGGCCCTCAAACCCTGCGCCACTCACCCACACAAAGACAGGGGATGATAAAAACCATAGTTCTTGTGTGCTAAGCACCTGCTATATGCTTGGCACTTTACATGCCTATCTCCTTTACTCTGTAAAAATAACAACCGTAGCTATCATTGAGTCCTTTTTCTGTGCCAGCTACTGTACTCTTTATATGCATCTGCATTTCCCAGAGTATGAAAGAGAGGCTCAGAGGAGTAAAGTGAGTTGTCCAAGGTCACAGAGCTAGTAAGGAAGTGGTGGTGCCTCGTTTCAAACCAACCCTTGTCTGACTGCCAGCCTCATGCCCCTAATCCCTACCCTGTGCTGCTCTTATAACCACCCTGTGGGATAGGCAGGAAAGATGAGAAAACTGGGTTTCAGCAAGGTTAAATCTCAGTTCAGGGTCATTTTAACACAGCGTCAGAGGGACCTGAGAGCTTGCAGTGAGAAGATGCTGGTCTGGGTAAGGAACTGGGTGAATAGGAAGGTCACAGAAGGTGAGAGTCTGGTGTGGGTGAGGAATGGGGCTAGGTCCTCCACCAGGGAGGCAGGGATCCAAGGCTGGGCTCTAATCCTGGCAGGAGAAGTGCAGGCTGGGAAGGCAGCTTCCCAGGGCTCCCCTCCACCCCGGAAACACTACCCACCCATCTGGGACAGCATAGCCATTTCTCGATCATATCTGCCATTGTCCTTTGTCCCGGGGCTCAGGGACCATGTGGGGTTGTGTGTGCTGACAGAGGTGGAGGAGGGGGACTCAGGGCCTCTGGTGTCTGGGAGGCTCAGATAGGCCAGGGTGTTCTCTGTTCACCTGCTGGACACTGGGCTGCTATGCTCAGGGGCAATGGCTCATACCACATCTCCTCTATCTGGAGTGTAATAAAAAGATCCAGGTGCCTAAGGCAGCAAGGTGAATCTGGGCCCCAAAGTTCTCGGCTCAAGTCCTGGTCTACCACTGACTTGCCTGGGACTTCAGGTACATCACTTTCTGTCTTGGCATTGTAACAGCTCCTGTTGGGGCTGTGGAGCACTGGTGTGTGGGTAAGTGTTGTGAGAAGTAGAGTCAAGAGTAGCTGGTGTCAGCTGCCACGGTAGCTGCGATCCTAGCACTTTGGGAGGCCAAGGCAGGTGAATCTCTTGAACTCAGAAGTTCAAGACCAGCTGGAACAACATGGCAAAACCCTGTCTCTACAGAAAATACCAAAAATTAGCCAGGCATGTTGGTGTGCGCCTATAGTCCCAGCCACTCTGGAGACTGAGGCTGGAGGATTGCTTGAACCCAAGAAGTTGAGGCTGCAGTAAGCTGTGATTGTGCCACTGCACACTCCAGCCTGGGTAACAGAGTGAGACCCTGTCAAAAAAAAAAAAAAAAAAAAAAAAAAAAAAAAAAAAAAAAAGCAGGTATGTGACTTTGGAAAACAGTCTGGCAGTTCATCTAAAAGTTAAACATAGCATCCCTGTATGGCCCAGCGGATGCACTCCTAGGTATACACCCAACAGAAATGAAAACACATGTTCACACAAAAACTTTTACACGACTGTTCATAGCAGCGTTATCCACAGTAGTCAAAAAGTGGAAATAACCCAAAGCCACCAACCAATGAACGGATACCAAAATGCAGTATTTCCACATAATAGAATATTATTCAGCCATAAAAAAGAATGAAGTACTGATGAGTGTTATGACATGGAAGAATCTTGAAAACAGAAGCTAGGCACGAAAGGTCACATACTGTATGATTCCATTTTTATGATTGGCCAGAATAGGCCAATCCACAGAGACAGAAAGTAGGAGCAGGGGAAATTGGGGGAAGGGACAGCTAATGGGTACAAGGTTTCTTTTGGGGTATTGAAAATGATCTGGAAATAGTGATGATGGGTGCACAACCTTATGAATAGAATAAAAACCACTGAATTGTACACTTTAAGGAAGAATTTAAATGATAGGAGAATGGTTTGTTTTTGTTTTTGAGACAAAGTCTTGCTCTGTCACCCGGGCTGTCGTGCAGTGGTGCGATCTCAGCTCACTGCAACTTCCGCCTCCCGGGTTCAAGCGATTCTCCTGCCTTAGTTTCCTGCGTAGCTGGGACTACAGGCACCCACCAACACGCCCGGCTAATTTTTGTATTTTAGTAGAGACAGGGTTTCACCATGTTGGCCAGGCTGATCTTGAACTCCTGACCTCAAGCGATCTGCCCGCCTCCGCCTCCAAAGTGCTGGGAGAATGTTTTTAAAAGAGAGAATAGCGAGCATTTCCTTCTCCAGATTCCATGCTAAGCACTTCCCATGTGCCTTGTGTAATCCCCACATCAAACCTAGAAGAGAAGAACCCTCATTATGCTTATTTCATAGGTGAGGAAACTGAGGCAGGGAGCGGTTCAATAGCTTCCCCAAGGTGGCACAGCTCTGGTGCCACATGCAAATGCAAGGTCAGTGTGGACGGCATTGCACCTCCACTGAGACCACAGGGTACTTTGTACAAGCTTTTCCTGTGGACAGTCTCCTTGTTCATCTTCCCTATCAGCCCATGCGGGCCTGGAGAGCAGACACCTTATTCAGCGACTCCCCACAACACAGCTCAAGGCCTGGCTCATAGACGTCTGTTGAATGGAAGGAGCACTGCACTATCTTTGCCCTCTCGGCTGGTTTGCAGAGAAATCGACTTTTCACAAAAGCACAGCATCCGCTGTGAAATCTTCAGGCTGCCAGAGGCTGCTTCACGCTCACCCTGAGGTTGCTGAGATGAGAGGCAAGAACCACCTCAAGTCGAGACAAAATGCATTTGTGGTTTTGAAGGAAAGTCGTTAGAAGACAAAGTCTGTCTTCCAAGGCCAAGGTTGCTCCAATTCCGTTTACTTAAAGTAGAAAGAAGACAATCCCTGCCCCGATGGGTCTGCGCTGGCTTGTAGGAAGGAGAGATTTTGCTGAGTATCCAACACTAACCGCAGGAGAGAGCAGAGGGGAGACAGTGGGAGCCAAAGCAAACATTCTGAAGTCAGAGATAATGGGAGAAGGTAAGAGGAAGAATAGGCTTGGAGGCCAAGCAGGAAGCAGGTCTGAAAGGAAGGGTGGGAAGGCAGGAAGCGTCCCGAGCACTTATGAGAAGATGGCCCTCCAGAGTCTGAGGGGGAGGTCTTGGAGGAACCTGGGCTGGCTGAGCTGGAGTCACAGCTGGCCTGGCCAAGACTCCTCCAACAGTCTGCTCCTGGGCCTCCCTGACTTGGGCCTCTCCCTGTCCTGTCATCCTCCATTTGAACCCAAAGTGTCCTTTCAACACACAGATTGTTCCTGTCCCAAAACCCTTCCACGGCTCCCCACTGAGAAGCATTCAGACGAGGCACTCCAGGCCTCAGGGTCCAAATGAAGTCGCAGGCCAGGTGCGGTGGCTCATGCCTGTAATCCCAGCACTTTGGGAGGCCAAGGCAGGAGAATTACTTGAGTCCAGGAGTTTGAGACCAGCCTGGCCAATATGGTGAAACCCCATCTCTACTAAAAATACAAAAATTAGCCTGGCGTGGTGGCGCACACCTATAATCCCAGCTACTCAGGAGGCTGAGGCACGAGAATCACTTGAACCCGGGAGGCAGAGGTTGCAGTGGGCCGAGATCATGCCATTGCACTCCAGCCAGGGTGACAGAGCGAGACCCTCCCTTTGTCCTTTCAGCTTCCCTTCCCCACTTCTCTCTGTGGCAATCCCCTAGGATCTCATGCACCAACCTTCTTATTCTTCCCCAAGTGAACTCCGCCTTTCTTGCTTTTTCCGTATTTTCTCTTTTTCCCAGATATGTCTCATCTCCTCCAATAGCCCCTTGTGGGACTATTTTCTCCACTTCTTTGAATCTCCCTCAATGTCTAATCTGGGGCTGGCCATGGACGCATGCTCAGTAACTACCAGAAAAACGAATCCAGTAGCCAGAAGGATGGAACACAGAAGGATTCTGGGCAACTGACCTGCCTAGTTCACGCTTATAGAGCTTGACGTGTTAGGCCGGGTTCACAGGTTTGCCAGGAAACAGACCCTGGGGAAAGGGTGGGGTCTAAACGGCATATCTGGGAGGTGGACGCTAACACAGAGTACGTTTGAGGGTAGCCACCTTTCTGAGCACCTCCGGCTCCATCCTGCTGAGGTCCTCTAGGAAATGGGAGAAAGCACAACTTCTAGTTGTCCCACCTGGAAAGTAAAGGATGCTGAAGTATTTACCTCCCGTCTCCCACTCACCTGGCTCAGGGCAGTTCCTGGGGTGTTTACACCTGTGGCCTGCTCCTGGCTCAGGCTGAAGGACACCTGTGGTGTGAGAGTCACAGATGCTTGCAGCAGGACCCCATAGGCAGGCTCCAGATGAGTGGGAGGGGATCAGACAGGCCCCCACTCTCCCAGCCTCTGTGCCTTTGCTGTGCTATTCCATCCCTGAACTGCCCTCTTCCAGGTCTCTTCTCCACTAGCAGTGAGCTCCTACACCTCCTTCGAGGCCCAGCTAAACGTTCTCCCTCTGGGAGGCTTCGCCTGACCACCCCAGAAGAGTTAGGGCCTCTCTCCCATGGACTCCCACCAGCACCCTTCCTCTCTCTTTTTAAATTTTATTTTATCATCATTATTATTTTTTTTGAGACGGGGTCTCATTCTGTTGTCAGGCTGGAGTGCAGTGGCACGATCTTGGCTCACTGCAGCCTTGACTTCCTGGGCTCAAGCGATCCTCCCACTTCACCCTTCTTCTCTTATCACTTTGTGCAGTGGCTCCCACAACAGCCACCCGCTGTTATCACCTTGCAACTGTGGTCTTGTCTGCCTGCCTCCCGGACTGCGAACTCTGCAAGGGTGAGGTCTCTGTCTGATTCATTGTGCCCCTAGCAGCAGCAGAGAGAAGGTGTCCTGTGAGTGACTGCATGAGAACAGCTGAATGAATAAGCAACAATAATAACTAACTATGTGCCCGACTCTGAGCTAACTTCCTTACACGTGACGCTTGTTTAATCTACCCAGACACTTACAAGGTAGGTGCTACTGTCACTGTTGACCTACAGATGAGGCAGCAGAAGCACAGAGGGCAAAAGGAACTTGCCCCAGGGCCCCCGCCCCACCAAAAAAACAAGAAGCTGAGTGAGGAATGATGGAGAGGCCCCTCCCAGTCCCTTGGGAGAGCTGTACTCACCCCCTGCAAGTCGAGGATAGGAGACTATTAGCTCCGCCCATTGGCTCACGATGGCTCTTCAAAGCTGCTTTGGGCTAGGAAAGGATCTGCTGAGTCTGCTGGGAGGATGTAGAGAAAGGAAGATAAATGGGGCAGCAGAGAGGGAGGGTCCTGGAGCCTGCCCACCTGTGAGCAGTGAGTTTGAGGAGCTGGGTGGGGGGTGCTGTAGGAGCAGCCGGGGGTGAAGTGCTGGATGAGGGTTGTTGGGCCACACAGTCACTGGGAGGGCAGGCGTGACAGTAGACACTCCCAGCCACACAGCCCCTTCCAGATTTCTTTCTTCCTTTCCTTTCCTTCCTTTTCCTTTCCCTTTCCCCTTCCCCTTCCCTTCTTTTCCTTTCCTTTCTTTTTTGAGACGGAGTTCCACTCTGTCGCCCAGGCTGGAGTGCAATGGTGTGATCTCGGCTCACTGCAACCGAGAAAAGGAGATAACTATCCTTTTCTTATAAGGTGTGATAAGGATAGAATGAATTTTTTTTTTTTGAGGCAGAGTCTCACTCACTCTGTTGTTGTAATAAACTCTGCCTCCCAGGTTCAAATGATGCTCCTGACTCAGCCTCCTGAGTAGCTGGGATTACAGGCACCCATCACCATGCCTGGCTAATTTTTGTATTTTTAGTAGAGACAGGGTTTCACCACATTGGCCAGGCTGGTCTTGAACTCCTGACCTCAGGTGATCCACCTGCCTCGGCCTCCCAAAATGTTGGGATTACAGGCGTGAGCCACTGCACCTGGCTGCCTTCCAGATTTCTAAGCAGTTTCTTACCCATAATCCCATGTGCTCCTCACTTCACCCCAGCCTGGGTGGCATGGGAAGGTGTGGGTTAGATGAGTCTGCACAAGATCACGAGCCAGAGCTGGGACTTCAAATTAGGTCACTTGGTCTGACCCCAAGTGCAGTATTCTTTCCACTGCCTCGTAGCTCTCAGTCCAGCCAGGATGGACCTTGTGGGTCAGATCTTGCTTTCCTGGAGGGACATTTGGGATCATGGGGAGAGAGAGCCAACATTAGTGCATACCAGACAAATTTCATTCCATCCTTGCCAGGAGCGGTGGCTCACACCTAATCCCAGCACTTTGGGAGGCCAACGTGGGTGGATCACTAGAGGCCAGGAGTTGAAGACCAATCTGGCCAAAATAGTGAAACCCTGTCTCTACTACAAATACAAAAACTAGCTGGGCATGGTGGTGCACGCCTGCAATCCCAGCTACTTGGGTGGCTGAGGCAGGAGAATCTCTTGAACCTGGGAGGTGGAGGTTGCAGTGAGCTAAGATGATGCCACTGCACTCCAGCCTGGGCAACAGAGTGAGTGAGACTCTGTCTCAAAAAAAAAAAAAATTAATTCCATCCTTATCACACCTTATGAGAAAAGGATCATTATCTCCTTTTCACAGTTGGAGAACCTGAGGCCCAGAGAGGTTCAGCAACTCAGCCAAAGACACAGCAAGCGATTAGAGGGCTAGGATGGGGACCCAGTTTGAACAGGCCCCAGAGCATAGGGTCTAACAGGCAGATGGGAGAAGAGGGCATTGGAAGGATTCATAAATTAGGATTTTTCCAGCTGGGTTTGGCAACTGCACAGTTTACCTACAATCTACTCACCTTGATGGAGTTTATACCTAGAGATCCCTCACCCTGCAGAACAGGAGACAGACTCCCTGAGAGACCTGCAACTCACAGTTCACCCAAGAGCAGGCATGAGACACCCAGCCAAGGTCACAAGTAAGAGGCGGGTACTCATTTCTTCTGTGGCCACAGGCAACTGAGTGGACTAGCCACAAACACAGTGGTCACTAAGGGTTACACCTCAGGAGCTAGGGGTCCTCTGTCTGCTTCCTCTGAGGCCCAGGGATGGACAGAGGTGCACGGCAGTGCCTCAGAGGGTGAGCAAGGATTTTGTTAGCCTCTATCTAGATCCCGACTGTTTTATGAAATTTGATTTGGCCTCTGGGGAAAAACTAGCTGTGATCCAACAAGGGCAAAAGCACAGATGCCGGGGGGGAAAAAGCTTGTCTCTTAAAATGCAAAAGCTTGAAGGTGCTTTCTGAAGATTGCAGTGAGATAATTCAATGGTAAAAGAGACATCCGTTCAGAACGGATAAAAATTTTGCAAGAATCACAGGGCAGGTTTAGGAAAGATGTTTTTGTAAGTAATATGAGACTAAGCTTGCAGGGACTGTTGAAGTTAGCTTTTAAGGAGAGGTGGAATTTTGCTTATTACATTAGGAAGATTTGGAATGAATAGAGAATCCTCCATGCAGTTAGGGTGGAAGGCACATAGGAAATACCAAAAGTATTGAAAAATTAAAAACCAAAAGCTACAATTGTTTTTGTCTTTGCAGAGTTGTCCAAACACATTCATTTCCCTGGTATCATGTGATCTGCATGACCTTATTATGGCAAAAGAATAGTAAACATTGCACCCTTAAAAAAAAAAAGCAGCTTCAATGAGATGTAATTCACAGACCATACAGTTCAACCATTTAAAGTGTGTAATTTGCCGGGCGCAGTGGCTCCCACCTGTAATCCCAGTACTTTGGGAGGCCAAGGCAGGAGGATCACTTGAGGTTAGGAGTTTGAGACCAGCCTGGCCAACATGGTGAAACCCCGTCTCTACTAAAAATACAAAAATTAGTCGGGCGTGGCAGTGGGTGCCTGTAATCCCAGCTACTCTGGAGGCTGAGGCAGGAGAATGGCTTGAGTCCAAGAGGCGGAAATTGCAGTGAGTCGAGATTGGGCCACTGCACACTAGTTTGGGCAACAGAGCAAGACTCTATCTCAAAACAGAAACAAAAACAAAAACAGGGTGTAATTCATTGAATTTTAGTATCGTAGTCCCCCTTATCTGTAGAGAATATGTTCCAAGACCCTCAGTGGATGACTGAAACTATAGATACCAGTAGACTTGCTTGTTCTGTTTTTTCCTCTTTGTACATACCTAGAAAAAGTTTAATTTATAAATGAGGAATGGCAAGAGGTTAACAACAGTAACTAATAATAAAATAGAACAATTTTAACAATAAGCCAGCATCACTACTCTTGCATTCTGCGGGCATTATTAAGTAAAATAAGGGGTTACTTAAACACAAGCACTACAGTATCAATACTGGCACTGATAACCAAGGCGGCTATTAAGTGACTTACAGGTGGGTGTTCATACAGCATGGAGATGCTGGACAAAGGAATGATTTGCATGCCAAGTGGGATGGGCCGAGACGACACAGGATTTCATCACACCACTCAGAACGGAATACAATGTAAAACTTATGAATTGTTTCTTTCTGGAACTTTTTTTTTTTTCAGATGGAGTCTCTCTCTGTCACCCAGGCTGGAGGGCAGTGGCGCGATCTTGGCTCACTGCAACCTCCACCTCCTGGGTTCAAGGGATTCTCCTGCCTCAGTCTCCCGAATAGCTGGGACTACAGGCGCCCGCCACCATGCCTGGCTAATTTTTGTATTATTAGTAGAGATGGGCTTTCACCATGTTGGCCAGGCTGGTCTCGAACTCCTCACCTCAGGTGATCTGCCCACCTCAGCCTCCCAAAGTGCTGGGATTACAGGTGTGAGCCACCACGCCTGGCCTGGAATTTTCTATTTAATATTTTTGGGCCACAGTTGACTATGGGTAACTGAAACCACAGAAAATAAAGCCACTTGCCCTGTTTTGTGTTTGCTTACACTCTTATTGCTCCCTGAGGTTTTTTTTTTTTTTTTTTTGAGGCAGGATCTCCCTCTTTCACCCAGGCTGGAGTGCAGTGGCGCAGTCATGACTTACTGCAGCGTCAACCTCCCAGGGTCAAGTGTTCCTCCTACCTCAGCCTCCTGAGTAGCTGGGACTACAGGCGTGCACCATCACACTCAGCTAATATTTAAATGCTTTAAATAGAGACAGGGTATCACTTTGTTGCCCAGGCTGGTCTCAAACTCCTGGGCTCAAGTGATCCTCCCACCTCAGCCTCCCAAAGTGCTGAGATTACAGACGTGAGCCCCACGCCCAGCCTCCCTGAACATATTTTATGAGTGTATTGTTTACTTGCCAGACTGTATTCACATAGTTGTTCTAATTTCGGAACATTTTTAAAAAATGAACTCTGTATCCATTAGCAGTCATTCCCAATTTCCTTTTTTTCCCAGCCACTGGCAAGCACTAATCTTCTTTCTGTCTCTCTGGATTTACCTATTCTAGACATTTTACATAAATGGAATCTTACAACATGTGGTATTATGGGTTGAATCGTGTCTCCCCCACCCCTACCAAATTCATAAATTGAAGTCTTAACACCAGTATCTCGGAATGTGGCCTTATTTGAAAACAGGGTCATTGCAGATGCAATTAGTTTAAGAAAGGGTCATTAGAATGGGCCTTAATCCAGTATGTCTGGTGTCCTTATAAAAAGGGGAAATTTAGATATGAAGATACACACAGGGAGAACATCACGTGAAGATGAAAGCAGAGATTGAGGTGATGTTTCTCTACACCAAGGAACACCAAAGATTGCCAGCAAACACCAGAAACTAGGCATGAGTCACAGAACATGTCTCCTTCACAGTCCTCAGGGGGAAGCAACTCTGGATACCTTGATCTTAGACTTCCAGCCTCCAGGACTGTGACACAATAAATTTCTGTTGCTTAAGCCAGCCAGTTTGTGCTACTTTGTTATGGCAGCCCTGGGAAACTAACACATAATGGTCTTTTGTGTCTGGCTTTTTTCACTTAGCATAATGTTTTTTTTTTCTTTACTTTTCTTTTCTTTCTTTTTTTTTTTTTTTTTTTTGAGATGGAGTCTTGCTCCATGGCCCAGACTGGAGTGCAGTGGCGCGATCTCTGCTTACTGCAACCTCCACCTCCTGGGTTCAAGCGATTCTCCTGCCTCAGCCTCCTGAGTAGCTGGGACTACAGGCGTGCACCAGCATGCCTGGCAAATCCTTGTATTTTTAGTAGAGATGGGGTTTTGCCATGTTGGCCAGGCTGGTCTCGAACTCATGACCTCAGGCGATCCACCCACCTCAGCCTCCCAAAGCACTGGGATTACAGGCGCGAACACCGTGCCCAGCTAGCATAATATTTACAAGGCTTTTTTCACTTAGCATAATGTTGTAGCCTATATTAGTACTTCATCCCTTTTTATGAATTAATAACATTCCACAGTATGGATGCAACACCTTTTATTTATCCATTCATCAGTCAATGAACATTTAATTGGTTTCCAGCTTTGGTTTATAATTTTAAAAGCCGGTTGCGCATGGTGGCTCATGCCTGTAATCCCAACACTTTGGGAGGCCGAGGCAGGAGGATCACTTAAGCCCAGGAGTTCAAGGCTACAGTGAGCTATTATTACATCACTGCACTCCAGCCTGGGTGACAGAGAGAGACCCCACTCCTAAAAAAAAAAAAAAAAACTGCCATGAATATTCATGTACAAGTTTTATTAAATTATTATTAGAGACAGGGTCTTGCTATGTTGCCCAGGCTGGTCTCAAACTCCTGTGCTCAAGTGATCCCCCTGCCTCAGCCTCAGTCCCCTGAAGTGCTGGGATTATAGGTGAGAGCCACTGCACTTGGCCCATGTACAAGTTTTTGCTGTATGTACACATATGTTTACATGTCTCTTGGATATATACCTATATTTTTGCTTTATGGGTGTGGAAACTGAGGCCCCAAGAGGTCACTTACTCAAAGTTACCAGCTAGAACTCAAACGGACTGTCCCTTTAACCTAAATGTGTTTGATTTCCAACTCAGAGCTCTTTCAACTATATCACACACACACACACACACACACACACACGCACTCACATGCATGTAAATTCATTCACACATACACACACCAGCACCAGTCAACAAACGCTCCTTTGAGCCCTTTGCTTTGTCCAGAGTGCAAAAGTTCAAGAGAGGCAAACAGAAGTGGCACGATGCTGAGAGAGATAAATGAGGCTTCCAAAGAATAAATAAGTCAGAACATTGATTTGAATATTACCAAGGGATAGACCAGAAACATTTAACGGATTATAAAGAGGTTAGTGAAGAGCGAATGGCCCAAATTTGGCCTTAGGAGCATGCACACCACTCATATTGATTGTGATGAGATTTCTGGAAGTGAACGCACTTTACCAGAAAAATAGTATGCAAGTCAAAGATGTTGCTGTGGAGAGAGCCGCACTGGAAATCAGGACATGGCCCTGCTCATGGAAGGCTGTGACCACCCAGTTATTTACTCCCGGAGAGCGGGGGCAGCTTACATCAGGAAAGTTGCTTACTCTCAGGGTTAGTACAGGAAGATTTGATTTCACTGTTTCTGTGAGTGAGCCGGATCAGAAGCTATTCTGAGCGTCCTCAAAGGAAATGTGCCAGAAATCATAAATAAAGAAGTCAAGCGCATCCAGTGGCCATATCAAATGTGACATTCCTGAAGAATATGGGAACATGCTATCTTTCAAGCTGCTGATTCTTAAAAAAGGAAAAAGTAGAAAATACCTTAGTCCCAGGGAACAAGAGAAGCCTCTAGAGTTAAAACCTAAACCGAGACAACATAATTCAGGATGTAAAGAGAAAAGCAGTGTTTATCAAAGTGCGAGACTCAGCCATTCGTTGAACATATCTTTATTTTTGACAGTCTCTGCACCAGTCACTCTGTCCCCACTGTTCTCTAGCCCCCGGCTCTGCTTTATTTTTTCTTTCTTACAGTAGTATTTTGTACAGGTTTATTGTTCCCTGGACACATTGTATAAGTGTATTGTTGACTTGCTTATTGTTTATCTCCCAGGCAGGAACTAAAAGTTCTAGGACAGAAACCTGTTTCTTCTTACTCACCTCACTTCCAGATGTTGGTTCCAATTTCCTAATTCACCCCCCTGGCTCCTTTGACCTCTTTCCAATCCATTTTCCTGAAACCAGGCTTGTCATTTCCCTGCTAAAAGTCTTCAGGGTGTCCCCTGGCCTGTGGGACCTTGAGGTTGCATGCTGAAAGGGGCCTGGGCTCCCCATTCTTGGCTACCTGACATCAGGAGGTTCCAGATGAAAACACTTTTTGACCCCCATCTCTGGCTTAGGGCATTTGACATTTTTCCAGGAGCTCTCACCTCTCAGGGCTACTCTCCCCTGATTTCAGCATACTCCCTTGGGTGAGAAGGAAGGAAGGAAGGAAGGAAGGAAGGAAGGAAGGAAGGAAGGGAGGGAGGGAGGGAGGGAGGGAGGGAGGGGAGAGGGAGGGAGGATTTTTTCACCATGCTTTGATTTAATTTGCTCAGCTACTAATCAAGGTGTTGCTCATCTCTCCTGGGACATATCCCTGAACTGTCCAGGCTGAAGGCAGATGACGCCTCGACTGATGCCATTGCATTGCAGAAGGGTCCTTCCTGCAGTCAGCCCCTGACAGTGCCCCCTCTGGGGAAGAGTGGGTCCAGGGACAGACGAGAGGAAGCACCTTGCTGAGTTGTGCTGACACTGGCCAGGAGTGGCCTCGCTCTGCTGAGTCATTGTATGGGGTATGTGTGGCTGCATTAAGGAATAGAGACCACTCTGGTGGCTGCTGTTGAGGATGGCCAAGATCATCAGAGGACAGGAAGCTAAGCCACCTGGCTACTCTCTCTGGAGCTCAGAATGGTGTTCAGGACCAGGAACATCCTTCAGGGGCCAGTGCCGTTCTAGTGTCCTCCAGGCTTTGGGGTGCCACCTGCCAGAGGCATTCTCTGCTCTAAGGCCCCTCCATCAGCTCCTCCACCTCCATGGCCCAGATGGGGCCATGGGTCCTTCCCCTGTCCACTAATGTCTCTCTCCTACCTTCATCCCACCTCCTGACTTCTGCTTCTACTTCTCATTTATTCTTAGCTTCCTCTTGCTACCTTCTGTATGTGTCATTTGGCTTCTGCCTTTGGGAAACCAGAGTCCTGCCTCTCTCCAGAGGCTCACTCTCAAACTCTGCCACAGAGGCTGTGTGGGCTCAGCTGGTCACCCGTACACCTGCAGTGCTGCCCCAGAAGTCACTACCCTGTTCGTGGGGTGGCTGCCTTTGCAACAAGCCCCTACCTTAATCCAGTGTGCAAGGGGTGGGTACATGGGTAGCTTTTTTCTAGAAGGGGCTTTGGGCATGGCAATTCCTTTTTTTTTTTGAGACGGAGTTTTGCTCTTGTTGCCCAGGCTGGAGTGCAATGGCATGATCTCGTCTCACTGCAACCTCTGCCTCCCGGGTTCAAGCAATTCTCCTGCCTCAGCCTCCCGAGTAGCTGGAATTACAGGCAGGTGTCACCATGCCCGGCTAATTTTGTATTTTTAGTAAAGACAGGGTTTCTCCATGTTCGTCAGGCTGGTCTCGAACTCCCAACCTCAGGTGATCCGCCCGCCTCAGCCTCCCAAAGTGCTGGGATTACAGACCTGAGCCACCGCACCTGGCCCCCATGGCAACTCTTAGAACATAATACGTCTTTCTCACAGCCAGCTGCTGCGGCTCATGCCTGCAATCCCAGTACTTCAGGAGGCCAAGGTGGGAGGATAGCTTGAGCCCAGAAGTTCGAGCCCAGCCTGGGCAACATAGGGAGACCCCCATCTCCACAAAAAATACAAAATTAGCTAGGTGTGGTGGTGTGTGTCTGTGGTCCCAGCTACTTGGGAGGCTTAGGCAGGAAGATCACTTGAGCCTGAGAGGTTGAGGCTGCAGTGAACTGTGATCGCACCACTGCATTCCAGCCTGGGTGACAGAGCGAGACTCTGTCTCTAAACAAAATTTAAAAATTAAAAAAAATACATCTTTTCCCAATATAGATGGCAAAGGAGCAAATGAGATTGTGGAGGTGGATATGCTTTGGAAGGTATAACATGCTGTATTGGTACAAAATAATATTAATTGTTGATAATTATTGATAATTAACGTAGCCATTATTGTGGCTACTAATGAAAGTTTTGCTTCCCTGGAACTTGTGGACCAAGGGCAGTGGTTACCAATGGCCATGGTCTTTGATTCCCAAACTCTTGCCAGGAAAGTTGCTGGGACACCAGCCTCCCTCTGCCACCCTGCATTAAAGCTGCTTCATCTAGAATCCTCTGAACCTGCCTCCCCATCTCACTGTTGCTCCTCTGGTGGCTCAGGGCTCCCCCCATCCCAAAGTACACAGATCTTCAGGCCCCAAAGATTCCCAGGTGCTTTCATTTCAGAGCTACTTCCACCAAGGACCCACAACCTTCCAAAGGGCTGGGACCAGCTTGCTCTTCTTCTCAGCCCTGCCCAGGGGATGGGCAAGAGGGTCATGGCTGCCCACAACCCCTAGTCCACATACTCCAGCCCCATGGAGAGAAGGACTCTTCCTCTATCGAAGTCTTAAATTCCAAATACATGACAATGGCTGATTGAGCTTGAGTCAGAGGTCCACACTGGGTAATCAGCTACAACCAAGGGCCATGTTGTACAAACATAGCTGCCAGGAGCCCACCTCTGAGACAGGGAGTGGGCAATGGTTGAGGGAGTCATTCAGGGCCAAGCAGATACCCCTGATGAGGTCCTTTACACCAAGGAAGCTGGCGTACATCAGAGGGCTTGGAGCCTGTCGCAGTAACACGCTGCCACTAGATCTCTCCTAGCGCCTTGGGTTTTCTCTACTGTGGAGCTCTACTGTGTAGGAGACAGTATTCCGTGTAATGGAATTCCCCACAAAAAAATTCATGTAATGTGGCATTTACAACTCAAATGATGCCACAGAAGGGTTGCATGTTATGGTCAAAGTCAAAACCGGTTTCCCTCTGGCAATGTGGTGTGATTGGTGAAGATTATTTTTAATTTTTATTTTATGTATTTATTTATTTTTGAGACAGAGTCTCGCTCTGTCGCCAGGCTGGAGTGCAGTGGCACAATCTCAGCTCACTGCAACCTCCGTCTCCTGGATTGCAGTGGCACAATCTCGGCTCACCGCAACCTCCGCCTCCTGGAGTGCAGTGGCACAATCTTGGCTCACTGCGACCTCCGCCTCCTGGTTCAAGCGACTCTCCTGCCTCAGCCTCCCGAGTAGCTGGGTCTACAGGCGTGCACCACCACACCTGGCTATTTTTTGTATTTTTAGTAGAGATGGGGTTTCACCATATTGGTCTCGATCTGTTGACCTCGTCGTGATCCACCTGCCTCGGCCTCCCAAAGTGCTGGGATTACAGGCGTGAACCACCGCGCCCGGCCGATTGACGATGATATTAAAGAAAGCCTAAGCAAAACCAGCTCCCAGGACCTGTTGCCACCGGAGCCACTCCCCTGGTTCCAGGTGCTGGGCCTGTGCTTAGTCAGGGCTTGGTTAGTCATAAAACAGAAATTCACTGAACTCCTGGGAGTGATCACCTGTTGCTTTTGCCTATTTGGATTCTTTTCCCATTATTCTGAAAACGGGCCCTGTGATTTCTTTTTTTAAAGGATTCTTCACCCTATCTTAGTCTGTTTGGCTTAGGTGGGCCTGACCCCAATCCTCAGATACAGAGGTAAGTACATGGATTGCAATAGGTCAAGGGGGTCGTGTGACCCAGTCTGGGCCAAAGACAGTCAGCCCTGTGACCTTTTCCAGATGAGCCAATGGGTCAGCAGAAACCCTGGTCTGCAGAGTAAAAGGACCAGATATGCAGAGAAAAGCAGAAATGGGATATTGTGTGGAGGAAGAACGAGAGAGAGAGAGAGAGAGAGAGAGAGAAATGGAGGCAGAAGCAACCTTCTCATTCCTGTGATTTCTGGTTATTCTTTCTATAGCAGGAGTCCATGTGACTTTCCCCTTTGCTTTCTAATGACCTCCATTTTTAGTTGAAATTCTCTATTAGTCAAGATTCATTCAATTTTTACACTACAGGAACTCAGATTAAATTAGTTTAAACAAGAAAACGGGAATGTATTGGTTCATATAATTGGAAAACTCAAGGTATGAATTCAGGTATGGCTGGATCTAGGGCTTCAAATGATATCACCAAGATACTGTCTTTTAGCTGAATGCGGTGGTGACTCATGACTGTAGTTCCAGGTACTTGGGAGGCTGAGGCAGGAGGGTCACTTGAGCCCAGGAGTTCGAGGCTGCAAAGAGCTATGATCTTGCCACTGCACTCCAGTGTGAGTGACAGAATGAGACCCCATCTCAAAAAAAACAAAACAAAACAAAACAAAAGGCACTTCTTTTTCTTTTTCTTTGCGTTGGCTTCATTATTTGTTAGGTTTTTCCCATGAGGTAGAAAAGATGGCCCCCAGTAACTCCAGGCTTACATAAAAACCCCTGAAAGACAACACCTCTTTCCTAATAGTTTGGCAAAGTCCAGGCCGACTCCCCTGCTGTTGGTCATGGCTGTTTGCTTTCAACGCTGTGGGGATGGGGGTTGGAAGGTGCAGAGAAAGAGGAAGGAAGGGCATGACATGTTTTTAGTGTCCACGAATGTGAAGTCCCTCTCAAGCCCATTTACATGTGACAGTGACAGAGCCCATTTACAACCTCAACAAGGAGGGCCAGTCTTGTGCATTGAAACCTCCTGTTTCTGAGCTCTTCATGGGCTTGTATTTTAAAATAATATATATATTTATATATTATAAAATTATATTAAATATGTTTTATATAGATAACATATTAATATAATATAATATAGATAATATATAACATATTTAATATAATTTTATCATATTAATAATTATTAATATATAATTATATATTATAATTATATAAATATTATATAAACTATAAAATATAAACATTATATATAATATAATTATAATATAAATATTATATATAATATATTATAATATAAATATAATATACATATCATATATTATATATAATTATATATTACATATATAATTTGAGAGAGACAGAGAGAGGCAGGTCTCGCAATGTTGCCTAGGCTGGTCTTGAACTTCTGGCCTTAAATGATCCTCTTGCCTTGGCCTCGCAAAGTGCTGGGATTACAAGTGTGAGCCACCACACCCTGCCTCTTCATGGGTTCGAATAGGCAAAGACGGGCAGGATTTGGGAAAGGGTATGGGAAGAATTTGAAGGGGTGAACAACAGCAGCAACAGCTAACATGGTGGAGCTGGCGCTGTGCTAAGTGTTTCCCATAACTGTTTGATGAAATCCTCACCACCAACCTACTATCTTCAACTTTTATTATCCTCACTTGCAGATGTGATTAAGGTTCAGAGAGGTTAGGTAACTCTGCTATGATCACACAGCTGATAAAATGCAGAGCCAGGCCGGGCGCGATGGCTCGTGCCTGTAATCTCAACACTTTGGGAGGCTGAGATGGGCGGATCACGAGGTCAGGAGTTCAAGACCAGCCTGGCCAACATAGTGAAACCCCGTCTCTACTAAAAATACAAAAAATTAGCCGGGCGTGGTGGCGGGTGACTGTAATGCCAGCTACTCAGGAGGCTGAGGCAGGAGAATCACTTGAACCTAGGAGGAGCGGGGGTTGCAGTGAGCGGAGATTGCGTCACCGCACTCCAGCCTGGGCGACAGTGAGACTCTGTCTCAAAAAAAAAAAGCAGAGCCAGGTTCACAGTCGGGCCATGTGGGAGCAGAACGCTTGCATTTAACCACGGCACTGTCTTGCCTCTCAAGGGAGAGAGATGCACAAAGGATGAAGGAAAAAGCCTGAGGAGGCTGGGAGTTGTGGTGCCATGGGAGGTAAAGGTGCCAGGGAAAACTTCCTGAAGGGGGAGTTAACAAAAGAACTTTTATTTATTTTTTATTTTTATTCTTTCTGAGATGGAGTCTCGCTCTGTTGCCCAGGCTGGAGTGCAGTGGCTTGATCTCAGATCACTGCAACCTCCTGCCTCCACCTCCTGAGTAGCTGGGATTACAGGCACCTGCCACCACACCCAGCTAATTTTTGTATTTTTAGTGGAGATGGGGTTTCGCCATGTTGGCCTGGCTGGTCTCGAACTCCTGACCTCAGGTGATCTGCCCACCTTGGCCTCCCAAAGTGTTGGGATTATAGGCGTGAGCCACCGCGCCCGGCCACAAAAGAACTTTTAAGAACAGGATTGTCCAGTGTTCGTTGGAAGGTATATGAATTGCAGCGCTTCTTAAAACCATCCTTCTGACCTCCCTAAATCTCCCTCTGCCTGCTTTGTACACAAATACCTTCTGAGATGGGTTTCTGGTGAAACAGAGGAAGGTGCTGGCTGAGTTCCACGTCTCAGTCAGAGCTGTGTCAAAATGAAACAGCAGGCCTGGGTCAGCGGCCCAAGCCAGACACTAAACGAATTTAGCAGAAGCTGCAGCTCTGATGCAGAGGGGAGTATGAAAAGGCAAGCCATTCCAGAACTCTCCGAAATATTGGGGACAGTGTTACACTTCCATAGGGTGTGAAATATGCATTTGAACTGATATTTTTGAAATAGTCAAGAGGAAGGGAGGCCCCAGCTGACAAATGGATTACACAAAGGTGGTAAACTGATGCCCCAAACCCTGGGAACATCAGCTACCTCTCTACGCCCCCATGCCTCCCCTTGGGCTGGAGTTGGAGGATGAAGACTCTGGGGTATGTTTGGCATGGGGTGGGCTGATGATATATGCAAGAAAAAGGCCAGAGAGCGGCTTGGAGTCCTTGGGTCTCAGTTTCTGGAGGCAAAAACCTTCTTTTTGGTACTGGGGCATAAGGACAGTCAAATGAACTTCTAAGGGGAGGGTCCTTGATGCTGGCTCCCAGATCCTGGGCTGACTTTGCTGCCATTAATGGAAGGGTCCCAGGGCTTGGCGTGGAGCTGACTCTGAAGGCAGGCCTCAATTGGCTCCTGTTCTAAGGAGAAGGGAAGAGAGGGGCAGGGAGCCAGGCAGAACTTGGCAAGGGACAGGGAGGAGGGAATGAGACCAGGCTGGTAAACTCTGATGAGGAGAAAGTCTGGAGCACTGGGCCTGGAATGGGAGGGCAGCCTGGGCCTGGAGGGGCTGCCTCAGAAGCAGCCGAAGCAGCAGCCAGAGCCGGCGAGAGGGAGATGGCAGGAAGCAGGGAGGTAAACTTGTCCCGCTGCCCACCTGGGCAGACTCAAAAGCCATTAGGTTTCCCAGAGCAGCAGGCTTGGTGAGAGATGCATCTTGTCTGCTGCCAGAGGGGAGGTCTGGCCAGGAAGACAGCCAGGAGTCAGATCTCCCAGCTGCAGAGCTCTTAGGTGAGTTCCTAGCTTTGCTCCCTTCCCTCGGTGTCGGCTTCTCCCAGGCTCCGTTTGTTCTTCTTGCTGCCGCTTCTCTCCCTCTATGCTCTCCCTCCGAGGTTTGCAGTGTCACCTGCATCCTGACAACTACCAGAGTTCCAGCTTCTTCCCTGAGTTCTCTCCTGGGAGCCCCTGATCTGGCATCCTTCACCCCATGCTGTGCCACAGACCCTCACATTCAGGGGGTCCCAAATTGAATTCTTCTGCCTCCCTGGGGATAGGGAGCAAAAGGTGACAAGTGCTCTTTTCTTCGTCCCCCAACCCTCACCCGCAAAGGGGAGAGCTATGCGCCAGACCTCAAGCCCCCTGGCGGAGCCAGCTTCCCAGGAATCCGACCCCACCCTTGGCCTCGCGCCTCTCTGCCTCATGCTGGTGCTCTTCTTCCTTTCCATCCAATCTGGGCTCTCCCTCTCGGCTGCCTTCGCACCGTGCTGTGGAAGCCATGGCCCCCGCTCCCCGGGAAAACGCAAGGTGAGGGGATCCTGAGATTTGGTTTGGCCTTGGAGGGAGAGGCCATCCTGAGCTTTAAGTCAACCTAGGAAGGGCATGGGACAGAGGACAGAAACCCAACTGACAGCACAGGGACCTGTTTCCTTCAATTCTCTGTTCCCTGCAGAGATGGCTCCTTGGGGACTGCGCAGAGAAGAGTGAAGGGAAAGATGGTGTCAGAACTTCCTGGGTCCCTCTGTCTAAAACCTCTCAATAAAACCTCATTCCACCCTTATCTCCAACAATCTTTCCCCCTTCAAATCCACTCTTGCTTTTGTATTTACTTTGTAAACAGCTGAGGACCTTCAGCTCTTAGGTTTCCAATTATGACACAATTTTATTTTTCTAGTAACTGCCACCAACAGGACTCCATGAAGCCCTCTGCCTGGCTGGGAGTTATGTGTCTTTGACCACACCTGGGTTCCATTTCTTTCAGATGGTTTTGGCTATAAGAACAGTCTTATTCTAGTTAAGACCTGGTAATTTTAAAACTTCAGGCTCAGGCCGGGCATGGTGGCTCACACCTGCAATCTCAGCACTTTGGGAGGCCGAGGCGGGCAAATCACCTGAGGTCAGGAGTTTGAGACCAGCTTGGTCAACATGGTGAAACCCCGTCTCTACTAAAAATACAAAAATTAGCTGGGCGTGGTGGCGGGCTCCTGTAATCCCAGCTACTCGGGAGGCTGAGGCAGGAGAATCGCAGACCCAGGAGGCAGAGGTTGCAATGAGCCGAGATCATGCCATTGCACTCCAGCCTGGGCAACAAGAGCGAAACTCTGCCTCAAAAACAAATAAACAAAACAAAACAAACAACAACGAAAAACCTTCAGGCTCAGATCTGTTTCAAAATTTAGTTCTTCCTCTGCAAGGCAAGCTGGGCTGGGAGCTCTAAGGGCTTGAAGTGTGAGTGTGTGTGTGTTTTGGGGAGTTCAGAGGTCACACGCACACACACTCACACCCCTTCTCTGGGCTCACCCCTAGGGTTGGGGCTTGAGGAGAAGAAAGAAGGACACAGCTGTCTCTGGACTGACCCTTGGCTAGAAGATTGTGTGGTGCCCCTCCTGTAACCCATGGCTGTGGTGGGCTGAGCTCAAAGCCTGACACCTGGCGGTTGTAGGTGAAGGCCCCTATAGGCCCCACTGATCAGGGACTCAATTCCAGGCCCCTTCCTCAGGCACTGGTGGTTTCTCCCCAGAGAAGTGACACCTTCCAGTTAATCTTTGGCCGGCCCCTGTGCCACACCCCTCCCTTATGTTGAGATTCTTGGACCCGTGCTGAGAGGGTCCAAGCATGGGTTCAAGAATCTGCAGCCCCCGAGTCTTACCTTCCATAGCCTCTGCTCCCAGACCCCCGTGTCTCCCAGGAACCGGAAGCCCAGGGGCCTTTCCCTGGCACTGCTCTCCACAACCCCATCTGATGGCCCTGGGGCTGAGCAGATGTCTGGCCAGGGAATGACACGTGAGTCCCCCCGCTTCTTACAGTCACCCCCAGACTTGATCAGCAGATCAAGTCTCCCCTCCTCTGCAGAGTTCTGAGGGGTAGAGAAGACATTTTTATGTCTGAAAAGGTGTATATGTGCAAATTCTGGTGTCTCTCAAGGTAAAGCTCAACCAGACCGATTTGGCCTCTCTCCCCCTGGGGGACAGAGTCTCAGGGTGGCTCTCACTGGTGACCTCTGGAACAGAAGATTCCTATCAGGACCTCCCATGGTGCCTTTACACCAGCCTTGCCCACAGCATCTTCCCAGACACAGGGCTAGACATCCGGAAGTCAGGGCATCATCCTAACTGCCCTCTCCTCTTTCCTGCCCCACAACATCTCCTCGGTCACCAGACCTACTTCTCTGCTCCTGGTTCAGGTTCAGGTTCATGGCCTGGACGTCAGCACGGGTCTCACTAGTTTCCCTGCCCAAGTTCCTCCCCTCCACTGGCAGTGACCTTCCTAAGCCTTAATCTTAGTTTCATCACTTCCCTTCACATCTGATGGCTCCCTATTACCCAGAGAATCATATTTCAACTTCTTACTTTCAAATTCTAGGCTTCTCTTGATGTGATCTCCACCCTCATCTCCAGCCAGGTACACACAGTGTGACAGTTGGTAATGACTGGCCCCAGAGCACTGTGTTGAGGGCTGTGAGGGTTGAATCAGGGTTCAGTGGGAAGGAGAGTGCGGTGATCAATTAGTGATGCCTGCCATGGACGCAGGGGCGGCAGAACTGCAAGGTTTTTGCCACCCTGTGCTAGTCATATTAAACTGTCCACATTTTCTCACCTGGAATCCAGCTGGACTCTCCTTCTTTCCTTTCTCCATGGCTCAGGATTGGGGTATGAAGACCCATGTCTCAGGTTATTGCCACCATGAACTCACCATTCTCCCCCAAACTTGCCAAATATTTACACATGCTGTTCCCCGCTGCTGAGACTCCCTTCCATTTGTCCTCCATTGGACAAATCTCTCCTCATTTTTCTGTCCTAATGAACTCGGGTGACCATGTTTCTCAGTTGCCTGGGCTTGCACTGTGGTGCTGGCATTATTAATAACCAATCATTATTAATAGCACCCCTTTCACTTTCACACCTGTCTCAGTTTGCACTATGAATCATCCATGCTTACCTGGATTCTAGCACATGTGATGCCAAAGACCCTTGTGTCATTTAGGTCTGTCTTGTCAACACTCATCCCAGTGTCTGGCACAGATAGGATCGTTGGAGTGGAGTGGAATTGAGCTAATGGGAAGAAGGAGAGAAAGCAGGCAGAAGGGTGAGGTGGGGAGACCCAGTGGCCCCAGTCAGAGGAGTGGAATAGTCAATAACAACATCAGAGAAGAAACCAGGGCTTCCAATCAGGCCTGCAGATCACTCCTGGGAGGGGAGGGGCCGTGATGGAGACACCGATGGGGTAGAACATAAACAATCTGATGAGGAAGGCCCAGACCTTGCTGGCTCACTCATGGCATCGGAAAGTGAGAGATCTAAAAATAAAGCTGGCAGACAGAGAGGAAGTGGGCCCAGCTGAGGTGCAGCCCTGTGCCTCTGGCTGCCGGCTCCCTGTGGCCAGGCTCCGAGGGGGTCCTGGTGACAGGGCTGAAGCCTCAGGGTCTCTACACATGCAGTTCTCACTGCTTGGAATGTGCCTTTCCTGAGCCCTTCCCCCAGCAAACTCCTCTTCCTGAAGACTTCAGCTTAAAGGACCCTTAATAATCATTCTCTGACTCTCACCCCCTCCCGCAACCCACATCCTGGATAGATCAGTCCTCCCTGTTATACTCCCCGCGATCTTTCCTCCATGGTTCTGTCATTAGATCTTACTTACGTGATCATCTACCTAACGTCTACCGAACTCCTTCACACGACTTTGAGCAGAGGCTGAGAGCAGGGGCTTGAAATCCGATGCCTGGGCTCAAATTCTGCTCTGTTTACACAGGCTGTGTGACCTTGGGCATCTCTTTGTACCTCTCTGTGCCTCATCTGTAAAATCTTTCCTTGTCTAAAATGGAGATAACACTCTGGGCATGGTGGCTCATACCTGTAATCCCAGCACACTTTGGGAGGCCGAGGCGGACAGATCACTTGAGCCCAGGAGTTCAAGACCAGCCTGGGCAACCTGGTCAAACCCCATGTCTACGAAATATACAAAAACGAGCCAGACATGATGGCACATACCTGTGGTCCCAGCTACTCAGGAGGCTGAGGCTGGAGGATCACTTGAGCCTGGGAGGTCAGCACTGCAGTGAGCCATGATTGCATCACTTCACTCTAGCCTAGGCGACAGAGTGAGACCTAGTGTCAAAAAAAAAAATAAAATAAAATAAAAATGGAGACAATGCCAGCAACTGCTTGTCAGCATTGTTGTAAGGATAATGTGTGTTGAAGCACATGGGGTATTTAGAACCTGCCATCCCTGACACATGGCAGGCCCCTTTACTAGTGGCGTTCAGTATTGTTATCACCCGAGGCCAGGGTCAAATCTGTATTCTTACCTCACTTTGCAGCACCTAGCAAAGTGCCTGGCAAGCTCAGTAATGACTGCCGAATGAATGTGTCTTTATTTATGCACCACCTTGTTCCAAAAAAGACTTGAGGCTGTAAGATGACATATGTCATTGAGAGCATTGTGATTTTTTTTTTTAGACAGGGTCTCACTCTGTCACCCAGGCTGGAGTACAGTGGCATGATCATAGCTTACTTCAGCCTCAACCTCCTGGGTTCAAGCTATCCTCCCACCTCAGCCTCCTAGGTAGCCGGGACCACAGCCATGCGCCACCACATCCAGCTAGTTTTTAAATATTTTTATAGAGATGGGGTCCCGCTATGTTGCCCACGCTGGTCTTGAACTCTTGGGCTCAAGCCATCCACCCACCTCAGCCTCCCAAATTGTTGGGATTACAGGCGTGAGCCACAATGCCCCACTAGCACTGTGAATTGTAAAGCACATTCAAAAATCTAGTTGTTACCATCAATAGCCCTTGACTCTCCCCATGGATAGTCTTCCTAATGACAGTCTGCCCGGAGTGTCACACACCTGTGTGGTTGACTAGCTCCCTGCCTCCCAGAGTGTCTGTTTTTGTCTGGTGATAAGAAAAGTCTGGGTCTCAACTGCTCATGAGGCTGACGCAGGAGAATCGCTTGAACCTGGGAGGTTGTAACACTGCATCACAGCCTGGGCAACAGAGACTCTATCTCAAAAAAAAAAAAAAAAAAAAAAAAAAAAAGAGGAAAGAAAAGTCTGGGTCTTGCAGAACAGCAGAACGGAACCTAAACCTGCCTCAGGTAACTTCTGGTGGCCGGTCCCAGTTCTGCCCTCAGGGCTTCAGCCCTTTCAGCCCAGGACCTCCTCCAAGGGATTTGAGGACCAGGAAGCTCCAGTCTGATCTGTGAGCTGGGAAGGGGAGTGAGGGGCTGGGGCAGATATGTGCTTGGCCGCCCGGGGAGGTGCCCTGGCTGTCCACCCGCACCCAGGCCTCTGAGGGCAAGCTGGGGGTGTGAGGACAATGGAGCTGTGTTTTAGTTAAACCGTAGCTCTTGGTGAAATCCCAGGGAGCCTGAATAATTGACAGTGTGGTCAGCAGCTGACCGCTGACTTTCAGGCATGGTGGAAATCGATCTGGTCAACATTTACTGCCCTGGCCCTGGGAGGCCTGGGGGTCGGAGGTGAAAAGTATTGCCCCATCCTGAGTCCTAATCAAACGGTGTGGAGTTGGAGTTAGGTGGACTCACCTGTGTGACTGCGAGCTGCCCTTCTCTGAGCCTGTTTCCTTCTGCCTTCAATGTGGCTAGGAATCCGGTCCTCACGGGGAGACTGAATGGGAAAGAGCTGTGTGCATCGTAATGAGGGGAAGAGGATAAATCTGGTTTGGGATGTGTCTGAGTCTAAGGGCCCGTGGGGAAGCCTGGAGGTGAAGGTTCAGCCACTGGATAACTGGGTCTGGAGCTGGCGGGAAGCAGAAGGTTAGAAGTCCCATCTCTAAGTGGTCTCTGCAGCCACAAGAATGGATGAAGTTGTACAGCATGGACATAGAGCCAGGAGAGGACCCAGCACAGACACTGGGAGGCCACCCACTTCTAAGGTACAGTTGTGGCCCCAGGAAGGGGAGACACACAGAGGGACAGAGGAGCCACTGGGAAGGAACAATGTGGGTCAAGTCAGAATGTGGAAGGCGGCAGAAAGGTCAGGAAGAATCAAGACTGAAAAGGGTTGGCTGGACCCAGTCACAGGGAGGCTTCGCAGTGCACTCTGTGAGGGCAATTTCAGGAGAGTTGTTGGGACTGTGGGAGGAGAACCAGGTTTTCTCAATAGCAGGATTTCTAGGGGTGAGGAGACACGGGGAGCATACAGACACCCACGTCTTCACTTCCATGGATGACGTTCTGCATGGACCTCTGGCCATTTTGTGTTTTTGTTTTTGTTTTTGAAACAGAGTCTTGCTCTGTTGCCCAGGCTGGAGTGCAGCTGTCTGATCTCAGCTCACTGCAACGTCTGCCTCCCGGGTTCAAGCAATTCTACCTCAGTCTCCCGAGTAGCTCAGATTACAGGCACCTGCCACCACACCTGGCTTTTTTAAGTAGCAATGGAGTTTCACCATGTTGGTCAGGCTGGTCTCAAACTCCTGACCTCAGGTGATCTGCCCACCTCCCAAAGTGCTGGGATTACAGGCATGAGCCACCGTGCCCAACCCGAGCTCTGGCCATTTTTAGGAACACCCAGGCTTTAGACCTAGCTCAGCCACAAGTTGTAAAGTCATTTCCAGTCTGATAGTTAAGCCTTTTTTCAACCTAGTCTCAGCTGTTTTCTTTAGCCTCAATTACCATCCCTCCCCATCTTCCCCCACCATAGCCATCCAGAAACCTCCTCTCACCTTTGAATGTCACCTCCCACCCCAGCAGTTCCTGACATCCCCCCATGGAGACTTAATTCCTCTCTTCTCTGGACCTTGTACACTTTTTCCAATGCCTGTGTTTGTACAGTCACTTGTTCACAGATGTTAGCTGTACACCTACTATGTGTCTGGCTCTGTGCAGACTCTGCGATTCAGCAGAACAAGACAGGCAGTGGCAAACTCCATCTCTAACTGGGGCAAGAAGAGGGGAAATTAAGGAGGCAATAAATAACCATACTGCCAGGAGGGCAGGGCCACGGCCAGACCCCGGACGGATGGACGGACTGCGAATGCAGCCAGCTCCCTCCCCTCCCCACTCTCCTCTCTCCTCCCCACCTCTCCTCTCCCTGTCAGCATCAGCGTCCTTCTGCTACTCATTTGGCTTCCCCTACTTTGTGGAAAACAAGAGAGCTCTCAGCTCCAAAGGCCTCACCGGGGAGAGTATAACTGTTTCCCCCCAAGTTCCAGTTTAAAATGAAACCAAAAACAACTGCGGGGAAGGACCTGGTTGGCCTGGCTTGGGCCAGCAGCCCACTCCTTCTGAGCCAGTAGCTATGGCTGGAGGGTGAGGTCATGTGCCAGCTCCTGTAACATGAGGTCATATGGCAACATGAGGTCACGTGACAACTGCAGGGCCCACCTGCCTAGACAGGGTGGGGAGAGGAGCTGGTCTCAAAAAGGAGGAAGTGCTTTTGAGAAGGAATGGTGTGGGGAGGGTGGGTTGGCCCTCAAACCAGTAGGGATCTCACAAGGCCAGCGGGGTGCTTGTTGTGGAGCCTTTGGGAGGCTGCAGTCCCAAGCGATCCTTACCTTTTTGGTGCCCTCGACCCCTTTGGCATCGAGTGAAGCCTGTGGACCCTTTCTCAGGATTTTTTGTTTGTTTGTTTGTTTTGTTTTTGAGACAGAGTTTTGCTCTTGCTGCCCAGGCTGGAGTGCAGTAGCACGATCTTAGCTCACTGCAATCTCTGCCTCCCAGGTTCAAGCAATTCTCCTGCCTCAGCCTCCTGAGTAGCTGGGATTACAGGCAAGCACCACCATGCCCAGCTAATTTTTGTGTTTTTAGTAGAGACTGGGTTTCGCCATGTTGGCCAGTCTGGTCTTGAGTTCCTGACCTCAGGTGATCCACCTGCCTTGGCCTCCCAAAGTGCTGGGATTATAGGCATGAGCCACCACACCAAGCCTCTCAGGATCATATTTTCAAATGCATCAAATAAAATATCTAGCATCGCAGAGTAAACCAATTACATTGGTTCTGTCCACAGCCCCCTTGAGGACTCAATATTGAAGGAGTGTGAAAAGACAGGTTAATTAGAGATTTGCTCAGACATCTCCTGGAGGAAGGTGGTGGGAGCCGTGGCCTTTCCCTTGAGGGTGGAAGTTGGTGGACCCGTCTGGGTCTGGGGTGGCCCTGGGGAAGCTGGTAGTGAAGGGAAATGGGAGTGGGTTGACTGCTAAGACAAAGGTGACACCAGTCAGGGAGCTTGGCTGCTGGTGGCAAGCACAGACTCCAGCTAACCTGAAGGAGTGGTTTGTAAAAGTATCGGACTCCAGCTAACCTGAAGGAGTGGTTTGTAAAAGTATCGGGTAGCTCATGCAATTGACGGAGAAACTAGAGAAACAGGCTTGACGAGAACCCAGAGAGTTAAGATCTGCCAAGCTGCCACCTGGGAGCTGACTGCCGGCCAGCTGGTCACTGTGGCCCCATCTGACACCTCCAGCCATGGAGATGACGCCCACACAGCACGAGATGTCCTTCTATGGCGGCACCCTTTAAATGGCAGACTGACTCTGTGCCTCAATGTCACTCTACAGAGTCCTGGGAGGGCATGTCCAGCTGGCCACACTCTAGGCTGCACGTCCATATTCTAGTCACTGGAAGCACAGAAGATCTGTCCCAGGCAGCTTCTGTGGGGAGAGGCGGGGGGGGGTCCTTCCACTATCTTGGGATTCTCCTAATAGATGCTGGTCAACCAAAGGGGTGAATGTCTGATGGCTGGTTCTGAGGTGTGTGTGTATGTATACACAGAGAATATGTGTGTATGTGTACATCGGGCCATGTGTCATGGCTCACGCCTATAATCCAAGCCAGGAGTTCAAGACCAGCCTGGGCAATATGGTGAAATCCCATTTCTACTAAAAATACAAAAATTAGGTGTGGTGGTACATGCTTGTAATCCCAGCTACTTGGGTGCTGAGGCATGAGAATTGCTTGAACCTGGGAGGTGGAGGTTGCAGTGAGCCAAGATTGTGCCACTGCACTCCAGCCAGCCTGGGGGACAGAGTGAGAATGTCTTTAAAAAAAAAAAAAAAAAAAAGCGTACGTGAACTAAGCTATGTCCCCTCTTAAGTGCTGTTTTGTTGGGATTTCAGGCCTGTGGCATTATCTAATGACGTGAAACTCAGGATACAGGCTCCTAACTTTCCCCTCAAAAAGGAAATACTGCTGGGCTTGAGACAGAGAATAGGATGAATAGGACCTTTCAGGAAATAAACCAGACCTTCCAGCTTCTTCTCTGCAATCTTTTAGAAACCAGGACTGCTGGCTGGGCGTGGTGGCTCATGCCTGTAATCCCAACACTTTGGGAGGCTGAGGTGGACAGATCAGGAGGTCAGGAGTTCAAGACCAGCCTGGCCAACTTGGTGAAACCCCATCTCTACTAAAAATACAAAATTAGCCAGGCGTGGTGGTGGGTGCCTGTAATCCCAGCTACTCGGGAGGCTGAGGCAAGAGAATAGCTTGAACCCAGGAGGCAGAGGTTGCAGTGAGCAGAGATTGCACCACTGCACTCTAGCCTGGGTGACAGTGCGAGACTCTGTCTGAAAGAAAACAAACAAACAAAAAAAAACCAGGACTGCTGACTTCTTTTGGACTGACTTAGGAAGGACACTGGGAGTCTTGAACTTACCCTGGCATGGGACTTCTCTCTTGTGAGAAGTAAATGGACTTCTGGTGATCAATGGGACGAGGGTGCAAAAAGATGGTCCTTATTCTGAACCTCAAGCTGGGGACATGGGACATAAGTGACCTGTGTTTGCTGTTGCTCCCCCATCCCCATCTCACAACACTGGACTGTGAGCTCTGGCAGGGCAGGTCTGCTGTCTCATTCCTCTGCTCATGCATCTTCCAGCCCAGGCACCAAGACCTGGACAGTTGTTCACCAGCCTTTCTCTTCCTCCTGGGCACAGAGCCAGGTGACACCTCCCGGCTTCCCTGTGGTTAGGCATGACATGTGACTGAGCCTTGACTAGTGGGACATGGACGGAAGTGACATGGGCCACTTCTGGCCTGGACCATAAAAACCTTCAATGTGTAATCCTCCAAATTCTTCCCTCATCCAGACGAAAGCAGATGATTCTGAGTTCTAGGAAAAGGTGTCACCACAATAAGGAGGGAGGCTGGGTCCCTGAATCACGTAGTGGAAGGCTCATTGACCAACCAGGAACTCTGTCCTGTGAGCAAGAAAAGTCTATTGTGTTACTGGGGTGGGGGTGTTTATTAGAGCAGCTAAGGTGATACTAATACGCTCAGAAAATAGTTGCTGAACCGAGTTGTTCTGTGATCCTGGATAAAGCACTGCCCTGTCTGGGCCTCAGTTTCCTCAACTATATGAGAAGGCTGGACCAGGTAATCCCTAGGCACCCTTGCTCCTGGGAAAAAGGAGGACTTTAGCTACACACACACACACACACACACACACACACACACACACACACACGCACTCACACTCACCCTGTCACGCACACTCCTGCAGTGGGGCTGTTTCCATAGGGACAGGTCCTGAAATGCCTTTCTGGATACAATTTCTCACGAGCACCCAAACAAGGACAACGTTCCAGAACCTTGTTTCTAACAAATGTCGGTAAAACAAAAACACCCGCTACAGACCCATAAAATGTGAAGACCAACTCCAGTGATAAAATATGTTCGTTTCTATGTATTTTTATAGCTTTCCGGATAATAAAAGGAACCGTGTTCTAATCGGATGCGTTTGTTAAATCAGTGTGCAGTGCCTCTACCCTCCTCTTCATGCACAGAGAGAGCTGCAGGGAGACAGGAAGTAGCAGCTTTTGTCATTACCTTGGGAACCTTTGGGACCAAAGGCCATCCTTATTGCTGTTTTCCCAACTCCTCCAGGAATGGTGGGAAGCAGCGTGCATCAGGGAAGGTAGGAACAGCAGAAGTTGTCAAAGATGCTTCTTCCCTAGCTTCTAGGACAGTTTCTCTTTTTATTCTCATGGGGAGAGAGGTACCAGGGTTGCTGCAGAGATGGGCTGGGGCTTGGTCAGGTAGGCTCTGGGATCACGACGGGGGTTCACACATACGTGCCAGGCACTGTTCTAAATGCTTTGGATATATAATACTAACGTTAAAAAAATAACTTCAGCTTTTATTTTAGATACAGTAGGTACATGTGCAGGTTTGTTACATGGGTATATTGACTAGTCTAAACTTCATGATAACCTTTGTGTAGGCCCTCATTTTACAGAGAGGGAAACTGAGGCATAAGGAGGTTGACAACTTGGCCAAGGTCACACAGCCAGTGAGTAGAGAAGTTGGTATTCCCACGCAGCCAGCTTTGTCTCCAGATCTGCCTCTCTAGGCTAAGGCTAAGGGTTTTTGTTTGTTTGTTTGTTTGTTTTTTTGAGACAGAGTCTCACTCTGTCACCAAGGCTGGAGTGCAGTGGTGCAATCTCTGTTGCAGAGACCACAATCTCTGTCTCCTGGGTTCAAGTGATTCTCATGTCTCAATCTCCTAAGTAGCTAGGATTACAGGCACATGCCACCACGCCCAGCTAATTTTTAAAATATTTTTAGTAGAGATGGGGTTTCTCTATGTTGGGCAGACTCCGGACGTCAGGTGATCTGCCCACCTCAGCCTCCCAAAGTGTTGGGATTACAGGTGTGAGCCACCATGCCTGGCCTAAGAGAAGGGTTTTAATCCATATCCTAAAAGCAGAGGAAGAGAGCAGCAAAGTGAACACAGACTGTATACTGTGGTCTGTGATTCTGCCCCACAGGTGACATTGGGCGACATCTTGAGACATGTTTGGTTGTCACAAGTGGGGATGAGGTGCTACTGGCATCTGGTACATAGAGGCCAGGGATGCTACAAAACACCCTGCACTGCACACAACAGTTCCCAACACAAAGAATGCTCCAGCCCCAAATGTCAATAACCCAAGACTGAGAAACCCTGCTCAGAGGTCAGACGGGCTGCAGCCTCTGCCACTCTCCAGCTGTGTGGCCCTGGGCAACTGACTTCCCCTCTCTGAACCTCAATGACTTTAGGAGAACTTTGGGTAAGGCAATCATGAGACAAAGCCTGACACATAGGAAGTACCCAATAAATAACAACAATGACTGTTTTCCTCTGATTCTCCCCTGACCGTCGCCATCTCTCACCCTGCCCCAGGCCCTGCCACATTTCTTGACCAAAAAACAGAACCAAGCTCTTAACAGTGAACTTGGGAGAGTTATGAGTTTATATTCCCCTGCTCCCTTCTAGCTCTGCCGACGTCTTCCGCTCCTCTAATTACTTATTTAAAGACTATCGATTCCTTGGGCTGCTGCTGGGAGGCCTCGCAGAATTGCATGTCTCGCAAATAGCAAGAGAGCCGTGGCCTAGCGACTGGGGCCGCAGCCTGACATAACCAGGCAGGGGGTTATTTTCGCCCGGGATACTTGTGAAATATTCATGTGCTGATTTAAATACTGAGGATGTCAGAGCTGGAAAGGGCCAGAGAGATCATATCGGCAGAGTTTGCCCTCACTGGAGACTAGGCAGCTAGATGGGGTGGGGAGGGTGCCTGGCAGAGATGGGCACTGGCAGAAGCAGGTTCAAGATGGATACCAAGGCCTCAGACTCAGTGCGTTGTGACCTTGGGCAGGTCGCTCGCCCTTTCTGGGCCATTGATCCCTCATCTGTAATGAAAGGGAGTTGTGAGGCTGAAATGGGATGGATATGTAAGAATAACTCAGTATAGAGTGGGCCTGCAAAATGTAATTGCATTTGAAGTCAGCAAGCCTGTCTGAGCCTGGATTTCCTCCTCTGGAAACTTCCTGGGGCTGATCAAGTTATATAAGATGACAGATGTGTGAACACTTTATACCAAGCAAAGTGATGGCTGACAAATGTTAAGTGTGTTTAATTAGCATGTGTGAGTGCCCACTATGTCCCAGGTGTTGTGCTAAGTGCTTAAAAAAACAGGCAATAGCTTTCTGAAACTCCCAACATGCATGGCGGAAGGTATCGTTATCTGAGTTCCAGTGGTGTGCTGGTAAACTGCTGGGGGAAGGTGAGGGGGGATCCCTGATGTGTAATGTTTGCCAATTTCCTTGGTGTAAATACTCCCACTATGGTTGATTTCAAGCTACCAATATGATATCACTGAACACAGAATTGGGAAGAATCTGCACCAATGGATCTCTGTCTTACAGAGGAGGAAACTGAGGTCCAAAGAAATAGGTTGAGTGCCTTGCCCCAGATAATTGGCTGAACCAGGTCAATCTCCCCCTAAATCTCACCACTTAACTACCTCCTAGGGTTGAGTCAAATGGGGTCGCCGAGCCTCAGAGATGGGAGTGACTTGGCCAAGGTCACACCTCATGATGGTCTAGAACTAGGACAGGGCCACACCTCCTTTCTCCCAGTCCAGTGTTCTTCCCATCAAGGGCTCAGGCCAATGTGGGGGCCACACTTGCCCTCCCCTCCTACCCCAAGCTTGCTCAGGAAGGCAACAGAACCTCACTTTACAAAGCGCCAACCCTAGGCTGGGCCCTGTGCCAGATAATTACATACGACATTCTCTCATTGATTATTCCCAGCCGACCTGTGAGGCAGGAATTCTGATTGCTAATTGATGGAGGAGGAAGCCCAGGCTCAGATTGGTGAAGTGACTTTCCCAAGGCTACAGAGCCAGGACGTTGTAAAATTCAAAACCACATCTACAGTCACTCCAAAGCCCACATGCTTTCCTCTCCAGCATTCAGCCGGGCCCTCATCCAGCCCACAGACTGCCTGACTCATGGAGGGCTTTAGATGGAAAGCCCGCAGGCATTCATAGACCCATTTGTTAAAAAACAAAACAAAACAAAACAAAAAGTACCTTTCTCTGCCTCAGTGATTTTTTTTCTTTTTCTTTATTCTTTCTTTTTTGAGATGGAATCTTGCTTTGTCATCCAGGCTGGAGTGCAATGGCACAATCTCGGCTCACTGCAACCTCCGCCTCCTGGCTTCAAGCAATTCTCCTGCCTCAGCCTCCTGTGTAGCTGGGATTACAGGCACGTACCACCACACCCAGCTAATTTTTGTGTTTTTAGTAGAGGCAGGGTTTCACCATGTTGGCCAGGCTGGTCTCAAACTCCTGACCTCAGGTGATCCACCTGCCTCAGCCTCCCAAAGTGCTGGGATTATAGGCATGAGCCACCACGCCTGGCCGTCAGTGATATAATTTTGAATCAGCTATGATTTTTAAACAAATCAATTATCAGGCCCCACACCAGACCATTTGAATCAGGATCTCGGGGGAACCTGACCTCCAAGTGGCTCTGGTGTTCCAAAGCTTCCCAGGGGCTTCTGATGTGCAGCTGGTTTGGGGAACCACTGTCCTGTGTCTTAGTCACTCTTGGTGACAATTGCTGATGGGAAAGCATCAGACCTGAGGGTGAAGAAGGATCCCCAAGTGTTAATAGGCACATGAACCTTGAAAAGGCCAAGACTGTATTGGGCAGGTGGTTATTTCTGAGGTCTGAAATGGACACACATCAGTATCAGCCTCTTCCTGACTGCAGCGGGGACCAAATCTGTCCCCTTGCCACAAAACTGACCTGAGAGCTGAGGGCACTGGACAACCACATGATTCTCCCCCAGCTCAAGAGCGTCTTTCCCTGTCGTATATTAATTTACTCACCGCGTGTTTTAGATCTGCCTCTTGGGGGCCAGATATTGCACTGGGTGTTGGGGAAGCAACAGCGAACAAGGCACGTAGCCACATCCCTCAAGGGGTATACAGACCCATGGTTGTAACTGGACGAAGATGACTATGTTCACCACAATTCCTGGGAAGAGAGGCTGCAGTGTAGACCCCTCTCCCGTTAATGAAATCTATAGCAGAGGATGTATTGTTCATGCCTGGCTTGTGACAGGCTCAAGAAGGAGTTGAGTTTCACATTGAGGTTGACATATTGCAGATAGAGATATGAGTAGAGGAGAGTGAGCTGTGGAAAAGGGATCTCAGGGGGGTTTGCAGAAATAGCAGGGGTGGCAGGTTCTGGCTGGGTCCAGAAGCTTTTAATCTATTACTTGAAAGCATGAGGAAACACCTGAAGGAGACGTGTGTGATATGATGGAATACAATGAGACTGTCAAACTAGCCTGGGGAGGTGGGGGAATCATCGTGACCATTCATTGAGCTGTGATTGTGTGCCAGGTTTTGTGCCACACATGCCATATGCATCATGTCTCAAGTCCTTGTAAACACTTTACAAGATAGACTATTATGCTCATCCTATGGGTCAAGGAAATAGAGGCTCAGAAAGGTAATATGACCTGCCTAAAGACACACAGCTGGTTTGTTGCACAGCCAGAAGTTTTGTTTGTTTGTTTTGTTTTTTGTTTTGAGACAGGGTCTCACTCTGTCACTCAGGCTGGAGTGCAGTGGTGTGATCTTGGCTCATGGCAAACTTCGTCTCCTGGGCTCAAGCGATCCTCCCTGCTACTCTGGGATTGTAGGCATTAATCCTTAACCTCCAGAGTAGCTGGGACTGTAGGAGTGTGCCACCATGCCCAACTAATTTTTAAATTTTTTATAGAGACTAGGTTTTGCCATGTTGTCCAGGCTAGTCTGGAACTCCTGGGCTTAAGTGATCTGATCTGACTGCCTCAGCCTCCCCAAATGCTGAGATTACAGGCGTGAACCACCGGGCCTGGCCAGAGCCAGGATTTGAACCCAAGTTTTTATGATTTGAAAACTCATGCTCAAAGCCCCTACACTGTAGAAGCTGCCTTGGTATCTATTTCTCCCTTATCAGAAGGCCCTCATGCCTACAGTTAGAGGAAGGGACAGAACTTGCATGCACACCAGGCCACCTAACGATGACACACAAGATGAGCATTGTCAACCCCATGTTATGGCTGAGGGACTCAGCCTCAGAGAAGTAAATGAACTTGCCCGAGGTCATAGATGAGAAATAGCAGAACTGGGATTGGAGCCCAGGGTCTTTGCCTGGCCCCACCTGCCCTCTGCCCTCACAGCCCTATTACTCCTTCCATGATGGGGGTGGCAGACATCCCAGGCTGGGTCTCCAGAGCAGGCCCAAGTCTGGGCCTCAGGGCAAGGTCATCAGGAGGCCAAAGAGGGAAATCTTTAAATGGTGTCAGGTTCATTGCCTTTGTGGCAGAAGGAAGAAAAAAGAAGAGGCACAGAAGCAAGGAAGATGGAGCTGATTCCTGCTTAACTCACACCCTCTCGTTTGGCTGAGTCAGCGATGCAGGGAGGCCTCCCTGGCCTCAGCACAGAATCGCAGGAATCTGCAGATCTGCTGGAATTTCTCTGCACTGGCTGGCACGGGAGGTGACGAGAGCAGAGGAAAACGACTGCTGTTTTTATTCTCTGGGGCTGGTTTCTTTCTCTCCCCACTCCCCCCCGGCTTCTTGCTCATGTCTTTGAAAGGCCACTTGTCTCTGACTTGCACAGCACTCAACAGTCTAGAAAGCCCCTACAAAGAGCTCTTCGGTCCCCAAAGTGATTTATGATTTTGAAGTGCTTTTTGGATTATGAAAGGCTAACCTACAATAGCCTCCTCACTGCGGCAACATTTACAAAGTGCTTTGCAAGTCACACGGCATTTTATAGTTTGCAACATTCTTTGCAGCCAAAAGGTGCTTACCTCTCCAGAGGGGACTTCAGAGTTTGCAAACCCTGGTCACACCTCTTCCTTTATTTAAACTGCAGTACAGCTCTGTGATAAAGGCTGATAATAATATCTATCACTCATATGGCGTTCACAGTGTCCTAGATATTCTTATGAGCGCTTTACATACGTTCACACATTAATGGTTCAACAACCCCGCAAGGTTGCCACTATTATGATACCCATTTACAAATAAGGATGTTGAGGCACAGCCAGGTAAACCTTGCCCAAGATCACAGGGCTGTTAAGTAGTGGAGCTTGGATTTGAGGCATTGATGTTTGATAGGATGACGACACATTTTGTATCCATTTTTCATATGAGAAAAACAGAGGTCTAGGGCAGTAGCCAGTTCTGTCATGCCCCCCATGTGACCTCAGACTGGTCTTGGCATGTCTCTCGGTCTCTTTTATCCTTCTCTGCAGAACTGAAAGGATAAGCCCCGCCCTGCTCTCTTCTCAACTCTGAACAAATGTGAGGTGTGGGGGTGATGATGCTGGAGGGAGGAGGCCAAGCCTCAGCACCCCCACCCTGGCCTTGCTGCCTGTGCCAAGGTACCAAGCCTTGCCTCAGCTTTCCCCTCTTGGGTGTGGCTCCACTCTGTACAGAAGGCCACCTGGAGGCCTTTCCTGAGATCTCCTATCTTACAGGTGGAGGGAGAGTAGGGTGATGGGGTGGCATGGAGGAGGGAACTTCACCGAGGGCCCAACTCCCATCTTCTGGGTAAAGTCCTCTAGTGAGAGCCCAGAAAAATCACAAGAGTCCAGCCCCCCAGCCATTGACCAGCTGGAGAAACTGAGGCCCCAAAAGTGGAGGTACTTACAGTCACTCAGAGAAGTGGGTGCAGAGGTGGGGCTGGAATTCATCTCCATGCCCTTCCCATGGCCTGTGCTGGGAGTGTGGCTTCAGATCTGAGAAGGCCTTAGATCATTTGTTCATTCCTTCATTCATTTGTTCATTCATTCTTTCATTCAGCTAGTCAGTCAACAAACATTTCTTGAGTGTCCACTCTGTGTCAGATGCTAGATTTAATAATTGTGGGTATGGCTTGGTCCCTGCCCTCATGGAGTTTATAGTCTAGCACTGTGCTGCCCAGTGCAGTAGCCTCTGGCCACATGTGGCTGTTGAGCAGTTGAAATGCAGCTGTTCCAAACTGAGATGTGTTACAAGTGTGAAATACACACTGGATTTTGAAGACTTAGTATGGAAGAAAGTAAGATATCTCAATGATTATTTATTTATTATTATTTTTTTTTTTAGACAGAGTCTTGCTCTGTTGCCCAGGCTAGAGTGCAGCAGCGCAATCTTGGCTCACTGTAGACTCTGCCTCCTAAGATCAAGCAATTCTCCTGTCTTAGCCTTTTGAGTAGCTGGGACTACAGGCACACGCCACCAATCCTGGCTAATTTTTGCATTTTTAGTAGAGACAGGGTTTCACCACGTTGGTCAGGCTGGTCTTGAACTCCTGACCCTAGGTGATCCGCCTGCCTCGGCCTCTCAAAATGCTGGGATTACAGGCGTGAGCCATGGCACCCAGCCATTAATAATTTTTTTTATCTTGATTACATGTAGGAATGATATTTGGAGTATAGTGGGTTAAACAAAATATTAGATTAACTTCTTCTGCATCTTTTTACTTTCTTAAACAGTAGTTACAGGGGACGGTGGTTCATGTCTGTAATCCCAGCACTTTGGAAGGCTGAGGCAGGAGGATTGCTTGAGTCCAGGATTTTGAGACCAGCCTGAGCTATATAGGAAGACTCCACCTCTACAAGAAATAGAAAAAATTAGCTAGGTGTGGTGGCACACGACTGTAGTCCCAGCTACTCAGGAGGCTGAGGTGGGAGGATTGCTTGAGCCAGAGAGTTCGAGACTGCAGTGAGAAGTGATTGTGCCACTGTACTCTAGCCCTGCTCATTCTTCTGAGAGGAGGTGGCTTCCTCTTGCCAGTGAGGAGGTCTCTTGGGGCCCGTGTGAGCAGCCGAGTACTTGGGGGCACCAGCTCTGTGGCTGTACCACCTGGACCTGGTCTTGATTCTGCCACTCACCAGCTGTGACTCACCACCCCACAATGACCCACATGATTACAATTGTGCTATGGGTCTTTTTTTTTTTTTTTTTTTTTTGAGACAGGGTCTTGCTCTGTTACCCAGGTGGGAGTGCAGTGATGTGATCACAGCTCACTGCAGCCTCGAACTCCTGGGCTCAAGCTACCCCCTAGCCTTAAGCTCCTGAGTAGCTGGGACTACAGTTGTGCTCCACTGCGCCCGGCTAATTTTTTAAAAAATAGAGACAGGATCTCACTTTGTTGCCCAGGCTGGTTTTGAACTCCTGGGCTCGAACAGTCATCCTACCTCGGCCTCCCAAAGTGCTGGGATTACAGGCATGAGCCACTGTGCCCAGCCTGTGCTGAGTTTTGCAGGGAGAGCACTCGAGCAGGTTAATGGCAGCGTCCGGCCAGTGGAGGAGGTGGCATTTGAGTGGAGGCCCCCAGGGTAAGGAGAAGCAACTAGAGGGGAACAGCATGCTGGACCAAGGGAACAGCAGGGATGGAGATCGGCCCTGTTGAGGCCCTGAGAGAAGCAGGTCAGCTTGGCCGAGGCTCAGAGATCTGGCCAGGAGGGGGGCCCTGGTGGTGGACAGAGGCCAGATCACAGGACCTCAAGGGCCACACTGAGGAGATTGTTCTTTATCTGGAGGGCAGCTGGGAGCCATGGAAGGTGTGTAAGCATAGGAGTGCCTGGAAGCCTCAAGCGCTCTCTGGCCTTGTATAAGGATTGAGAGAGGCAGAGTCTGAAGCTGGCTTTCTCTTCCTCCAGAGAGGTGGCCCATGGCAGGGCTTGAATTCTCGCCAGGTGGAGCTTGCTGGAACTCCAGCTTCACTGCTCTCTCGCCGTGTGGCTGTGTGACCTCAGCCAGATGACCTGCCTCTCTGTGCTTCGGTTTCCTTATCTGTAAAACAGGAATAACGGTGGTGAGTCACTCGAGGGTTCTGCGAAGACTTGGTGACGTAACGCTTGCGAAGTGCTTGGCACAGAGTAGGTCCACGAATAGTTGTCCCTTTTCCTTTTCCCTTCCTGAGTCCCCCCACCCCACCTGTCAAACACCATGCCCCCGCTCCTCAGGCGGCAGGAAGCAGGATCGGAGGAGCGTTTCTGCACCCGTCAGAGTATTTATAGCTGTGTGCTGTCAGCCCGATGTTGTTTTTCGGTTGCATATATATTTTTACATTTTCCACCGTCACACATGGTTTCTCAGTGCGGTTGAGAAGCAGCGGGGGTGGAGGGTGGTGGATGCAGAGAGTGGAGAGTGTAGGAGGCGGAGCCGGATGGCCCAGGACAGCACCGAGGGACGGCCTCGGTCACTTCTGTCTCAGCTCAGAAGCCATCGATGGTTCCCTATTACCCTCTGCCCGCAGCCCGGGCTCCTTCGCCATGGGTCCAGGCCCTCCCGAGAAGGATTACATGTAGGAATGATACTGCGCACCGCAGCTGCGTTTCTCACCACTGGCTCTCTCCACTCCCCGCGTCTGAGCCACTTTCTTCCCCGAGTGCATAACCAGGGGAAAGCGAACCGGACGTAGCTCTGCTACTCACCAGCTGCGTGACCTCAAGCAAGTTTCTTTACCTTTCTGAGCCAACGTTTCCTTTCCTGTGAGACAGGAGCACTAACTCCAGTGTCCTGGAGCTGCCGTGAGGATTGAGTGTACAGGCGCCTGCCCACGAATCCATGGTAGCCATTGTTAGGCGCGCTTCAGTCGCGTGTCTCCAGGCCTTTGCACAGGCCGTTCCCTCTGCCAGGAATCCCCAGGCCACCTCTTCAGGGAGTCCTCCGGGCCTACTGCTCCCCCGCACCTCAGCCCATCCACTCTGGGAGGGGACTAGGAGAGTTCTTTGTAACGAAATTCTTTCTCCTCTAAAAATAGATGTCACACTCCTTGCTTATAAAAATAATCCGTACCCTCCCAGTACCAAGCCTTCCCGTGTTCCTGCTCTATCCTCACACACTTCCCCGGGAAGTGGGTACCATGTCTCCATTCTTCAGGTGTGGGAAGTGGATTCGGGAAGGGAAGTGACTCATCCCAGCTCTACTCAAACTCAGACTTCAGACTCAAGGCCCCGTGGTTCTTGCTACGCGCAGCCTGACATGGCCTCCCTCCCCTACACAAGGCAGAGTTGTCTTCAGAATCTGTCACGTGGGTGATCATGCGACCCCACGGGGTGTTCTGAGGAAGCAGAGGGGCCCTGAACTAGATGCCATGGCTTGGTGCCCAGGACACACTCCCTTTCCTCGCAGGTCACTGCCTCCAGTCTCAGAGCCCACCCAGGCTCCTCTCTGCTCTCTGACCTCCTTCTCACAACTTGGGAGCCCAGGGCCCCCCACTCCCTGCCTGCCAAAGGCCAGGCCCTCAGAGCTGGCTGTGTACCCCTAGCCTTGGCGTCTGAAGTGGGTGGAGCTGGCCGTAGAGGGCACTGTTGCTAGGCAACAGTCTGGCAAAGAGTATCAGGCGCCCTGAGAGGAAATGAAAAGGGGCCTTTCCTTGGGGGCTGGAGGGGAACAAGGTGGGGATGGAAAGAAGAAGGGCCTCCACCTCTTCTCCATGCTGCCAAGACCTATACCTCATCTTCACCCTCTCCATCCCCACTTCAACCTCTCACTTATTATTTTTTGAGATGGAGTTTCATTCTTGTTGCCCAGGCTGGAGTGCAGTGGTGCAATCTCGGCTCACTGCAACCTCCGCCTCCTAGGTTCAAGCAATTCTCCTGCCTCAGCCTCCCAAGTAGCTGAGATTACAGGCACCACGCCTGGCTAATTTTTTGGTATGTGGTAGAGACAGGGTTTCACCATGTTGGTCAGGCTGGTCTTGAACTCCTGACCTCAGGTGATCCACCCGTCTTGGCCTCCCAAAGTGCTGGGATTACAGGCGTGAGCCACTTTGCCCGGCCTCAACCCCTCACTTATTTACTCATCTCTACTCTCATTCATTCATTCATCATTACACTCACTCGTTAATTAGCTTGTTAATTTATTTACTTGCTGTCTGGTGAATCACGGCTTCACTACTTGCTGCGACTTCGTTACCCCATCTGTGAAATGGGAATAATGACTGTATAGATTTCATAGGGTTGTGTTTACACCGCCCATGGTGAGCACATTATAAATGTTTGTTCTTATGATGATGAGTTATTCACAATACTTCCTAAGCACCAGATCTGTGCCTAGCGTCACGCGGGGCTCTGCGGTGACGGAGGTAAATGAGCTCTCAGCTCAGTGGGAGAGACAGATAAGACCACAGGTGGAGCTGGCATGGGCCTTGCCCATCACCTCCAGATTTCCTCCGATTGTTTTGTGGGCACATAGGGGAGTGTTAAGGGCAGGGGCTGTGGAGCCCTGCACCATGGAATTGTAGGCTGACCCTTTACTTACTAATGCTGCACTCTTGGGTGACAGATTTAACCCCTCTGACCTTGGTTTTCCATCTGCAAAGTGGGACCTGGCAGTAAACATCTTCCTGGATCTAGAGAGGATGCAATGAGATCATGTGTGACCCTTTCTGGGCACTGGGTCAGCTTGCAACAGGGCAGCAATTATTGTTATTGGTGCACGGTGGGAACCGGGTCTCCCCAGGGTGCCGTGAAGTCTCTGAGGGCCGGGACCCAGTTTCTCCTCCTTTTTCTCTCTTTGCTCCACCTTTCTGGGTCTGCCTACTGTTTTCCACCTCCAGCCGTATGCTCATGCCGTTCCCTCTTCCTGAAATAATCTTTCTCGTTATTTCTCCTAAAGCTCTAATATAGTTCTTGGAGGCTTCAGGCCCCAGCTGGGACGTCTCACAAAGTGAATCTGGGGTAGATTTTCAATAAACTCCTCACTTATATCCTGCTGCAGCCAAGCCCCCAGGACCCCATCTCCTTGGAGGAGCCAAGTAGGGTGGCTGCAGCCTCTGCAAGTGAGCTGACTCCTTTGGGGCATAATTCACACTTTCTCTTAGCCTCTGTCCCCCGAGGCCAAGCCTACATGGTCCATCTCTGCAGATTTTCTGCCCACGAGTTCCCTGGAATCCAGAGAACACTCCCAAGAGAGACAGTCCTTGTCACACCACTCATGATCTCCCAGGCTGCTTCTCCCCAGTGCTTAGCACATGGAGATGCATTCATTTCTTGTGAGCACGTTTATTGACTGTGTGGCTCCCCTGCCAGCCTGAACACTCCGCAAGGTCAGGCTCTGCCTCTGGTTCCCCACTCAGTCCCCAGCACCCAGCCCAGACCTGGTGCATAGAAGATGCTTGTCACAGAGATGCTGTGTGGGTGGATGGACAGATGCATGAAGAATCCGTGGTGTGGAGCACACGGGGAAGTGGCCTTTGTTCTTCCATATAGAACGGCAGAGGCTGGAAGACCAAGGATCAGAAATTCCAGAGGTGAGTTTCAGCTCTGTGAGCCCAGACAAGTGGGATCCCCTTTTGGGGGACTCGGTTTCCTTACCTGTGCCATGTCTGCATAATAGTGCCTACCTTATGGAGATGACTCTGAGCATCCAATGATAGGAACTGGGACACCCAGAAGGGAATGATGGCCTGCCAGAATTTGGGGCTGGATCAGTTGCACAGATTCATGTGCCACTCACTACCCTTCCCTGACACCCCTGCTGCCCTGGGCAAGACTTAGGAACTTGGTGACTAGCTAGTTCAGGTGACAGAGGGGCCTGGATGCTCCTTATGAGTCTCCCTTTGGGAGATGAGCCCCTGATTGAGCCTAGATCCTATAGAAATACAGTGTGGGCCAGAGGCCAAGTCATGCATGTCTCTGAGCCTTGGCCACTTTGTCTATAAAAGGCACCATAATATAGGATGAGTGTGGTGGCTTATGCCTGTAATCCTAGCACTCTGGGAGGCCAAGGTGGGAGGATCGCTTGAGCCCAGGAGTTTGAGAACAGCCTGGGCCACAGAGGGAGACTGTGTCTCTACAAAAAATAATAAAACTGATGATGTGTGGTGGCACATGCCTGTGGTCCCAGATACTTGGGAGGCTGAGGCAGGAGGGTCGCTTGAGCCTGGGAGTTAGAAGTTGCAGTGAGCTGTGATTGCACCACTGCACTCCAGCCTGGGTGACAGAGCAAGACCCTGTCTCAAAATAAATACAATATAACACAATAATAAAGCACTGAAATAAAATGAAATGGGTGATAATAGAACTCTACGGGTTGTCCCGAGGAAGCAGAGGGACCTGGAAGTAGATCCCATGGCTTGGTGCCCACAGCTATTAGGATTTTTCTTGTCAGTCGTGGTAGATTTTGGTTCTTCCATAAAGAGGAACCCATTTAGGTGTTTTTTAGAAATACCTCTCTGAATTGAGATTCCGTGACTCTGACTTCCTGGCTGACCGGGTGAGTCTGGCTCAGTTCTCAGTGTAAGCCACACCCCAGTCTTCTACCTCCCACGCAGCCTCTCTTCATTTTGTCTCAAATGGCCCTCTGCTTTCCATGGGAGGCCTGGGCTCAGTCTGGGACTAGGATCTGAGCTTAGACTGGGGTGGAAACTAGGCTCCGTCTGTAAGCAGTATTGAGGTTCAGTCTGCCTGGGAACGATGAGTCTGCGGATGACCTGGGTTGGGTCTCATTCAATGCCAGGATTGTCTGTGACAAGTATTTCAGCCTGCGTTCCTGGAAACAGATTCTGGACTGCACGTGTGTTTCTTGGGGCATGTCCTTGGGAGATCCACCTGGAAGGAAGGAGCAAGGCTGACTGGGCAGAAGGAGACTGACCCACCGTGAGGTTGCAACTGAGGTCCCTACGAGGACCCCTGGAGCTGACGATCCCCTAGGGTTTCCTAGTTGAGAAGGAGCCGTGCCTCTGCAGCCACACATGGGTCAGGCACTGGCCACAGGCTGTCCCTGGCATGGGGTATAACCCAGTGAGGTAACAGCAGTCCCAGCAGCTTGGCCCTGAAGAGGGGCTCTGGAGCACAGAGTAGTCCCCACAACCCACCCCAAAGCTCAGGCTCACACCAGTGTTTCAGTCAGACGCTGGATGTCCCCACAGGACAGGATCTTTGTCCCCAGCATCTAGCACAGGGCCTGGAGGGGCAGCACAAGCCTCAGCCTGCAAATGGAGGAAGAAGAGGAAGTGTGAAGTGGTGCCCTGTGCCGCATTGTGTGGGCCAGCTGCTCAGCCTCCCCCAGAGGTTCAGAGAGGGCTGGCCACCTGCCTAAGGTCACACAGCTGCTAAGGGCAGAGCCAGGATTGGAACCCAGGACTGGCTGAGTCCAGAGCTTATGGTCTCTCAGCCACATCAGACTGTGAGCTTATTAGAAAGCAAGGGCCGGGGGAAAGGAAAAGAGCTGCTCTTCCCAGTTCCCGGAGCAGGGCACTGGAGCGGGGCCCACCAACTCTGGCCACCTCTGGCCAACCTGCCAGGACCCATGCCCAGGGGAGGGAGCAGCATCTTGCGGGCGGGCAGCCTTTCTTGGGTAATGAGGCCCAGCCGGCAGTTTGCAGGCCTTACCATGTGAATAATTCATTTGCAACCAAGTCTGGGAATTAGAAACCGTTACTGGATGATTTATTTAACAGGGGCTGCTGCTGGGGAGAGGGGAGGAGGATTTTGAACTATAAAAGGGAAGTACATACCTTGTAGATAGATTCAGAGAGTCCCACAGACCTGGGTTTCAGTCCAGGTCTGCCTTCTACCAGCTGTGTGACCTTGAATAAGTGACTGGACCTCTCTGTGCCTCAGTTTTCTTTGTTGCAAAAAGGGGATAATAATAGAGTTGTTAAAAGGATTGAATGAGTTAGAATTTGGAGAGCACTTAGAATCATGCCTGGTTCATAGTAAGTGCTCAGTGTTTGTTGTATGAATACATGACAGCCTATATAGAATAGGAGCTTAATTGAGCATGTACTTTGTGACAGGCCCAGTTCTTTTTTTTTTTTTTTTTTGAGACGGAGTCTCGCTCTGACGCCAAGGCTGGAGTGCGGTGGTGTAATCTCGGCTCACTGCAAACTCTGCCTCCAGGGTTCACGCTGTTGCCTCAGCCTTCCGAGTAGCTGGGACTACAGGCACCCGCCACCACGCCTGGCTAATTTTTTGTATTTTTAGTAGAGACCGTGTTAGCCAGGATGATCTCGATCTCCTGACCTCGTGATCCACCCGCCTCGGGCTCCCAAAGTGCTGGGATTACAGGCGTGAGCCATGGCGCCTGGCCGGCAGGCCCTGTTCTAAGAGCTTAACATGCGTTATCTCATAGCACTCATGTAAATTGGATATTATTATTATTGCATCTATATTAGAGATGAGAAAATAGAAGCTCAAGCTGGAGCTCAGACAGCTAGTCCTGGCAAAGCAGGGATCTGAACCCAGCCAAGACTCCCTGACTGCAGGGCCCATGCAGTTAACCACATTCCCATATCACAGATCTGATGCACAGCCTAGCACAGACCTGGCTCTTATTTTAAGAAAAATGTCCCTGTCCCCGCTAAGCATTGCCACTTTCATCATGACATTTGATTCTATTAACAAACCCGACAGGTGGTCAGGGAGCATGTGGTCTCTCTCAGCTGAGGAAGCTGAGGCTCAGAGAAGGACGTGAATCGTTCAATGTCCCACAGCCCCAGATGAAAGCCAGGCCTCCCTGAGGCCTCCTAGCAATGATCACAATGTGTCTTATAACAGCTCAACCCCAGGCATGTCTGCTTACGCCAAGACTGCACTCCTGGAAGGCAGAGGCTGTGTCTTGGTTTTGCCGGATTCACTAAAGGTCCTTATTGAATAGCAGAGGAAGGAAGGAAGAGAGGGAGAGAGGCAGGAAGGGAAGGAGGGAGCAAGGGAGGGAGGTAAGCAGGCTGATATAGTAGGTAAACTGTCTCTTGTCATCTTTATGCTGCTCCTGCCATAGCTCCCCACACACCCCCCCACCCAGTAAAACATACACTGGAACACATGCTCACACGCTCCTGTCCAGGGTGAGGTCAGTGTGGCCCCTGAGCCAGGCTGCCTGGCACGTGGCTGTGAAATCGACCCAGGCACTTCTGAGGGGCCAGGTGTCCTTGGCCTCCCACAGGAGGTGGCACTTTGCCAGACCCTTGCAGAGGGTGGCGGGGTCTCCAGGCCTGTCCCTGGATGTGAGCACAGGGACACGGCAGCTCTGCCCTGTCCACCGGCTGCTGGCGGGCCTCCCGGGCTGTGCAGTGCGCTGGGTACACAGGTGTTTGGGCTTTTATGATTGCATAGGGGTCTGTGTGTCTGTGGATGTGGGACTGGTGTGTTTGTAGATGTGTACTGAGGATATTTTTGAATCTTGTAGGTGTGTTGTGTATCTCTGCACATATTTGCATTTGTGTGGGGGGTGTGTTCTGTGAGGGTTCTGTATCTGGGTATTTCGATTTCGAGTGTTGGGATAGGTGTGTGCGTGTGTGTGTGTGTGGATGTGAATATGTTTGTGTGTATTTGGGTGCTCTGGGGGGCATTGTGTGGATGTACACACACGTCTATCCAGACTAGTGCATGTCTGTGTTAGCCAGTCTATGTGTGTTTGTAGAATCTTGTATGTATACAGATATTTGCGTATCTGAATTTGGAGAGCATTTCCGGCATGTGGGAGGGTGTGTGCGCGCGCGTGTGTGTGTGTGTGTGTGTGCGCGCGCGCGCTACGTGATGCGTGTGTGATGTCGGATGTCTGTGGGGGTGTATGTGTCATATGTGTGGTTTGTAAGGTGTGGAGTGCTGTGTGTATGGTGTGTATGTGGTCTGTGATGTGTAGGGGTTATGATATGTGTGTGTGTGTGCATGCTGTGATGTGTGTGGCATGTGATGAATGTGTGTGGCATGTGATGTGTGTGCTTATGCGATATATATGGTGTGTGATGTGTGGGGGTTGTGTGGTGTGTATAGGTGGTGTGTGATGTGTGGGTATTGTGTGTGATGTATGTGTTGTGATGTATGTGTACACTGTGTGATGTGTGGGGGTTGTGATGTGTGCAGGTGTGTAGTGTATGCTGTGTGTGGGTTGTTTGTAGTGTGTTGATGTGTGTGTTGGTGTGTGTATGAGGGTGTGTGGTGTGTGTGTTGTGATGTGTGCAGGTGTGTGGTGTGTGATGCACCTGTGTGGGTGTGTTATGTGTGCAGGTGTATATTGTGTGTGATGTGTGTGGGTTGCATATGTGTAGTATGTGTGTTATGTGTATGCTGGTGTGTGTGTGTGATGTGTGTGGAGGGTGTGGTGTGTGGGTTGTATGTTGTGTAGTGATGTATGTAATGTATGTTGTGTATGATGTGTGTGTTGTGTGATATGTGTGGGAGTGTGTGTTGCATATTATGTATGTGTTGGTGTATGAGTGTGTGGTGTGTGTGGGTATGTGTATATGATGTGTGTGTTGTGTGATGTGTGTGTGTTGTGTACAGGTGTATGGTGTGTGATGTCTGCAGGTGTGTGTTGTGTGTTATGTGTATGGTGTGTGTGAAGTGTGGGGGTTGTATGTGTTGTGATGTATGTGGATGTGAAATGTGTGTGTGTTTGTGTGGTGTGTGATGTCTGGGGGTTATATATGTGTAGTGTGTGTTGTGATGTATGTGGGTGTGTGATGCGTGCGTGGGTGTGTGTGATATGTGCAGGTGTGTGTGTTGTGTGTGTGGCGTGTGATGTGTGGGGTTGTATGCATGTAGTGTGTGTGCGTTGTGATGTATGTGTGTGACGTGTGGGGGTGTGGACGGGCATGACGTGTACAGAGAGAGGTCCAAGCATGAAGATCAGGAGTCTTTGTTCCAACTTTGGCATGTGACGTGGGTCAGCCCCTGCCCCTATCAAGCCTCGGTTTCCCTGTCTGGGCAGTGAGCGCCATGTTGTTCAAGGGGGACTGCATTTCGGGGTGCTCAGCCGCACAGAGAAGGCAGCTTCCGGGGAGCTCTGCCACGTCGCGGGCATGTCTCCTTGCAGGTTGTAAAATCCTTTTGGCAGGATTTGGGCTTGGGCTTGCTCTTTCCATCAGATTTAATAGGAAAAGGGTTTCCTGTTTCGGTGTCTCCGTTTGTTATTCATTTCTTGTTTTCATAAAATGTTAAAAGACTGTGCCATTTAGACAAGTAGAGATGCCAGTCACTTTCCCTAAAATTGTCATCCTGTCACTCCCTGCTCTGCAGCTGGGGTGATCCTTCCCAAATGCCAAGCTGCCATGACACTGCCCTGCGGAGATTCTTCCCAGGATCCCCTCCTCTCTGGTGGCCGTGGACTCCCAGTGGCCCCCTCCTCTCCAGCTGCCTCCCTGCTCTCTGCACCGCAGCCTTGCCACCCTCTGTCCCCTTCTATCCGTGTCTCTGCCAGCCTCCCCTGCCTCCAGCCTCTGTCCAGGGATATTCCCTTGTCCTGGAATGCTGCTCTCCTGACTCCCATCTCTCCCCTCATTTCCTCTGGCTAACTCCTCTCCATCCTTCCCCCTCTGGATGCTCTGAGGAGGATCAGGTCTGACTGTGAGCTCCCCAAGGACGGGCAATCTGGTTCTCCCTAGTAATCTCAGCACCTACCATGTTGCCCAGCACACAGGAGGTGTTTAATAAACACTTGGCGAGTGAATTAATGCATTATGAATGAATGGATGATGTCCTGTCCAGCTTTAGCTTCAGTGGCCGGAAGACCCGAACCCAGGGTGAGGACTCAGATGGCATCTCCATCAGAAGCAACTGCCTCCAGCTTCAAACTGTCCTGAGCCCTGACCCTGGGCTGACTGAGCCCTGATCCTGGACTCAGACTAAGCCCTGACTTCAGCTGCAGACTGAGTCCTGACCTGAGACATTTAGCTTTGACTCCAGACACAGACCGAGTTTAACCCCTTCCATGAAATCATTGCTGGGGAGAGTCCTGGGCTGGGAGTTAGAGGTCTCAGTTTGAGCCTTAGCTCTGCCACGGTTCTCTGGGTGACCCCAGAAGGTCCTATCCCCCTGTACCTCAGCATCACAGCAAAATAGGTGCATCTCCAGAAAGTACAGAACACCATTGAAATATGGCAGCCAGTCCGAGGGTGGTGGCCCCTTCCTGTAATCCCAACACTGGGAGGCCAAGGTAGGAGGATCACTTGAATCCAGGGGTTTGAGACTGACCTGGACAACACAGCAAGACCCCATCTCTAAAAAAATAAAAATGAAAAAATTAGCTGGGCATGGTGGCACACACCTGTAGTCCCAACTGCCTGGGAGGCTGAGGCAGGAGGATCCCTTGAGCCTGGGAAGTTGAACCTGCAGTGAGCCAAGATCATGCCACCGCATTCCAGCTTGGGTGGCAGCAGAGACCCTGTTTCTAAATAAAAGAAAAATAAATTTTAAAAAATGTGGCAGCCATTCACGCTCGGGCCCCACCCACGAAGCTGCTGTTAATCCCAACCCCAGAACATTCCTGCGGGGTAAAGGTGTCCCAGGATTCTGGGGCGGGGGGTGGCTCACGGGAATCCCCCCTTACCTCGGTTTTTGTAGGAAGGCTCAGGAAGGGGTTTGGAAGGGCTGCTGTGCTCTTTCCGCTCAAGAGTCCATTCCATCCCACCTGGGGTGCTCTGTCCATGCGACCTTGGGTGAGTCACTCCCCTTCTCCCGTAGGGGCAGGGGGCGGGAACAGGGTTAGAAGGGCCCAGCCTGGCTGTACTTGTCTGCAGTTCCTAAAGTCTGCCTCCGCCTGCTCCCGCCTCAAAAAGACCCCTCTCCACTGCCAATTCGGTGCCTGAAGGAGGAGGTGGCCCAGAGACAGTGAGGCCACTGGACTTGGGCGAGGCTCCGATAGGACCCCCAGGACCTACATCTGAACGGTGAGCTGGGTTCTATCCCCCTCCCAGAGCGGGTGGAAGCTAAGCTGGTTGGAGAGGGGAGCCTGGGCCTATCCTGGAGCTCCCTCTAGTGTCTGAAAAGGGGCCTACAGTCTAACCTTCATCCAGGGGAGGACTGGGGGTTGTTTGTCCTGGCCACCCTCCCCAAGCTGTTTTGCCAGCCCCCAGTCTCTACCCTCACTCCTGGGGGTTCACCAAGCTGAGATCCTGGGGATACACTAGGGCTATTTCCCTTGTTTCAACCCCAGCGGACACCAAATTCTATTGTTCCTGATGCCCAAATGCCCACTCCTGCTCTCTGTGACTCCACCCAACCCCGTCCTGATTCAAGCTTCGTGGCCTTTCCCTGGGTGATTTCAACGCATGCACTCCTTCAGTGCAGCTTTCACTCTTCCCAGAGGGAACTCTGCCACATGCAAACCTGGCCACGTCGTTCCCCTTCTTTCACCTCTTCTATGGCTCCCCAGTGCCCTCAGGACACAGTCCAAATCCTTAGCACCTTACAAAGACTGTGCCATCTGTCCTCTGCCGACCCACCAGCCTCACTTCTAATCATTGCCATTTTGCATCCTGACCCCGGGTAATAATGACCTGTCTGCAGTTCCTGAAGGTACAATGCCCTCTCTCACACCTGACCTTGGACCATCCTTGGTTTTCAGCCAGGTATGCCTTCTGCCTCTTCTCCACTTGGAAACTCCTGTTCTTACTCCATGGTGGTACCTCCCCTGGGGAATTGCCCTTTTGCAGCTGGCCTTCTCTTGGGCTTCCCACTGGGCTCTAAGCCAGCCCCTCTCTGCCTTGTCCTTGAGTCTGTTCCTCTAGACATGAGCTCCCCAGTGGTGAGGGCTGAGTGAGTCTCATCTGTGTATTCATCATCCTACCACATGCCTGCCTTAGGATGGGTACGGATGCCTACACTGGTGAGGAGAACAGGGCAGGATCAGTGCTGGGGGCCTTACGGGAAGCCCAGGGGTCTGTCGGAGCCTAGAAGAGGCCCCGACGAAGCCTGGGGGTTGGGGGAGGAGCAGAGAAGTCTTCTCTGAGGAGATGATGCCAGAGTTGGAGTCTTCAAGGATCAGTGCAGTGTCAAGAGGCACTCAGTCAGGTGGGGGCGGGGTGGGCATTCCAGGGAGCAGACCCTGGCATCAAAGACTTGTGGGCAAAACCTGGCCACTGGCCCAGGGGTGTGTGTGCATGTGTGTGTGTATGTGTGAGAGAGAGAGAGAGAGATTTTAGTAGGGGCAGAGGGAGAGACGCTGAACGGTAGAGAGGTGGGCAGAGGAGCTGGGGGCTGAGGATATTGATCTGTGTTTGTGCCAGGGACTGAGTTATGAAGCGTTCTGGGCATGAGTCTCAGGAATTTAGACTTGGCCTTCGTGCAACTGGGGGTCACCAGGCAAGAGACACAGTTGAGATTTGAAAAAAATCCCTCTGGCAATTGGTGTAGAACCCAGGGGCCTCCTGGGCATCGTTTTGGGCATTTGTGGGGTGCTTTCAGTTATCATGATGACTGGGGGGTACTACTGTGAGTTAGTGGATGGGGCCTGGGATGCCAAACACCCTGTGATGTTGGGAACAGTCCACATCATGAAGGGTTGGCCCATGTGCCATTTGATTTTGCATTTCCCACCAGGCACGCGTGCAGAGGGAAAACACCTGTCTGTAATTGTCTAAGATTAGAGCACATGTCTGGCTTGCATAGAAACGGAGAGCATCTTTGCGTGGTTTTTAGCGAAGACTGATTTGCCAGAACTATGCCTTCCATGCACATTTTAGGAAGATTGCGCCTTATCTTGTTTGGAGCCTTACCCAGATTCGCCACCATTTTGAAAAACTACATACTTCATGGCAGATCTTCTCATGGGATTTGAGCGGCCAACGGGACCTTCCCCACATTGGTGTGCATCTGTGGCTGTCACCTTCAGTGGAGTTCTGTGTAGGCACACACTTCTCATTGCTTTATTGTGTCTGCTAGCATAGTGTACTCAACAGGAGCATTTACAATTTGAAATAATGGATCACCTTAAATTACCTTCGTTATGTATTCTTTTTTTTTTTTTTTTCTGAGACAGAGTCTCACTCTGTCTCCCAGGCTGGAAGGCAGTGGCACAATCTCAGCTCAGTGCAACCTCCACCTCCCGGGTTCAAGCGATTCTCCTGCCTCAGCCTCCTGAGTAGCTGGGATTACAGGTGCCCGCCACCATGCCTGAATAAGTTTTGTATTTTTAGTAGAGACGGGGTTTTGCCATGTTGGCCAGGCTGGTCTCGAACTCCTGATCTCAGGTGATCCGCCCACCTCGGCTCCCAAAGTGCTGGGATTACAGGCATGAGACACAGCGCCCGGCCCTTTATGTATTAATTTAACCAACACTCATTTAACTCTTGACATTGCCAGACACTTTTCTAAATGCTTGATGAGTAATTATTTAATCCTCAAGACAAGTCTATGCAGTAAGGTGCAGTTGCTGTCTCTTTTTTTTACCAGGGAGCTAACTGAGGCACAGAGAGGTGACTTACCCAAGGCTGGAGTCGGGCAGACCCAACTCGAATCCTGCCAGGCACTGGTGCTGGGCCAACCTCACTTCTCTGTGCCTTGGTTTCCTCATCCATAGAATGGGGCCAGTGCTGACCTTGCAGTGCTGCTGGGAAGTGGAGAAGCCGGGATTTGAATCAGCATCTGTGCACCTCACCACTGGCCTATAGTGTCTGCCTCTGATGTTTCAGTTAGGGCATTGGGTTGGTTTTCTTTTGGAAGTTACAAGCATACATATGTTGAGACAAGGTTAAGTGCCACTGGTGGAGAGCCTGTGAGAGCTGGGCTGGGAGGGAGTGGAGGTCTGGTCACTGAAGCTGGGGCATGGACACGCTTGTCCAGGGAGGAATGTGGAGTGAGGAGGGCAGGGGGCTGGAGACAGACCCGGACAGGTCACAACATTCTGGGAGGAGGAGTGAGGAACGGTTAACAAGGTAGAGAGACCAGGGTAGCAGGGGTTGGGGAGCCCACAGGGACAGAGTTCCAAGAAGGAGGGCATGGGTGACAATGGAGAAGGCCTTAGAGAAACCCAGTGAGGTCAGGGCTGATGGTGGCCCCAGACTCAGACACAGAGGGAGCAGGGGGACCTGGGCCGTGAGAGCCGAAGGGGCCTCAGCTGGAGCTGCAGTCACTCTCACCCCAATACCCAATGTAGGGAGAAGGAGGGGAAGAAACACCCCAACCTCCATCTCCTCTCTCCCTGGCATCTCCGGCCTGTGCCTCCCACTGGCTCACCTTTCCAGGAAGCAGATGGAAGGAAGCCAGCATGACACAGCCCACAGGTGCCAGCAGGGCAAGGGCGGCTCTGGGTGGGGAGTAGGGACAAACAGAACAACCAGTGAGACCCTGAGAAGGGAGATGTGAGACCCTGGGGAATGATCCAGAGCAGGAGTCACCTGGAAGGGTCTGAAGGGGTTCCTTCTGGTGGGCTCCTCAGTGGGGAGGGTCACTATCCTCCCACGACGAGGCTCTGACAGCAGCCGCCCAGTCCTTGCAATGTTCTCAGGCAGATGCTGTGATGATCCCATTTACAGATGGGAGAACTAAGACGCAGAAAAGGAACAGACCAACAAAAGCTCACCTAAGGGCAGAGAGCAGGAACCGGATTCAAACCCAGGTCTGCCTGATGCCAAAGCTGGGACTCCCAACCACTGAACCTTGCTGTCGCATGTGCCCATCAGCTTGAGAGTTGGTGGGAATCCCGGCCCAGGACAGCGTCCCCTCAGCCAGGGAGGTGGCAGCAAGTCATGCTCAGGCTAGTGGAGGGGCAGTTAGTAACCTGCAGTCGGAGGTTCACCAGTGGAAAGGCTGGAGTCGGGCAGACCCAACTCGAATCCTGCCAGGCACTGGTGCTGGGCTGCTCACCTCTCTGTGCCTCGGTTTCCTCATCCATAGAATGGGGCCAATGCTGACTTTGCAGTGCTGCTGGTGGGTGGGGGGGGGGTAAACTGAGGTTATGTCGATTCCCTTCCCAGGTGGGGAGGACAGGGGAAGTGGATGCACCTGGGGGACCATCTCAGAGGAGCTGGCCCACTCTTACTGCCTTCTCCAGATCCGGACCAGGGAGCGGTCAAGATGGTGTGCCCTTGTCTGACCTCCGTCCTGCCTGCTGTCCAGCGACTCCCTGGCTTCCTCCCCGTCACGTGGGACTCCTGTACCCGGTGCTGTCGGGGGAGCCCCCCTCCATACCCTCCAGACCTCACAAGACACTTCCAGGTCTGGCCACAAGGTGGAGTGTGGCGGCTGCAGGACAGTGCTGGGGGCCGGGCTGCAGAGGAGACTGGACCTGCGCCGGGTGACCTCCCCGCTCTGTGAAAGTGTGGGAGTTTGTGTCTGTGCATCCAGAGAACCAGAGGGTGGTGGTTGACTTGCCGTGCTCCCCCCAGCCCCCCATTGGGATTGCCTGGGTCTCTGGGGGATCACTGAGAAGCTGGATAAAGAGAGCTGGCACTGTCGCCTTGGCTCACTAACGCCACCATTTTACAGGTGAGGAGACTGAGGCCCAGAGAAGGAAGTCACGTGCTGAGGTCACCGGCTAATCAGTGGCTGAGCTGGGCTCGAACCCAGATCTCTTACGCTGTGAGGCCTCTGCTTTTCCTGTGGCATGGAGAGGGGCTTCTCCCACCTGGGGAGAGGGATCCTGTTGTATTGGAGAGGCAGGGGATTAAAGATGGACTGAGAGAGGTTAGTGTCCCAGAAACCAAGGGGCAATCCCTGCCCTGGAGAGAACAGGCCTCAAGGGCAGGGATGGGGCAGGGGCAGTGGATAAGGAGTCTACCCAGGCCTTTTTGGGTTCCCTCCTTTGGTCCCTGGGGACCCAGGGCTGTGGCACTTGCCCCGGGCTAGAGGGTCGGCCAGGGCCTGTGTGGTGCCCACTGCTCCCTCCCCTGCACTGCAGGGGACCCTTGCCCATCCCTCTAGCTCATCTGGACCTCCCTCAATGGCTCCTGCTGTCTTTCCAGGCTGTGTCCTCCCGTGTCAGGGACACATCCCAGAGCCCAGGGCCTGCGTGGGCTGTATCCACGGTTACTGAATAGGGACAAACAGGCATGTATTGGCAGGGGCCGGTGGCTCATTTCAGGAAAGTCCCTTCAGCAAGAGGATTCTCTCCCCACTGGGGCTGAGGGTGGTAGAAGAAAGGAATGTTGTTCTATGTTGTAGTGTCTCTGAGATGACCTGGCTTCCTGAACCAGGTCCCCCTGAAGAGCTCCTCCTGTCCACCCCAACAAGAGGCCAGCTGGAGAGCAAGCAAACATCGAGTGCAGCAGGAGACTATAAGGTTAGACAACAAGAAGGACTTCCTGGCAGGGGAGAGCAATGCTTGCTTGGTTAGAGCTGCCTTTCAGTAGAATGGGCTGCTTTGGATTGCAGTGAGGTCGCTGGAGTTGCAAACAGCAGAGCCAGAGATCAAGGTCAAGTGGAAGAAAGCTGGGAAAGGTTCAGTTTGGCTGGTGAAGGGTGGAGAGGGTAAAGGGAGGCAGGGACCACCGTGGTGCAGGGGTGAGGTGCCCTGCAGGGAGCTGATCCTGAGGCCGATGGTGGGAGGAGCTGTGTGTGGTCGGGTGGGACGGGGTGGGGACAGCAGGAGACACTGAGAAGGTGGCATGGCCAGGAGCTAGGGGCTGACCGAGTGTGGGGAGGGGGGAGTGGGGAGGGGGCGTTGGGCTGCCCGATGGGAGGTGCCTTGGCTCCGATGGGAGCACTGGGGAGCAGCAGGTGGGGGGACGAGCTGGGTGGGAGGGGCTGCAGCTTCCCAGCAGAGACAGGGTCTGGGAGGCGACTGGACTCGAAGGCCTGGGCTTGGGAGAGAGGCCCGGGCTGGAGAGGTGGGGAGGGGGATCCAGGAGAGGGGATAACTAAGGACTTGGGAGTAGCTGGCATCACCTGGTGAGACGAGAGTCCTGAACAGCCCCCTCTCCAAGGACAGAAATTTCTCCAAGGAGGCTGACCTGAGAGGTGGGAGGAGAGTGGGGCAGAGGGTCAGGAGGGAGAAACCAGTGGGTGCCAAGACCAGGTCAGCCCCACAGGCTAGGGGGCTTGAGGACTTGGGGCTGATGTCTAGGGACGTCCACGAGGTGGAGCAGCCCAGGAGGCCTGGGTGGGAGGAGGAGGCGGTGGCGGGGAGGGGAGGGAGGGGCTGGGCCTCTGTCCACAGCATTAGTGCTGGTTGGAGGGACGAGGGGGGTGCGGAGCCAGCCAGGCCGCCCTCCCGTTCTCACAGCAGCCGAGCAGAGCGCAGAGCGGGCTGCCATGGCGCTGGCCAGGCCTGGGACCCCGGACCCCCAGGCCCTGGCCTCTGTCCTGCTACTGCTGCTCTGGGCCCCTGCCCTTTCCCTCCTGGCTGGTGAGTTGGGGCCCATGTCTGGAGGGGCCTGGGAGAGGGTCTGTCCCCCAAGACAGATACCCCAAGCCTTGGCTGCTGGGGTGGTGGGTGGGCTGGTCCGCGTGGGTGCAGGCCTGAGCTGTGGGGTGCACAGGAGTGCGCGGCTGTGGCCCCCAGACTCTGTGGGGCTCCACGGAGGTGAGTGTGTTCTGAGGCTCGGGGCTGTTTCATGTTGAGGGGGGTTGTAAGTTTCGGGGTTGGGGGATCGGGGGCTGGGCATGATTTGGGGGAGCTGATGCGGGTGAGGGATGGGGTGCGTGTTTTGGGAGGTGCTGTGTTGCATCCTGTAAAGGGCTGGGGGACTTCTGGGTTTCTAGGGGCTGAGTTTGGGGAGTTGCAGGTGGCATAAGCCTCACCCCAGAGCTTGTTCTGTGTCGCATGCTGGGTTGTGGGGCACAGGTTGTGGGTGTGTTAGAGTTGGGAGGTGGATGAGCTGTCTGGGGTGAGCCGTGAGTTGTGTCCGAGGAGTTGGGTGTGGTGAGCTGTGTCCTAGCACACGCTGTGGGGTGTAGGTTGTCCAGGGTTGAACTAGGTCTTTGCTCTCAACATGAGGGGTGTGGGATGTGCACAGCCGACCCCAACTCGGGACTGAGTGGAGAAGCGTGAGGGAGACTCAGGGAGCTGGGTGCCTGCCCGCACCCCTCCATTTGTGCGGTAGCCCTGCCTGTGCTGAGGGCTGCTGGGGATGCTCTGGGTCCCTGTGGGGTGGCTGGGGATTTGGGAACATGTGTGTGTCCCCTGCTGCCCCCTCCCCAGCATTCCAAGGCCAATCTGAAAGGGCTCCCTGAAGCCAGACCACATTTGCCAAGCCCTTTTTGCTTTTGTCCAAGCTCTCGGAGCCTGGAATTCCTCCTGGGGGGTCCAAGGGAACGCTTGGTGTTAGTTACTATAGTTACAGGGGCCGGGCCTGGGAAGTCCCCTGCCCCCACCACCACAGGCTGGGGAGGGAGCCAAGGAGGGCCTGGGCTCTCCTGAGGCTGGGGGAGCCCTCCCTGCCCCAGAGCTCCACAGGCTGTAGGGTGTGGGGGCCAAGTGTCTCCCAGTCCCACCTGGGGACCCTCATGTTTCCCGCACTCACAAAGCTTTCATTTCCTATCCTCTCTATGGGGCCCTAGGGAGGATGAGGACCCCATTTTGCAGTGAAGGAAACCAAGGCTCAGAGAGGGACGGGGACTTATGAGCTGGGCTCTGCTGGCAGGCGACTTGGGCTCCATAGAGGGGTGGGGCATGGTGGCGGGGGGCGGGGTGGCTGCTCCTCTCTGTTCTCTGCATACAAAGCACGTGAGATCCCGGTCTGTGGATCGGTGCTCTGTCCCCTGCCCTGTGATGCTCACACACCCACACTCCGCACACCTGTGTGGCATGCCCAAGGGCACACAGCACCACAGGGACAGGTGCTACAGACACATGTGGATCTACCAGCACATGCACCTACCTACACACATGGCATGTGCCTGCACACCAATGTGCACACCCCAACACGCACATGTGGACATGTGTGCATTCACACTCAGTGTGCACTCACAGGGGACCTGGAGGCACAGAGTGGATGGAGGCTGTGGGGGGTCTGGACACTGGTGTGTACACTCAACCCATCAGGCCTGCTGGGTTGCCCAGGGGCAGCCTTTCCTCTGCCATTTCTGTGCTGGGAGCGCCATCCCTGGGGATCCCTAAAAGTTGGTGGGGTACACTGCAGGCATGACCATTTCTGCATGCTGGTACCCTAGACTGCCTGCCGGGAGGGGAGGGATTGGGGATTTTGTCACTTGAAAACCAATTTCCATCCTGGAGGGGATGGGGGCTTCTGGAGGCCATGGGCCCCTGGCTTTTCTCCCCACCCCTGCCAGGCCCTGAGCTGGGCCTCTCCATCCTGGGCCCAATTTGCCACAAAGGCCCGGCTGGTTGCCATGGAGAGGACCAAGCATCTTGGAGTACAATGGGGCACGTTGGGCTCTCATATCCACCCTCCCTTCCCCAAACACCCAGGGAGCCCAGCAGACAAAGGGGCAGTGAGTCCAGGCCCCAAGTCCGGCCCCTCCTCCAGCCAGAAGGGGGTGGGGGCCTGCAGGACAGAAGCAGAGATGGAGCAGAAAGCCACACACATTCAACCCAATGTCAGGATCCTTTGGACAGTGGGTGTCTGCCTCAAGTAAAGAATTGTTAATGAGTAAGATCAGCCACTCCATGGCAGGCACTGTGCTATTATTAACGAGGTCTAATTTAATTCTCCCAACAGCCTATGAAGTCAGCTCTGATACCCCTAGTTTACAGAGGAGGTAAACGAGGCCCAGAGATGGCCAGTCCCAGAGCCAGGAAGCCCCAGAGCCAGTGCTGGGATTTCACAGTACACTGTGCTACTTGCCTAGGCAAAGTCACGTCTCTTCTCTGTCTCTACAAAACGAGGACAGACTGGCTTACTCCGAGCGCTGGTATAAGGATTGGAAGAGAATGCAGTGAGCGGTTCCCCACCCCAGGTTTTGGCATGGAACCCCCAATTTCAAGGGAAATTTTAGATGGAAGCCCATGAATAGTTAATAGTAAAATTGTTAAAAGTGGCCTGTTTGGGTGGCAGGTGGGGAACCCCACCTGCTCTGTCTCCCCCTCACTTCAGGAGGTAACTCCCTGGAACTGTGCTCTGAGCCCAAACTCTCAAGGGTTGGTCAGTGCCAGGCACAGGGTAGGTGCTCCGTCCCTGACAGCTATTGTTGCAATTACTGTTATCAAAATTATGTCTTTTAACCTCAGAAGGTAAACATTTTTGAAAAAGAGTATGCCAAATTATTCTGCCCAAAAGAGAATTTCACCCTTTCCTGATGACTGAGTGAGTGTCTGCAAGCCTCCATGGTTATTCAGCCCTACCCTTGTAGGGTAGAGCCTTGGGGCCCAGGGATATTAGATGAACAATTTCTTCCCCTATGCTAGAAGTTCCCACACCTTATGAGATCTTAGGTCGCTTCTTAGAAATATTCTGTCTCTTGATTTGTTGGGACAGGAAGCTTCCCCAGTAAATGCTTCTTTTTTTGTTTGTGGTTTTTCGTTTTTGTTTTGTTTTTTTTTTTTTTTTTTTTTTTTTAAGAAAGGGTCTCACCCTGTTGCCCTGGCTGCAGTGCAGTGGCAAAATCATAGCCCACTGTAGCCTCGACACCCTGGGCTCAAGCCATCCTCCCACCTCAGCCTCCCAAGCAGCTGGGACTACAGGGACCCACCCCATGCTTGGCTTATTTCGTTTTGTTTTCATAGAGCCAGCGTCTCACTATGTTTGCACAGGCTGGTCTTGAGCTCCTGGCCTGAAGTGATCCTCCCACCTCAGCTTCCCAAAGTGCTGGGATTACAGGTGTGAGCCACTGCACCTGGCTTCAGTAAAACACTTCTCATCAGTTGTTGGCTGTTATAAACAGGCCCATTCTAAGTGCATGAAAAGTAGGAGTTACTAATGAGTGAGGCCTGAGACACAGTGGGATTACTGACAGCTGGGTTCTGGATAGACGGGGAAGATTGCCTGCTCTGCCCAGGCTGATATTGGAAGCTGTATTCCTGTGAAAACCTTTAGAGATTTTTTTTTTTTCCTGGGTGAGGCAGCTGTAATGTACTAAAGCAACAATATGTGAGTGGCAATTTAGGGTTTGTAAAGTGAAAATTTCACATGCATTGGGAGATGTGGACCTCTGGGAAATCAGGAGCTGATCTGATTCTTCGTCTCAACCTGGGCAAAATTATCAACCTCTCTGAGTTACAAAAACAGAAATTTTCTTAATGGCACCCACCTTTTCTGGTCTGAATCAAGTATAACAATGTAATAATAGATGCACAGGCCCAAGCACATAGTACACACTCAGTAAACAGCTGGGTCCTCCTGCCCCTCCCCAGGACAGGGCAGCAGGTCGAAGGGGAGGGGCGGGCGTCGGTTAATCCCTCCCTGCCAGGTCGGCCCAGGCAGCCTGAGGTCAGGAGGGATTTGTAAAGATAAGCACAGGCCCCTCGTTGCCCTGGCAACAGGCCCCGCCCCTCCAGCCTGGCCCGGGAAGGGGGGACAGCCCCTCCTCCGCCCTGCTGCCCTCCACACCCCGCCCCTCCTTGCCTCTCCTGTCTGGCCTGGGCTATCGTGGCCTCCTAGGCTCACTCCTGGAAGACAGAGACAACCTGAGGTCAGCGGTTCCCACACCTAAAAGTGAAAGGAATCCCCCAGGAGCAGGTTGCGATGCAGATTCTCAGGCTCAGGGCCCAGTGGTTCTAAATTTGGGGTCTGGAGTGGGTTCCAGGAATCTGTATTCTTAATGTGGGCCCGTGATTCCGGGAAGCTTGGAGTGAGGCCCTGGGTTTGGATTCCAGCCTCCCTTGGGCTGTGGACTGTGAGGCTGCTTCGAGTCTCCCTTTCCTGAGCTGTAAAACAGGCATCATAATCCTATCCACCTCGGAGGTAAATGCCAAGATCAACTGAGATGACACATGAAAGATGGCTGTCCCTCCCAGGCAGGACTGTGGCACTATTGCATGCCTCCCAGGACGGGCAGCTCCTTCCCTTCCTGCCTGGCTCTGACTGGAGAAATTCCTTCCTCCCATGGGGTTGGACTCTGTCTCCCGGGCTCTGTCATTTAGAGCCCATCTGCTCCCATGGTCCTGGGAAGATCCCTTGTGACAAGGCACCTCCCCCGCCCCCCAGGATCCTTTCCCCGGTGCTGCCTCCCCAGCGTGGTCCCAGCTGCTCTGAGATAGGGGGCAAAGCTTCAGATTGGATGGGCGGGGAGGGGGGGGGGTTCCTTGCACTGCACAGGTGAGGGACAGTGCTCTGTGGGAATTAAGTGAGGGACCTGTTGGCACAGGCGCTGGCAGCCGGGGCCCTTTACCATGGGTTATGAGTGCTGCACCCTCCTGAGCAGTGCTGGCCACACCCAGTCCCAGGGCTGTGCCCTGCATCACCTTGGTGAATCCTTTCAACACCTCCATGAGATGGGCACTTTTTGCACCCCAGATACAAACCAGGACTGCCCGATGCCCCAAACCTGTGCCCTTTCCTGGGGGAGCTGGAAGGATGCGGGTCAGGCCACAGGACAGCCCTGCCTGGAATGCGGATGACGCCTGAGAGGCTGCCAGCCTTATCTGGGGGGCTTCACCAGAGTGGGGGAGGGAAGGGTGCAGGGTCTGAGCTGTTCTGGGGTCTGGTGAGTGTCTAGATGACAACCTGGGTGGGGGAGGGGCACCTTTGGGAGCTCCGGATGGGGGTGGGGGGAGGAATGGAGGCTGTGTCTTCTGGAGGCTCTCCTCCCCCATCCCTTACCGAGTTGTTACCAAAAGCAGCCCTTGACTGCGGTGCTGGGGAGCTGAATAGTTCAGCATTTGATGAGGGGATTCTTTTATGATCTAATTTTCAGACTGGGAAACGGAGGCTCTGTAGGAGAAATGACTTACCCAGGGTCTCATAGCTAGGAACTTTCTGAGCTGAAATTGAACCCAGGTCTGTTTCACTTCAAAGCTCAAGTTCTCACCTGGGCATTGTGGTGACAAGGCTCTCAGGAAGGCAGGAGGAGAGGAAGGGGGATGAGGATCTCTGGGCGTGGCTTCCAAGCCGGTTGGTGACCCTCTGTTAGAGCCCCGGTGCTGGAAGCATCATGGTGGCCAGGGGCAGGTGTCCGTGAGCCATCTCAATACCTGCTCTGTACCATGCGACCTTGGCCAGGCCGGCCACTCAGGTGTTTGCTGATGGGGGATGAAATTAGGGCCAGGGACCCTCTAGAAGTTCCTAGGCCAGTGGCTGGCAGGGGGTGGGTAGTGATGTGGAGAAGGGGTAGGAATGAGACCAGCGGAGCACACGATCCCTGCTTTTGAAGTTGTCCACCCATCCTCCAGAGGTTGAGGTCGGGCCCATCTCCAGTTTCACCCAGGGATGGAGTTACCAGACCCCTGGCAGAAGAGGTGGAGGGGGCAGTGGGAGGAGCCTCACCCTCTGGGGCCTCCTTGGATGGATGGGGCCTGCAGGAGGGAGACCCCTCCCCAGGTGGAGCTGAAATAATCCAGATAGACCTTGAAGCCTGTCCCAGCGAACACTAACTTGCTGTGTGAAGTGGACAGGGCTGGGCAGGCTCAGCAAGCCTTCACTTTCTTTCCTGGGCCTCCTTTTGCTGTCTGGTGCAATGGGCATGACGGATACTGCCTCAAAGGGGGACTGCAGGGACAAGACAGTGGAGGGAAGCTCACGGGGCTCAGGGAACCTCTGCTCACTAATCCTGCCCAGAAGCCAGACATCCTTGGTGCTGTTTCTCTGCTATATAGGCTCTCCTAAAACCGTTCCCAGTTCTGGGTGCAGATGTGTGCAGCTTACTGGGACCTGGCTTGCAGACCCCTGGCCCTCTGTCCATACTGTGCATGCAGAGACCCACGTTGCTTTTGGGGTCTGGGGTGGGCCTGAGAGGGTGGGGAGGAGATTGTCCTTGTAACCTCTGCCCACCCTGCCCAGCCAGTTTCTTCTTTCTACAGGGACGGTGCCTTCAGAGCCCCCCAGTGCCTGTGCCTCAGACCCGTGCGCTCCAGGGACCGAGTGCCAGGCTACCGAGAGTGGTGGCTATACCTGTGGGCCCATGGAGCCCCGGGGCTGTGCCACCCAGCCATGCCACCACGGCGCTCTGTGTGTGCCCCAGGGTCCAGATCCCACCGGCTTCCGCTGCTACTGCGTGCCGGGTTTCCAGGGCCCACGCTGCGAGCTGGACATCGATGAGTGTGCATCCCGGCCGTGCCACCATGGGGCCACCTGCCGCAACCTGGCCGATCGCTACGAGTGCCATTGCCCCCTTGGCTATGCAGGTAACAGCCTGGGCCGCCCTGGGAGGAGGTCTGTAATGCAGATCGCATCAGCTGCTCAGAGTGTAAGCATCATGGCTTCAGCTTTGCCTTTCGTGTAGGGACGCCCCCAGGCATCCGGGCAGCTCTAGGGTATATCCACTTGGTCTGACTACAGAACTGATGCCTGGCAGCTCTGGGTGAGAGTATGTATGTGCGGGTGCTGGCGTGGTGTGTGGCGCATCTCAGGCACTCGGTAAATGTGATTTCAGTCCAGCCTAGAGTTCAGTTTGGCTGCGGGGGTGGAATACCCCTCATTCATCTCTGGCAGTGTGAACCTGCCTGGCGTGACTTTAGTGAGGATGCCCAGATAGTCTTTCTAGCACTTCAGGCCTGTGCCAAGCTGTCATGTAGACACTGTCTACACGACAGTCACCATCAGCTCATTTGAACACTCCTGATGTGGTCTGGAGTGCAATGTGGACCCCTGGCCTCTGGGTCTCCCCCAGAGTTCTAGCATAGACATACAAGGTCTCGTTCAAACTGTAGTGTTGACATACCCCAGGGATCGCTGCTGTCTGGAGTGGGATAATATATACGTAAGTGCTCAGAAAAGTGACTGGCACTAAGGGTACCTTCTCCAGAGTGTGGCCCGTCCCAGGCCCACCCATGGTCTGAGCCGAGAACATCCTGGAGCGGCTTCCCAGAGAGGCCTGAAGTCGGGAAGGAGGGCGCAGCTGGGGACAGAAGGGGCGCAGTCTGGGAGCGAAGCTGAGTCCAGGGCAGAGTCTGAGTCTGCAGTGTAGATGCTCTGGATCCTACTTCAATCCTGAATTCAGACAACTGTACTCTGAGGGCAGAGGGCAGTTTGAAGTCACTTCAGAGCAAGAGGTACAGATTGGGGGGCTGGGTTCCAGGGCAGGGGGCCTACAGCGAAGAGATGGCAGCTGATGAAGAGAGATTTGGGAAGCTGGTTCCATGCATCTTTCTCATCGTTCCAGTGTCTCAGCGTCTGGGTGTATTAGTGTACATGCCAGTGCAGGTCACATTCGTCCATGTGTCTCCTAGTTCCAAGTTCTGTTTTGCATCTGTAAAGATCTGCCAGTACCTGGGGGTGTCTGCAGTCTGAGTGCATGTGTGGGCAGTGGGTTGTTCGGGCAGTGGGTTGTGTGGGCAGTGGGTTGTGCGGGCAGTGGGTTGTGCGGGCAGTGGGTTGTGCATCCGGATGTGTAGCACTCACACACTTCGGGTGACTCTTCCTGGGTAAGCTGTGGATGTGAGTGGGGGCAGCATCTGCCGTGACTCATTCTCTCCTCTTTCCATTCCAAGCCGGGTGGGGGAGTTTGGGATTTCCAGACAAGGCCTGGCTCCCCCTGGCACAGAGGGTGGGAGTGGGGATGGGGAGGGAGGAGGGAAGGGTCATGGGAAGGTGGGGCCATGTTTTGTGCTCAATGAACTGAGAAGGGGGAGGGTTCCAGCTGGAGTCAGCTGGGCCTCTGGCCCCCGCTTGACCAAACCCACTTAGGGGGCAGGGCCTGCTGGAGTCTACAGTGACACGTGAGTCCAGGATGATCTCAGGCAGCGTATCTGAAACCCTGGGACTCCCCATCTCCCTTCCTCTTCACCATCACCCTGGGAGAGCCACTCAGCTGTCGTGATTCGCCCAGGACTGCGAGGGTTCTGGGGACTTGGTACTTTCAGTTCTAAAACCAGGACAGTGCAGGGACACTGGGAGGAGTGATTACCCTACTCAAGCATCTCCTGCCTCTCTGGGATCTGAAAGCCACCAGAGTGGACCTTCTAAAAAGTAGGTAGGGCCAGGTGTGGTGGCTCACGCCTGTAATCCCAGCACTTCGGGAGGCTGAGGTGGGTGGATCACTTGAGGCCAGGAGTTGGAGACCAACCTGGCCAACATGGTGAAACGCCTTTTCTACAAAAAAATACAAAAATTAGCCGGGTGAGGTGGCATGCACCTGTAATCCCAGCTACTCTGCAATCTGAGGCACAAGAATCACTTGAACCCAGTGGGCAGAGATTGCAGTGGGCTAAGATTGCAGCACTGCACTCCAGCCTGGGCGACAGAGTGAGACTCTGTCTCAAAAAAATAAAAAACAAAAACAAACCCAAAACAACTAACTAAAATGTAGGTGGGACCAAGTCACTTACCTGTCTGAAACTTTCAGGATGGACCCAGAGGTTACCTGGTCCCCAAGGCACTGACACCTCCCACCCGACTCACCTCCGCCACCCTCTCCCTTGCTTCCAACCCTCCAATAACCCCGCCTAGGGCATCATGGCCCTGCCCCTAGTGGAACTTGCCTCTTGCTGCAGTCTCTTTGGAATCCAACTGCTGCCCACAGTCCCCTATCTGAATCCTTCAAAAGCCTCTTCTTCTAGGAAGCCTTCCCTGAACAGAGCAGACCCCGGCTATTGCTTTCCCAAGACCCAACCCCTTTCCTTGTTGAACTTGGCAACATCACCTAGCTCATTTAGGTAATTACTGGCTGAATCACCCCCCACCATGTCCTGGCCTAGACTGCTGTGAGCCCCATGAAGGCAGGGCTGTCTGTCTCGTTTCTCTCCCTGCGGTTGCTGGCATGACCCGTCCCCCACCCCCCAACCACCACCACCACCATCCGGCTCTGAATGAATGAATCCACGAGTCTCTAACTCTGGAGCAGGCCTGGCGCGACCTCTTCCGCCCTGCTCTGGGTGTCCATCCTGCACCCTGTGTGTCCCCTGCCCTGTCCAGGCGTGACCTGCGAGATGGAGGTGGACGAGTGCGCCTCAGCGCCCTGCCTGCACGGGGGCTCGTGCCTGGACGGCGTGGGCTCCTTCCGCTGTGTGTGCGCGCCAGGCTACGGGGGCACCCGTTGCCAGCTGGACCTCGACGAGTGCCAGAGCCAGCCGTGCGCACATGGGGGCACGTGCCACGACCTGGTCAACGGGTGAGCGAGCGGCGGGGCAGGCGGCAGGGGCGCCGGGTGCCCGAGGGCGGGGAGGCCAGGCGCGGGGCAGAAGGGGCAGGCGCGCGCTCAGCTCCGCCGGTGCGCCCTCCCCAGGTTCCGGTGCGACTGCGCGGGCACCGGCTACGAGGGCACGCACTGCGAGCGGGAGGTGCTGGAGTGCGCATCGGCGCCCTGCGAGCACAACGCGTCCTGCCTCGAGGGCCTCGGGAGCTTCCGCTGCCTCTGTTGGCCAGGTGTGTGCGTGCAGGTGCGCGGCCTGGCGGGGGGAGGGGTAGGTGTGCGCCTGTGCGGCCTGGGGCGGTGGGGCAGGTGTGTGGCTGCACGCGAGTGCCCGCTGGGTCCTCGGGACCAGAGTGTGTGTGTGATTGCAACCTGTCGGAGCCTCAGTTTCCTGATCTACAAAATAGGGCTGATCGTAGCGCCTGCTCCTGGGGTTGCTGCGGGGAGCTCGAAGGTGCGACGCCTGGGAAGCCCTTGGGGAGGGCCTGACAGCTGCAAAGGGCTCAGTAATTAATGCTAGTAATAGTAGTAAGACTAGGCCGGGCGCGGTGGCTCAAGCCTGTAATCCCAGCACTTTGGGAGGCTGAGGCGGGCGGATCACGAGGTCAGGAGTTCAAGACCAGCCTGGCCAACATTGTGAAACCCCATCTCTACTAAAAATACAAAAATTAGCCAAGCATGGTGGCATGTACCTGTAGTCCTAGCTACTCAGGAAGCTGAGGCAGGAGAATCGCTTGAACCTGGGAGGTGGAGGTGAGCAGAGATCATGCCGCTGCACTCCAGCCTGGGCAACAGAGTGAGATTCTATCTCAAAAAAAAAAAAAAAAAATTAGTAGTAAGACTAGTAATAGCAGTAATAGGCCACTGCTGCTGAAGGCTGCCGTGGTCATTCCTGCGGCCCTTAGTGTGTCCCTCCCTCGCCATTCGTGGCTTATTCCGAGCTGCGGTCCCTTGCTGGCCCTCGCTAGCCTGGTCATAGTGAAGAGGTGCTGCCCGGCAACCCCGTGAGACCTGATGTCCGCGTGTGTGTGCCCCCAGGCTACAGCGGCGAGCTGTGCGAGGTGGACGAGGACGAGTGTGCATCGAGCCCCTGCCAGCATGGGGGCCGATGCCTGCAGCGCTCTGACCCGGCCCTCTACGGGGGTGTCCAGGCCGCCTTCCCTGGCGCCTTCAGCTTCCGCCATGCTGCGGGTTTCCTGTGCCACTGCCCTCCTGGCTTTGAGGGTGAGCCCCTGCTGGGGAAGCGGTCAGCCCATGTCCAGATGCCCAGGGAGGGATCTTGTGCCCACCCCCCCACCCCCCCCACCCCCCCACCCCACACCCCACACCCGAGTCTGCCCTCTCTCTTGGACTCAGTCTCTCTAGCTATAGAATGGACCCTCTCAGCCCCTGCCTGGCTCTGAGGGTGCAGGTGGGACCCACAGCTGGGCCTCTTACAGGAGCCGACTGCGGTGTGGAGGTGGACGAGTGTGCCTCACGGCCATGCCTCAACGGAGGCCACTGCCAGGACCTGCCCAATGGCTTCCAGTGTCACTGCCCAGATGGCTACGCAGGTGTCTGGGGTGGGGTGGGCCCTGGGACCATCAGAATTGGTGGTCCTCAGGTGAGAAGGTCCCTTCTGTCTGGATGTGTGGATTGATGGGGTCAAGGAGATCAGGGAGGAGGTGGGTATGGTGGCCCAGGTGACCGCTGAGGGTGGCTGAACTGGGACTCGCTTTGGAGGTGAGACTGGGGCTCAGGAGTGTAGTCCTGGCAGCTGGGGCCATAGTGGGCTGAGGTTGTCTGGGAGAACGTGTGGAGGGATGGTCTTCAGGGAAGACGGAGGTGGTTCAGCCAGGACAGAGAAGGAAAGGGGGGCTATTGCAGAGAGTTAGGGGGCAGCATCTGTAGAAGGATGACTCTGACCTTTGGGGAGCTGGGGCCTGTCAGGCAGGAGTTGGGGGTTCAGAAGTCTGCCCCTGCCTTGGGTACACGCAGATGCACAGACACAGGACCCCGGTGAGCCCAGGGAGCTCCACCGCCAACACTGAACGTCCCTGCCCCCTCTGGAATGCCTGCGACACCTCCCTCACACCCGCCCGCATTCCTGCTGGGGCACACTGCCTCCTCCCCCTGGCAGGCTCCTGGGCACAGGCTCCTCCACCAGGGGAAAGAGATGGTGGTCACCTCTTCCCCTCTCTCACTCGCCTGAAGATGGTGGGACTCAGTGTCCCCCAGCCCTGGATGGCTGACACTCCTGGGGGTCCCGAAGGCCCATCCACTGCCTCCATGGGCCGAGGTTCCCCAAGTCCTGCTCCAAGAGCCATGGCCTCCTGGGTACCTGGCACACAGTGGGCCCACACAGCACGTCTGGCCTCTGGGAAGCATTTGCTCTGCATTTTGTTTTTTCCTTGCCACAGCCCCATGAGGCAGGGGTTTAAAACCCCATCTTACAGCTGAGAGGATGAGGGGGTGTCATCCCCCAGGTTCACCACTATCAGCGGGAACCCGGCTCCTCTCCCAGTTGAGCTCACTGTTGGGTGACAGGGAGGGCAGACCTCTGAGGTCAGAGCCAGGGAGGGGGGACCCCAGCTGCAGGGCTGGGCTCTTTGCCCATCCTCCCTCCCTTTAGGCCATGCTGGGCATGGGGGAGGCCAGTGCCTGGCATTCCTGAGCAGGCTCCGAAGGAGGCAGCTGGGCCAGGCAGGGAGCTCTGCCTCCTCCCCACTTCCCCAGCCTCAGTGCCCGCCCACCACTCTCAACCTGTCTGGAGGGCATGGCAATGGAGCCGGGGGCTCTGTGGACCTTCCTGGGCCACCTGTGGCTCCTGGCAGGTATGGAGGAATGTGGGCCCTGGGCAGGGGGAGGTTGGTGGGTGGTGGTTCCTAGGAAGAGGCTGTGGTGTTTGTGAGCTGATCGAGGCTGGGCTTCAAACCCTGGTGACTTCTCTGGGCCTGGGTTCCTCCAGCTGGGATGTGGCTCTGGCTGAGCTACAGTGGGCTATGGCTTCTGGACCCAAGCTGGGGCCTGAGCACCTGAAGGGATCCCTAGAGGGAGGATGAGGCAGCCCCTTCACAGCCAGTGTGGGGGCCCTGGGGCAGAGGGACTGAGGGGTTAGAGCCTGGGAGGCCACTCAGAGTGCCTTGGGTACTTGCACTACCCCACTAGCTCCTCCATGCCATCACTCTGTCCATAAAAGCCATGTCAGGCCCTTTGCTGGGCACCAAGGACATATTCAGGTCCCTGAAGATCTCAGCTGAGTAAACAAATACTTTTAATACAGGGTTCTGGGGAGCTGTGCCTGGGACTGCAGAGTGACACAGTAGTTTGAGGTTGGGAGTTAGGGAAAGCCTCTGGGCCCTTTGAGTTTGGGCTTTGCAGGATGAGTAGGAGTTTGAAAGGAAGGGTAAGGGTGAATGAGGCATTCCAAGCAGACAGAACAGTATGAGCAAAGCCCCAGAGTCACGACTTTCCAGGAAATGCTCGGAGGAATGGGACGTTCAAGATTTGTGGGAAGCAGGATTGAGGCTTGAGAGCCTGGTAGGACCCAGCCCATGAGGGTGTCTTAAATGTCAGGGTGAGTGATTGGACTTCAGGCGGCAGAGGAACCCAGCCTGGCGATGCTTTAGAAATGGACCTCTGGCTACTGGTGGAGATGGATGGGAAAGGGCTTCTGAAGGCTGGCGAACTGGGGGATGCGGGATGGTAGCCCAGACAGCTGGTAAGGCAGGAGATGGGGGGTAGGAGAAAGGGGCATTGGAGAATGTTTAGGAGATTAAATCTACAGGGCCTGGACACTCACCAGACATGAGAAGGGAAGGGGCATCTTGGCTTCTGGCCTACGGGGGGACTTGAGGGGACCATGAGAAATCCTCTGGGAATTGGTTTGGCTGATAGGTACTGAGGTCCCCATCATAAGAGGCATGTAAGTTCTGGGTCAGTACTGTGATTCTGGCCCCAGACATTACTGAACCTTGGCTTTGTCTCTCCCAAAGGGCCGACATGTGAGGAAGATGTGGATGAATGCCTGTCGGATCCCTGCCTGCACGGCGGAACCTGCAGTGACACTGTGGCAGGCTATATCTGCAGGTGCCCAGAGACCTGGGGTGGGCGCGACTGTTCTGTGCAGCTCACTGGCTGCCAGGGCCACACCTGCCCGCTGGCTGCCACCTGCATCCCTATCTTCGAGTCTGGGGTCCACAGTTACGTCTGCCACTGCCCACCTGGTACCCATGGACCGTTCTGTGGCCAGAATACCACCTTCTCTGTGATGGCTGGGAGCCCCATTCAGGCATCAGTGCCAGCTGGTGGCCCCCTGGGTCTGGCACTGAGGTTTCGCACCACACTGCCCGCTGGGACCTTGGCCACTCGCAATGACACCAAGGAAAGCTTGGAGCTGGCATTGGTGGCAGCCACACTTCAGGCCACACTCTGGAGCTACAGCACCACTGTGCTTGTCCTGAGACTGCCGGACCTGGCCCTAAACGATGGCCATTGGCACCAGGTGGAGGTTGTGCTCCATCTAGCGACCCTGGAGCTACGGCTCTGGCATGAGGGCTGCCCTGCCCGGCTCTGTGTGGCCTCTGGTCCTGTGGCCCTGGCTTCCACGGCTTCGGCAACTCCGCTGCCTGCCGGGATCTCCTCTGCCCAGCTGGGGGACGCGACCTTTGCAGGCTGCCTCCAGGACGTGCGTGTGGATGGCCACCTCCTGCTGCCTGAGGATCTCGGTGAGAACGTCCTCCTGGGCTGTGAGCGCCGAGAGCAGTGCCGGCCTCTGCCTTGTGTCCACGGAGGGTCCTGTGTGGATCTGTGGACTCATTTCCGTTGCGACTGTGCCCGGCCCCATAGAGGTCCCACGTGCGCTGATGGTGAGGAATAAGCCAGGTGGGAAGGCAGCACCTGAGATCTGCCTCCCTCAGCCTGCAGGCCTCACACCTGGCACCTTCTCTCCCTGCAGAGATTCCTGCTGCCACCTTTGGCTTGGGAGGCGCCCCAAGCTCTGCCTCCTTTCTGCTCCAAGAGCTGCCAGGTCCCAACCTCACAGTGTCTTTCCTTCTCCGCACTCGGGAGTCCGCTGGCCTGTTGCTCCAGTTTGCCAATGACTCCGCAGCTGGCCTAACAGTATTCCTGAGTGAGGGTCGGATCCGGGCTGAGGTGCCGGGCAGTCCTGCTGTAGTGCTCCCTGGGCGCTGGGATGATGGGCTCCGTCACCTGGTGATGCTCAGCTTCGGGCCTGACCAGCTGCAGGACCTGGGGCAGCACGTGCACGTGGGTGGGAGGCTCCTTGCTGCCGACAGCCAGCCCTGGGGTGGGCCCTTCCGAGGCTGCCTCCAGGACCTGCGACTCGATGGCTGCCACCTCCCCTTCTTTCCTCTGCCACTGGATAACTCAAGCCAGCCCAGCGAGCTCGGCGGCAGGCAGTCCTGGAACCTCACTGCGGGCTGCGTCTCCGAGGACATGTGCAGTGTAAGTGTCTGGTGGCGGTGGTGGTGGTGGGGTGGGGAGTCCTTTTCCCAGGATCTGTCCTGTGTCACCGGGGCTTAGTGTGTCCTTTTGCTGATGAGGAAACTGAGGCTCAGGAGGTGAAGTGACCTGCCCAGGGTCCCACTACAGGAGGGTGGCAGGGCAGATTTACATCTGTCTCTTCAGCCCAGCTGCTCCTACCCTCTGGCGGTCCCCGTGTCTCCCCGAGCTAGTCCTGGTGTGAGAGAGACACCCTGACCGAGATAGAGAGCTGCCTGAGCCTTTCTGCAGGAGCTACTTGGGGAGCGGGACACGCTTTTGATCATGAACAGAATTCCACCAACCCTGGAGTTAGAACAGCTTGGGCATGAATTCTGGTTCCTCTCTTTACTGGCTGGGTGACTCAGGCAAGTGGCTTTGCATCACTGAGCCTCAGTTTTCTCATCTGTAAAATGGGGATCTTAGCGACTTCCTCTCCCCTCGTTTGTGAGGAGATACTGTGTCTGTAGTAGGTGCTCAGCGAAGAAGCACTGCAATGCCAGTTATGGTGGGTGATGCTCACTGCAGTCCTGAGCCAACCCCTGCCCTGCCTCTCCCACAGCCTGACCCCTGTTTCAATGGTGGGACTTGCCTCGTCACCTGGAATGACTTCCACTGTACCTGCCCTGCCAATTTCACGGGGCCTACGTGTGCCCAGCAGCTGTGGTGTCCCGGCCAGCCCTGTCTCCCACCTGCCACGTGTGAGGAGGTCCCTGATGGCTTTGTGTGTGAGTGTGTGTCCTGGGCAGCTCCCGTGCTGGGTGCTGGACACCTAAGCTGGTTAGATCCCATCTGCACTCTCAGGGCTTGTAGGATACTGGTGGACCAGGCATGCCAAGCCCTAGGGCAGTGTGGCGGGGCCACCGCATGTAGAGGGACAGAGTTTCTGGAGAAGGTGAGCCTGTACTGGGCTTCAGGGCCAGACTCTGAGAGCCACAGGGGGAAGGATATTTTATGGAGTGGCATAGCATGTGCCAAGTCCCTGAGGTCTGCAAGGACAGTGGAAGTGCAAGGGGGTGAGCAGGAATGGGGTGGGAAAGTTGGTAGGGGCTTTGAGGACACCCAGCTAGGCGGCTCTGACTTTATCCCAAGGACAGTGGGGAGCCTCTGGAGGGTTTTAAACAGGAGAGGGGCATGACCAGATCTGCATTTTACAAAGATGACTGGCTGCAGTGAAGGGCAAGCCTCGGCCATGAGGTGGGGCAGCTTCACGGAGAAGGGAAGGGGCCAGATTCTGCCAGGAGTTGCTGTTGCCTGGCTTGTGACCTGGAGGGTCGCCTAGGCATCACGCCCCACCCCCCAGCACTGGCCGGGAACTGCTCCTCCATGGGTAGGAAATACATTGGGAGTAGAAGTGAGGGTGGTGGGGGCGGCTGCAGTTTCCAGGATTAGATGATAGGTGGGTGCGTGTGCCCCACCCCAAGTAAGTGGCTGTCTGCCACTCGCTGGGGGAAGTGGGGAGGTGGCATTTCTGGAGAAGGCTCCGTGGGCTATTCCCTGAGGCTCCTTCTCTCCGCAGGTGTGGCGGAGGCCACGTTCCGCGAGGGTCCCCCCGCCGCGTTCAGCGGGCACAACGCGTCGTCAGGGCGCTTGCTCGGCGGCCTGTCGCTGGCCTTTCGCACGCGCGACTCCGAGGCCTGGCTGCTGCGTGCCGCGGCGGGCGCCCTGGAAGGCGTGTGGCTGGCGGTGCGCAATGGCTCGCTGGCGGGGGGCGTGCGCGGAGGCCATGGCCTGCCCGGCGCTGTGCTGCCCATACCGGGGCCGCGCGTGGCCGATGGTGCCTGGCACCGCGTGCGTCTGGCCATGGAGCGCCCGGCGGCCACCACCTCGCGCTGGCTGCTGTGGCTGGATGGTGCCGCCACCCCGGTGGCGCTGCGCGGCCTGGCCAGTGACCTGGGCTTCCTGCAGGGCCCGGGTGCTGTGCGCATCCTGCTGGCTGAGAACTTCACCGGCTGCTTGGGCCGCGTGGCGCTGGGCGGCCTGCCCCTGCCCTTGGCGCGGCCCCGGCCCGGCGCGGCCCCTGGCGCCCGAGAGCACTTCGCGTCTTGGCCTGGGACGCCGGCCCCGATCCTCGGCTGCCGCGGCGCGCCCGTGTGTGCGCCCTCGCCCTGTCTGCACGACGGTGCCTGCCGTGACCTCTTCGACGCCTTTGCCTGCGCCTGCGGCCCGGGGTGGGAAGGCCCGCGCTGCGAAGCCCACGTCGACCCCTGTCACTCCGCCCCCTGCGCCCGTGGCCGCTGTCACACGCACCCCGACGGCCGCTTCGAGTGCCGCTGCCCGCCTGGCTTCGGGGGCCCGCGCTGCAGGTGGGATGGCTGGGCAGGGGGGTGGGCTGCGAATGCCCCCTGGGGCTATGGTGGGGCAGAGAAGTCTGCCAGGTCTGTGGATGAGTCGCTTCCCTTCCCTGGTCCTCATGTCCTTATCTGTGACATGAGGAGGACAGTTTAATTTGATAAATTTCCTGATAAAATACAGATCAAAACACAACCAGTTAGCCTGGAATTTCAGATAAACAGCGCTGTGGTCTGGGGCTGGGAGCCGCCTGCCGCTTACACGGAGGTTCATCCCTATTGGTGGCTGGTTGGGGTGGAGGGAGGGGGTCAGGCTTTGGCGCTTCCCTTATTCATCTGGCAGTGGCTCTCCCGGGAGCCCAGCGTGTGGAAGGGGATCTGGCTGTGGCCTGACCCCTCCCTCTCCCCTCAAGGAATGTCCAGGCGTTGTGTTTAGGAGCTGCTTTTGTTCAGAGTCCTTACACTTTGTTGTCCTGAGTCCTCTGAGACTCTGGAAAGCGAGTGCAACCCTGTGTCCCTTCCCTCCCATCAGGGACCTCAATCCCATGCCCAATAGAGGAAGGCCCTGAGTTCCATACATGAGAACACAAGCTCAGGTGGCCCACGGTCACAGCGCTGGGGAGGGCAGGTCCCAGGTGTCCTGCACCCACTCCAGCCTCTGCTCTCTCCCCAGGTTGCCTGTCCCATCCAAGGAGTGCAGCCTGAATGTCACCTGCCTCGATGGCAGCCCATGTGAGGGTGGCTCTCCCGCTGCCAACTGCAGCTGCCTGGAGGGTCTTGCTGGCCAGAGGTGGGTCTGGGGGCCTGGGAACTGTGAGGAGGTCCAATGAATGTGGAGGGCTGTTCCTCCAGCCAGGGTGGGGCGGGGGTCCTCGCCCACCTTCTCACCCCTCCCTGGTATCACAGTCACCATTGTCACTTGAGTTTCCTTCCATGACTCGCAAGACCATCCTCTGTGATACAGACTGCTGCTGGGCAGTGGTTGCCTGGTGGCAGTTCTGGAAACCCAGCCTCAGCCCGCCTGTGGGAGACCATAAAAGTGCAGATTCTGGGCCCTGCAGACAGTGGCGTCAGCGTCTGGGGCACCTGCCTTCACACAGGCTCCCGTCACCCTAATGGGATGAGAGTCCTTCTCAGTGACGGCTGCTCAGGTGGTCACCTGGCAGGGCCCAGCTGGGCAGGAGCAGCGCATGGGGACAGTGGATGGATAAGCTCTGATGCTTGCTGAAGTGGGGATGGGCAGCAGAGCAGCTGGGAGCACAAGAGGCAGCCATGGGGGAAGCCGCTTTCTCAGCCCCCCTCCCTCTCCAGGTGTCAGGTCCCCACTCTCCCCTGTGAAGCCAACCCCTGCTTGAATGGGGGCACCTGCCGGGCAGCTGGAGGGGTGTCTGAATGTATCTGCAATGCCAGATTCTCCGGCCAGTTCTGTGAAGTGGCGGTGAGTGTTGTCAGGGGTGAGGGGCCGTGGACGTGGCCTGCTGGGCCCTTGGCGAGATGCTGCTGGGGAGAGAGCGCAGCACCATGGGGCTGTTCCTGGGCCACTCTGTCATGGGGTGGGGCAGTGAGAGGAGCCTCAGGTCCCTTCCACACCCCCCACACAAGAGGTATTTCCACTGCAGGGAGAGCTTTGGGGGCTGTCACCGTCTATTGACAAGAGCACAAAGCTCCTAGCTGGGTCAGCGGCTTCCTCAGAGTGCCCAGGGCAGTGGCAGTGAGGACAGATGGTCTCTGCCAATCCAACCAGGACTCAGGGCCATGTTGGTGTTCTGGGATTTAGGTTGGTGAATCCAGGAGACTCATCTCCAGGGGTTTCTGAGCCAGTGTCCTGAGTAGGAAGACACGGAGGGGCAGGGGGCCTGGGAGTCCGCACTGGAGCAGGCTCGGCCCGCTGTGCAGGCTGGCCCCAACCCCGGGTGGCTCAGCCCAGGAGGAGCCTGGACAGACGAAGGCAGCAGGCGCTGGAGCTGTGAACCTCCCCGCCACACCCCTTCCTGGGGCGGGGTGGGGGGAGTGGGTGCTGGCGAGGAGAGGCTTGGAAGGGAAGTCTGGGGAGCAGCCTTGATCTCTACAGGCTTCTGGCAGCCTGGGTCATAAACCACAAATCCCCTCCGCTTACGGGGAATGTTTCCTTTCAAGTTGAACTTTTACAGCCTCTGGCTTCCCTACCCAGCCACCTCCCCAGGGCAGGGGGAGGAAATGGCTTTACAGCTCCTCCCTCAAAATGTCCAACGGTGGAGGCTGGCAGGACCCTCTCAGGACCAGAGGAACTTTCCTGTCAAGTTTTAGGACCCAGGTCACAGTGGGCTGGGAAGCCTGGAGGTACAGAGGGAGGCTGGTGAGTCCCAGAGCCCATGCCTCTGGAATCCTCGCATCCTGGGACTACAGAGTCCCAGGCATGTAGAGGCTTTGATGGGGAATCCTGGGAGCCTGTGACTGGAGACACCAGGGAGGTTTGCTGGGCTCCCCGAAGCCTGGGCCGAGGCTCGCAGGGACAAGCTGTCATAACAGCCCCTCGGCCCCCCTGCCACCCTGCCCCCGCAGGTGGGCCCCAGTGGATTCTGACCTTGCTATTGTGGCAGGGGGCCGCTCAGCCTGCCCCTGCTCCTGCTCTGCCTCATGAGACCCTCGTAGGCTTCTGTGAAACCCATGCACCCTGCTTAGCTCCTGCCGGGTGTTCAATAAACGCCCATCTCTGTCCTTCTAGCCAGAACTCCTTTGTTGTATAGGCCTCCCCGAGCAGTGGCTGTGACAGGTGGTTTCCTGGCACTTGCCTGCATACCCCTGGGGCTGGGTCTTCACTGCTCCCAGGGCAGCCTGCTCCCAGCTCTGATTTTCTCTGAGTAGGTCCTTGTGCTGCGCTCTCTGCTCTCTGAGGGCCCCGGCGTCCTCCCCTTCTCTGCGGTCTTAGGCCTCGGTGTCGTGTCTCTTGCAGAAGGGCCTGCCCCTGCCGCTGCCATTCCCACTGCTGGAGGTGGCCGTACCTGCAGCCTGTGCCTGCCTCCTCCTCCTCCTCCTGGGCCTCCTTTCAGGGATCCTGGCAGCCCGAAAGCGCCGCCAGTCTGAGGGCACCTACAGCCCAAGCCAGCAGGAGGTGGCTGGGGCCCGGCTGGAGATGGACAGTGTCCTCAAGGTGCCACCGGAGGAGAGACTCATCTAGGCCAGCCTGGCTGCTGGCACCAGCACCTGGAGGTCCTGAATGGTTTCTACCTGGAGACCCAAGGAAGCTGCTTCCAGGGCTCGGGACATTGCTACGGAAGTGTCCCCTTGGCTGGCAGCCTCTGCCTCTGCCTCTGCCCCATCCTGGATGGAGGACGAGGGGAGCAACTCAGGGAAACAGAGGCCTAGAGAGGCTGCGGACTTCTCCATCCCACCCTCGGGGTTCCGCCTTGGCAGGTGTACGGCTGTGCGTGGGAGGGCACACGTGGGTTCACAGTGTGTTCAGGAGTGTGTGTATCTGGAGGAGTGTGTGTGTGAGTGTGTACCTGGGCCTGTGTTAGTCTGCAGATGCTAGTGTGAGTGTGTCCTGACATGGCTCCAGGGCGTGTCTGCCGTGTTTACTGTGTGTCTATGACTGTGATGGGTGTAGCTGATCCCAGGAGGTGGCGGCTGCGCCATGGGGTCAACCATTACAGTCCTAGGGCAGGGGCGGCCCAAGGCTGCATGTTCTCCAGGAGGCCAGGCCGGGGTTGCCCAGGCACCTCCTTCCCCGCCTCTGGGGGCTGCTCCTGCTGTGGAGGCAGCTGGGAAGTCAGGGAAGGCCACTAGCAGAGGCTGAGTGGGCTTCTGGCTCCTAGAACAAATGTCCCTTCAGGCAGGTCTGTCTGCCAGAAGCCAGAGCCAGTCATGCGAGGGAACCACAGACCCACCCGCCCCCTCAGCCGGAGCAGCCCGAGGGAGCAGAGGAGGGGCTGCCTGGAGCTTCCCACCCTGCTGTGGTCATTTGTCAAAGGGGGAAGGCACCCACTGCCTACCTCACAGGGCTGTTGTGAGGATCAGAGAGGACGACAGTGGGGAAAGAATCTGGAAGTCTTCAACTGCCGTCTGATGGGAAGGACCGTCTGGGTGTCCTTCTGGGATGAGGATGACAGAGCAACCCTTCTCCTGCCCTGAACCCCCCCAGCTCACCTGACCACCTCTGGTTCTCCAGCTCCGGTCCTTCCTAGCAGCCTGGTGAGCTCACTCCTTCCCCTGATGACTGGCTGCCTCTACACAGACTCGGCGAGAGGACTTGAAGGAAGCCCTCTGGGTTGTCTGCTGAGTACAGGGGCTCAGTGAACACTGGCGCTGCCTCTGAGTCGGGGCTGGGCCTGCAGAGGCCGACTCAGAGGAGACTCTGCTGCTTGCTCCCAGCCCCTTCCCCGGCGATGCCCATCACACTGTGACCTCCCATCCCTGAAGGGCACCTGCCTGAGGGCCTGGCCTCCTTCCAGCTTCATGGACCTGGAGATGTGCCCTTTCATCCTTCCTGCTTCCCAGGCCAGTAGATCCGTTTACACTTTTGGGTCGACAGTCAGCTTTTCCTTTTGGTTTTGGCGGGTCCCAGAGGCATGGGTGTCCAGTCCAATGTGGGGAGCCACGTGACAACGTGGGGGACTGGGACATGGGACTGGGAAGTCAGCAGACGCTGGGATAGAGAGGGCCCTGAACACCAGGCTCAGGGGCTTGCTTGGTCCTTATCCTGTAGGAGGTGGGACCACCTTTCCCTGAACTTTCTCTACAACCCTTGGGAGCGTGGGGAGGAGGCGGCTGGTTCCAGGGTCAGTTTACTAAGTTAGAGATTTGGAAAACCTGTGTCAGCTGTAACTCCTAGGATATTTTATGTGGAACCTAACATGCAGATGAAAGCTGGCTGTCCCCTGTCCTCTTCCTGGCTCCTGTGGGTTCGGGTGCCTGTTTTTTGTTTTTTTTTTTTTTTTTTTTTTTTTTTGAGATGGAGTCTAGTTCTGTCACCCAGGCTGGAGTGCAGTGGCGAGATCTCGGCTCACTGCAACCTCCGCCTCCCAGGTTCAAGCAATTCCCTGCCTCAGCCTCTGGAGTAGCTGGGATTACAGGTGCCTGCTTTTAGTAGAGACGGGGCTTCACCATCTTGGCCAGGCTGGTCTTGAACTCCTGACCGACCTCGTGATCCACCTGCCCCGGCCTCCCAAAATGTTGGGATTATAGGTGTGGGATGACAGGTGTGAGCCACCGCGCCCGGCCCGCGTGCCTGTCGTTTTCAGCCTGTCAGTCAGTCAGTCCTGCAAGTGGGGGCATGGTCAGATGATGGGCGAGTCGGAGGGGGTGGGTGGTGTGACTGGGCATGTTCCACGCTCACTATGGGGTGGTCGATTGGTCTGCATTCCCCCGCCCGCCTCCCCGCAAACACCAGCGTCCAACAGAGGCAGAGTCCCAGGCTCTGTTCTTGCTAATGAGAGACCTGTGGGGGCGACTTGCCAGGTGTCCCCTTGAACTCTTTCCTGGCTCCTGGGTGCCCTCAACGTCGTTGGAGGCCTGCAGTCTGCCCCATGGCCCCCGCAGGGCTGAGCAGGCCTGTTGCCAGCCCAACCCCGTGCCTGGTCTGTGAGGGGCAGAGCATGAGCTGGCTTAGAGCCCTGAGTGGGCACCGGCTTGGGAGGGTGCGGGGAGTTGACTCCTTCCCTAACTGCTCTGCGCCTGGCCCCTGCCTCTACAGGAGCAGGTGGTGAGGATGGCTCCGGGCCCGTGTGGGGCCTCCCCGACCCAAAAGCTTCAAGGACACGGGGATGCCAGCCTCTTCCCCAAGATGATTTTATTGAATGCACACAAAGTTCATCCTTGGGTTTGCAAAAAGTCCCACAAGTGAAGAGGCAGCAGTGCTCATGTGAACATGGAGCGCTCACCCCAGCCCCTCAGCACAGCCAGGGGGCCTTGGGGTACACACCCTCCTTCCCTGGGGCCGCCAGCACCTCCTCTGCCCTATCCCGGATGGGGCCTGGGGGTCTGCCCAGGGTGCGAAACTGGAATCTATGCTGAAACACCTAAGTGCCCAGGAGGTGCCCCCATGGCCCAGGAGTGACACGGCTCCCCCAGCAGCCAGAGCCCATTCCTGAGCCAGACAGGTCACGGTTGACCCAGGAAGAGCCATGTGCCAGGATGGCCGCCAAGCCTCACTGAGCATGTGCAGCAGTGGCAGCCTCTCAGACATAGAGGGGGCTCCCTGGGTGACATCTCCAGAGACCCCCTTGTCCCCCAGACACCCCTGGGTAGACTGTGTCTGACCCTTCACAAATAGGAAATGAGAGCTCGGGTCGAAATGCTCACAATTTCCTGCGTGTCTCAGATGGTTGTTTTCTTAAATGGTCGGGCCATACTTTAACTTGGTTTATGGAAATGAATCCATTTCAAGATTCATCAAATCAATAAGGTAAAAAGGAAAAAGAAAGATAATAAACATTCAATCTAACTTTGGTGACGTTGGCCTCAGGAATTTCTGTGCTGGCCTGGAGCTCTGGGCAGGTGGGGAGGGACTGGCTTCTAGCCCTCCTCCTGCTTCCCCGAGGCAGAGACCAAGTTTGTCCTTTCTACCTGGCCCTGGAGAAGGGGCTCAGGGCCACTGCCTCGTTCCAACCCAGGAAGGCCAGCTGCCTTCCACATCAGTCTGAGGCATTCAGCTTGACCTTTTTGGGTTGAAATCTGGGTTGCAGCTTCTCAGCTTTGCCCACAAAGCTCCAGATGACAAGAGGCTGAGCCCCAGCTTTGACAGTGAGGGGAGTACCTGGAGGTATCAGCGTGCCAGAGCTGGATGAGGGCTGGGGGCTCCTCCCAAAATACTCAGATGGGGGTTTCCATTTTCCTTCTATAAATCAAAGTTGCTGGTGCTCGCAGCCCCCGTGCAGGGTGGCTGGGGCTGTGTATCACAAGGCAGCCCAAGACCCCCTGGTCCCCAGATCCTCCCAGGTCAGAATCAACTGAAGTTTTGGGGTGAAGACACAGGAAAGAACGTGTGTGTATATTGCTAGAAACAGTCTGGAAGTGCCCCACCAGGTAAATCCTCCAGCCCAGGAGGAGTCCTAACTTCAACCCCAAGCTACCTGTGTCTCGTGCAGATGAGCTCAAACTGGAGGGTAACCCTGTCACCTGTGTCCGAGGAGGTGGGCGTGCAGGGCCTGGCTGTGGAGGAGACAGGAGAGCTGGGCTCGGAGGGGAGGCCTTCGGAGCCTCTTGGGACACTTCCGGGGGAAGGTGGGTAGGACTCGGTCTGGAGCAATATCATTGGCCCAGCTGACCTCTTTAGTGCAAAACCCAATCAAGGGTGCCGAGGAGAGGCAACCGCGGGGTGGGATGGGCACTCAGGAACTGGGTTGATTCCCAGGCTGGAACTGGTGCCATTCCCCAGGGCCAGACATCAGAGATGGGCAGTGTGGAGGGGAGGAGGGGGCAGCAGAGAGGGGTCCCATCCCTTCCCACCAGCAGAACCTGGGCAGAGAGAGAGTGGCGGGGGAGCCTCGGAACCGCAGCAGTGGACGGACCCTCGGGCCTCGGTGCATCCCCCACCCTCAGGGCCCGGCTCACTCGAAGGTCTCCCACTGCTTCCTGAGCTGCTCCACCGAGTCTGGGGCCGGGGCCAGGGCCGGACTCGGGCTCACGTCTTGCTTGGTTTTCTGTAACAAATCCTCAAAGGGGTCTCTGGCCTGTTGAGGAGCAGAGGGCTGCAGTGTTGGCTCCAGGCCTTGAGGGGGCCTGGGAGGCAGAAGCGGGGGGTCTCCAGGCCTCAGGGCCAGCCCCTGCTTGGTCTCAGCAGCCCTGGCACTTGAGCGGGCCAGGGGCAACGTTCGGATCCTCGACGGGGCAACTGCTGGGGGACCCAGCGGCTGTAGGGGGCTCGTGTGGGTGCCCATGGGCATCTGGCCAAAGAGGTTGGGCATGGAGAGGGCGGAGAGGTTGGGCTGAGACCTGTGAGGGGCACAGAAGCCAGCACTGGACAGCAGGAGGCCGGACGCAAAAGCCGGCCCCAGGGAAGCTGGAGGGGCCCCGAAAGGCCCGGCTGGTGTGGAGACCAGGGGCAGGGTGGGTGGGGCTGCTGGCATGGATGGGACAAAGGGGTTGAGTGGTGGCTGTGGGAATGGGGTGGGTGTCCCTGCAGGGGGGAAGCTGAATTGGGGGGTGAATGGGGTGGCTACATTCGGGGTGGCGGGGCGTGACGGGAGGGTGCTGCCTGACCAGGCTGTGCTGAGCGGGTCCAGGAGGGCGAGCAGGGCGTCACTGCTCGTGCCTGCAGCCCCGGGGCCAGGGCTGAGCGGCTGGAGCAGTTCAGTGGGGCCTTGGGGGACAACACCAGGCAGGAGCCCTGGACTCAGGGCAGCTCGCCTGTCCCGATCCGTCTGCAGCCGCTCTGAGACGTCACCAAGTGCGGCGCCGGCAGCCTGGAGCTTGGCCGGGCGGGGAATGGGCGGTGGAGGCACGATGCCCAGCTCTGGGGTCTTCCTGCCTTGGGGCCGGGGGATGGTGATGCTGCCCAGAGTAGGGGTGGGCACCTCCTCCTTGTCACTGGGGTTCAGGATGCTGTCCCGGTTCTGGGGCCTTCGAGGCAGGGCCAGGGAGTTTCCGAGCAGGGCTGAGGGCTTCTCAGGGGAGGCAGCTGGGGGCTTGCTGGGGATGGCCATGTCGTCCTGGCCCAGGCTCCAGAGCTTGTTGTACGGGTGGGTAAGCTTCAAGGCCACTGTCACCCCGCGGCTCCTCTCACTCCCGCCCAGATCCAGCCTCTGTTGGGAGGGAAGGAGGGCGGCAGTGACCACGGGCTGAGTTGGGACATATGTGTGCCCATTCCCACACCACTTCTGTGTGCTGAATGTGTGCTGGGCCTAGTTGTGTGGCTGATCAGCTCCTCGGACTTGGAACAGCTGAGGGCTCCCCCAGGTTACCAGCAGAGGACCCACGTGTGCTGGGACTCCAAGCCTGTGCTCCGGGAACTCAAGACAAAGCTCTCGTCCCTTTATGCCAGTGGCGGTTGCCAAGGAGTTTTAGGAAAGTGACTCCAGCTACCGGCTGGCCCTTTTTACTTTTTAGATCGCAGGCACCCGCAATCACCTGTAAGCCCGGGGGCGCGAGTGAGACTCAGGGCCTGGTAGGAGGCACCTTGGCTGGGGAGGAAGGAGGAGGCCAAGTTGGAGTCCTGGCTCTGCCACTTGCAAGCCACACGGCCCGGGTGCCAGTCCCTTTCTCCTGGCCCAGGTCCTCGTTCCCAGCAGGGAACACTCATGAATGACTGGAGCTCTGTGAACCCCACGGTGTGACCCAGTGATGCAAAGTCAGAAGACCCCACTTGCAAGTGAGGAAACTGAGGCACCGAGCGGGGATGTGATGGATTAGACGTCACAGTGGGAATTACACACTGATTTGCATTCATAATGCAGAGCCAAGAACTTGCATCCACAGGCTCTGCCAAGGAGCCCTGGCAGGGATGGACGCAATCCCGGTTCCAGCAGGGGCTGCAGCCCTGCCTGGGGGTGCGAGGAGAGTGGCTGGCAGCACCCGCCCCCCCGTCTGATGCACACACAGAGTGGGGCAAGTTTCCATCGGGCTCTAGCATCTTCTCCTACCGTCACTGTTAGGGTGGTGTGGGCCCCGGCACCCTGGGAGGTGTTTACAGTCACACTGACCCTGAGCATTGGCTGAGGGTCTTGGAAAGTCACTGTTTCTCCCTTAGTCTCTTCCACTGTCACATGGGGATCCCACCTCGTGTGCGGACAGTGCCGGCCCCCGGCCGATACCCTCCCTTGCCCATGCCATACCTGATAGTCAAAGGTCCCTGGCTGCTCCCTCAGGTCTTTGGGGGCACGAAGGTCCTCTAAGCTCTTGGCCTGGCCCAGTGGCTGCAGTGCGGCCTCCATGTCCAGGTTGCTGAAGACGTCTTCCAGAAGGTCGATGCTGGCAGCCCGGTCAGGGGGAGCTGGGACAGGGCCTGTGGACTTCCGCACTTGCTGCTCTGGACTCTCTGCCTCGTCGCCTTCCGCGCTGTCTGACTCCCTGAGTGTCCGATACGGCTGCGGCCTGTCGGGGACAGAGCAGGCTGCACTCTCCCACCCAGGCCTTCAGGGGAGGAGCAAGCGGACTCCAGCCCAAGCACATTGAGGGCTTGAGGGGTGCACGCAGGGGCCTGCGGGACAGGAGAGTGTCCCGGGGTCTCCGTGAGGGCAGGAGTCTGGGAGGCTGCGAGGGTGCAAGCTGGGCATGCCGATGGGCCTGGGGCTGTGAACCAGGGCAACTCGCTTTGGCTCTCACTTGCACTCAGGGGACCCATTTAGTGCCCCCCAAACTACAGGTCCTTTCATAAAACTGGCTACTGGGCTTGTGAGCCATTCAGACAAGGTGTGAGGAACAGACAGGACTGGAAGGGGGCTCACAGGCCAGCAGTCATGCTCCTCTTGCTCCCGCCCTGCTCTGCTGTTTGTTTGGTGGCCTAGGCACAGCCACAGTCAGGTTCTGTGAACAGCCCATGGGGAACTGGGCTGGGGAAGCTCTCCAGGGGAGCTGTCTGGGCCTAAGCTTGCCCTGCTAACCTTGGTTCCACCTCTGGTCATGCTATTTCTTGCTGTGGGACCTTTGGCAGGTCACTTAACTCTCTGAGCCTCAGGTGCTCAGGTGGTGGTGGTGGTTACATGAGCAAATGCGGTGCCCGGCACACAGCAGACACGCACGGGTTGGTTACAGCATCCATCGCCCACCAGTGAGCACGGCTGTCACACAGGCTCTTCTGCTAGCAGCTTTCTGTACTTTTACACATTCAAAACCTTGCAGTCATTGGCTGGGCACGGTGGCTCACGCCTGTAATCCCAGCACTTTGGGAGGCCGAGGCGGGCGGATCACTTGAGTTCAGGAGTTCGAGACCAGCCTGACCAACATGGTGAAACCCTGTCTCTATTAAAAACACAAAAATTTGCGGGGTGTGGTGGTGCGTGCCTGTAGTCTCAGCTACTCGGGTGGCTGAGGCATGGGAATTGCTTGAACCTGGGAGGTGGAGGTTGCAGTGAGCCAAGATCACAACACTGCACTCCAGCCTAGGCGACAGAGCGAGACCCTGTCTCAAAACAAAAAAGCAAAAAACAAAACAAAACAAAAAAACAAACAAAAAACCCCACACCACTACTTTGCAGCTGATCCAAGTATAGTTAACAAAGGGTTCCACTTGCCTTCCCTTCCCATGGACCTGAGTCCCAGGGCACCACTGGGTAGATGGAGAGGCAGCGCCTGGGTCAACCCTTACCTCTAGTGGAGCCCCAGTGGGAAGTGCATCTAGCCTTTTTTATATTTTTATTTTTCAGACGGAGTTTCACTCTTGTCTCCCAGGCTGGAGTGCAATGGCGCAGTCTCGGCTCACTGCAACCTCTGCCTCCCAGGTTCAAGCAATTCTCTTGCCTTAGCCTCCTGAGTAGCTGGAATTACAGGCTCCTGCCTTTTGCCTGGCTAATTTTTTGTATTTTTAGTAGAGACGGGGTTTCACTATGTTGGCCAGGCTGGTCTCGAACTCCTGACCTCGTGATCTGCCCGCCTCAGCCTCCCAAAGTGCTGAGATTACAGGTGTGAGCCATTGCGCCTGGCCACATCTCACCTCTTCTAACCCCAAGTCTGGGGCTGGTGGTGGCCCTACGTCAGGCGGAGATGGTGCCCGTGGCACTGGTAAAGTGGGGGAAGGGCACCACCTGGCGGTCAAGGGTAGGATCACAGTGAAGGCACCAGGGTGGGGGACATGGGAGGGCTCATCAAACAGTCCCAGTGATGGGCAGGGACTCCATCATGTACTCTCTCGCTGAAGCAATGCAAGCAGGCCAGGAAGTCGGACTTACACCCCCACCTTATGGATGAGGAATGAAGCTCAGAGATGTTAAATAACTCACCTATGTCACACAGCACCCGCAAGAGGTGGAAATGGAAGCCAAGCTTGAGAGGCTTCAAACGTCCCTCACTCACCCTGACCAAGGAATTAGAGACCCTTTAATAAAGATGAGCACAATGAAAGGGTTAAAGTCAGTCAGTGTGCTTCTGGAACTTCAGGAAATAGTGTTCTTTTGAGCCCATTTTGAGTTAGGATGGGCTAGTTTCTTTTCAAACACACACACAAAGGCCTGTACTGACTTCTAAGGTCATGGGCTAAGGAAGCGAGCCCTCGCCGTTATTTAAATAATTAAGGCGCCAGTTAGTTCAGAGACGATATGATGGAGCTGGGCCTTGGACATGACCTGGTGGACTCCTGGCTGGGAGCAGGGTGCCTTTTCCCAAAAGGTGTTTTAAATTGACACATAGATGAACATTTCTTATGCTAAAGGTTCTCTTTTTGTTCTAATTAGCAACAGAAATAATAACTAATACATTACGCCTATGACATCATAGATATTATTGCTTAGGAGAAGGCTAATTTTAAAATCTTTTGAAAAAAAATCGAAACAAAGATTTGACATACAGCAAAAGTGACGTGTGATGCTTGGATGACACCAGCTTAGGCCACTACTTTCTTTTCTTTCTTTTTTTTTTTTTTTTTAAAGGCAGAGTCTCGTTCTGTCACCCAGGTTGGAGTACAGCAGTGTGATCTCGGCTCACTGCAACCTCCGCCTCCCGGGTTCAAGTGATTCTCGTGCCTCAGCCTCCTGAGTAGCTGGGATTACAGGTGTGAGCCACCATGCCCAGCTAATTTTTGTAGTTTTTAAGTAATGATGGGGTTTCACCATGTTGGCCAGGCTGGTCTCGAACTCCTGGCTTCAAGTGATCCGCCCGCTTTGGCCTCCCAAAGTGCTGGGATTACAGGTGTGAGCCACTGCGCTTGGCAAGGCCACTACTTTCTAAGTGAGGACACTGGGAGGGGAGTGACTTGTCTGGGTCCCCAGTGACCTGCTGGCAGGAAAGGATCAGGACCCTCTGACCCTGTGGGGTCAATGACAGAGGGCCAAGCAGCCTGGGGTTTATAAGGTCCCCAGAGGAACCCACAGGCCATCCCAGGGGGAGGGACCTGATGCTGGGGTTTGGGAACAGGGAGAGGGTGCAGGGGACATGAGGGAGAGGGAGGGAAAGGCATCTCTCTTCTGTGCAATGACCAAAACGATTAACGTGCCCCCTGGAAGGTTGCTGTGGGCACCACGGGCATCCCGCAAAGGGCAGTTTCCATTCCCTTAAAGGCTCCCATTAAAAACACATAACCGTGTTAACAAGGGCAGACAGACAAAAGCTGTCTCTCTGCTCAATGCCAGCTCTGAAACACTTGTGGGTGGAGGGGCAAGAACGGGTAAAGGAAGGAGGGCGACAGCAGCTTAATCTTAGGGGTGGCTGGATGGTGGGTGAAACTTTTAAAAATCGCTACTTGTAATTGGTATGAGGCTTAGGCTATAAATAATAATGATTAAATTATCTTTAAAAAGTCAGGCAGATCAGAACACTTGGATAGGCTGGCATTTAATATACACATTTCATATGAGGAACGTTTTCTTTTTTAACTTAAACTCTGATTCCCATCTCCATGGCTTTCCAAGATGTGCTGAGATAAAGAAGGACTTGGAGATCAACAACCAGGCTAATTGTAGTCACCAGTTCCACTAGCAATCAAGCACATTTCATCTCTAAGGGGACCAATGCTCGCGTATCACCCTGTCACCTCTCTATTGTCACAGCCTCTGTGGAGCTGGCAAAACGGATGCCCTGAGAGGTGGCACGCAGAGGTGGTGTCCACCCTGCATGTTGGCACTGGGGCACCGGCAGGCAGCAGCTCCAGACACCCTCCCCCCGACACAAAGGCAAGCAGCACCAGCCCCCCGCTTTCGCCATGCAGCCCCGCAGAGTCACCAAGCCGAGCTCAGGGAAATGGAAGAAGGAAGGAGAGACCATTCAAAGGGAGCGGAGAAGAAAAAGCTCTCGGTGAAGCCAGAGCTCGGGCCCTCTTCCCGCTGGCATTCATCATCAGAGGAGTCTTCGGAGAGGAAGACCGCATAGTGTCGCAAGGGCTTTACCAGGCTGGGGCAGAGGAAGACAAAAGAGAAGAGAACAGGCAGTTAGGGGCGCCCTCAGAACTTCACGTGCAGGCGGGAAGCAGGCCTCTGGGCTCCACGCCTGGCCCTGCCTCTGTGTGCCAGCCTGGGGTGGGGGCTCTCAGGAGAGGAAGCTCGTTCCAGATAGAAAAGAAACTAAATTTGCCACGTGTCCAGAGCCTTAAACTCATGATCCATCACATAGGACCTAGTAATTCCACTTCCATTTGGTTAACCCTCAAAGTTGGCAAAGAATCACACTGGAAGATTGTCATCACTGCTGTTTATAATATTAAAACATGGAACAACCTACACTGTCAGCAACAACTAGCTGGTGCAGTGGCTGAATCTTGTCCTCCCATGAAACGTAATGTTTATGAAGACAAATTTAAAGATCAGGATGCAGAACTGCAATCACACCACATTCGCTGTCATCTGCTTATGGAAAAATTCATAGAAAAAAGACTGGAAAGGTTCATGGCTAAACGTCAATAACAGCCAGTGGAATCATGGGTGATTTCTTTCCCCTCTGCTGCTTTTTATTTTTCTGTGTCTTATACATTTTCTACAATGAGCATATCTATTCCAATAAGCAGGAAGAAATAAAAAATAAAAAAGTTCAAGAAAAAAGTGAGCCGTGCGGAAGAGCTCTCGCGAGAAGGCCCTTTTCTGATTAGCGGCTGCTCTCTGGAGCTTCCCTCAGATGCCTCTTCAGAGAGTCTTTTTCATCTGTGATGTGGAAATTAAATATTCATTGTTATAAAAAATGCATCTCCCTTGTCAGCCACCTGTGAGCTCTACCTCTATAAACACCAACACATACACAGCCTGGAGAAACTCCACGCCCGGCTCCCATGAATTATATACTGACCAGGGCCCACCAGAGGCCATGTGCTCAGCAGGGGCGAGCTGGACCAGGCAGATCTGGGTTCAAATCCCGGCCCTTGTGCTGGGGAGTAGGTGTCTCTGTGCACCCCACCAAGAGGCACTTTGAGCCTGCTTGGTGTGAGCAGACCCGGGGTGTTCCACACCCCTGCCCCATTCTGTGGGCTGGCTTGCTCTGAGGCGAGTGAAGTCTGGGGAGAATGTGGGGCACGGGGGCTGGCATGGGCTACCTCCTCTCCCCTCACCCCCCAGCCCCCAGCTAAAGCCGTCTCCCTTCTCTGCTCTGTATGCTAGAATTCTTTTGAGGGTTTATTTCAGGAAAGGGCAACGTGTCCAAAAAAAGGACATGAGAACCACAGCTGGAGGGTGAGTGAGAGACAGTGGCTGCGCAGGGGGACGGGGCAGGTGGCCTGTGCCTGCACTTTGCTGCAATCCGCCAGGGCTGGTGCCCATCCCAGCACTTGCACATCAGAACGCTCACTTCCTCCCAGAGGCTGGCCAGGCAAAGAGTTTTGTCCTCGAACTGCAGTGGAGGTTGAGGCTCAGGAGGGGAAGCCAGTAGCCCAGGGTTACACAACAGGAGGCAGCGAGTCCCAGTGCTGGGCTTTTCTCTGCTCCCAGGCTGCCTTGCTGGCTGTCGGGGCAAGACACAACTCAGCCCTTCCTGGACTCGAGGGGGCTCTGGTCCAGGGGGCATTTTCCCGCCTCAGTGGACAGGTCAGGAAGACCTGACTTGCAGGAATCTCGGGGCCAGGGCACCACCTGGCTCCTGCCACTTCCACAGCAAAGAAGACAGAGCAGAAAGGCTACCCTCCATACAGCCACCAGAGTCTCTTTCAATCACAAACCCACACTTGTCACTCTCCTGCTAAAACCTATAAATCTGCCATTCTGAATTGTGATCTTGCTGCAGTTGGTGGTATGGTGAGTAAATAAATCTGTGGAGCAAAGGGTTAGGAATAATAATGTTCAGACATTTGCAGGGACTTGTTTCAAAGTGAGGGGGAGCCCACTCTCACTCTGCAGCACTGACTGCTCTCCTGAGCAGGTGAGGGGCAGAGGGTGCGCAGGCCGTGGGCTTCTGCTGCACTCTGGGGAGCTCGTGGGATGCACTGCTGAGCGGCCGTGCCGAGCTCCGAGCAGGGCAGTCTCCATGCTGTGTGTTGGCTCTACCTACCTCTGTGGCCCTCTCCTGGCCTCCCCTGCGGCCATGCTTACCGTCTTTGACCACACTGGGCCCTGGATATTCCCCCTCCCTGTCACCTTTGCTTGGAGCACTGACTGCTCTGCCGTCTTGAAGACTCAGCTCAGCGGGACTTCTACGAAGCCCACTGGAGGCTAGGAGAGCTCCCTGGCTGTGCCTCTTCGCACTTCATAGATACCATTTAACCTCTTGTCACTCTGTTTCTGAGTCAAGTTCCTCAAGGGCAGGGCCTGCCTTGTTCTTCTCTTTCTCCCCAGCTGGGGTACAGCATGAATGCTGTGGAAGTTTGCGAATGAATGAAAGCCAGCCTGCTGGGGGAACCCCCACTTTACCATCTTCCTGGAGCTGCACCACACTGTCCCCTTTCCCCAGACTGTGGCTGTGGTACAAAAGTGCTCCCCCTCTGGGCTCCCATCTGTTCTGAGATGCTAAGATGTGAAGAATGGGACGATGTTTGAAGGTGAGGGTGTCAGGTAGGTAGGGGCAGGCAGAAAGTGTTTAAAATGATATCAACAAGCAGGTACCGTGCTTTATAGAGGCCACTTCTACCCCTCACAAGAGCCTAACAAGAAGGTGTCGCAATACTGATTTTCTAGAGGGTGAGGGCTTCATGAGTCCACCCATCCATCTGTCCATCTGTGCACCCAACCAAGAGGCGCTTTGAGCCTACTTGGTGTGAGCAGACCCAGGCTAGCTGTGCACTGGGGCATCACTGGTGAAGAGGTGACCACGTGGCCAAGAAGTGGAGAACAGGGACTGCAGCCCGGATGGTCCACCCCCAGGGGCCTCACCCTCTCCTGTGAGCGGGGCTCGGAGTAGATGCACACGAGGGGACACCAGCCCCGGCTCGGGCCAAATGGAGGGAGGCTCTCCAGTCGCCCTCACGTCCACCTTGGTTGCCTTTCCGACACCTATCCAAGCACGGGCCCCCACCTCTGGCTCTGACAAGAGAGCACAGATCACAGCTTGACACGTTGGTGCAACGCCACTGAACCTGCCAGGAATTTCCGGCTTCACCCAGGAGCGAGGAACCTCTGCGCTGGGCTGTGCCCTGGCTTTGCTAAATCCAACTGCCGCAGTTCAGGCCACTGTCACAATCCAGCGCTGCCCACACTGCTGTGATGGTGGAGGGGGCTGGGGGCTTCCACACTGGTGTGACTGTGGTGGGCGGGGGAAGAGAGGGAACCGCAGTTTCCAGTTCAGGAGCCACTTTCCTTCTCCAGTTGGATGTACTGGCTGAGCCAGGCTGGTTGGGCAGTGATTTCCACAGGAGGCCTAGCTGTCTCCAGAATACACCACCTGTCTCTTGAAAGTGGCAGGGTACATCCAGGTGAGAAGTTTGTCATCTGATGTGGTCAGATCAGAGCTTTGTCGAGTCCAGGCCACATGGATGGCGATACTTACAAGCCTTGGGCGAAATGCTGTCCATACAATTTCTCATGAATTCTTTACTGCAACCCCATTTTGCAGACAAAGTAGCCAAGGCTCAGAGAGGGGGAGTCACTTGCCCAGGGTCACACAGCAGCTAAAGGTAGAGCTAGGAACTGAATGTGGATTTGCCAACTTTCAACCACTACGGGATCTTGCCTCTTCAGTTTTCTGGGTCAGAAACAACGAAATAAGAGATAGGGTGTTTCCTCTTTTACTTTTAATGAAAGGTGAGGTTTCAAAATAAACTTACTTAAATTCAGCTGCCCATGTTCTCCCATGAAACATACAGTCAGATATTTGTCAGAGATAAAGGATGAACCATCGAAAACGTCCAGGCTTAAACTTTTTATTAGCTTAAGGCAGAATATGAAAAAAAAAAAAAAAAAAAGCACCTTTTCCCTCATTAACCCAATTCAGCTACTCCCCTGCGGTCTGCCACCCACCACTTGCCTGGATTTTATTACACACAAAGAGCTGTCTGTGAAAAGGCAGGTTGCGGCAAACTTGGCTGCCCAGCGAGGGCTGCCAGAGTCTTGGTGCAGAAGAAAGGCTGGCCGTCCGTCATGGATCAGACCCCATCATCCCCCACGGCTGCTCCCGCCTCTGCCCACCTTGTCTCCGCGTGGAGTTCCCATGCAGATGACTTCCCGAACCCCTTCTAATGTTTGGTTTAACGTGTCGCCGGTTAGCGCGCGCGTGTGACAGTGGTGACAGGCGAGGCTGTTCCTTTTTAAATACCATGTCAGAGACACGGCGTCAGGAAGCAGGGACGTGCTCCATGCTCTCTGCCGCGCCGGGATCGCACCGGCTTATTTTTTAATGAGGAAGATCTGCATCTCGGGAGTTTTTTTCATGTGTCACATCGCGTGGACAAATCAGCAGCACGTCACGCTGGCCCAAAATGAAATGCTGACAAATGTAGATATTTCAAATTTAATTGACATTTAAATGTACTTGAGATAAAGACGGGGAAAAATCAGCCAGGACTTGGTCTCCGGAGGTGGTGAAGGGGAGCTGGTGATCATTTTTGAAAGGATCACTTCACTCAGGCACAAAGGATCCTCGCTTTGTAAATGTCTTGGCTACGCTGTGTCCCTCTGTCACGTGGCTCCAGTGGGCAGGTGCTGACGAGCAGGGACAGCCCCCAGGGTGAGGCTAGGTCCTGCCTGTCCGGTGGGTGCCAGTCTGTCTAACCATCCACTACCCTCCCCTTCCTAGTCAGGCTACCTTGGAAAAGTCACTTCATCTCCCTGAACCTAACTTTCTTGTTTAATTTTCTATTTCCATAGGTTTTTGGGGAACAGGTGGTATTCGGATACATGAGTAATTTCTTCAGCTGTGATTTGTGAGATTTTGGTGCACCCATCGCCCGAGCAGTGTACACTGAACCCAATTTGTAATCTTTTATCCCTCACCCCCTTCCTACCCTTTCCCTGCCGAGGCCCCAGAGTCCCTTATGTCATTCTTACGCCTTTGCATCCTCAAAGCTTAGTTCCCACTTATGAGTGAGAACATATGATGTTTGGTTTTCCATTCCTGAGTTACTTCACTGAGAATAAGAGTCTCCAATCCCATCCAGGTTGCTGTGGATGCCATTAATTCATTCCTTTTTATGACTGAGTAGTATTCCATCATAGATATACCACAGTTTCTTTATCCACTTGCTGATTGATGGGCCTTTGGGCTGGTTCCACATCTTTGCAACCTTATTTTCTTATCTGTAAAATGGAGATTCTGTAGCCCTCCTGAGAGTCTTATGGGAAAACTTAAATGCACGTATTCGTAAAGGGCTTTGCATGGTGCTGAGCACACAGTGACTAATCCACTACTGTCCACATGCCACATTCACCTGCCAACAAGTAGATTCTGGGCATCTGTATCCTGTGCAGGGTCTTTCCTAGGTGTTCAAGGATGAGTAAGGCAGTCCCTGCCTTCCCAGAACTTTCCAGGCATGGTTAGTGGTCCTCAGCTGAATGTATGTCAGCACATCAGAATCATCTGGGAACCCCCGTCTCCTGCCAGAGATTCCACAGCAAAGGAATCTCTGAAGTTCCAGCTACTCAAGAGGCTGAGGTGGGAGGATTGCTTCAGCCCAGGAGTTCCAGGCCAGCCTGGGCAACACAGCTAGACCGCATCTTAAAAAAATAAAAAAAAAAAAAAGAAGGTGGCTCTGAACCAAGACTGCAGGGTCTCTGGGGGTACACAGTGGCACACGCCCCATAGAAGAAACTCTGGAATTAGACTGGAGCTGTTCTCTGTGCGACCCAGGATAAGGGCTAGGACTGTTCTCAGGGAGGAAGCAATGGAGACAGAGGAAGCTACTGTACATAGGAACCTGTAAACTCAGTTGCAGGTGAATATCTACTTAAAAGCAACGACGATAAGAATTCTTGTTGCCACAAGTCACGATCACCAGCATGCTCTGCCTGTTCTGCCTGTCCAGTGAACTGGTTTAGGGGAGGTGGGAGAGATGGGTGAGTGTGAGATACCAGGTCCTTCCCGCCCCACTGGGGACTTGCTTTGCCGGAGGACAATGGTGGGGGCGTGCCTGGCTCAAGGGCTCTTGGACAAGGCTCCATTTGGGAGGTGATGTGGGAGCCAGACTTTTTTTTTTTTTGAGACGGAGTCTCACTCTGTTGCCCAGGCTGGAGTGCAGTGGCACAATCTCGGCTCACTGCAACCTCCGCCTCATGTGTTCAAGCGATTCTCCTGCCTCAGCCTCCAGAGTAGCTGGGACTATAGGCATGTGCTACCATGCCTGGCTATTTTTTTTATTTTTTATTTTAGTAGAGATGGGGTTTCACCATGTTGCCTAGGCTGGTCTTGAACTCCTAAACTTAGGCAATCCATCCGCCTCGGCCTCCCAAAGCGCCTGGCCAGAGCTGGACTTTTAATCCTGAGCATGGGAGAGGATCATAATGACCTGGAGGCATCTCCGAGAGGGGCAGGCACAGGGAACTCCATGTCCGGGTGGGGAGTTCAAGAGAAGAGGCTGGAGGTTGGCAGGGACCAGGTCGTGGAGGGCCTGGAGCCAGCGCAAGGATGAGAGGTGACGTGCAAGTCTGGGGGTGGTGCAAGGCCTTGGGGTGGCTGCAGTCAAGCAGGAAGCATGCCTGGCTGCCCATCCCCCTCTCTTGGGTTATGCCCTTGGCTTCTTCAGCCTTTATTCGGGCATTTATTTGATTACTTCTCAGTCTGTAGGTTCACTCCTTCCTTCTTTCAACAAAAATCATGAATGCCAATTTCACACATCCATACCCGTGCCCCAGCATGCCCGAGAAGCCCTTCCACGACCACTGGCTGGACACTCACATAGGCAGTGGCCCCAGCACAGGATGTGGGCTTCAGGCTCTGCGGTGGAGGGAAGATGGGGCTGGGAATGCCTTGGGGGCACTTTCCTCTGCAGGGAAGAGGCACTGTGCAGAACACCTGCCCCTCACCCTGAGGACAGCCTCTGCATCCTGGAGCCCAGATCTGGAGACTGAGTTCTGGGAACTGTGGGAGCAGTGGTGGGGGCAAGAAAGTAGTGGCTGTGGGACCTGGCTGCCCGGGTGCACATCCTGGACTGAGGGTACGTCATTCCACTGGCTACAGCCGTGGCTCCCTCATGGCTGAATGCCCAGGCTGCGAAGATTTTTTGGGGAGCAGGGAGCTTAGCCAAGACAACACGTGTGAAATTGCTGGGCACAAAACAGGCAGTTGAGAAATGGCGATGTGGCATCTGGAAGAGGCAGAGGGCTAGGTGGGAAGGCAAAGCCTTTCAGGGGTGACTGAAATCAGTCATGTCTTGAGGATGAGGCCCCTGTTCCTAAAGCATCCCCAAGGCTTGGTTTCCAGTTAACTCCCTGTGGTGACAGCTCCTGGGAAAAGTCCTTCCCTCTGATTTGCCAGGCAGAAGAGGCGACAGACAAATGGGTCCCGTGTCTTCCGGGGCTGCTGCAGATCCTTGGGGGGATCCTGGGTGGGCAGAAGTGAGGTATTCTTGGCACTTCCTGCTCTTCCAGTTTAGGCTCAGGCTCCACGGCTGGCTTTAGGCTTGGTTTTGTCTCCAGGGCCCAGAATCTACTCTCTCTCTCTGTGTGTGTGTGTGTGTGTGTGTGTGACAGAGAGAGAGAGAGAGAGTGAGAGTGAGAGGCCTCTAGCCCTGCTAATTGGGTCTGTGACCTTCTGCTCATGTGTTTGGATAGCTGGCTGCTAAGGGAGTGGGCCCTGGCAGCCTGCCAGGGGGTAGAGCCCAGACAGCTGCCCCTACCCCCTGGGGCCGAGGGCCCAGCTGGCATCTTGGAGACTTGCTCCTGGGGCTGAGCACAGTTCCTGGCTCTTAGAGGGCTGGGGATGCACTGGCAGCTTCATACGCACGTCCTAATCACACCTGGCACACAGTAGGTGCTCTTTACCTGTTTGTGGTTGTTACCGGACGCCCCTACCCCGCCTCCCAGGTGCTTGACTGCAAGCCGCACTCTGCCTTCAGATTCCTTTGTTCATTCACCCAGGAAACATCTCAGAGCAGAGGTCTGGGCTCGGATGTGGTCCAGGAGTTGGAGAGTCAAAGCTGAGGAAGAGCTCACAGACTACTGGTGTGCCTGGTGTGTGTGTGTGTGTGTGCACGCGTGTGAGACAAAGAGAAAGCTACAACATGGCCGGTCACCGCCAGATCAGGAGACGCACAGGGGATTGTGGGCGTGGGAGGGAGGAGAGTGGGTGGTTCGTGGGGGAGGTGTTGGGGTGTCGGAGTGCTGAGATAAGGCCAGGAGGGAGGCCACGCGCTCTGCTCACTCAGGATGCCAGTGCCTACTGTGGGCCTTTTCCCCAGCCACGCTCCTGGAGATGTTAATAGGCATCATGTTAAGAAAGGAGGACCAGGAGACATGCCCATAGCCTCCAGGCTGGTGCCTGGTGGGCCAGGAGGCTGACTCAGGCCTGTTGGATGCCAGAGCTCTGCCCATGCACCAGGCCGCCATCCAAATGATGGGCCCACGCCCCCAGGGCAGCAGTGGGGCTGTGCAGGAGGGAAAGTGCTCTACCCCTGTGTGATCCACAGCTGGGAGCAACTGATCTGCTGAGGCTATGCTGAGTCTAGGCTCGAGGAGGGCAAGGCCGTTGAACGTGCACAAGCGGCACGCCAGCTTTTGCCAGAGCATGTGTGTGAGTGTCCAGAGTCCCTTGCAAAGTGTTCTGAGACCTGGGCTTCGGGCGGGGTTTTCTCACTAAATGCTTCTGGCAGCTTCTTCTGATCTTATTTTAATCTTCTGGGGCTTTGGTGCTGGGGTCACGCAGTGCAATTCAGAGGATCAGACACTCCAATTCCTAGGCAGCAAGGGTCAGGCATTTGGGGTAGAGACTGTCTACCTAGCTAGCATGGCCTACAGAAGTTTTCCTTGTCCAGAAGGATTCGGACACATGTTTGAATGCCAGTCACATGTTTCTCTGGGTCCCTCAGAATCAGATGTCCGGGAGTCCAGTTCTGGTGAGGGTATAAGGTGGTACAATTCTTCAGAAAGTTATACAGCAATATGGAGCAGAAATCTTCTTACAACTGGTTAAGGGTAAAGGCTTTTGGTCTTAACAAGGCATGTTTGAGGCTCAGGTCTGCTACTAACTAGCTGTGTGACCAAGGGCAGTGACAATCTCTTGAAGTCTCAGCTATTTCTATAAAATAGATCTCATAAGACCTCCCCCTACATATTTCTTGTGAGGATTCAATGAAATGGTGTATGTAAAGTGCTTAGCACATTCCCAGTTAATGGGAGTTGTCAATAATTCCGTTTCCTTTTTCTTTTTTTTTAGAGTCTCACTCTGTTGCCCAGGCTGGAGGGCAGTGGCATGATCTCTGTTCCCTGCAAACTCTGCCTCCTGGGTTCAAATGATTCTCCTGCCTCAGGCTTCCGAGTAGCTGAGATTATAAGTGTGTGCAACCAAGACCGGCTGATTTTTGTATGTTTAGTAGAGACGGAGTTTTGCCATGTTGGCCAGGCTGGTGTCGAACTCCTGACCTCAAGTGATCCACCCACCTTGGCCTCCCAAAGTACTGGGATACAAGCATGAGCCACCGTGCCCAGCCTAGAATAAGGATATTTACCCTGGCATTTTTTATATTAATGAAAACCTGGAAAGGATCTAAAGATCCAGTATGAGGGCAATAGTTAGGCAGACCATGAGCATACACACAATGAGATCCTCTGCAGTCACAGACAATAGGGGTTACAGAGACACACGGAACAAGTCCACATGCTGGCATATTGCAAGGAAGTTGCAGCTCTATAAAAGACATGCAGGATAAAGACTGGGCATGGATCTCCAGGAATGCTAATATGTAGTGGAATGAAAGTAATGGGATTCAGAATGAATTTGTCTCTTTTCCCTAACATTCCAGATTGTCTATCAGGCTACCGGGTAATTTTTACAAACCAAAAATTACCTGAAAAGAGCAGATTTTGCACGGATCTGGCCAGAGAAGTGAGCTGGGCAGCAGCCCTGGGCCCTGGTGGCTGAGTTTGGACCCTTCTTACTTAGTACAGTGGAACTTCAAATAACCAGGATGCAGCCAGTCAAGACCCTCGTGTGACTGGAGAGTGTTCAGTGTCTCACCCATTAGGAGACAAGGTGTGCAGTCGAAAGCACTTGGCTCTGCATGCAGGTTGTCAGGAGGGGCACCTCAGATCCACAACCAGCTGCAAGCCCCTTAACCCTTAAGACTCAGAAGACAGCCCTACATCTGGGCTGTGAAGATTAAACAGGTGGCAGATGCCTGTAATTATCTCCCTCCATACTCTCAGCAACTCTGTGAGGGCCAGTGCCCCAGCCCCTACTGCCACTTCCCAGCAGGGAACAAATGACTAGCTGCCTGGCAGAGAGATGCACCCCGGGATCAGTGTGTCACTCCCTGCCTTGGCCTTAGTCTGCACACAGTGTGCCATCATGAGGGGCCCGGCGGCTCAGACCACAGTGCTGCCTTTCAGAGCCTGCCATTGGCTTTTTTTTTTCTTTTTCTTTTTTATTTGAGACGGCGTCTCACTCTGTCACCCAGGCTAGAGTGCAGTGGTGCGATCTCGGCTCACTGCCAGCTCCACCTCCCGGGTTCACGCCATTCTCCTGCCTCAGCCTCCTGAGTAGCTGGGACTACAGGGATCCACCACCATGCCCGGCTAATTTTTTGTATTTTTTTTAGTAGAGACGGGGTTTCACTGTGTTAGCCAGGATGGTCTTGATCTCCTGACCTCGTGATCCGCCCGCCTCGGCCTCCCAAAGTGCTGGGATAACAGGCGTGAGCCACCGCGCCCGGCCACCATTGGCTCTTTCTAAGCACCCAGTTGGATGGGCAATTTACCTATACCTGGCAGACCAAAAGGAAGATAACTTGGGGCCTCGCAGCTGTGCGCACCCCATGGAAACCACCACACAGCATTTTTTTTTTTTTTTGGAGACAGAGTCTCGTTCTGTTACTCAGGCTGGAGTGCAATGGTGTGATCTCGGCTCACTGCAAGCTCCACCTCCTAGGTTCAAGCGATTCTCCTGCCTCAGCCTCCCTAGTAACTGGGATTACAAGCATGTATCACCACACCCAGCTAATTTTTTGTGTTTTTAGTAGAGACGGGGTTTCGCCATGTTAGCCAGGCTGGTCTTGAACTCCTGACCTCAAGTGACCCGCCCGCCTCGGCCTCCCAAGGTGCTGGGATTACAGGTGTGAGCCACCGCGCCCGGCCGTGGCCTGCTTTTAATAGGAGGGGAGCTGTGAACCTCACTGTGCTCACTGCCGTAGCCGTCGTCCCCACCAGTCAGAGAAGCACGTGAGGATAATTAGGTCTTAACAAAAAGCCTGGAGAGTAGAGAAGAATGGACCAGGCTTCTGTCATCAGACAGCCGATCCTACCATTTTCTGGCCCTGAGAAACCTTGGGCAAGTTATGAAAGTCTCTCTGAGCCTCAGTTTTTCTGTCTGTTCAATGGGAAAGCTACCACCTACCTTTGACAATCTTTTTTATTTTATTTTTTGAGATAGGGTCTCGCTCTGAGGCCCAGGGTGGTGTGCAGTGTCATGATCTCAGCTCACTGCAACCTTCAACTCCCCAGGGCTCATGCAATTCTCATGCCTCAGCCTCCCGACTAGCTGGGACTACAGGTACACGCCACCATGCCCGGCTAATACCTCTGACAACCTTAAGGGATGTTGGTGAATGTCATTCCTCTTTCCTTCCCCAAGAAGAAACACTCAGGCACCAGTGCACATGGTTTCTTTGGCGGTGAGAAGACTGAACAGATCCGGTTCCCAACTCCAGCCTTCAGGGAGCCAGAGAGGAAGGGTGGCCTGCTGGGCAGGCCATCATCTCATTTTAGGATGTGGAGCTGTCTCTCTGGGCAAAGCCAGACTAAAGATGAACCCTGAAGGGCCCCGTTCCAAGGACAGCATCAGAATGTCATGGAGAGAATGAAATCAAGAATTCTGAATGCTGGCCTGGCCACTTTTCAACTGGGTGACCTTGGGAAGACTGGTCAAATCCACATTCTGGGCCTGAGCTCCCACTCGGGAAGAAACGATGCTAGCCCAAGAGGGCCTAGAAATCAATGGGTGCTCCACCGCGCCCCCTGCTGACTGGTGTCTGACCCACAGCCTCTCATGCAGGATCCCTCCTACCCCGATCCCTGCCCCACGGAAGCCCCTGGGCGTCACATCAGCTGTGCTCTGAATAGTAATGGAAGTAGCCAGTACTTCTTGAAGAGATTTAGTAACTGAATATTAACCAAGTAATGTTACCTGAAAAGTAAAGGGAATGTTTCCCCCACAAATCTTCAAAAAAGTCTTCTTCCAATTGCCAACGGCCAGTTTTAAGGGACTAGGAAACCTATCATTGATTCAGAAAGAAAATTTGACACAGGAAAATTTCATTTTGGGAAAATGCAAGTCAACCAAGAGTCAGCATGGGGACTCCCTTTTAAGGCCTCCTTTAAAAAAATCGTCCGTGCTTGCGCCTAGTAGGTTTTCAAAGATACTTGCTGAATGAATGAATGCACGAATGGACAGATGGAATGATGGAGGGATGGACATCAGCTGGGAAGGAAGAAATGAACTTCAGGGGTGGACTGGCCAGAGAGTGGCTGGCTAGTGTTTCTGGGCCCTGATGAGTCCCAGGATGCTCAGCTACTCCAGGAGACAGTCTTACTCTTAATCAGCCCCATCTTGCTGTCCACAAAGCTGGTTATTTTATTTTTGAGACAGAGTCTCACTCTGTTGCACAGGCTGGAGTGTGGTGGTGTGATCTCAGCTCACGGCAGCCTCCGCCTCCTGGGTTCAAGTGATTCTCATGCCTCAGCCTCCCGAGTAGCTGGAATTACAGGGGTGCGCCACCACACTCGGCTAATTTTTGTATTTTTAGTAGAGACGGGGTTTCGCCATGTTGCCCAGGCTGGTCTCGAACCCCTGACCTCAGGTGATCCGCTCGCCTTGGCCTCCCAAAGTGCTGGGATTATTTAATGTGCAATTGGAAGTGAGAGTTGGGGCAAGAAGTCAGGAGGAATGAATCTCTCCTCTCCACTTCAAAGATCCTGCATCCCCTTCTGCTGCCCCAGTCTTCTAAGTTTCCCAAGCACTTTGATATTCCCAGTGGAGATGAAGATCTGTGATTCAAGAAAACCCAGGCCAGATTAAAGGGCCAGGCACCAAGTCCGTGTGCCCAACACGGAACCACCACCTGACAAAGGCCCATTAGGATCGGGCCCCTGCTGCCAGCCTGGCTTCTCACATCTCCCAATACAATGCCGACAGATTGGTGGAGCCGGTTTCTTCCCCCTCCCCCGAACAATATTTTATGAGGAGTCTGTTTTATTAAAATATTTTCCGCTGGATGCTTCCTGTGTTTCAAGAAGTTGGTCCTGCCAGCTGGAGCTGATGACAGTTGAGAAAAACACATCCAAGTGCTGTTGTGACATGGCATTTGGAAGGGGCGGAGCACAGTGGGGGGGTGGGGAAGCAGCATGGGAAGAGGCGTAGAAAAACACCCGGGTTGCACTAGAAATACCACTGGTATTATGGGAGAACAACTTCCCCTTCCTCGTTAAACAAACGTGAACAGAAACCCTTGGAATGATGTCCTGAAACGTACCCCTCTGTCTCCTTGTGGGCCCGAGCCACTGTGACGTACGCTCACAGAAAACCTGTCATTTGTTTTCTATCACTGGTAGTTTGCCAACCACCAAACTGGCTCCCATGCTCCCACTGGTTTATTTCAACCCCAAATATTTTCCAACAGAAGTAGAAAACAGGGCATATTAAACAAACAACAAACCAACCAACCAACAAAACTAAAAGTGATACTGACACAGTTCAGGTGATAAGCAGGAAAATGGGATTATCAGACACCGGCTCTTTGGCACACACTGCGAAGTCAGCCCCTCTGCCCAGTCTGGAAAAGCAACGGCGTAAGTCAATGTGATGAAGAGGTCCAGCCTCTCGTCGGGAACTTGGCCGCAAAATGGGTAATGCTTTTCTGTAGGATGTGGAGTGTAGCTGGTGTTGCAATGGTGTTTCTGTGTAATGCAAGAATATTCTGGGTTTACATCTCAATATCAACAGGCCTGTGACCCTGTATCCTGGTACAGTGTCTAAAAGGTTTAGTCCAGTTTTAAAGAGGGGACTTCAAAGAAATGTGACAAATTTCATCCCCTTAAGGAGGAATCTTTAGTCCGAGGCACTCAGGTGCCATGCAGCGTTCTCTCCATAAGGGGGCAATCATAATCCATCCCTCATGTTCCCACCAGGCTATTGTGCAGAGCAAAAGTTAAACTTAACCCAGCTTCAGGAGTCCTCTCTTCCAAATGTCTAATAACTGAGCATCCTTGTGTGCAAGCGCACACGTGCACACACACACACACACACACGCACGCACACATATAATTCTGGAACTTTCTGGGCAAAGTCTGAGGGCTGTCTGGGTGGGCTGGTTCCTTAAAGACCGTACCCTCGCTATCAACCAGAAAATCCTGGAGAGCTGAAGTGAACTGCAACTTGGGTTAGGCCCCAGCTTGACAGCTCGAAATCATTTTTTTTCCTTCTTGCTCCAACTCTGACTGGGACCTGCCATGTCCCTTACCTTCTTTCCCATTTTCTGAGAGCCAGACAGACATGGGGGCCTCCCCCTTTCCACCCAAAGGACTTCAGGATCCCTGGGGTAGTTTTTCTGACTCCTCCAACAATCCTAGACCAAGACGAACTCATGCACTTTTTCAAGGCATCACAGGAAGTCAGCGTGTAGCCGCTGAGTTGTCTGGATAGAGACTGAGGGCTGTGCTCCTTTTGCGGACAAAGGGAAGCAGTGCTACCTTCTGCAGATGGCTCTGGTCTGGACTCGGGGCTATCTGCAGCCTTCTGCCTCACCCCACCACAGGCAGGTCCACTTCAGTCCACTGCTTGTCTTTCTGCCCCCCTCATTCACTTCATCTACCCCACGCCTCCTGAGCAGGTGACTCTAGGCCAGTCCTACGGGAGGTGCTGGGCATAACACCCAGGGAGCTCCGCGTCTCAGGGAGATGGGTAAGAAAAACCACAGTAACATAAATCCTCCGGCACAGGTGGGCAAAGGGTCCTGGTGGGTCTGGGGCAGTGGATGAGGGCAGTCCTGTATATAGGTTCTCGGCCATGGAGGCCTAGGAAGGTGGGTGGATCCAGTTCAACACTTGGCCTCCTTCACCAGGTTCTAACCCTCACCTACTGACTCGGCATCTTCAGCACAAGAGGCCTAGGACCTTCTTCTGAACCCAGCAAAGTATGCTTTGGACCCCACCCCTCGAAATCCAGCCCAAGTGCCCGGCTCCCTGGCCTCTGGGGCCTCCCACTGGTGTGACAACCAGACCGAGTAAAAGATCAAGTCCTGTTCCCTGAATGACCCCTTTGTGAAACACCCGCTGGGAGCCCCGGGGAAGCCTCACAAAGGCCGGGGCTACACGCTTGGGCTTCGCAAAGTGCTGGCTCCGCAGACACAGGGTTCTTACAGACAGAGGGGAGAGGCACAATACTCACTGCTCAGGGCTCGGCACAGACGTCCTCCGGCCTTCCACTGCGATGTTGCTCTTTGGTCTCTTAACAACATGTGGACGAGGTGGGCGCACCTAGAGGAGGTACAGGGGGAGAGCCCCAAGAAGGAGTGAGTTGGAAAAGCCATACAGGTACATTCTGAACATTTGGATAAACGGCCCCCCCAAAAAACGTTTAGGGATTTTCAAAGCTACAGGCTACAAAAGCCCAGCCTATCACAGAAACATCACCATCTAATAGGCAGCAGACAGACACATTAACTGGAATTCTGTGGCCTATTCAAATCAGAAGGGTGCTCCTGGAAAGCTCGGTTTCTTCATCTGCAAGATGAGGATAGTTCCATTGGCCTCCTTGCAGGGCTGTGGTGAGGGTCCAATGAGATGATGTCTACATAGGACCCGGAACAAAGAGGCCCTTATCAATGACAATTCCCTCTCATCTTCCTCTGATGCCCAGAAGCTGGTTTTGTAGAAAGAAAAGGTTGCGCTTACACTTGTTTTTAGGGTGAACATGCTTAGTTTGCTCTTTTTACAACAGAATCACAGGGTGCTTATTTTCCTCTCTAAATAAGAGAGGCATGAGAGAGTGCCACTACAAATCGTCTTTCTGCTTCCCAGAGCATCCCTGTGCTAGTCCTCCCAGCAGGGTTCAGCCTGGATGCTGCCCATCTTGTGTAGCTACATGCACTGAGCAGACCTAGTGGGAGGGTCTGCAGTGGGCACATCAGGAAGGACCCAACTTCCTAACCCCACAGCTGCTGCAGCAGCGGGATGGGTTTTTCTGACCCGCTGTCTCTGAAAGCGAACATGAGGGCCCACAGAGAAAGACACCCTCATCCCCTGCCAGAGTTCGTGATGGATGTTAGGCTGAGAATTTCTAGGTGCCCTTAGAAGGATACTCATTTGGTCCAGTCGACATTACATGGCTTTAAATTTGGCATGGCCATCTCTGTACACTCCCAGTGCCCGAGAGGGATGGGTTGAGAGCTAAGCTGAGAAAGTCTATCTCTGAATTTCATTGCTGATAAAAACAACCGAGCCTGCCGGGGCAGGGGGCTTGCTTTCTCCACGGATGGGATGCCACAACTGCTGAGTTTCCAGGACAAGACAGGGAAGGGAAGCAGGCACACACTCCACCTCCTGCCCACCCTTTGAGTTTCCAGGACAAGACAGGGAAGGGAAGCAGGCACACACTCCACCTCCTGCCCACCCTTTGAGTTTCCAGGACAAGACAGGGAAGGGAAGCAGGCACACACTCCACTTCCTGCCCACCCTTTGAGTTTCCAGGACAAGACAGGGAAGGGAAGCAGGCACACACTCCACTTCCTGCCCACCCTTTGAGTTTCCAGGACAAGACAGGGAAGGGAAGCAGGCACACACTCCACTTCCTGCCCACCCTTTGAGTTTCCAGGACAAGACAGGGAAGGGAAGCAGGCACACACTCCACTTCCTGCCCACCCTTTGAGTTTCCAGGACAAGACAGGGAAGGGAAGCAGGCACACACTCCACTTCCTGCCTACCCTTTGAGTTTCCAGGACAAGACAGGGAAGGGAAGCAGGCACACACTCCACTTCCTGCCCACCCTTTGAGTTTCCAGGACAAGACAGGGAAGGGAAGCAGGCACACACTCCACTTCCTGCCCACCCTTTGAGTTTCCAGGACAAGACAGGGAAGGGAAGCAGGCACACACTCCACTTCCTGCCCACCCTTTGAGTTTCCAGGACAAGACAGGGAAGGGAAGCAGGCACACACTCCACCTCCTGCCCACCCTTTGAGTTTCCAGGACAAGACAGGGAAGGGAAGCAGGCACACACTCCACCTCCTGCCCACCCTTTGAGTTTCCAGGACAAGACAGGGAAGGGAAGCAGGCACACACTCCACTTCCTGCCCACCCTTTGAGTTTCCAGGACAAGACAGGGAAGGGAAGCAGGCACACACTCCACTTCCTGCCCACCCTTTGAGTTTCCAGGACAAGACAGGGAAGGGAAGCAGGCACACACTCCACTTCCTGCCCACCCTTTGAGTTTCCAGGACAAGACAGGGAAGGGAAGCAGGCACACACTCCACTTCCTGCCCACCCTTTGAGTTTCCAGGACAAGACAGGGAAGGGAAGCAGGCACACACTGCACTTCCTGCCCACCCTTTGAGTTTCCAGGACAAGACAGGGAAGGGAAGCAGGCACACACTCCACCTCCTGCCCACCCTTTGAGTTTCCAGGACAAGACAGGGAAGGGAGCAGGCACACACTCCACCTCCTGCCCACCCTTTGAGTTTCCAGGACAAGACAGGGAAGGGAAGCAGGCACACACTCCACTTCCTGCCCACCCTTTGAGTTTCCAGGACAAGACAGGGAAGGGAAGCAGGCACACACTCCACTTCCTGCCCACCCTTTGAGTTTCCAGGACAAGACAGGGAAGGGAAGCAGGCACACACTCCACTTCCTGCCCACCCTTTGAGTTTCCAGGACAAGACAGGGAAGGGAAGCAGGCACACACTCCACCTCCTGCCCACCCTTTGAGTTTCCAGGACAAGACAGGGAAGGGAAGCAGGCACACACTCCACTTCCTGCCCACCCTTTGAGTTTCCAGGACAAGACAGGGAAGGGAAGCAGGCACACACTCCACTTCCTGCCCACCCTTTTTCCTGAACATCGTACCCCCCACCCCCCAGAAGCTTGTGGGTGACACGGCACGGTGGCTTAGGGACACAGATGATAGAAGCTGGCTGCATAAAAGACAAGTCTTTACAGAGTCTTGTCAAGCCCTCAGGTCTGCGCACGTCTGATCTAACCAAAGTTTTTCCTGTGGAGTGGCCAGTCTGATCTCAGACAGGTTTGGCATATCAGGGATGTGGTAAACACCAAAGGCATTCCACCAAACTGGCTGTCTTCATCTGTGGGGTGATTGTGAAGCCCGGATACAGGGAAAGTCCCCCCAAGGGGTCTGGTACACAATGGGGGCTCAATAAATGCTCATCCTGCTCCTCTGTGACCTGGATGTCCCTTCTTGTCAACAACAAAAGGAAGACGATGAGTGGGTGTCTCTGAATTAGAAGATGAGTTTTAGGATTCTCTTACCCCTGCCTCGCATTCTGTGGACTGCCTGGTATGTCATGGTTGCTCAGCAAGATTTTTAGAAACGAATGAATGTTGCTGCTCGGAATCTGAGAAGTGCATAATGACGCTGCGAGTATCATCGTGATTAGAGCTGGGCCTGCCACACAGCTCACATTCAGTCAACACGTGCTGAATAAACAAGTGGGTATCCCTGCACCCCTTCTGACTCTGCACTGGTTTCCCCAGCTCTGGCAGCTGGTCAACAGGGTCACCTGGCTGGAATGATCCCCACCCCCAACTTCTGCCCACAAAAGCAGGAGTGTGGGTAGGGTGAAGGAGCAGTTCTGCCCCTGCCCCGCGGGGCCCCGGGGCAGAGCTTTCAGGAAAGGTCAGACTTTAAGGCCTGTCAGCTCATCCTTGCACAGGGCTGCTCCTTGCTACAATAAAGGCGGGTTAAGAATGTGAACTTGTGGCTGAAATGGGGGGATTAAGTTTGTGGCAACTTCAACTGAACTTGCAACGTGGTGAAACATGGGGAAAAAGAACAACAGAGCTAATTAGACGAGCTGAGCTGTCAGAGTGCCGCTGAATGGCTCAGCGCCAACAAACAAAAGGAATGGGTTGGCAATCAGCGGGATCGGTGGAGGAGACTGCTTCATTAGGGATGATAAAACAGACAGAGCAGGGGGGGAGGGGCGGGGGGGTGGGGAGCACGGAGCTGGAGCCTCGGAGGCTGGGGAGGGAGAGAAAGACACGCCAGACCCAGAGGCGGTTGGTCACCAGCATGGCTGCCGACCCACCCAGAGTCACACACACCTGACTAGTGTGGACAAAGCCAGACACAAAATTACACTCACAGACCTGACCATCCCGAGATACATCGAGGCCTCCAGACTTCCGTGTACACACTATCTCACAAATACACACTCACAGAGGCACGCGCAAGAGGTGAAGGCACACGTATGACTCACACACTCACACACACACCCCCTCACACACACACGGTGGCAGACCACAACCAGGCACAGACACACACAGACAAAACGGTTTAATGAAGCCCGAATCACAGACGATGCAGACAAGTCTTGTCATATTTCAGCGATCACACCCATGTTTCGGGGGTGCTTAGGAAGGGTGGGTACTGGTGATGAAGGAAGAAACCCACAGGCACACACAACAGTGACTGGCCCCACCGGTGTGAGGATCCCAGCCGCGTCCGGGGAGAAAATGCTAAACAGAGATTTCCAGCTCTGTTCAAGGGGGACTGGAGGGGAAACTTGGGAAGCCAGCCAATTCCCCACTGGATTTAAAACCTGAGAAATCTAAGTCGGCAGGGTTAAATGTGTATTGAATACAAAAGCACTGAGTACATTTGATTTTAATGGTGAGCAAGAAATAATAAATACAGAGCTTATAAAGTGCTTCACACGCAGGCCGACGGCAGCCTGCCTTTCCCTGGCAGGCCCCAACCCATGCCCCTTCGTCCAGGAGACACTGGCATGGTTTTCTTCTGCTCTTTCTTTTTTCTTCTTTTTAAAAAGAAAACCCAAATCTTCGGGTAACATCTGAACTCCAGCCACAGGTGCCAGGCTACAAAGCTCCTTCCAGAAAGGCTGAATGGCTAGACCCTCCCCAGCCCCTGCTACCCTGGGCCAACGGCTGCACTTCTGTCTGGAAAGTTTGTGGCTACGTGACCCAGCAAAGCCACACTGGAGGCTGATGGCTCCTGACATGGGAGCTTGGTAGGCTGTTCTCTTCGAGGCCCTTGTGGGTTCCATATGCCGAGTCTCCCCGGTTCCCACCTAGTCTGTAGCAGTGTCCACTGGAAATGCTTGCATAAATGCATTTAGAATAAATGGTCCTTAGGGGCCCAGAAAGCACAAATCTTCTATGACTCCCAAATTGGCCTCTTAGTGGTGATGCTTGGCAGTGTAAGTTCGGGGGACATGCCAGGGACTGTGCTAGGTGCTATACATACACAACCTCATTACCTTTACCAGGTGGTATTGTTAAACCCATTTTACAGATGATGAAACTAATGCTCAGAGGTGAGGATCCTGCCTAAGGTCGCACAGCCAGGAAGTGGCCAAGCTGTAATTCAAACCAGGGCAGGCCTCTCTGACTTCCAAGCCTAGGAGAGCTGGTTCTCCTAGGCATCCTGCCTCTTCAGCATGCCATCAACCCAGGAGGTCCAGCCAAAGCTAGCGCCAGGCTAGTCACCTCCTGCATTAGCTCAGCGCCTGAGGCAGCTGCTACTCCGTGTCTCTCACAGCGTCTGTCTCCCGAGTCCTCAGTTGCCAATGGATGTGGCAGCCCACCCCGCAATCTGCACAGATCCCCACACCAGTGAGACAACACAGAGTCCACTGTAGCTGTCTCCAATACTTGAATTTTTCCAAGGGGAATGATCCTTCCCTGAATCATGGCTTCCAAGATTCCCTGCCCGCCTTGGATCCCAAGCCTCGAAGGGGAATTCTGAGAGCTACCTGCTGCTGACTTTGGCTTAAGGGGAGGCTGTTTGGTAGAAAACAAAGAGAGACAGTGGAGAGAGGCAAGCTGGGCTCAAAGGCAGGACTTATCATCAGGCCTGTCATCATCCCTGTGGTGTTGGCTACAAATTAGGGAGATGGCATCTGCCTGCTCTGGGCTGGACAAATGAGACAATAATTACACAAGTGCCTAGCACAGTCCTAGGCACCATAAAAGGTGCTCAATGAATATTAATTCTCTTCTCCTCTGTGTCTCTGCCAGACCTAACATGGCACTGGAGATTCCACAGACAGTTCAGCTGCTACTGATTCATTTTTTTCTTGACTGAATTTTTTTTCTTCCCGCAGCATTTTATATAGGTTGAGCATCCCTAATCTGAAAATCCGAGATCTGAAACACCCCAAAATCCAAGACTTTTTGAGCCCCAACATGATGCTAAAGGAAATGCTCACTGGAGTATTCTGGATTTTGGATTAGGGGCACACAACCAGGAAGTATCACGCAAATATTCTAAAATCCGAAACAAACTGAAAGCTGAAACTATTCTGGTCCCAAGCAGAAGACGGAGGGTCCAGAGAGCTTGGAATACTGGCAAGACCACAGGTTCTAGAGTCCAGATGACCTTATTTGCAGTTGAGGAACCTGGGTTAAGTTACCAAGCATCAGTTTTCTCATTGCTAAACTGGTGACAATGCCTACTTCACTGAGCGACTGTGAGGCGCAGCTGGGATGAGGTACCTAAGAATGATTTGCTGACTATAAAATCCTAGGCAAGTGATGGTTATTAATAAACTGGGCCATTCCTTAGAAGCTGTAATATGCAAAAACCTGTTAAGAATAAGAACCGTTGGCCGGGTGCGGTGGCTCACGTCTGTAATCCCAGCACTTTGGGAGGCTGAGGCGGGCGGATCACAAGGTCAGGAGATCGAGACCATTCTGGCTAACACAGTGAAACCCCGTCTCTATTAAAAATAGAAAAAAATTAGCCGTGCATGGTGGCGGGCACCTGTTGTCCCAGCTACTCAGGAGGCTGAGGCAGGAAAATGGTGTGAATCCAGGAGGCGGAGCCTGCAGTGAGCTGAGATTGCACCACTGCACTCCAGCCTGAATGACAGAGTAAGACTCCATCTCAAAACAAACAAACAAACAAAAAAAAACTCTTACTGTGTGTGTTCTGCAAATGACAAATGTCATCCACTTTCCTTCTCACAAAACCCCTCTAGGAATGAGGGCACAGCCCCGGAGGTGAAATCAGACTCAGAGAGCTTCAGTGCTTGCCAGAGTGACATGACTTCAGCATTCAAGCCTAGCTCTGTCGGCCCCCCAAATCTGTACTGAAACTCTCACTAGTCACACAAGGTTCAGCCTAGAAGGGGCCTCCTGTCCCCCAAAGCAGTTTCTTTTTGCTGCTTGTGTCTTCTTTCCAGTGACAGTGAGCAGACATATTCTAGCTCCTTGCCAGCTGTGTCGATGGGGGGTTTGGGCCAACCACAGTTTGATGGAGATACGGGATGGATCCACGGTCACGTGTGGCTGGGAGTGTGGACTCGCGACGGTCACAGGGGAAGGCATCTAAGTCCTCCCAGCCTCCCATCTAGCCCTCTAATTCCCACCCACAGCGGGGAAGGGAAGGGAAGGAAAACTGTGCCACAGAATGGCCAACACCCACCCAGAGAGCAGCTACCCAGTGGATGCTGGGTGCATCTCCCCAGGTGAACAGACACAGTTCACCTGGTCACCTGCAGGCCCCGGCCTCTTTGCCTTCACAAGATGGATTTGGACACGTGTGTTGCAGAGGGCGGGAGGACTAGGACACTGGGTTGTGGGGTACTCTTTGGTTGGCCACAGAGTGGTGGCCACACTGAATGGTAGATGGAGAAACTTTTCCCTTGGTAAACAGCCCCCATCGAAAGGTCCTGGATGGTTTCCCACTTTCAAAGCACCTGCTAAAGTTCGCATGCCTCAGCATGGCCGGAGTCTGACCTACCAAGGAAAACGACTCCACTGATGCTTAACACGGGACCCAGACCCCATATTTTTCCATGGACGGATCTCTCTCGCCCTCCCACCCCATTCCCAGGTGGTGGTGGGTTTATCACATTTTGTCCTGCTTCTCCATCCTTACTTGGTTTTTTTTTTTTTTTCTTTTAAGAGACAGGGTCTTGCTCTGTCACCCAGGCTGGAGTGCAGTGGTGCAATCATAGCTCACTGTAGCCTCAGCCTCCTGGGCTCAAGTGATCCTCCCATCTTAGCCTCCTGAGTAGCTAGGACTACAGGCATGCACCACCACGCCCCTTACTTGGCACTTAACATGGGAAAGTGGATCTCCAAGGAAGGCCTGGCAGGGCAGCGGTACCTGTATCCATATGAGCTGGCTCCATACTCCCTGGACATAGCCTCCACCCCTGGGAAGGTACAAATGCATCTCCAGACCAAGATCTGGCGGGAACGAGACCCTTGCCCCCGGACTTCTGCTTCGTTTGTGAGGAACAGGCGTCTGGAGGAAGGCTTCCAACCCATTGCTCACCCTAGGAGACTTGCTCAAATAATGCACACGCAGCACACGCAGCACACAGTGGCCCCCTTGCTACCTATGGCTCTGATCTGCAAGTCACCAAACTTATTCACGAAAAAGCAAGAGAAGCCCAGAGAATGCAAGCTCAAGTTCATGCCACACAGAGAGGGAAGCTGAAAAACCCAATTCCCAGTTTTCTTTTGCCAGGCAGGAGGGTCCAAACTCTGGAGGTTTAGTCAGGCTGAGGGAGAATGGCTCAGGCAGTGTTAGGTGGGGAGGGCAGAACCACCAGCTACTCACGGGCCTCGAGCGCTGTATCTTGGGAGGCGGTCGGGTGGGACGCAGTCTCTGCAGCTGCATTAAAGTGGAAACTTACAACATCAGGACACACTGAGAAGGCTCAATGCATTTCCACACACGGCCTGGAGGAAGGCACCCAGTCACCTAAGCCAGAGCCAGAGGGCCAACCTCGACGCCTCCTGCCTCGCCCCCACTGTCCACCTTTTGAGGCCGTCTCCTCTGCTCATTCTTTCCTTCTAACCTTGTCTCCAGCCTGGGTTACTGCAATCATCTCCCAACAGGGCTCCCAGCTCCGCCCTCCACCATGCTCCACACAGGCTGGGGGCCCTTCCCAGGTGCAATAGGGCGAGCCCACCCCCTCTCCAGACCTCTCATGCCCCCTCCTGTCCTTGGGCGCCTGCTCAAGGCTAGAGGCTGGCACTGCATGTCCCCCAAGACCGGGACTCCACTGTGCCCCACACAGACCTTTCTCAACCTTCACCCATGCCTGCCCTGGGCAGATCCTTTAAGTAGCACTGGGCTCTCATGCCTTGTTTGCCACCCACCCTCCGGGTGGAATGGGCTGCTCCGGCTGGACTGGCCTGCCAAACGTGTGCCTGTCCTTCAAGAGCTCTGTCGGCTCGGATGCTGCCTCGTGCCTCCTGCTATGTGGGACTCAGCGTGGGATCCCTCACCCCTGCCCCCACGGGACCTCTTACAGGTCTATCTCCAAGGGGGTTCATCCCTATGCCTGCAGGCTCTGTGAGACCTGGGGAAAAAATCTGCTCAACAAGCGTCTGATGAACAAATAAAATTTGTCCAAAATGATTGGCTTTTGAAATCAGGATTTGAATCAAAACCAGTAGAGCACAGACTTCTCAGCTCTCCCCTCAAACCCTTTATCTTGAACGCCCAGCAGTGTCCTTTCAACAGCCTGCCTGTCTTGATGCTCTCGCAGGCATGGGAGACAGGGAGGCTGAGTAAGGAAAGTAAAAATTCACGCGAGACCCAGGCCGCGGACCCACAGCAATCCCCGGGAGGCTTCCGGTTGTTTCCTGCCCATTCCGTCACTCAGGTCACAAAGATACATCTAACTGGACCAAATCCAGACTTGCCCCAGCCAAAAGGGGAGCCAATGTCCCATGTGTCTGGTCCACGTTAAGATGTGCTCTAAATCCCAGCACTTTGGGAGGCCAAGGTGGGCGGACCACCTGAGGTCAGGAGTTCGAGACCAGCCTGGCCAACATGGTGAAACCCCCATCTATACAAAAATACAAAAATTAGCCGGGCATGATGGCACATGCCTGTAATCCCACGTACTCGGGAGGCTAGGACAGAAGAATTGCTTGAACCCGGAAGGCGGAGGTTGCAGTGAGCCAAGATCGTGCCATTGCAATCCAGCCTGGGCGACAGAGTGAGACTGTCTCAAAACAAAACCAAAAAACACGTGCTATAAGTGCAAAACACTGGACTTCAGAGACTCGGCACGAGGAAAGAATGTCAGACGCCTCAGTAATAATTTTTAGATTGATTACATGTTGAAATAATATTTTGGATATATTGGGTTCATTATATTAAAATCAATTTCACCTGTTTATGTTTCACATTCAGAATTCCACATGTGACTCCCGTATGAAGCTCCCATTATGTTTTTCTTGGACAGTGCTGATATAGGGCTCTACTGAGTGGGAGTGACACTTCAGATCTCAAATCTGCCTTAGAATTTGTTTTCTGAACCTGCCCCACTACTCCTGGAGGGCAGGGCCTGTGTCCCAGTTGTCCCTGGGTCCCTGGTGCTCTGCATGGAACCTGTCGGGGCAGCCTGAGGGGAAAGCGGGTCCAGGGACTTGGTGGAGGGTTCCCTGGCGGCACATGGAGAACACGATGGGATAGAATGACACCGTGGCTTCCCAGATCCTATGCCATTAGCTGGGCGTGAGGGCTGACCCATGCTTGGTGACCCTTCAGCTGACAGCTACCCGGGAGTTGGGGGTGCTGCCTAGGGATGGGCAAGGCCACCATGTTTTTTCCCCTTCCTGGCTTACAGGAAGTGTGTGGGGGAAAGGGGAACAGCCCCCCCACCCCTCAATTCACACCATTCATCAAGAGGAAGAGGTGATCAGGGAGAGGGGAGCCCACCCCCTCCACCGGTGCACAGGCTGCTACCCTGTCTAGACACCCAGCTCTCCTACACCACTCCCCACAATACTGCTTCTCTTATGCTTGGCCTTTCTACTTCGGGGGAACCATCTTCTCCAGCCCCACTGTCTTCACTGCTTGTCACCTCTGGCTTGGGCTATTTCCATTCCTGCTGGGTGGCAGTGCACCAGAGCGCTCGGGAGGCAGCCTCTAGGGGTCAGACAGTTTTGGAGAGAACCCCAGTTCTCCCATTTACTCCCTGGGTTACTCCAGGCCCACGATTTGACCATTCCAAGCCTTACTGTCCTCATCTGTGAAGTACAGGTAACAGCACTGCCTACCCGAGTGTCCTGTTAGGAAGATTCAACGAGATGATGGACGTCAGGTTCTTTGCACAGTGCCACCAACAGACATTAGCAACCATTACCATCAGCAGGTTTCCCTGCCTCCAGCCTCTCCCCCTCCCAGTCCATCGCCTACATTTGTTTCCAGAGAGGACTTAAAAAAATGTCCACCCAGTCTTGGCACTTGGCAGATGAAATCATCTCAGTGGAAGGCCGGCATCTCACAGGGTGTCTGCTGAGAAACACCATCCTGGGAGACGCATTGTGTGAAGGGAAAAAAGGAGGTTCCCCAGCCAGGCAAATCTGAGAAATGCTGTCTTCTGTCTTGCTCCTTTTGGGGATTCACAACGCCTGTTAGCATAGCAAAGGCTGGTGAGTCTTGCAAGAAAAAAACCCACCCAAACCAGGCAAAAACCTATTAACTCTTTTTTAAAAAGTCCTATTTCCCAAGTTTATTTGAACATAGACTTGCTTTCCCTATACCACCCATGAATATCCCCTGGAAAATGCTGTCTGAAGTGTTCAAAGCCCTCCAGATTCAGGGCCCCGCCATCCACCTCCGCAATCTCATCTCTGGTAAAACCCCGCCTCACATCCACAGCACACCGGCTGTCGTTATCAGCTCACTCACTTCTCTGTTTACCATAGGGTCTAGTAGAGTACTTGATACCTAATAGGTGCTCAGCAAATTACTTTTGGCTTAAACTTCCTGGCACATGTAAAAACACACCAAATGTCAATTCTCCAGATTCTTCAATTAACTCATTTTCTTTTGCTTGTCCTCGGGAAGTGCTGGCTGTTTTGCAACTGAATTGATAAATGGTGGGAAGAAAGCAGCCTCTTGACCACACCCATTCTAAAAGTTAGCAGAGTGAGCCAGCGGGATATAAAGATGCCAAGAAAGAGTAACGTGGTACAGATGTCCTGGCGCACCCAGTCAGATAAAACCCAACAACGGCAACCAAGAACAGGAAGCCACATTGCCCCTTCTGACACTCGGGGAGTTTTCCCTGCGGGTTGTCGGCACGAGGGGATCCTGTCACCAGAGGAAACACACAGGGACGGGGGCTGCACTCACCGACCCTGGGCTTGTTATGATGCTGGAGCATATGATGGGGACACCTCCTGTGGGGTGGCCGCCAGGAAGAGAAAGGTGAACTCCCAGGGGGTGCGCATTGAAGACCCTCCACCCTGGGGCTGGGGAGAGGAAGAAGGGGAGGGCTGCACTAATTATCAGGATGCCCTGCCAGGAGTGTGCAGGCCCTGGGGACCAGAGCTGAGGCTGGGGACAGGTGAGCAGCTGGATTGTCACCAGCGGATTAGACAGTAATCCCGTGGGAAGCAGTCTCAGATTTCGGACACTAGAACATCTGATTGTGTGCAGGGCCCTCCTGCTCCCACCGCAGGGTCTCCAGGCCTAGCTGGTTTGCTGAGTGACTTTGGCAAGCAAGTGACTTCCCTGGGCCTCTGTGTCCTCATCTGTGAGGCCAGTCACGAGGGCCCTGCTGCAGGGATGCGGGGCATCTGATGGCACTTCACGCAGGGCCAGGGGCACAGTGGACACGCTGCTGGGGAGGCCTCTGCTTCCTAGACAGGGCGTGGTGGGGCCATCGGCCATGGTGGTTGCAGTTTCCCAAATAAGCTGGGGTGTCCCCAGCTGGGGACACAGATGGGGAAGAGTAGTCTGGAGACCATTAAACACTGTAGGAGGTGAGTAGTAGTGATTTGGGTGGGAAGAGGGGGTAAGGGGATGAGCTAGGAAAGGATCAACTCAGAAAAGCATGCTCTCTTCCAGAGAGTGGCCCCGGTGCTCTAGAAGCTGAAGCCAGCACTAGCTGAATGTAGGGACTACAACAGTGTGGTTGGTGTGAGGCCCGAGAGGACGGCAGAGCTGGCCAGGACTCAGTGAAAGTTATTCTGAACCTGGAGTGGTTCCTCTCCCATCTGACTCAGCTCTGGTTGTCTGCATCCCCAGCCCACAGCCCAGGGCTGGGCCCCTGAGCCTGCTCCTCTTTCACGCTGGTGCTCCTGCCCTTGCTAAGTGTCCTAGTGGCCATGGAAAAGGGAACAGATTGGAGGGAGGTAAAGCGAGCTGCTCAACACCCCCAGCTGGTAATGGGCAGAGCTGGGAGTGTTGGTTGTCATCGGGAAGGCCTCTTGACCGCTGACCGCTTGAGTGCTCTTTCCACCGCTGAAGGAAAGGAAGGTAAAACTGGAAGAGCTTTAAAGTAGATGCAGCAGAGAATCGAAGCAGTCTGGGCATCTTTGCATTGAGGTCATGTTATATGTGATCCTCTGTCCCCTGGCCGGGTTGAAATGTGGCTACACAGACTGCTGCTTCTTAAGTCAGTTCAAAAAGACTGGGCCTTTGGCGATCTTTTGCTAAGGAGAGTTCAATTCGACAGTTCCTCCAGCACTTCCCGAGCTGGGCCAGGGCAGGAGGGGAGAGAGGGCCGGCGAAGCGGGGAGAAGGCCGGAGTTTTCTTCGATGGTCAACGCAAAGTGCCTGCTTTCCTGAAAAACACATCTGGAGGGGAAGCAGATGGACTGTCACAGAGTGGAAGGATTCCTCCTGTGTGTCTTTATGGAACAACTAAGTATTTGGGGGCCAGGACCAGGGGGATTCAGAGAATAAGACACAGTCCTTGTCCTTGAGGACTGCAGAGTCTGGTGGGATTTGACCTACACCATGGGAAAATAACTTCTTAAAGTGAAAGAAATATTGGTGGGGTAAACCCCAAGAAATAGACTTCGGGTTAGAAACCCATGGGTTCACGAGTTGGTTCTGTCATTTTCTAGTTGACTTCAGTATTGGTTCTGCCACTTAGGCGAGTTATTTAATCTCTCTTAAGTCTCAGTGAACTCTTCTGTAAAATGGCAAAACTCCCAGGTTACAAGCATCGGTGTGAGGATGAGAGTACAGTTACAGCCGCACGAGGTTCTGGTTTGATATCCTGAAGATGAAATGGGACCACTCCATCTTCCATCTCCCCATGGTACCCACAGGTCTTTCCAGAAAAGTCCTATGGACGTGAGGACCCTGGTTTTCCAAAGCTGTGTGCTATCAGCAAGGTTCTGTTGAAGGACACTGGATTTTAATAATAATCTCTTCTATTTATATGATGTGTTTTCCTTTCAAAGCATTTTAACTTCTGTTCTTTCTTTTGAACCTCACAGTCCCTGGTGAGGCAAGTTAGAGAAGGATTATTTCCCTGTTACAGAGACAGGAAACAGGAGGCCCAGAGAGGTTAAGGGACTAGTATGAGGTCACACAGCTAGTAGCGAAAACTAAAACAAGCAGGTATTCTTAGCCCATTGTGCTATCCTTGTCAACTAAAATTTCCAAAGTCACCTGGAATCCTTTCTGACACGGTTCTTCTAATCCTTGTCCCTTCTGAAGTTAGAATCTGTTGTTAGAGATCTGTGCCTCAGAGAAAAGGCTGATGAGAGAGTAACTGTCACCTTCTCCTTCTTTCCTTATTTGAGCATCTTTTTGTGGTGCTTTCCAAAGGAGGCACCTGATTCATTTGTCCATTCATTCAACAAACAGTGCGTGGCATCCCAGGCACAGGGGCACATGTCTCACCAAGACTCTGGTAGAGGGCGCTGTCATGCATGGGGTACACAGGAAGGTCTCTGCCATAGATTGGGGGGGGGGCAGTGGTAGGGAGTGCAGGGACAGGGGACCCACAGTGGTCCAATCAGACAAGAGTGAGGCTGAATATGAGGACAGGGCAGGCCAGGACCTGGGAGGGGCTGGGGGAGGTCAGATAAAAAGAGGGCCTTGAATGTCAGGCTGAGAATTTGCGGATTTTCTTCTGAGCTCAGTGGGAGGGATATAATCAGAGACACAATAAGAGGAACCTTGACGTCCTTGGTATAGAAAATGCATTGGAGGAGGATGGGGTATGCTCCTAGGAACAGACACTCCCCTCCAATCACAGGAGCCTGCCCAGGCCTCCATATTGCCAACCCACCGGCCCTGGCCACACCACTGCTGGGAGATGTGAACACAAGAGAGGGTAAGACCGAAGGCATGATTGACACAGAAGTCCCTGAGAAGAGGGGACCTCTTTGGCCTTTGTTGGTCTCTGCCTGGCCCTCGGCATCTCTATCTGTCAGCTGTGTGGGCCAGGTGAGTATGCTCATTGGATATGAAACCGGCATTTATGAGGACAGCATCTGATTTGCAGTTCATTTGTTGATGCAGCAAAACACATTGTTTCCAAAAGGTCAGGAGGGGAAGGCGCGTTGGAATAGCAACTTAATTACCTGGGTGGCATGGATGAGTGGGCACCCCGCACAGGGCTGCAGGGTGGAAAACGCTCGACGGCCAGGTGGTGACTTGGGGGCAGAGAGCGCAGTGTGTAGGGGAGGAGAGGTGGTGTCCCTGCTGCCTGGGAGCCAGCCTGCCTGTGCTGTGGGCAGAGCCAAGGCACTTTCTGCTGCCGGTGCTTCCAGGGCCTAAGCAGCCGCTGCACACTCACCAGCGCAAGGCTCCTCTGCAGGGAACGAGGGCTGCTACCCATTTCACAGATGAGGGCAAGCAAGGACTTGCCCAGGGTTGCCCAGAGCAAGTGCGTAACAGGCCCTGAGAAGAGGGCCAGTGAGCTCATCCTGAGTTAATTATGGGCTGGGGCAGGGGTGCTATGATGTTTGTGCATGGGGCAGAGGGCAGACAGCTGTTTAGGGATGGACCCGTGGATTCACTCAGTCCCCAGTGAAGGGGACATCTGGGACCATCCCTTCAATATCCTTGTGCCGTCAGAATGAGCATCTGCACTTCACTGCTGGGACAGCAGGGCCACACAGAAGGTGAAATGTCAAAGTTGGCAGGAGACAGGCCAGACCCCAACCGAGGAGCGGTATAGGTGAGAAAATAGAATAGTACAGATGCTGGAGGCCACAGGGACCAACCAGGTTCACTAAAGGCTGAGGACTGTGCATGCAAAGATTGGGGTGGCTGGTGAGGGGAGGCCAAGAAGGTGGGGTGTGCCTGATGGCAGCTGGCGCATGACAGAGCTAGCCTCTGAAGCTGGCCCCAAAGGGGGTCTCAGATCCTCTGTGTGCATTGTGTACTCTGAATTGTCCCTTCCCTGCCAGGTGCCTACCTGCCTCAAATGGAGGAGGCCTGGCCCCAGAGGGGGAAGCTGGATAGGCCCTGCCATTTCTCAGTTTGTCCCAGGCACATGCCCCAGTCAAATACGTGGCCAGGAATGGAGATGGGGAAGAGAGCAAATTCACAATTAAACTCTGTCGCTGTTTAATGAGGAGAGTGTTCACCTGGTTAATTTTTCCTGGCTAGTAGCCACATCAATGCTCTGACCTATGCATGAAACAGACCCGGTTGGGAGGGAAGACAAAGCCTTCTGTAGTTTTACAAAGGGCCTCTGCGCCGAGAGCAAGGCTCCTCTACACTTTGGGACTGGAAATCTGCTATTATGCAAGGCATGGAAATAAAAGAGGGCTGCTTTTGATATGCCTCCAAAAAGGAGTGCATTGAAGCGATATTTTTGTGGAGTGTCTCCTTTGAGATGCCCAAGAAGCTCTCTTGCAGGCACAGCTCTCACCTAGCCCCCAGCGCCCATCGCTGTCTCCGATCCTCTCTGTCCGCCCTGGATGAGGGCTGTGCTGCTTGCGGGGGAGGATCAAATACTTGCCTCCACTTCAGAGCTTCAGCCAGGGCAGCTGGAGAAGACCAGGCCCTGGTGTCACGTAGCGTACAGCATGCTCCTTGCCTGAGCCACTCAGCGGGGCACCCAGAGGAAATGTGGGGATCCTGAGGCCTGAAGCATTTGCAGAGATAACAAGCTGTCACTCTAGAGGGATATTCCTTGCAAGATGCTGTACAGGAAGGACTTCCACGTCACGCTGAGGAAGAGGTTTCCACTTGCTGAGAGTCCACTCACACAGGGCAACAAGGACCTGTTTCTTCAGGGAAAGGAAGGGAGGCTGGGAGGGGCCAGGTATTACTCAGGATATCCCAGTGGTCCTGGCGACTCTGAGACAGAGGCTCTATTATGATTGCCGCTCTGTAGACAGGGAAAGGGAAGCCCCTTGCCCAAAGGCACAGCACATAGGTAGGACGCAGAGAGGTCGGGCTGGGCTTCACTCTGAACGGCAGACTCCACAGTGAGGTTTCTGGGTGCCCCACAACTTGCCCTCCAGAGGCGCCACCTGCGAGGGGGATGAGGGGGTGCTCAGGATCGAAGGGGGTCCGGGAAGAAAAGCCGCAGCACCTGCCGCGGGGTCTCACAGAGATGATCTCCGGAGAGAGCGCGCTCAGGATTCAGGGGCTCGCCAGTCCTGTCAACGACTCTCTCCGGCTGGGTCCGGGCACTCTCTTTGCCGTGAGTGAGTGCTGAGCTGAAAGACATCTCAGACTGGTCCTGAAGAGCAGTGCATTCTTCCCCGATGTTGACAGGAGTAGTATTTTGTAGTGGTGCTGGTTAATTTGTAGTGGCATTTGTGGTTTGAAGCCTTGTCAAGATCCCTGATTACTTCCCGTGCAAAGAGCTCGGCTGACGGGGAAGTTCACATGCTGAACAAAAGCAGCGAGGCAGCTGTGAGGGAAGGCTGCGTGGGGGCCGGGTGACCCTAGCCGCTTGGGGGACAGAGGCGGGGGAGGGAGGAGGGCCAGCAGTGGGGCAGGGGGAGGGGAGCCCTTTGTTTTTAGTCGGGTGCAGGTGCACAGTCTGAATAGGTGGCATCCCATTGGTGGCCGGAGGTCGGGCACCAGATGCGGCTGGTGCCTGGGCAGGGGCAGGGACCTCGCTGACGTATGCCATTCTTTGCCCAGACAGAAGCAGGAGGCAGGCGCCTTGCTGCTGGGATGCATCTAGGATGCTGTCGAGGGTGCCTGGGTGACATTCCCAGGAGGAGGGGGACACGAGGTGAGGTTAGAGGGGCTTCCAGATGTTGGGGGAAATGATCTCCTCTCTGGGGCTACTATTTTCTGACACTTGCTAGGTACCAGGCCCCGTGCTAGGAGATCTACATGCGAGGTCTCTATTCATCTCAGCAACCCTCCAAGAATGTGAAAGATGAAGAAACCGAGGCCATGTCACTCAGTGACTTGCCCAGGCCCGGCCTGACAGCTAACGGGTGGCAGAGCCAGGATCCAAGCCCAAGTACGCCTGACTCCAAAGAAGCCCACGCTGCTCCCAGGAGACCCGACATACCAACAGCAGAAGAAGATGTTAAAACGTATCTCCTCGGGTCCGCTCCTCTCTCTCCCCAGAAAGTCCTCCCTCTGACATCCTTTGAGACTTTTGTCCTGCTAAGTCTGTTCTGACCACACAGAAAGGTTTGTCTTTGCAGCCGCCTGCATTTCACCAGGCCCGTGTCCCTACTCAGTGAGAATTTGCTCAGTACATTTAAGGACCAGGGCCAGCTCAGCAAAACCAGGCTCATTTATCATCTCTGGAATGATGTCCACCCTAACAGGATGCAACTAGGAAATGAGAAGAATTCTCCTCATTTTGCAGAGGTCCAGAGAGGAGTGCATAGCACCCTCTATCTAGAAAGGGAGTCCAGGACTCCTTGGCCAGGCCACCACGAGCCTCCAACTGCTTTCCCTGCCACTGGCAGCCCAGGAGAGTTGCTCACATCCCTGTCCCCAGCATGCCATTCAAGACCTGGCCCTGCCCCCGATAAACCCCACCACAAGAAGCCCCTTCTTTCCAGCCAGCCCCCTCACGGGCCATGGCCCTTCACAACACACATGCTGGTCCTATAAGCCCTTCCCTCACTCACCCACCTGATGGATCCCTGCATCCCTCACGACTCTGTTCCCTTCCCCCAGAAGTTCTCTCTCTATTCCTGGCCCACAAAAGTCGGGCACTCCTACCTCTGTCCTTCCCCTAAGAAGGTGAGTCCTTGAGGGTTCACATCTGGCTCCTGGCACAAGGCCTGGCACGCGGTCAAGTTAAAGTAAATGGCTGCCCAAGAGTGGGGAACTAGCATCAAATTATCAGTGAAGCCATCACCCAGCATCTGAATAATGCCAGACCCGCCAGTCATTGTCCCCATGATTTGAGTTACTTTGTCTGCAAGACTGGCAACATTCCTGGCATGCTTCTGATCAGGAAAAACCCTCTACCTACAGGTTTCCTAGCCTAACAGGTTGAGCCCCAGGGCCATCCCCCAAAGCAATAGACTTTTTGAGTGGAATGCAAACGTGGAAGCAATGGGAAGCTTAGATATGAAATATCCCAAAATTTCCCTAGTGTGTCTGTTAAAGAAAGATAGTCAGGTTCACCAGACAGAAGGTTTTTTTTTTTTTTCCTTCCCTCAGAACAAATGGACGGAGAACCTGGTTTTAAAATTCCTGGACCTTGGAATACATTTCTATCTGTGTCAAAGTCTACCCATCCACCGCCTCAGCAGAGTTTAAAATCCTAGCTAATAGGTTAACAACTGTTTTTCTTCAGCTTCAAATGAAGAATATCAGAAGGCTGGGGGAATATGCGGCTCTCCAATTTGTACGGACTGCACACAGCTCCCTGCAATGTGTGTTTGACAGGACTGACATTTTGTACTGCTGTGAGATGGGAAAACGTGTGACATTTTTATTCATGGTGGCGTACGCCCTTGTAATGATCAGCTCTGGTCGATGTGCTTACCGCAGCAGCCCCTGAGCCCTCGGAGAACAAACAGGAACCCAAGGTGCCAGCAGTTCGACTGCCTTATTAAACACCGCCAGGATCCTAACGAAGACCAACTGCTGGAAAATCTCACTGTCAAATCCTCAAGGACATTGTCAGCGCACAGCTAACTGCATATATTTTTCATTTAAAATACTGAAATCCAGCATTGTGCCATTACAACCAAGGGGAGGGGCGCCCACTCCAGCGGCCATTCTGTCAGCTGCTTCTTCCAAGCTCCAGATGCTAGAGCCGGATGCCCGGTGGGGTTCAGAGCTCAAAATGGGGCGGCAGAGACGGGACACTGACTTCCCGAAAGCTCAGCCCTGCCTTCAGGGTGAATGGCTGAAAGTTACAGGGCTCCGGTAAGAGTCCCCTGGAAAGGCAACTCACCGGCCCCTTTTGCAAGCCAAAGTGAATCTGCATAATTAGGAAATCTCTCCCTCCCCCAGCCAGCCCTCTTCCTGTAGGTACAACCCATTACGTCCTGCAACTCGGCGCTCATCAGCCTTCTGCTTGGCGGTAGACCTTAAGACATCTGCAGGAACACATGGCTGTGGTAGGTTTCACACCTTGGCAGAGAAGCTGTGTGTCAGGGTGCCCACCTGCAATCTCACCACTTGCCTCAATGCAAAGGCCTCAAGGTCAGCGTGCAGGAGGACCCCCTCCCTTCGGCGGTCATTTCTAATGCTGGTGCACACTGATGGATGGAAGCTGATCACTTGGCAGGCCCTCAAAGCTTTCCGTGGTTGTTAAACTAGGTGCTTTGGTTATGGCTGCACACGCTCATGTATGGGATATATTTATTTTGTAAATATGCATTATTTATACAGTACTTCTATTTCCATACTCCAGCCCTGATGCACCAAGATACACGCTACTGTTTATTTATGGGGTCCTTGGCATAACAGGCCTAACAAGAGGCCCGTGTGTGGTTCTTGCAAGTTTGCAACAAACTGTAAGTGGTTGGCTAAACAACTGGATGTTCTCCATCCATCACAGGTACAGGCCTGCATTTTAAGGGGCTACCCGTAAAGTTGGTTTAGCATAATACTGTACATCATCCTTGGTGGAAATGGCCTGGGGGCTGAAGAGCTGGCAACCTGGAGGGAAGGAGCCATAACATTCCACACCCTAGGCTGGGGAGAGGGGGTGGAGTAAGTTACGGGTATCCTGGTGCTTACAGCACTCTGGGAGAGTATAAAAAGGAAGGTGGTTGGTAGACAGCCCTGGGGAAAATGCAGGGACAGTGAGGGTTGGGGGAGCTGTACCCTCTTTCCTCCAAGCAGGCTATTCTGCCCCTGAGCAGAAACTTCTAGTCTGGGTTGCTGAGGGAGGGTGTCCATCAATCCTGCACACCCCAAGGGACATCCCTTCCTCACGGACTGTACTTCAAGCCTCACTGGGGCATGCTGGCTGGATGAAGAGGAACACAGCCTGTGTCCAGCCCTGTGCTATTCTATGATCAGCTTCAACAGTTCCCACGCAGGACATCCGGCTGCCCGCCAAGTTGTGTCCTTTGGGTCTCCTAAATGTCTCTAGGATGATTTTCTCATCTTTACCCCCAGAAGCAGTGTCCTAGATTAGGCTCCCACCAGCCCTGGCCTGAGCAATGTCCGTGGGATCATCAGTGGTCTCTCTGCCTCAACTACTTCCATCCCCTTCCACAGTGGCCCAGCATACATATTCCCAGCTGCTATTTCTCTGAATACAACCCTCGTTGGCTCCTAGGCACCTATGGGATAAAATTCAAGCTCCCCCACCTGGGGTGGGGAGAGCCCAGGTTCCAGCATCAGATAGGCCTGGATTTTAATTCTTGCTCTGCCACTTACTGTGTGACCTTGGTCAAGGTGCTTAACCTCTCTGAGCATCAGCTATCTGGGGATCATCATAACTGCATCAGTCTTAGAGGGCTGTTGAGAACATTAAGTGAGACGAAGTTTGTGAAGGGGCTTGGCTGAGACACAGGAGGTCTACATTGTAATGAAAACCCCTAGGTCCACCTAACCCCTTTTTACTCTCCATCTCTTGGTTAGTCCTTGCCATCCCTTCCTCTGGGCACAGCCAGGTTAATAATTTCCTTAGCCCGCAGGCACTACCTGGCTCTGCCAGGGCTAGGGACTGATGGTGGATGTGCGACAAGCAGCCTCTGGCACAGCACTCCTGTGACCATGGGGCGGGGACTCCCTGCACAGCCACAGATACAGAGCTGACTCTCTAAGGTGATCTCGCATGTGGTATATAATTTATTTTCAATATTTTATGTTTTATTTCCCCTTCCCTGCTGTGATAAACTCCCCACCTCTGGCACAGAGAATTCTAATCTGAGAAAATGTCTCCTCTGGTCTCGCTGAATCAGATTTCCTGCTCTTGTCCTGTTGGGCTCAATATCTCCCCGGCAGGGAGCTGGATTCTGAGCAGCTCCGACACAGACCTTTAAAGAAATGCCGTTTGTAGGCTCTGGCCAGTCCTTTGGCAGAGAAGCCCCGCTGTCACACCGCTGAAGGTGGAGCCTTGGGGGACTCAGGATCCTGTCTCTCACAACCTGGCGCCGCGTGCGGGGATTCTAAAGCGCGTGCAGGCGCCGCAGAACAAGTCACTGCCTTTTGCTGGATTTCTCTTGCTCTGCTGAACCGACTGACTACTCAAGGGCACAAGGAGTGAGTGGACCTGGCCTCGCCTCTTCCCCACGTCACTGCCTTTCCTGCCCGCACTCATTCACCACTTGGTCATTCCCCAAACTCTCATGGGCAGCTCGTCTGTGCCAGGCCCTGTGAGGGTGCCAAGGATACAGAGAAGGCCAATTCTGTCCTTTTCTGTGGGACAGGGTATAAATGCATCCCCAGCAAGCCAGCATAGGGACAGTGCCGGCTCAGAGCAGCAAGGGAATGACTGGGCTTGGAGAAGTCGGTGGAGGTGGGGGCTTGTCAAGGGAAGGCGATGCCTGAGCAGGGCCTTGAAGGGTTGGGAGGATTTTCTGTTCAGGTGGAACAGAAGAGGAAAATCATTCCTGGCAGCAGAGATGGTAGGGGCTGATTCATCCCTGGGTCCCCCAGTGCAGATGCCCATGAAGAGCTGGTGAACAAATAAATACGAGGCGCTAGGGACTAGAGAAGAAGGGACTCTGCCCAGGGCAGGGGCACTTCACAGAGTCCTGGAGGGTGGGCAGGAACTGCCAGGAGTGGAGGATGGCAGGGAGCTCCAGACTAGAAGGCCTAGCTGTGGTCAGGGTGGGCTTGGTAGGGGTGGTGGTGATTTCTGGCAGGGAGGGTCCTGGAGGCTGGGTACGTCCTCTTGACCATGCAGGCAAACCAGTGGTCAGGGAGACAATCCTGGAGAGGTGCCACATTCGGGAGGCTGCAGGCCCTGCCTATCTCAACGTGTGCTGATGCTTTCTGATACCCATTGTGCCTCACAGACCAGTCGAGGAGAGAGACACAGGACCCCAGGGATATGAGGAATGTATGGGTACAGAGGGGCTGACACCTTGGTGGAACTGGGGTACAGCTGGTTTGGGAAGTCTGACTAAGACATTCTAGTAGCTGAAGCTTGTGAAACAGGAATGAGCTAGAAACAGAAACCTGGAGCTCCCAGAACAAAGGTGGTGCTAGAAACCACAGGTAGAGCTCCTCGTGGCTGCTAAGGGAGTAGAGTTAGAGGCAGAATGGAGCCAGGGAGGAGCTCCATCTAAGGGAAGGGAGGACCAAACACAGGTCCTAGGTGCAAAGCCCAGCTCAGACCTCCCTCTCTGGCTGGACTCTACAGGGCAATCAGTCAGCCATTCTGCAGCCAGCCTAGTTTCTGTTCCTCTTTGTGTATTTTAGTTGAGCTTTTCTGGAGACCATAACTTGCACCAAAGAAATTATTTAAAAGGTGAGAAATGTCCATTGCAACTGGCTGTGGAAAGCAAGTGGGGACGCCTGGACCAGGGGCAGATACTTAACATGAAATCAGTTGCCACCTCATCGCAGAACAGCCTGGAACAGCCACTGTGTTTAGTTTCTCTGGTTTGGAACCCTCCCCATGCATCTCAGACACAGCCTGAAGAAGATGCACACTCCCATCTTAGAAAGACAAGCTCTCTGCCTAGTCCTTGAAGCAGATAAAAAGCAAGGGTGTTAACAAAACATTCCATCTATTTCACAGTGATCTCTAGCAAGCTGGCCGTGAGGAGCTGATGGGCACCTCATGAGAATGCTGGTGGGGAGACCACCCTGAGGACCAAACTTGTTGGGGTTTAGAACAAACAAAAAGGGCACTTAGAGATGCCCTATGGCATGATCACACAAGCACAAATCTGGGCCTTTCAAAACTACCAGATGGATTCTGTCCATCAGGATTACGTTGAACCACTCACCACGAGAATGTTAGACCCCTGAAGTCAGGAACCGTGTCATTGCCATCTCTGTTTTCACAGATGTGGCACAGAGTAGGCATCAGTGATGATTTGCTGAACGAATGACCTAGGTTCTTAGCTTCTACCCTTCTCCTCTCCTAGCCCCGGGACTGCAGTGGACTTTGTCACACTTGAGTCTCCAGAAGCTATCGCAGGCAACGGCAGACAGCTGTGCCCATCTCTACACCCTGCCTCCTACCTCCCTGGTCTGCCATGCGCTAACCTGCCATTTCTCTTCTGTCCCTCCTCTATCTGGTGCCCTGGTTAATGTCTGACCTTGACTCTCAGCCCTGCATGCTCTCTCGGTTTTAGGATCCCCACAGGTCTGGTATGAACCGTTCTCTGCTGTGAGACAAGTGGACAAAGAGCTGAGACAGTGTCTCCTGTTTGGCTTCTGTGCACATTGTCAACTTGATCTTCTCTCCCTTCTTTTGATAATGGCCCCAATTTCCCTTTCAGGAATGACCCCTTAGGTATATGCTTCAGGTGGGGCCCTACCTGCAGCACACAAAAAACCCTTGGCCTCAATAATTGGTTCCGATGGGCATATAATCAGTCAGTCCAGCGAGTCAATGCCGTGCCTTGCGTGGGAGTTACTAGGAAGTGACAGTCACTTTCCTGTTGGTCTTGCACCTGGAAGGATTGCAGGCATCTTGCCACCAGGAGGGGAAAGCCTGCCTGAGAATGGCCGTAGCAGAAGAGGCAAGGCCAATAAATGAGGCAAAATAAAAAAATGGGGTCTAGGTTGGGCGCAGTGGCTCACGCCTGTAATCCCAACACTTTGGGAGGCTGAGGCAGGTAGATCGCTTGAGCTCAGGAGTTCGAGACCAGCCTGGGCAACATGATGAAACCCTGTCTCTACAAAAAATACAAAAATTAAACAAGCCAAAACGAATCCAGCAGCACATCAAAAACTTATCCACCATGATCAAGTTGGCTTCATCCCCAGGAAGCAAGGGTGGTTCAACATACACAAATCAATAAATGTAATTCATCACATAAACAGAACTAAAGACAAAAACCACATGATTATCTCAATAGATGCAGAAAAGGGCTTTGATGAAGTTCAACATTCCTTCATGTTAAAAACTCCCAATAAACTAGGTATTGAAAAAATATACCTCAAAATAGTAAGAGCCATATATGACAAACCCACAGCCAATATCATACTGAATGGGCAAACACTGGTAACATTCCCCTTGAAAACCAGCACAAGACAGGGATGCCCTCTCTCACCACTCCTATTCAACACAGTATTGGAAGTTCTGGCCAGGGCAATCAGGCAAGAGAAAGAAATAAAGGGCATTCAAATAGAAAGACAGGAAGTCAAATTATCTTTATTTGCAGATGACATGATCCTATATATAGAAAACCCCATCGTCTCAGCCCAAAAGCTTCTTAAGCTGATAAGCAACTTCAGCAAAGTCTCAGGATACAAAATCAATGTGCAAAAATAGCTAGCATTCCTATACACAAAGCAGAGAGCCAAATCATGAATGAACTCCCATTCACAATTGCTACAAAAGAATAAAATATATAGGAAGACAGCTATCAAGGGAAGTGAAGGACCTCTTCAAGGAGAACCACAAACCACTGCTCAAGGAAATAAGAGAGGACACAAGCACATGGAAAAACACTCATGCTCATGGATAGAAAGAATCAATATCATGAAAATGGCCATACTACCCAAAGTACTTTATAGATTCAATGCTAATCCCATTAAACTACCATTGACATTCTTCACAGCATTAGAAAAAACTATTTTAAAATTCATATAGAACCAAAAAAGAGCCCGAATAGCCAAGACAATCATAAGCAAAAGGACAAAGCTGGAGGCATCATGCTACTTGACTTCAAACTATACTACAAGGCTACAGTAACCAAAACAGCATGGTACTTGTACAAAAACAGATATAGACCAATGGAACAGAATATAACCTCAGAAATAAAACTGCACACCTACAACCATCTGATCTTCAACAAACAAGCAATAGGGGCCAGGTGCAGTGGCTTGTGCCTGTAATCCCAGCACTTTTGGAGGCCGGGGAGGGTGGACCAGTTGAGGCTGGGAGTTCAAGACCAGCCTGGCTAACATGGTGAAACCCCATCTCTACTAAAAAATACAAAAATTAGCTGAGTATGGTGGCACACACCTATAATCCGATACTTGGGAGGCTGAGGTATGAGAATCGCTTGAACCTGGGATGTGGAGGTTGCAGTGAGCCGAGATTGCATCACTGCCCCCCAGCCTGGGTGACACAGCAAGGCTCTGTCTCAAAAAAACAAACAAACAAAAACCCAAAAAGCAATGGGGAAAGGATTCCCTATTTAACAAATGGTGCTGGGAGAAGTGGCTAGCGATATGCAGAAAATTGAAAGTAGACCCCTTCCTTACACTACATATACAAAAATTAACCCAAGATGGATTAAAGACCTAATTGTATAATGCAAAACTACAAAAATCCTAGAAGAAAATCTGGGCAATACCATTCAGGACATAGGTATGGGCAAAAATTTCATGACGAAAATGCCAAAAGCAATGTGCAACAAAAGCAAAAATTGACAAATGGGATCTAATTAAATTAAAGAGCTTCTGCACAGCAAAATAAATTATCATCAGAGTGAACAGACAACCTACAGAATGGGAGAAAATTTTTGCAATCGATCCATTGACAAAGGCCTAATATCCAGAGTCTACAAGGGACTTGAACAAATTTACAAGAAAAAAAAATTCCATTAAAAAGTGAGCAAAGGACATGGACACTTCTCAAAAGAAGACATTCACGTGGCCAATGAACATATGAAAAAAAGCTCAACATCAGTAGTCATTAGAGAAATGCAAGTCAAAACCACAATGAGATACCATCTCACACCAGTCAGAATAGCGATTATTAAAAAGTCAAGAAACAACAGATGCTGGAGAGGTTGTAGAGAAAAAGGAACACTTTTATATGGTTGGTGGGAGTGTAAATTAGTTCAACCATTGTGGAAGACAGTGTGGTGATTCCATAAAGATCTAAAGCATAAATACCATTTGACCCAGCAATCCATTACTGGTTATATGCCCAAAGGAATATCAATTATTCTACTATAAAGATACATGCACATGTCACTGTAGCACTATTCACAATAGCAAAGACATGGAGTCAACCCAAATGCTCATCAATGATAGACTGAAAAAAGAAAATGTACACCATGGAATACTATGCAGCCATAAAAAGAAATGAGGTCATGTCCTTCGCAGGGACATGGATGGAGTTGGAAACCATTATCCTCAGCAAACTAGTGCAGGAATACAAAACCAAACACCGCACATTCTCACTTACAAGTGGGAGCTGAATGATGAGAACACATGGACACACTGGGGGAATAACACATACTGGAGCCTGTCAGTGGTGGGTGGGGAGGCGAGCCAGAGCATCAGGAAGAATAGCTAAGGGATGCTGGGCTTAATACCTAGGTGATGGGTTCATCTGTGCAGCAAACCACCATGGCACATGTTTACCTATGTAACAAGCCCGCACATCCTGCATGTGTACCCTGGAACTTAAAGTAAATATTGAAGAAGAAAAAATTAGCCAGGTGCGGTGGTGTGCACCTATATAGTCCCAGCAACTTGGGGGCTGAGGCAGGAGGATGGCTTGAGCCTGGAAGGTTGAGGCTGCGGTGAGCCGAGATCATGCCACTGCACTCTAGCCTGGGTGACAGAGTGAGGCCCTGTCTCAAGCAAAACAAAAGCAAAAAACAAAAACCAAAAAACTGGGGTCTGATGAACATGACTGGATACCAAGCCATACCTGAAGCTAGCATAAGCCAACAATTTCTCTTTTGGATTTTATGTCTCATGTACCCTAACTAAATGTAGACACTGCTAAATGTATTAGGTTGATGCCAAAGTAATTGTGGGTATGGGGTTGGACTGCCCTCTGGTACCTCCAGTGCTAGCTCCCACACATGCTCAGTTTTTACCCTGCATTCTACTCTCTCACACACACCAGAAAATCATCCAACATGCCTTTGGGGTCTAGGGCTAAGTTTGAGCCTACACCAGGTACAGGATACCAGCTTACTTGTCTTGGTTCCAACTGAGGCCCAGAAACATTAAGGAGGGCCTAAGATCTGTAAGAATACCAGAACAGTCTCACTTGTGGTCCACCCTCCTGGGATCCTGAGCCACCTGCCCAGGTGGCTGCACTGGCCCTCTCACTACAACCCAGGAAACTGCCATGTTCTCAGCACAGAGTTGGGCAAGAACCCAAGCTTTAGAATAAACAATGTAGCTTTGAATCCTGTTGCTTCTGACTTGTGTAATCTTGACTAAGGCCCATTCTCTGTGAGCCTGTCTCCTCCTCTCCAAGAGAGGATACCACCTGAGCCCCTTACAGGTTGGCTGGAGGGATTCAGTAGGCTAACCTACTGGAATGGCCTAGCATGCTCCCTGGAGCTGGAACAGAGACCCATTCCCTCCAGGTCTCAGTGTGGAGCTTGGTGGGCAGTGAGCAATTCATCTCCATGCCCCTCCCACACTACTCTTAGGCCATCCCAACACCTAGCACATACGGGATGCTTAAATTGACCTTATAGTGCTCAAGTCCTAGAAGGAGGGATGGTCTGGACGGTCTGGAGGGGTGGACTAAGCTTGGTCCCTAGCCCTTCTGCAGCCAACATGAACTTGGGCTGAACAGAGGTGGTACAGCTTAGAGAGCAAACTACTGTTTTGCACCTGGATTTTCACTCAGCTGCTGACATTTCTCAGTTCTTCCATGGTACATCAGGAGCCCTGGCCTCACCGTGGAGCTCTCTGGCCTTCTCCAGCTCTCTATAACGAGAGGAATACCACCCGAGGAGGACACGCTGAATGCCTAATCACATAGCTCCCGAATGTTCAACTCAATCGTTATGAATGTCCAGAATCTGATTTCTCTTTTTTGATTGGCAAGTTTTTCCTCCCGAAATCAAATATGTCTGCTCAAAGGAGCAAACCCCAGCCTTGTTAACCTTTCATCAGAAAGCTGTCTCTGGGCTAGCCTGGGCTCTGAAAAGGTGAGTGCACGTGGAAAGACAGGCCTAGCCAGCCACCCTCATCAGGGAGACCTGAGAAATGCACCACCAATTAGGGGCCACGCTGCTCTTGGTCATGGCAGCGAATGAGTCCAAACAACTCTGGACAGCCACCCCATGGGGACCGAAGGGAGGGCACTGTCACGGTCACCCTACAGTGGGCACAGAGGCCGGATCAGAGCAGGAGGAGCTGGAGGGAGCGGAGTGGGGAGATCACCACCGTACCTCTGCTCACTCACACAAAGACATGGATGAGAGGGGAAGAAACGGGGGCAACGGAAAAGGAGAAATATGCTTTGGAAACAACAGGGGTTGAAAGAGAGGTGTGCAGGGTATACCGCCTCATGGACTGTGGGCGCGTGACTGGGATGGGCAGAAAAAATGACTGGATTGTAGACCGCAATGCCCACCACTAGGTACCTTCTGCCCCAACCTGCCCCATAGCCCCTTCTTTCCACATGTTTGACTCAGGCTTGGGCAGCATTATCCACTCTTGCTGGTACCAGCTCCTGGCCTGCTCCCTCTGCCTGGTGGCACTGGGCCTCCTCTGGGCTTGGGTTTTGCCTTTCCCACCCAGAGGTGTAGGGACACAGGTCAGTTGCCATGTGTGCATGCATAGGGCCGCCCCTGAGGGACTGCGCGCTCTGAGAGCCTCGGTGAAGGCCAAGCACTGGGAAGACAGGGTTGGGTAGGAGGCAGTGTCAGCAAATGATTGACAGCCAGCTCCACTCTTGCACATTGGGGAAAGAGACTGATATTTACCAGGGGCCTGTGTGCCAGCGCTGAGCTCGGTACTTAAAGGCAATATCTCATTTAATCCTTATAGCAACCTATGACGTGGACCCCTCTAGAGATGTGGAAACGGAATTTCACTGAGGCTAAGTAACTTACTGAAGGTCACCAGCTAGTGAGTGGCACAGCTGAAACTTAAGTCCAGAACTGCCCGATTCTAAAACCTGTGCTTCATCCACTCTAACTCATTGTCTCCAGGAACTGATCCACATTTGCCTTTCAGCAGGTACATCTTGGGGAAACAGGAGATTATATTTGCTTTCTCTCTCTTCTCTACACATGGATCTTATATATGTGTGAGCCTGTGTGTGTACATGATGTGTAATGTTTTTTCAAATACCATTTGAAAGTAAGTTGCAAGCATTGTGTTACTTCACCCCACAGACTTCAGCCTGCCTCTCCTAGGAATAAAGATAAACCCCTACAAAACTATCATATTAACATTAATCCCACATCATCATCTAACATTCCAGTCCATCTTCAAATTTTCCAACTTTCCCAAGAATGTCTTTAAAGCTTTTTTCTTTTTTCTTTTTTTTAAAAAAACAACAACACATAATCCAAGTTAGGTTCACACTTTGCACTTGGTCATGTATCCTAGTCTCTTTCACAGATAAAACCTTTACGCCTAATTTATCCTGTTGCTTGCTTCGCTTGATGTGACTCAAGGGATGATGGGCCCCTCCCTTCCCCTGACTGCTTTCCCCACTGTGCTGCTCCTGCACAGCTCTGCCCATCCTTGGGCACAGGAGAAGGGGGGTCCCAGTTCCCTGCCTCATTCCTCTCCATTCCCTTCCGGGGACACCTATGACTGACCTTAGGAACTAGGAAAAACACACAAAATAAAATGAGACGGGATCTAAATTGCTATAACACAAAGCTGTTTCTATTTGGAAACAAAATCCTTTTTTTTGAGATGGAGTCTCACTCTGTCACCCAGGCTGGCGTGCGGTGGCACAATCTCGGCTCACTGCAACCTCTGCCTCCCGGGTTCAAGCAATTCTCCTGCCTCAGCCTCCTGAGAAGCTGGGACTACAGGCGCATGCCATCATGCCTGGCTAATTTTTGTATTTTTAGTAGAGACAGGGTTTCACCATGTTGGCCAGGCTGGTCTTGAACTCCTGACCTCAGGTGATCCACCTGCCTTGGCCTCCCACAGTGCTGGGATTACAGGCGTGAGCCACCATGCCCGGCCTCACTTCAAAATCCTTCTTTATGGAAAGTGAATTTGGAAATAGTTTGTGACCACTAAGGGAATGTTCATTTTTCTTCTTCAAATGAATTAGAATTACAAGCATAGCAACAGAAATGAAACCAAATAACTTGCTGAATGCACAGCAAGTGCTTCAACAACAATCAATTATTCCTTAATTTAAACATCCACACCAATAATAAAACCCCAGGATGTGCACTGACTGCCAGCTCAGTGCCAGGCCCTGCAGTGGACTTTCTGGTGGGAAGGCAAGCATTAAAGAAAAATTGCAGGGCTGCGTGACAAGCGGCGTGTGCATAGTCCTGGGGTAGCACGAGGACAGAAGCAACTCACTCTTCCTAGGGGAGTTGGGAGAATTTACCAGGAGGCCTGCTCTGGGATTGGACAGGCAGGTCACAAAGGGGCCAAGGAGGAAGATGGAGTCTTTAGGAGAGGCTGGGAGCGGGGGTGAGGCGGCCACTAGTGCATGCTTACAGTAAGTGCATGCTTACAGTGGACCCGGCTTACAGTGGACCCGGCAAGGCCACATGGGGACTACAGGGAGTACCAGTTAGGAGCCTGTGAAACAGTCCAGGTGAATGATTATGCTGCCTGCACCACAGCTGTGGCAAAGGTGATGGAGAGGAGAGGATGAAGTAGTGTTCAGGGGTGGAAGGAGAGGATCTGGGGAGAAGGAGGGCGGAGCCTGGCTCTGGATGGCCAGCCTGTGTCATTCACTGGGGTGGAAGATGGAGGAGTGAGTTTGGTGGGGAGTGTATGTTCAGACCAGAGGCCTGGGGTGTGCAGTATCCTGAGAACATGGGAGCACCTGCTGGAGGTGGTGAGGAGGCAATGGCTGAAGTGAAGGGAATTGCATGTGGCTTCCAAGCTCAGTGGGGCAAGAGGACTCTCTCAGGGCACTCAGAGCCAAGGGTGCTGAGAAGGCATTTGCTAGCTCGGCATCTTCTCCAGCCTAGCATGGGATTGGCACTAAATGACCTGGCTGATGACCCTGATGCCAGAATTCTCCATACGCAGAGACAAGCCGGCAACCACATCCCAAGAGCTGTTCCTGGGGCTGCTATCCAGACCTCCCTGCCACAGTTCTCTGGAAGCCACGGTGGTGCTTGGTTTTGGTTTTGGTTTAACCAGCTTTTCAAACTTTACATTAAAGAGGTTTAGAAACCTTTGTTCAGATGGGAGAAGAACAGAGGCAGCACCTTTCAATACATGCTTTTTGCAATCTATCAGATTGGAAGGCAGGCAACTACTTTGTTTGCAGATCAGTCATTTGGAGGAAATACAAAGAAGGGGGCCCTGGAAGGGGTTTGCTGTGATATTCTCAGGGAAGCCTCAGTCTCTAGCCTTGGCTATCTGCACCTAGGACTAGGGTCCAGTGTCACTGAACTCACACAATCAGGCCATTCTCCTGGCAAGGAGGGAGAGCTGCACACAGCCAAGAGAAGCAGAGGTGCTGCTGCTGCTGGATTTGGAGTAGGAATTAGCTACTCATTCCAGCAACGCCGTTCCAGTGTGCCTCCTCATGTGTACGATGGGTAAAATGATTTCTTCCTCACCCGCTGATGGCAAAGTCTCAAGTCAGTGCTCACGGATGTGAAAGCATCTATGGCTCACCCATCTTATTAAATGTAGGGAGCAGAGCAGTTTCCACAGGGGTCCTCGGGAGGGAAGCCAGTCAAGGCCAGCCATTCTAACCAAGGGGTGCCCAGGGCTGCCGGGGAGGACACCACTCACTCACTCCTTCTATAGCTGTGGGAAGGAGGAGCTTCCATTTCCTACCCTAGGAGAGAAAACCAGGGGGGAATCCTTGGCTTGGCCAGGCACCCTCTTGTTCAACCCCTCCCAGAGGAAGAGGAAGAATGCCTTCCCGGGGAGTCTGGGAGAAGGAACTGAGCTCCATCACCCCTTCCAGCTCCCTCCTGGGGAGCAGCCAGGGCAACGCCCTCCCGCAGCTCCTCCTTGCTAGGAGTCTATGGGCAGCTCCAACCTGGAGAGACCTGCCATTGTCCACTTATCTCGAGTGGAGAAACGCGGTCTTCACATTCTCAGGTGAAGTGTTTGCAACATTTGCCTTCAGGTCTAATGCAATATTCTCCTTTCAGGCTTATCAATAAACACAGCTGGCACTTTTATCTCATTTGACTGTCCCCTGGGCTTTGTTTCCCAAATGATACTAAACTTGAGAAGGGGAAAACAGTAATTTAAAGCCTCTCTAAACTGCGACATCTTCCAAGGCAGGAATAGGCATTCTCAAGTTGACACTTTTGAATTCTTAAAGAAACTACGTGATCAGGAGGCAGAGGCTAACTAGAAACCTATTTACTTTGCTCTTATAAGCTGAGTGGCCTAACATATGTCTGCTTTAGAAAACAAATTATTAGCGAGTTCAGTTTGTTGACAAAATATCTTTTTTTTTTTTTTGAGACAGGGTCTCGCTCTGTCACTCAGGCTGGAGTGCAGTGGTGCGATCTCAGCTCACTGCAGCCTCTGCATCCTGGGTTCAAGCAATTCTCATGCCTCACCCTTCCGAGCAGCTGGGATTACAGGTGCCTGCCATGACACCCGGCCAATTTTTGTATTTTTAGTAGAGACAGGGTTTCACCATGTTGGTCAGGCTACTGACAAAAGCATCTTTTAATTAAAGTGTCCAACTTGGGACTATGAGGTGGACTATGACTGACTATGAAGTGACTATGACTATGAAGTGGGCCTGGAGATGAAGAGGGAGCCTCTGGGGGGCCCTGGGAGTGCTTGGAGCCTACTTCCCTCATTGTCTTTATCCCTCTGATTGGGCCTGTCCATCTGCTGGTCTGTCTCATCATTATGCCCCACAATGGTAGGGACTGAGAACTTATTTATCTTACACATGGTAGGTCTCAACAGACAGATGAATAGATGATACTTAAATGGAGGAATGATCACAGCTTGGAAAGAGGAACTCCACTGAGGCAGAGGGCAAGGCAGCACCTTCTCTCCCCTGGCAGTAGCAGCTCTTGCCTCGACACTAAGCTCCCCTCTTGCCAGCCCCCGCTGCAGAGCTGCCGTCAGAGGTCTCCATGGAGCTGCCCTGGCTAGCTGCACAGGCACCGGCTTTGCCAGGTGGTGAGATGAAGGCAACCGTCTCAACGGTCTCCATCCCCACTGGCAAGCTAAATCTTCTTAAATAACGAAATCCACAGAAACACAGACCCAAGGCGAGGATTTTTTTGAGGTTAAAATAGGTGCTCTCTCTGGCTGGTTAAGATGATTTTGCCAGGGCAGGGTACAGTAGCTTTAACAGACATATCACATGGCTGCAGTCCCTGCTTGTTTTGAGAGCTGGTGTGGGCTCGAGAGGAGGTGTCTGGGCTTGGGTTTCCAAGCTGGTGAAGTGGCCCTGGGCAGGTTCTCTCACGTCTCTGAGCTCCAGCTCTGGGTCAATAAAATGGGGCTAATGGTCCCTTCCTCAAAGGGATGTGGTGGAGACAACAAAAAAGATACCAAGGAGTCTGTTGGTTTCCAAAAAAAGAGAATATATACCATTAGGGCTACGTGAGTGCATTAGGTGATTCATAGATGAACACTTAAAATTGTTTTATATGTTAGAAAAAACTGGGACTAGTATATCAAGCCTATAATTTTACCAATGGCATCTCTGAAGATGAGGCTAAGATGCTATAGATGTCAGGTCTGAGTCTTATTTAAAGAAAACTATCAAGTAAAGAAAATAGTATAGATGGTAAGAGAGTGTGGTAAAAACTTCTGAAATGAAACTCAAGAGACTGTTCTTTGGGAAGAATATCAAGTCCTTAAAACTCATGCCTGCCGGTAGTAGGTGCTCTAGAAACCGTACTTCTTACGGTCAACAGCCCATCAAACCAGGGACCCGGGAAAAGACTCAAGGACAACCTACCATAAGGGCAAAGCTGGAAAGAGTTAAAAGAAAGGGGTCTGTGGTTTCCCTGGCTCAAGCCCCCCTCCCTCTGCAGCTAATCTGTCACCTAATGAAGAAGGGGCCGGCATAAGTGAGCTAGCTGGCAGTTCACTTACAGCAAACTGATTAAGAATGTTCAACCAACAGCAGACTGTAGACCTTTCCAGAGAAAATAAATAGAGTGTAGACTGTATGCAAATGTGTTTGTCACTTTGACAGCACGTCTCAATTAAGGCATCTCGCGGCTGTGGGTAGGCTCTGCGGCTGCAGCTGGAAGGGAGAGCCCGCTGCATGGCTGATACTAGGGGCTTGACCTTAATCCGCATGCATGCATTAAAAAAAAAAATCCTGCCTTCCTGTACACTTGCATAATGCTGGCAGCCACGTGAGGGAAGTGACAAACAGGGAAAAAAAGCCACTTTCATCCTCTCCAGTTTGCAGACCTGTGAAGGCACAGACAGCTCTTATTTCAACAGAGTTTGGGGTGGCTTTTTTAATTGTTTATCCCCCACCCGTGCACACACACATACTCTTATTCTGCATTTAGCTGGGAATGACATTAAAGAATCTCTACTTCTGGCTGAAATGGAAAGAAGGTCTTTCTCCATTTCAAATAGGGCCTCCTTTTTTTGTGTTTCGAAAATGGAATGTTTAACACCATGAAATCCCTCTCCCCCGCCCCCTCTTTCTCTGTAATGGGCTCCAAACTCCAGTGAGGGGCTCCTTTCATGGGAAGGTTAGTGTGTGCAGGAATGAGGACAAAGGAAAGCAGGAAGCTGACTCTGGAATGCCACGCTGGCGACAACCAGGGGCTGTGCTTTCAGCAAACACAGCCAGGGAACTGGGGTGCAGATTGCTCCAACAGGGCCTGAGCCTGGAGCTGGGGGGAGGCAGCTCTTCAGGGGAGCAGACACCAGTGCAATTTGAAAATACTTATTAACTAAATGAGTATCACCCTGTGGATTCTTCTTTCTTGCGTTTCAATTTTTATAACATCCTTTTAAGTATAAAATCAGAAAAGGGGATGAACCTCCCCAAGTTAAAGATGTATAAACATATATTATCTGAAAATATTGATTAGAGAAGAGTGACTTTTATGTTCCAACCAACTCACCCCTTACAGTAGTAACCTGGAGCAAGAATTTTGTGAGTTTCGTTCATTTCTGAATAGCTCAATGCCTGGTGCATAGTAGGCACCTGATAAAGGTCTGTTTAAAACAGGAATGTAGGCTTCTAGGTCCTTTACATGTGGTGAAATAGCAATCACATTTAAGATAAAAATCATGAAGACTCTTAATCATGCATCATCTAATAAATGGCTACAGAATCAGGTGATTTAAAAATAAATAACCTTGCAAATTCTTGTTACAGCCATATCTTGCTAAAAGAGCCATTTCTCATAAATCTCTCCAAATGATGACTTTCGCTAACCAAAAGTCAATTCAGGACAGGTAGGAAAGGGTACATAATCTTTTTTAACCAAAAATATAATTACAAGTAGGAAGGGGATACAAAATTTTAGTTTCTATACAGAGTGGAATGTTTTACTTAAGGGAAAAAAAATTAAATAGACAATTTTTCTAATGCTCAGGTAGTTGAAAACAGTTGCTTAAAAAATTGAATCTCTAGAATTGTAGCACGGGTGTTTACTCTCAGAAGCACGACTCCTGATATTGATTTTCAGGAAGTACATTAATAAAGAACTCCTAATTGATTTTTTTTTTAAGACTTCGCTTGTTGCCTTTTATTTGAAGGTGCAAAGAAGGGCCCGGGATGCTAAAGTGTTCTAATGAGATGCTTAGCTAACAGAGGCACCTTAAGCAGAGTGCCTTGGAGTACGGGAGGCAGCAGTGCATTTAATGACTTCATTCAACAGTCCCGCTCATTTATGACCTCAGCCGTGCTGTCTCCTCAAAATTTTTGAAAATTTGCCTGCAAAACATGTTTGCACCAAATAAACATTTAAAGATGTGAAAACCTCCATGGAGCTGCACTGCCAAAGAGAACTGAAATGAAAAACCGTCTGCTGCATGTGCTACTGCTGCTAAAAACAAAAATAAAAAAAAAACAAAACAGACAGGTAGGAGGGCCAGGGTACACACCTGTCCAAAGTGGACTGTGATTGGCCGCCGGTCTTCTCGGAGCTTGGGGTCCTTGGCCTCCACCAGTGGGGACGGTGCAGTCTTTGGCAGCTGCTCTTCTGGGGTGGGGGCGCAGCCATTCTCGGCAATGTCCTGTAGGGAGAAGGATAGTCAGCGGTTGGCACTGGGGTTCTGGCACCCATGTTCCCTCTCACCCCACAACGAAGAGGCCTGCCAGGCGACTCTCTCCGTGACATTCTGAGCCTGACCTCTTGATGAAGATGGAGGGAATGGAGGGCTAACTTGGCTCTTTGACTTTTAAGAACTAGAGAAACCCAAACCATCCATGTGAAGTTATAAAGATAACATCATAATTCACAACAGTGGGGAAAACAATTATTATTGTTCATCCTACTCTCTTACACAGCCATTTTCATTTTTATGTATTTACTTTGTCCACATGCAGACGTTTAAAAATTACTTGCAATCACAGCTCATGCATAATTTTATATCCTGCTTTTCCCCACTATATTATAAGCATTTTCATGTTGTTACAAAGTCATTACAAAAATAATTTTACTGAATGCATATTTCATTGAGCGGATATACAATAATTTAATATACCACGATTCAATATTCTACTACTATTGGGCATTTAGGATTCTAATTTTTTTTTAAACATTCAAAATGCCAGTGATATATACTGCAGTTTTTCTTTCTTTCATATTATCTCTTTTTATGGAAATCCCCAGGAATGAAATTACTAGGACAACAGATATAAACATTTTCAAGGGTTTTTATTCATCCTATCAAATTGCTTTCCAATTTACACCAACTACCAACAATGGATGCATTACCAGTTTCACGATACTTGTGAGCTGTATCATTTTAAAAATGTATCGCTAATTTAATAGGTGAAAAATTTGACTTGTTGCTTTAATTTGCATTACTTTAATTATGAGTATGGACAGTTTTTCCACATTTGTTTACTGATGATGTTGTTGTTTGTGAATAAGATGTGTTTGTTCCTACCCCTTCTTACCCCTCATCTTTCTGGCAGAAAATAAAAAGATTGAAGTCTGACTCAGGACTCTATGACTTGGGAAACATTTAGGGACCAAAGAAATCTTTTTAAATCCAGAAATTTACATTTAATTTGTGCTTCTGATGACTGAAGTCAAATTATCAGGAAAAGAAAAACCACAATGTGCAAAAGGCAGGCCATGGCTCCGGTGGCTGAAGCTGGCAGCTGACTATACACGTGGGTCATTTGGAACATGGATGGGGCCACTCATGCAATAAGGGTCCCGTGTTTTATTCAAGTCAAGGAAGTTGCTTAAACCTTCATTGGAACAAGGCAGAGAATACATGTACAAATAAATATTTAAATAATCATGTTTCTTACCAAATAAAAATAACTCAGCCAGAATTATATAATGAACACAAGTTCCAATTATTTTCATTGCAAAACAAATATACACTTTGATCAACAAAATATATCCCCTTAGTACTCATTAAATTCTGCACATGAGAAACTTGATACTTGGTTGCTCCTAACTTCTCAGCTAAGAGAGAATGGTGGGACATGGAGGAAAGTAATTCCTTATTGAAAAATTATGCATTAAGGAAGAAACATATATACATCTCTAAGACTCAGTTTCCTCATCTGTGAAATGGGCATATGGTAGCATGAAGATTAAAGGAGACAGATAATACAACTGAGTGTCAAGAATATTATTAGCTATTCAGTAAATTATAGGAATTACCATATTACTACCAATTACTACCATTACTACCAATATTTGACCTCACACATCCAGCTGCCTACCAGCTGGCCTCCTTTCCTAAGGAATCAAGGCTGCCTGTAGAGGCCAGACCTGAGAAGTCTGTACTGCTTGGTAAACAACAAAGGGAGATGATGACCTCCTGGCTTTACTGGGAGGGCTTGGATCAGGTGGCCCACGTTTGATCAACCAGTCTCAGCCAGGCTGAGGCTCAGTGATGAAAGAGGCTGTCGATGGCCAAACAGAAACAGCTCTTTTGGAAAGGGGCTGTCCAAAGGTGCTCAGGTCAAGTGGAAAAAGATGGGGAGGGGTTCCATCTGTGCTAGAAAACAACAATGGGCAAAAGGGGCATTTTGGATCCAGGTGAAGATCCTACAAGATAGATATGAGAGAATGAATAAGGTCAAACATGAACAAATTCACTTTTGGTTCAGGTAAAATTTTGTGCGTGGGTGTGTGTGCCTGTTTGTGTTTGGCTGAAAAAAAAATGAAGCTGCAAGGTAATATGGTAAGAAAATCTGGGTATTAATAGAAAACTCTAAGGTAATAGTTATTTAGAAAAAAAGAACAATTCATGTAGTAGTTTTGGAAAAAGCATCTTAGTTCACGCTTATAAGTAAAAATACTATCGTCTAGTTTTGTTTTTCCCATTAACTAGTTGTCTAATCTTTCCAAATCACTCAACCTCTCTGCACCTATTGCCTTATTTTTGCAATGGGAGACTACCACCTGCTTGGCAAACATCAAAGCTACTGGGAGAATGGGTGAAATGAGATAGGAGGAAGCTTTGAAAAATGTCACAGCACTGTGCAAATTGAACCTCAATTTGCAAAACGGAGAGAGCACCTGCTAAAAAGAAGAGTTTCCCTGTGTGGACGGCCTACCCCTGTGCTTTTCCAGACCCTTGACCTTCATTCTCACACTTAGTTCCCACAATGATCACAAGGTAAATGGGATTATCCTGCTTTTATAGGTGAGGAAATAGGGCTCAGAAGGGGTAACTTACCCAAAGCCACATAGTTAGAAGGTGGAATAACCCAGAGCTATGGGAGTCCTGGTGCTTTTATGCCATATCATCCCATAACGACAGCACAAGTGAAGGTATTCTGAATTAAGGAGCTGCTCAAAAAGTGCTCAGATGTAATCTTCTCCTCGGAAGCTCCTGGCTACACTGATCATAGGCTGCCATGCTTAGCACTATCTTATTTTTGTATCTCTATCAACTGTAAGTTCGTTGGGGTCTGGGTTCTCTAACCTAGAGCCTTGAATCTAGCACATGCTGTCAAATAAACCTTTGTAAAGTGGAGTTAAACATTTGGAAGGGAAATGTGTCCAATACACAGATGTACCTGCGTGTCAAAAAGCAGTGCTGCACCTTCATTTATTAGAAGATCCAAAGATGCAAAAGGTTTCTTATAAAGTCCTGTGGTGCAGGCCACCAATTTATTAGCCTCTTTACTATTCCCTCCACCTGAAGAAGGACAACAGCTTCCTCTCAGGATGCCACAGGCAGCACAAGAGGAGGAGCCCACGTCAAGGAAGAAATAAGAGGCTGGGTGTGGAGGCTCACGCCGGTAATCCCAGCACTTTAGGGGGTCGAGGTGGAAGGATCACTTGAGCCCAGGAGTTTGAGACCAGCTTGAGCAACATGGGGAAACCCCATATCTACAAAAAAATATAAAAATTAGCTGGATGCGGCAGTGTATGCCTGAATTCCCAGCTGCTTGGGAGGCTGAAATGGGAGGATCACCAGAGCTTGGGGAGGTTGAGGCTGTAGTGAGCCGTGATCAGGCCACTGCACTCCAGCCTGGGCAACAGAGTGAGACCCTGTCTCAAGAAAAAAATAAGGTGGGGGGCATTCAAATTCTCTGTTCTATCTCCTGGTAGAGATCTTATACGTAGTAGGGAGCTAATAACAGCAACTTTTGATACCCATGATTAAAGAAACTGTGGCCTAAGCACTAACGTAGCTGTCAGCAAAGGGCTTGAGAAAACAGGTACTCTCATACCCTTCTCATGGGAATATAAATTGGCAATTTATATGAAAAACCTAAAAGATGTATATGCCCTTTGGCCCACTGCTCCCATTTTTAGAAATTTATCCTAATGAAATAATATGAATTTCTTCTAAGTCTTACCTATGTGGATATTTGTCTAGAAAAAATTGGAACTCATGTAAGGGTCCAACAATGGGAATATTAAATAATGTATATATGTCCATCAGATAAAATCTGATGTAGTCATTTAAAATAATGACATGTGGGCCTGGTGCAGTAATCCTAGCACTTTGGGAGGCCAAGGTGGGCAGATCGCTTGAGGTCAGGAGTTTGAGACCAGCCTGGCCAACGTGGTGAAACCCCGTCTCTACCAAAAATACAAAAATTAGCCAGGCATGGTGGCGGACGCCTGTAATCCCAGCTATTTGGGAGGCTGAGGCAAGAAAATTGCATGAACCAGGGAGGCAGAGGTTGCAGTGAGCCGAGACTGCGCCAGGCAACAGAGTAAGACTCCATCTCAAAAAATAAAACAAAACAAAATAAAATAAAGACATGGGGAAGAAGTATTTAGTGGTCTGGGAAATGCCCAGGATATAGTACATGAAAATGCAGGTTATAAAATGAGATTATTTTTTGTTCCTCTGATTTGCTGAGTTTTCCTCAATAAACATGAATTTTGTTTGAAACAGGAAAAAACCTGACCTTCTAAATGTCATTTTTAAAAAGCAGAAACAAGAAGCTAGCAGGAGGGTTAAACCTGCTTCTTCCCGAAGGGTCACACAGGAGGAAGACGCCAGACAGAGCTACATATCAGGGGCCACCACAGGGTGGCAAATCTCTTCCTGGAGCCCCGAGGCTCAGCTCAGAGAGTTACGGGGGTCCTGCCAGTTCCCGTCCCTCGGTAAAGCAAGGCAGTCAGAAAGTCATTGTATTCCTATTATTTTCCTTGAGTGTTTACTGGAATCAGAAGCCATGACTATGCTCTAACCTCCAGCCCTCTGAGAAGAAGGCAGGCACGGCATACGGTAAGTCTCTGGACATGAGTCTCCATGAGAAATCGGGGAGGTAAGGACCCAGGGTCTCGGGAGACTAGAGGACAAAGAGGGTTCTGGGTGGCCTTGGGTAGGGGTTGGGGTGGGAGCTGAGGAAAGGACTTATGACCCAGTGATGAAAGAGTAGAGCCCCAGGCCCAGGGAGGCAGACAGCAGGGCCTGCTGCGGCCCAGCGGCCAGGGCATTCCACCCCTGGGCTGCCCCCAGGCAAGGAGGTGGAAGGTTTGAAAGGTCTGAAATGTTTTAACCAAGGGAGTGACTTGGTCAGTGCTGGGTCCTACAAAGATTCCCCTGGTGGTTGTATGGACAACCTCAAGGGAGGTGATTCATTCACGCTGGACATGGTCTCCAGGTGTGTGCACATGGGTATGTGGGCAGACTGGCTGTTCCAGATGTGGGACATAAGAAGACAGAGAGGGCCACATGCAGTGGCTCATGCCTGTAATCCCAGCATGTTGGGAGGCCGAGGCGGGCAGATCACCTAAGGTCAGGAGTTCGAGACCAGCCTGGCCAACATGGCAAAACCCCGTCTCTACAAAAATACAAAAATTAGCCAGGTGTGATGGGTGCCTGTAATCCCAGCTACTTGGGTGGCTGAAGCAGGAGAATCACTTGAACCTGGGAGGTGGAGTTTGCGGTGAGCTGAGATCACACCACTGCACTCCAGCCTGGGCAACAGAGTGAGACGCCATCTCAAAAACAAACAAACAAAAGACAGACAAAAGGGAAACTCTCAATTATTCAGTGCCTACTAAGTGTTGCTGTCTCAACACATTATCTCTTCTACTCCTTCCAACGATCCAGCAAAAACCTGTATTTCCCCTAGTTTACAGATGAGAAAAACTAGGTTCAGTGAGGTCTTGTAACTTATCCAAGGTCACATAGTTAACATCCTACACAACCAGCACTGAGTCCCACTTGCCTGCCTCAGAAGCCCAAACACCACATCTCCATGTGGGGGAGTTGAAAGGCCCCTATGGGCAGAGGCCTTCCCGTCTGACTCATGCTGCGGGTGTGAGAACTCCCGTCTCCATTTACAGACTCGTGCCGCACCCTTCTTTTCCCAGGCCACCTCACAGCACAGCAAATGCAAATTAAAATATGAATATTGATATCAAAATAGTAACCAAAGTTGGAATTTCTGTGATTGAGGCTGCAGCGTATTTTAATGTGTCGGGAGACAGGGAGCTGACAGTTGTGTGATAAGGTGTGAAAATGTCTGTTCTACAAGTCTACCTAGCTCTCCCGGCCCCACGCATGCTTACTCACTCCCTTCAATGGGAACAGTTTGGCCAGAAATTCAAGCCTCTGTGAAACCAACTGTGAATTTGCTCCTTTCAATCACAGAGACTCTAAATCAACAAGCTCGATTTGTCTTTTAAAGATCAAAGATTTGTAATCCCAGCACTTTGAGAGGCCTAGGAGGGAGGATCACTTGAGCCCAGGAGTTTGAGACCAGTATGGGCAACACAGCAAAACTCTGTCCCTAAAAAAAATTAGCCAGGCATGGTGGTGCATGCCTGTCGTCCTAGCTACTCTGGAGGTTGAGGCGGGAGGATCCCTTGAGCCTGGGAAGTCAAGGCTGCAGTGATTGTGCCACTGCACTGGGAGACAGAGTGAGACCCTGTTTCAAAACAAAGAAAAACAAAATAAAAAAAAGAAAAGAAGAAGATCAAAGATTCAGAAACTTTACAAAGGGCTGTGAAATGGGCCCATTTGGCTAAATCATTTTGATACCGAAGAAAAAAGAGAAAAATTTCAGGGGTTCCTCAATAGGCAAAAGAGGACATCCCTACGTGCCTATCTTAACGTTGCCTGCAGGTGAGGAGAAATGGATTTGTGGCCACTGCTTTTAAAGCAGGGCATTCTCATGCCAGCCCTGCATGGTGCTGCAGTGGGATGCAATTTGTTGACAGTCATGAGCCCATCCAGGAGGCATTCTTCTGGCAGGGAGACACTCCAGATGAAAGCACTACACTCTTCCTTAGAAAGCAATGGCTGGGTAGCATCTTTGCCATTTCTTCTTTTTCCCAATTTTGAGCAAGTCAGACTTCAAAGGAGGCCAAGCTACAGAAGAACCTGACCACCTTGCTCCATTTATCTAGAGAAATATGTTATCCATCCTTCTTTTTTTGTTGTTGGGTTGAAGCAGAGCAGGTATGGAATAAAGTCACACCATCGGATCTATTAACAATTATTTGCCAATGGTCACACAGATATCCTGAAAGCTCCGATTTCAAATGCTTTGAAAATCTGCAGCACAAATGAACAAGCGTTGGAGAAGGGGCCCAGCTCAGTCATATTAGAGATGGACCCTCCATACATCATGGTGACCTCTCCACAGGTCGGCCCCACATTTTCTATTTGCAATTCAAACCCAAGGCGAGGGTGAAGAGGGCAAGCTTGGGTTCTTGATTATATCTGCAAGGTCACCATTGCTATGCAGAGTTAGAGGAGGCCAGGTGGCAACCCAGCACATTTGAAAATTGGATCTTTGTTGGAAACTGCCTCGATTTCATGGCAGAAACCAAACTTGAGATGTCTATATTAGAGGCATCTGGGGAGTCACGAGGTACATTCGTTGCCAGATAAAGGGGAGGAGGGAAAGGGGAGAAGGACAAAAAAAAAAAAACCAAGGAAATATTTTCTACTGCTATGTGAGAGGTCAGGTGCAGCCAAATCCTAAATTAGCTCAAGAAAGGGCGCTGGAGAGTGCTGGAGCCCCAAGTCCCGTAGATGCGAACAATGCTAGAGTTTCAATTACAAAATAGCTCTCTTCCAAGAACAACTGCAAAATATCAAGTCTGTGGAAATCTGTACGACCGAAGGGGGGAAAAGTGAAAATTGAAAAGGGTGCACTAATAGATCTGTCAACAGTCCGATGGTGACAAGCCACATTTCTATAAAATGCCTTCACCATTTGTGTCACCTGAAATGTACTGACGCTCTCTATAGAACATTATCTCCTGAAGCTATTCTTGAAAAGACTGGCAGGGGGAAGGGAAGGGGAGGGAGACATCTGCTTTAGATACTATCAAGGAACAGAAAGGGAGAGAGAGTGGAAGGAAAGTGATCTAGATTGTTTAAACAAATCTTTGAACAACCACATTAAAAAATCTGAGCTTAACTGGTTATTTGCAGAAATGTTACTTATCATAAGAAGGGGATTTTCCTAAGGCCAGAGGCTTGCACATACAAGTAGGGAGGTAAGGTGATGTCTGTAGCTTAACGGTCTGCAGAGAGTGGATCTGACCAATGAGGGCGCATGGGGCCTTTGCCTGAGGAGGGACCCCTTTCTTTGCTTACTTCAGGGGATATTCTGATACCAACGAGCCTACGATCCAGGCATCAAGGAGGGAAAACTCTCCGCTCCCTGCCACTCCATTTTATATCTGCAATCCATTTCAGCTACATGCAACTGGGATGGGAGATAAAAAGGTATATTTAGGGACTTAAATAACATCCAAGTAAAGAATGCCACCTGCCAGTCTCTGGCAGGGTGCAAACAGACTACAGTTTAAGGTCTATCTGGATTTACATTACAGAGCTTTTATTTCAGGATGTGAATCTCAGCTGTTAAAAATCCACTCTCAGCTGAAACTAAGAATTTAAATGCTTAGTCAGAGCAAATTATTTTCCAATTAAAAGAAAGGAATCAATTCCTTCGACCCTTTCAAGTTAATTAGAGGTCCTTTCTGACTTCAGAAAATTAAAACTGCTTTCAATTTTTTAAAAACTGCAGAGCTAGACAAAGGGCCTTATTAGAGTGGTACGTTTGGGGGCATAGGGATAATGAAGTAGGTGATCCCAAACATCTTTTGGAAAACAAAACACTTGTTTGAGGAAGGCAGTGTGCAATGCAGTAGTGGTAAGAACACACAGCCACCAGAAGTCGATGGAGCTGGGATCCAATTCTGGCTCTGCTAGGCTCAAGGTGGCCCTGGGCAAATGACTTCACCTCTGAACTGTGGTCTGTTTACTCATGAAATGGGAACAATACTCCACAGGGCTGTTCTGAGGATTAAGTGTGAAAGCTCCTAGTCTGGCCCACCCTTAAGAGGAGCTTAAAGAAGGGTGGCAACAGGCCAGACGCGGTGGCTCACACCTGTAATCCCAGCATTTTGGGAGGCCAAGGCAGGCGGATCACGAGGTCAGGAGATCGAGACCATCCTGGCCAACATGGCGAAACCCCGTCTCTAATAAAAATACAAAAATTAGCCAGATGTGGTAGCACGTGCCTGTAGTCCCAGCTACTTGGGAGGCTGAGGCAGGAGAATCACTTGAACCCGGGAGGTGGAGGTTGCAGTGAGCCGAGATCGCGCCATTGCACTCCAGCATGGCAACACAGTGAGACTCCGTCTCAAAAAAAAAAAAAAAAGGTGGCAACAATAATTATGATGTAATTATGATGATGGCATTCATAATAATATAAAAAAGCCCTCCCTCTTACAGTAACCTCACTGTCTAAGTCCAGAAATTCAATCTGGGGGCATAAAAAGGAATGAATCAATGGCACTTGCAGCAGCCTGGATGGGATTGGAGACTCTTATTCTAAGTGAAATAACTCAGGAATGGAAAACCAAACATTGTATGTTATCACTCACAAGTGGGAACCAAGCTATGAGGATGCAAAGGCATAAGAATGAGACAATAGACTTTGCGGACTCGGGGAAAGGCTGGGAAGGGGGTGAGGGATAAAAGACTACAAATTGGGTTCAGTGTACGCTGCTCAGGTGATGGGTGCACCAAAATCTCACAAATCACAGCTAAAGAACTTACTCATGTATCCAAATACCACCTGTTTCCCCCAAAGGCTATGGCAATAAAAAAATTAAAATAAAATAAAATACAAAAGAAGTCAGATAAAAAAAGAAAAAAAAAAAAAAAAGGGAGATTCAGGCTGGGGGAATCTTAGCCAGGACATAGCTGGGATGATATCCCACTTTTACTGACGGCTGGTGAAGACAATCAGAGCCCTCCCCTCCCCACTCAGAGTCTCAACAGCGCCCACTGGGTTCTGCTCACTTGGTCCCCCAGGGCGAGGTAAGCCCACGGCATTCTGCTCAGCCCCACCCCCTATGCTGTGTCTGGGCGGTGGCCACGTGCATGCTGGACCATGGCAATCATTCCCTAGAGATGCTCCTTGGTTTTGGTTACAACCGGCCCTGGGGCAGAGGTCAGCCATAGCGGGTGGGCAGGTGCCAGATGGGAACACCAAGCCAATTTCTACAGACGCCTGTGAACTCAGGCCTGGTGGGGTGGGCAAGGGACAGCCCGACAGTGGCAACTCTGAACTTGCTTGCCTTTGTGGGTTTAAGCCAGAGTCTTAATGTTATTTGAAGACAGTTTTTTGTCTGTGAATATTTATAACAGTGTGAAAACTCCCGGACAGCTGGTAATGCATTTTGAAGTGTGTTAACAACACTGTATCAAACAGCCCTCTATTGATCCCCTCATACTTTTTTGTGGCCATGCATTTCATACATGGTGCTTATACATTTTGAATAAGAACTTCAAGTACCTTTTGCTTCAAGCGGTTTTTCACCTCTTTTATTCCCATTTTTGCATGATCTTTTGCCTGCATGAAAAATTAATTTAAGTTAAGATTCCCTTTCTGTTTCCAGCAGGGACTATGCTTGATTTCAGTCCATCGAGAATCACCTTCTCTGATTACTAGAAAAAGGAAGGAAAAATGGGATCATCAAGTCGAAAACATAATGGCTATGAAAACAAATACAACGGTAAAAGGTTAAAAAAAAACCCTTAAAGAGGCTGCAGAGATTTTATTTTCTGCATTTTGATGGCACAGATTTTTTTTTTCTTTCCGTTCCAAAGCCCTTCTTCTGCTCTCTATAATTATTTATCTCAGCAGCCTGGTGACAGCTACCAGTAAGAGTACGGCAGCCGTATTTCTGGCTGGAAGATTCAGAATATCCATTCTATTTCACCAGGGCAGGGCCCCAGGACCAATTTTCTGCCCAGGCTGAATGGCCGGAACAGACACATTGCTGGGTTTCTACAGTGCCATTTCCTAAATCTCATTTTGGCAGACACCCTGGCTTTGATTTCAGGTCATTTTAGACCTGTGTGGTTCTGCTGGCAGCCACCCATCCTGCTAAAATAACTACAGCTTAAGCACAGAGAGGACTAACAAAATTAAAAATGGAAATAAAATAAAACCACCCCGCTTCAGTGGCTCACGGTCAAATTAGCAAGCAAGAGAAGTCACAAGAAAAAATACTTGATGCTTGTGAAAGATGAAGCACCGGGAACAGATGTGCTCTCCTATTTTCACTCCGCTGTGGACACGAGTCTTACAAATAATGCATTTCCTATAGGGCAGTGATCAGAGAGATGATGAAGAATTTGGGACAAAAATTAAGTGGTGTATGCCACCACGAACACGCTTCAGGAAACTGCAAAGGAGCTGCTTTATTTTGACCCAATAATGGGGATTCCTGCAGGAAGGCTTTGCCAGACACCAGATAGACCATGCTTCCGGGTCTCAGAAACAGAGGCAGGGTGCAGCCACCTAGTCTACATTTTAAAAGCTAAAACCAGTAGCCTCCCATTTCTCTACTGTGGCAAATGTGAGCACCAACACTATAAATTAAAAATGTCACTGAACCAGTTATAATAATCTGCTAAATAATTTGAAGAACATTGAGACCTTCAGGAAAGAGCTCAGCAGCCTGAGTCATCTCTGCAATAGAGGACAAGGTATACTTAAGAGTCTCATCGCTTGGCTGGGTGCAGCAGCTCATGCTGGTAATCCCAGCACTTTGGGAGGCCGAGGCAGGAGGATTGCTTGAGCCCAGGAGTTCAAGACCAGCCTGGGTAACATACTGAGACCTGTCTCTCCAAAAAAAAAAAAAAGCCAGGCGTGGTGGTGCACACCTGTAGTCCTAGCTACTGGGGAGGCTGAGGTGGGAGGATTGCTTGAGCCCTGGAGGTCAAGGCCTCAGTGAGCTGTGATTGCACCACTGCACTCCAGCCTGGGCAACAGAGCAAGACCCAGTTTCAAAAGTAAGTAAATAAATAAAGAGTCTCATCATGCTAAGGGACTGATCTGTTTTGGCTCCTGACAGCAAGACCAGTACTTACGAACTTGTAGACAGTCTTCATGGCCGGATTTGCTTTGGTCTTTACAGTATTCAGAATTGCTCCACTTCCTTTCTATAATAAAAATGTCAATTAGCAATTTGGGCTGAAGACAGAGTCATCCAACACCAACAAAGACTGCTTCTCTTCAATCGAGTTAAGCAACATTTCAAAGGTATGTAAATGCACATCGAGAAATAGGCCTGGATGATAACTGGTCCCTGCCAGTCAGTTATGGTCATGACAGAAGGACTCTCGGTGGGAGCTGTGGGTGGGTGTGTATGGACTGGGGATGAGGAGTGTGAATTGATGGAAGGAGACTCTAGACTCAGTGCTCTGCTTGGCACCTGTTCCCTGGCTGGAGGGAACTGCATCACAGGCTGCCTAAGGCAAGGGCTTCCCTATGGGCATCTGTGGCTTTTCAAGATATTCTAGTTACCACGGATGACACTCAGGTAAGTTTAATAACCGTGGACTCCATAGCTGACACCAAGCCGGGGCAGAAAGTGGGGCCCTGATCAGCCAGGATCGTTGGGAAATACATTGCCCTCACCGTGCAACTTCCTTTTCTTTCCTTGGTTTTCTGTGGTGTTTTTTTAAATCTCTCTGGTAGGCTGCCTTCCTTAACATCTAAATCTTGAAAAAAGGAAAGAATGAATAGCCACAAATGTTCACCATGGCTTTAGTTAAATCCAACACAGCAATTTCTCGCTCACTTTCTTTAGGAGCAAAAGTGGGAGGAAGGAGGAGGGAAGGCCTTCCCGCTCCTAAAAGAGGCAGTGGAGGGACCTGAAGTGCACAGGGCACGTTTTCATAGCTGTCCGTGAATCCATTTCTCAGTCTCATCCCTGCAGACACGTCGTGAGGGTTCTGAAGACACCAGGCCAAGGGAGGCCTGATCTCTGCCTTCCAAAACCTCCAGCTGGAGAGGCAGGACAGCACAGTAAATAATTACAACAGCGTGTGATGACGGCTGTAATGGCTGTGTGCACAGGGAGCGTGGAGACTTGGAAGATCAGGGAAGGCCTTGGAGGATGAAACACTGGACCTGGTCCATGAAGGATAAATAGGAGTTGATGTAGGAGACGGGAGGAGAACATTCTAGGGACAGGAAATAGCACAAAAAAGAAAGTGCAGAAGCTGAAAAGCCATGGCGTATGCTGTAACAAGTGGCTGCTGTACTGCGCCATGACACACTCCCATGAGTGTATCATCAGAGAAGCATTAACTGAGGCTGGGAGGCCAGATGGGGCCAGCTCGTGAAGGGCCCGGAATGCCAGGCTAAGGGGTCTACACTACAGAGCGTTTTTAATCAAATTCATCACAGAATCAGGTCTGTGGTGGTTTAAAAAAACTGATTCGTATGGAGAGAGGCTGGAACCAGTGGGTACCTAAGAGAATAAGATACAGTAATGTAATTATCGGTCTTAACTTTTAGCACAATTTTTGGTAACTGCCCACATTAGAAATTTTGAGCTTTAATTAAAAACATTACAATTTGACCTAGAAAGCATTCTATGTTGTAGGACAATGGGAAATTTTCACCCACTCATTTATTCCATACTGCTTTCCAAAATTACTCAGTATCCCATTTAAATGGTCCTTTGGAGTATTGAAACTCCCTTTATCAATCAATCAACAAGTCCTTATTACTCCTCTCTGATTTGCCAAGTGCTGTGTTTGGCCATACAAGAGGAACAAAGGAAGTCTTTCATGAAGGAATTGCTTACTCTCCGCCAACTGCAGCCACTTCCAAGGGACTCGCCTGGCAGCAGTGCACTGACGCATTAGCAGGAGGGAACACTTATCACTTGATGCTGGAGTTGCCTGCTTCGTGCCCGCCTCCCCAGCAAGACAGGGAGCTCCCCCAGGGCAGGGCCTGTACCCTGCTCCCTGCTGCATCCCCAGTACCCAGCAGGGTGCCTGGCACACAGTAGGCCTTCAGGACACCTCAATTATAAACTGATGGAAGGGAAAGGCAAGATTTCGAATTCTTTAGAGACGTTGGAAGCCCTATGCCCCTGGCTCCTGACACATCAAGACACCTCACAACAACAGTCAACCTCCCAGTGATGTGTTCCCCATCTTCCCAGGAGCTTTGCTGTGAAAGAGGTTACACAGCAGCAATTTTTGGTTTGCCCATGATCATGACAATTGCTCTGGCCCTAGAAGGAGAACCCCCCGAATGCTCTAAGACAGCAACATTCCATTCAGCTCTCCTTGGCTGGTTTCCTGCAGAGGAGGAAGCCTCTCATGCCTTTTTCAGCCCCCACCAAGTGATGGCTTTGGACAATCCCACCCTTCTAGTCTCCATCTGGCATGAGAAGAGCCTGGCTTTACAAACAAAGGCATCTCCAGCAGAGAGAATGGAGTGCTCCAGGATGGAAGGGGAAGCACAGGGAAGCGGAAGGCTGCCAGGAAGCTAAGGAGGGAGTCCAGGGGGCTCTGAATTGGGTGCATGCTTACCCGGACAGTGGAGAGCCACTGATGGTACAGTTTGTCACTGCCTGGGGAAAGAGAATTCAGAGAAGCTGTCACTTAAAGAGGTGATTTGTCCTTGGGAGTCCTTAAAATTGCTTTTTTTTTTTTTTTTGAGATGGAGTCTCACGCTGTCTCCCAGACTGGAGTGCAGTGGTGCGATCTCAGCTCCTGGGTTCAAGCAATTCTCCTGCCTCAGTCTCCCGGATTACAGGTGCCCGCCACCACACCTGGCTAATTTTTGTATTTTTACTAGAGACGGGGTTTCACCATGTTGGCCAGGCTGGTCTCGAACTCCTGACCTCAAGTGATCCACCCGCCTTGGCCTCCCAAAGTGCTGGGATTACAGTCGTGAGCCACCACGCTTGGCCGAAATTGCTTTCAGCATTCAGGACTTGGAGAACCCGGTGGAGGGTCCCATGTCCTGTTCTTAAAGGAGGCGGCAGCGAGTCACTGCCAGAGGGTTTCCTTCTCAAACAGAGCTGATCATGCAGTACCCTGACTGCAAACTCAGCAGCCACCTCACTGCCTGCTGGCTGGAGGTCAGGCTCCGAGGCAGCCGTGCCACTCTCCTCCAGTCGCGCCTCACGGCCTCTCCATCCTGTGCTGCTGTGATGCTGCACCACCTTATGTCCCACCACGGGGAACTACTTAAGGGACCACGGGGTCCATAAACCAGCATCCTCGCAGGCCTGCAGGCCCTTGCAAATGCCGCTCCCTTGCCTAGTCACCACGCCCTACTCTCTCTGCTTAGTAAACTTGACAGCTCAGATGTGATGTCCTCTGGAGGCTTCTCCTTCCTCTGAACAGCCCTCGGGAATAGGTAACAGCCACTGAGACATCCGTACTCTGGGAAGTACTGTGAGGGGCACCAGAACAGGAACCCCCAGGGCTGTGTGTCCCATTGAAAGGACCCTGCTGGACACACATTGAACCCTCGGAGAGTGAGACAGAAAGAAAATGGATGTGCTGTTGGTAAACTCTGTTCATTTTAAATGGTGGGTCTTAACCTACTGAATAAGTGAGCTCAGTTTAACAACACCTAAAGCCTTTCTTCCTGGAACTCACATGCAACCGTTAGAACACAACTCCAGCCCAGCCTCCTTTGTCAAGCCCTCACATTACACAGCGAGGATTAACACAGCCCTAGTCTAACCGCAGCGAAATGCGTTTCTACTCCTTTTCCTGAATTGGTTTAATTTCTGATTGTCTTTAGTCATGCATTTCTCTCTCCTACCTAACACTCCTTGAGGGCAGAACTGGGTCCTCCGCTTTTTACTCTATGGGGCTCTGGACCTAGCAGGTGTTCAGGAAATGCTTATCAGTGACTGGCTATTGCTGTTTGTAGACTTCATGGTGATTTTCTTAACTGTGCTCTCCATGCAGCACAGGCTGGGAGGGCCTGCAATGTTTATAGGTGTATACTGTGCCTTGCTCTGTGAGCTTACAAACTGCCAATTGGATTATCACAGTAGTCCAGAATAGACACACACCCAGCAATAAAAGGGGGCCAGCAGCATGGGCACACACCCAGCAATAAAAGGGGGCCAGCAGCATGGGTATTATTTTGCATCTGGTTTTGCCTTCGCTGCCAAAGACTGAGGCGATGGGATTTGGAAAGAAGGTCAGACTGGGATTCAGGAGGTAGACTCAGCCACCAACACCTCTCTGGGCCTTAGATGCCTCCTCTGAAAAATGAGAAGACAAGACCTTCAGTTCTTCAGATCTGCAGGGACCAGGCACTCAACAATAATTTGTCATATTTTAAAGAAACAGGGCTGGGTATGGTGGCTCACACACCTGTAATCCCAGCACTTTGAGAGGCTGAGGCAGGTGGATCACCTGAGGTCAGGAGTTTGAGACCAGCCTGACCAACATGGCGAAACCCTGTCTCTACTAAAATACAAAAATTAGCTGGGCGTGGTGACACGTGCCTGTAATCCCAGCTACTCAGGAGTCTGAGGTGGGAGAATCACTTGAACCTGAGAGGCAGAGGTTGCAGCAGTGAGCCGAGATCGTGCCACTGCACCCCAGCCTGGACAACAGAACAAGACTCTGTCTCAAAAACAACAACAATAACAACAAAAAAAACTTACTGCACACAGTCCCCATGCCAGGAACTGTCCTGGATGACTGCACAAACCTTTCCTCATGTACTCTGATTTAATCTCAACAGGAATCCTGTGAGGTGGGACACGGTACGTACTCTCAGGACATGGATAGGAACTTTAGCTACAGAAGGGGAAATGACTCAACCAGGGTCTTGCAGCTTGTGAGGAGGCAGAGTCCTAACTTGAATCCAGGCCTCCTAACTGAATACTGCATGTGCTTCCCAGTGGACCACGCTGGCTACTACTTTAACTAGACTTTGTCTACACAGGGGAAGCAACTGATCCTAGGCTGGGCGACTTCATATGGGCCAGGGTGCATTTTGTCAGAAAACAAAGAGGAATTCTTCAAACATTTCAAGGCCAAGCTTGAAAGCAGTCTCTTCCTAAGCCCCAATAAAGGAAAAGCAAGTCACTGCCACTCCTTGTCAAATATGCCCTAAATGATAGCAGCCTGCAGCCCCGGAAGGAAAATGAGTTGCTTCTCACCAGCGTACTCGCCCATGTTGATTTCCTCTTCAAAAACATCACTGAAACCTTCGCCGGAATTGAGAAGATCTAATCGACCATCAATAAACTATAGAAAGAAGGAACAAAAGCACAACAGCTCGTACAAAGAAAAGGGGGAAAAACCATTCAGCTGGGCACCTTACTGTATCCAAGGTAGGAGTTTTCAAAAAGTAAGGTTCAACAGGCAAGTTTCTTTCTAAAATACCGGCTGCATATTTATGATAACTTGGAAAACCACACGGCAGATTTGCAAAGGGTCTGTCTGGTCAGTGACTGCTCTCTTCATCCAATCCCCCTCCCCTGAGCCTCTTTTGCCTGGGGCCTGAGTCCCATCCATGCCTGCGGCCTCAGTACTTAGAGTGGAGACAGCTGCAGAAATCCCCGCCAGGGAGCCAGACCCAGGCCAGACCAGGGAGGGAGGCACCTGCTTGAAGAGCTGCAGCTGTGTGGCGTTCTGCAGGAACTGCCTCATGGCTCCGGAGCGGTAGTGGGACACGAAGGCTTCCTCACAGAAAGTGATCGGCTCCTCCTGGGAAGTGCAGAGGGGAGAGGTGGGTCAGTGGCACGGAGCAAGAGCCATCAGTTTTGAAATTCCTATTTGCAGAGTTTCTCCATCTGCTATTTTTTTTCTTTTCCTTTTTTTTTTTTTTGAGATGGAGTCTCACTCTGTCACCCAGGCTGGAGTACAGTGGTGCCATCTTGGCTCAGTGCAACCTCTGCCTCCCGAGTTCAAGCGATTCTCCTGCCTCAGCCTCCCGGGTAGCTGGGATTACAGCTGCCCCCCACCACAAGTGGCTAATTTTTGTAGTTTTAGTAGAGATGAGGTTTCACCATGTTGGTCAGGCTGGTCTCGAACTCCTGAACTCAAGTGATCCACCCATCTTGGCCTTCCAAAGTGCTGGGATTACAGGTGTGAGCCACCGTGCCTGGCCCCCATCTGCTAACTTTTCTAACCCTCTGATAGTTAGAAATAGCTAACTATTTCTAACTATCTATTATCTAATAATAGAAATATCTAACTATTTCTAACTAGCTAATAGTGAAGTAGCTATTATCAAGAAATTCATTTTCTTTTATGGATGAGGAAGCTGTTTCAGAGAGGAAGAGTCATCCCGCAAAGTCACAGAGAGGGTAGAAGGCAGAGCAGGAACCAACAGTCAGATTCTACACCCCACATCCCCTTCCGTACCCCAAGGGCTATTTAGGGAGACATGCCCTCCAATGTGAAGATTTCTAAACTTTTCACTTTTTTCACTTTTAGCAGCGGAACCCTTTATTCAGATAGGATTTTATGCAGAAGCAGCCCTGCTAGGCCAGGCGCGGTGGCTCATGCCTGTAATCCCAGCATTTTGGGAGGCCAAGGCAGGTGGATCACCTGAGGTTGGGAGTATAAGACCAGGCTGACCAACCTGCAGAAACCCCGTCTCTACTGAAAATACAAAATTAGCCGGGTGTGGTGGTGCATGTCTGTAATCCCAGTTACTTAGGAAAGCTGAGGCAGGAGAATCGCTTGAACCTGGAGGCAGAGGTTGCGGTGAGCCAAGATCATGCCACTGCACTCCAGCCTAGGCAATAAGAGCAAAACTCCGTCTCAAAACAAACAAACAAACAAACAAAAAAACAAAACAAAAAAACAAAAACCCAAAAATGAGCTGAGCCAAGTGTGTTGGCAGGTGCCTGTAAGCCCAGCTACTTGGGAGGCTGAGGAGAGAATTGCTTGAACCTGGGAGGCAGAGGTTGCAGTGAACTGAGATGGCGCCATTGCACTCCAGCCTGGGCAACAGAGTGAGACTCCATCTCAGAAAAAAATAAGATTTTATACAGAAGGAACCCTGTTACCTGAGTTCCATAATGCAGAGATCAGCTGCTCTGGAGGACCTGGGGGTAGAGCAGGGGTGCTGGCTGGGTTCTCCAGGCTTGGCCACCTCCTCATCCCCCAACATCCCAGGCATCTTTGCAGTCCCTAGGCCACTGGCTGTGGGACATACTTTGAAAACCATTTACACAGTGACCTTAAACAATAGCAAACTGAAATTTTAAAATAATTAAAGAACGGGGATGATCAAAAATAAAATATACTATCCAATCGATTTTATGCTTATGCTGTTTGATAAGCAAGTTTGCTTTTACCAAACCATGTTTTATGAGTCAAGAAGACGATACCCTGAGTTAAAAAAAAAAAAATCCTATCCGTATAGAGCTAACACCTCACTTTTTCTTTGAACATGTTTGGAGTGCTTATCTACACAGACAAGTCTTTAATTTCAGCGGTGTATTCTCAATTCTGAAAGATCAGACTTTCAGATCTTGAGCTGAATTAAGGGTAACACCCCACCCCCCAGCCCTGGTAGCAAACACAGAGATGTTTGAAGCTCCACTTTTATACTATTTTAATGAGTTGCATGAGTGTTAAATTTACTGTCGAGCTTCCGTAAGTTCTAAGAGTTCTTCCTGCTTAAATCTAGCCAATATTAACTCAGAAGCTGGGCAGACTTATTGCACAAGGGCTGTGAGGATGACCCAAAAATATTAGGGTAAGGAGAATATTTATTTTTATACAGTTACACCCTACCTAATTTTACAAAGGATCTGAGGCAGCTTATATGAGCATCTAAAACAACAAAGAAAAACATCAGGGCTGCCAAATACATAGATATATAAAAAGTATTTGTTTGGGAAAAAAGTAGCTGGGTATGTATGTCCTATGTGGCATCTAAGTTAAGTTACAAAATTAGCTCTGAGCTTCCTGGCTGCTGGAGCAAGAAGGAAAACAATGCAAACTTTATTTTGTGTACGAGAAAAAAACCCCACACTAGTTCCTTGGGAAAAATAGCTTTATGTGCCATTTATTACTTTGGCATGGGTTTACATCTTCCTTGCTCAACAGCTGAGAAACCAGCTAGTGATAACTAACACAAGCTCAGCTAGAATTCCATTCCTGTGGCTTGGAAGTTTTGTTCTCACTCTTGGGACCAGAGCAGGGCAATTAATTCTCTCTCCAGGTGATCTCATCCATGCACACAGCATCACTCATCCACTGATGACTCCTGACAAATCCTGGCAGCTCAGACACCTTTCCGAAGCTCTATACCCATCCATCTCAACCTCCACCTGATGGCCTGCTGGCGTCTCAAACTCAAAATAGCCTGAAACTTCCAATTACTATCCCATCAAGACTGCGCCCCAAATCTATTTTTTTCTTAACTGTCATTATCCACAGTTACCCACAGTGGACCTATCAGACTTTCTAACTCCTTCCTATTTTACCTGTGAATTGTCTCACGCTCACCCCCGGCTCTCCATCTACGCCTACCTTGGCGTAGGCCTGGACAGGCTTAAACCACGGTGGAGGTTTAACTCCACACTCCTCTCCTGTTTCGTCCCTCTTCTACTCCAGCTCTTCTGGCTAGAGTGCTTTCTAAAATGCAAATTAGACCACATCACTATCCTACTCAGGAACTCTGCATAGATGTTACCTTTGTGCGATTATTTGACTAATGTCTCTTTTTCCCACTAGACTATATGCTTCACGCAGGCCGGAATGGTGTCTGTTTTGTTCAACATTGTGCACCTGGCAACATATGTGGCACACACAAGGGCCCAATAGGGGTGAGGAAAGGGAGAGCTCCTTAACCAGCAAACGCACCCTCCCAAAGCTGACCCTGGCTTCCTTTCCTAGAGTCCTTCTGTGTCACTTTGCCTCTGCTCTTCCACATACCTCATGCTCCAAACGCATCCCATGATCACACACCACATCCTTCCTTCCTCACCTTCTTCATTGCTTTTGCCAGTTCTATTCCTTCTGCCTGGACTGTCCTCCTGACACATGCAGGCCTCTGAGTGGCAGTCACTCATCCCAGTGCCGTGTGCACTCCTGGGTGCTGGGATAGTCTTCACTGGTATCCCCTCTCACCAGGAGCTCAAGGGGCCAGAGGCTGAACTCATCTCTGTACGCCCCAGGAAGAGCCCAGCCCCTAATCAGAAGCTCAGGGATGCTGGTTAAAGAACCACGAAATGAGTTGAACCCTGCTTCCAGCCACAGGAGCCTTGTGTGGTCTCAGTGTGTCTCTGACACTGTTTGGCCTGATGGTAAAGAGGTCTCAGAGCTCGATGCCAGGCAAGTGGCACCCATGCACAGGGAGTTGAGCTGCTCCAAGGAAATGCTCACTGAAGTGGCTGGCAGTCACTCCTGGAGCTTTGGCTCAGGGTTGCCAGGAAGAAGTCTGCTGAGGGCCCGATACATTCAAGAGAGTTTGCAACCAGATTCGTAGATGAGGTAGTCTGAGGCAGAATTTAGCTGCAGGAGAGCAGAAAGAATCTCGCCTTTGGGGAGACATAAACATTTTGGGCCTGTTGTGTGCTCACGGGAGGTGATATCCCCCGGACAAGATGTCTGCGCCCTAAAAATGCAACAGGACATGGGCATGGAAGGGAAAGAGTCAGGGGAAATGTGACAAGGGGCTTTTTCTGAAAAGAGCTTAAAGAACAGCATCAGATGTGTGAATTAGACATGGGAAGAAAGTCTATCACATGGTGTAGTGTTACCAGGGTGGGGTGGGGTGGGGGGTAAAGTGTCCACAGGAGTCCAAAGAGGAAACGGCAAATTCTCCAGGGCGGCAGGTCAGAAAACATGATAAGTGGACACTTCGGCTGCGCCTGGAAGGGTGAATAGGACTTAGGTGAGCAAATCCTGTCTGTTCAGGGCCCAACTCTTCTATCTTAATCCTGCTGCAAGGCAGTGACGTTGTCACCCAGAACCATGCATAAAGGTCTGAATGGCACCAGGCACAGAGGGCTCTTTTCCCTGGAGCAACTCACCTTGTAAGACAAAGGCAATAATCATAGTTTAACTCTCTGTGAGGCACAGTGCTACGCACTTCACAACTCTTTTTAACATTCTGGAAACTTTCATGAAGTCGAAATTACACTCAAATTTTACAGAGGAATAACTGAGGTAAAGACATCTGCCCAGGTGACAGGATTCAGACATTGCAGAGTCAGGGTTAACAGCTGGTGGCTTCCCAAACCCAGGTGTGCAGCATGCATGTGGTCTACTGCAGGCCTGGCTTCTCCCTGCAGCCTCAGTCCTAAATGCTTGCCCTGAGACCTCCCTGGACAGGAGAGTTCTCTTTAAAATTGGAACCCTGGCCAGGCACGGTGGCTCACGTCTGTAATCTCAGCAATTTGGGAGGCTGAGGTGGGCGGATCACCTGTGGTCAGGAGTTCGAGACCAGCTTGATCAACATGGTGAAACCCTGTCTCTACTAAAAATACAAAAATTAGCTGGGCGTGTTGGCGCACGCCTGTAACCCCAGCTACTTGGGAGGCTGAGGCAGGAGAATCACTTGAACCCGGGAGGCGGAGGTTGCAGTCAGCCAAGATCACACCATTGCACTCCAGCCTGGGCAACAAGAGTGAAACTCCATCTCAAAAAATAAAAACAACAAAAAAAATAAAATTGGAACCCTTTAGGTTCTCCTGCACACAAAGCACCAGCCCTTCAGTGACAAACAGCTCCTGGGAGTAAACAAACCGCTGTCAAGGCTCTTTCTGCCACAGGCCCAAGGTGAGGTGCCAAGCCACTCCCACCAGCTCGTCCACCTGCGTCCTGCAAGTAAAAATGGCGGCCCCCACTCCATTGTGCATGGAGAAGAGTAAGGCAAGGTGTCTCATTATTCTCCCCTGAAGTGCTGATTTAGTTCTACGAGGCTGATTAAGCCCTTTGTCTTCTTAGGTGACATTCTAGGTGCTGGGGCTACTGGCTGATAGCAGTGTTAATTCAGGGAATTCAGGCCGTGAGTGTTCAAGCTTAGATCACATTAGCAGAGTTTTCCAAGTATGACCTGAAGGACAGTAAAACACAGCTGCTTAACCCTGTCGAGAACTTTGTTACAAAAAGACAAGTTTTACTCCTGGATTATCTTCTTGACATATGGAATCCATCGGAAACACTATCATTAATAAGTTGAATCCTTGTTAACAGGTAAAATTGGTGATTTCAAAGGTTTTTGATACTTCCAGAAATAAATGACTCTATCCACAGCATTGCTGATATTTTTATTGGCATAAAAATAAAATCTCTCATCAGATTTTTCAGCAAGTTTCCTTGTTCTGAAGACCCATAGAGTATTACATTCTTCTTTTACTGATTTAATTTTTATCAAAATTCTATGTGCACATTTATGAGATTCTTATGAGAAATGGAAAGAATCTCAGACCTCTTTATGGACCTTGCTTAACATTTAAAAGAGTTAATGTCGGCCAGGAGTAGTGGTTCACGCCTGTAATCCTGGCACTTTGGGAGGCTGAGGTGGGCGGATCAACTGATGTCAGGAGTTCAAGACCAGCCTGGCCAACATGGTGAAACCCCATCTCTACAAAAATACAAAAATTAGCCAGGCATAATGGCAGGTGCCTGTAATCCCAAATACTTGGGAGGCTGAGGCAGGAGAATCACTTGAACTCGGGAGGCAGAGGTTGCAGTGAGCCCAGATCACACCATTGCACTCCAGCCTGGGAGACAGAGCGAGACTCCAGCTCAAAAAAAAAAAAAAATTAAAAATAAAAAAACAAATAATAATAAAAAGAGCTGATGCCTGCTGGGCTTCATACCTAGGTGATGGGTTGATAGGTATAGCAAACCACCATGGCACATGTTTACCTGTGTAATAAACCTGTACATCTTGCACATGTACCCCATAACTTAAAAACAATAAAATACAAATTAAAATTAAGAAAACACATACTTTTGGAAGATCCATCCACACACCCAAACATTTTTAAAGCACTTACTATGGTCTAGGCTCTGTGTTAGGGGAATGCAAACACGAATAAAATAGAGTTGGTACAAACAGTAATAACTAAATGAGGGATGAGAAGTGGATGAAAATATAGATAATGTAAGAATGGCAGAACATTATGTTCATAGCAGCTCTACTCACATCAGCCAAAAGATGGAAGCAACCCAAGGGTTCATCTGTGGAGGAGCGGATAAACAAAGTGTGGCATATACACACAAGGGAATATTATTCAGCCCTAAAAAGTAAGAGATCTGATACATGCTGTAACATAAAGGAATCTTGAAGACATTACGTGAAGTGAAATAAGCCAGTCGCAAATAGATCAACGCTGCATGGTTCCACTTGTATGAGGTACCTAGGGTAGTCAAACTCACAGAGACAGAAAGAATGGTGCTTGCCAGTAGCTGGGGCAGGGGGAAGGGTGAGTTTTTTAATGGGTACTGAGTTTCGGTTTCGCCAGACAAAAAAACTTCTGGAGATGGAACAATGTGAATATACTTAATGCCACTAAACTGTGCACTTAAAAATAGTTAAGATGGCAAATTTTATGTATATTTAAGGACAATCAAAATTTTTAATTAAAACTTTTTTTTTAACTTAAAAAATAGAATAATGGAATATTTATAGCAGTGGAAGCTGGGAGATGGGTTCACTGACTTTGTATAAGTTTGAAATTTTCCATAATAAAAAGTTAAAAAGGCCGGGCACAATGGCTCATGCCTGTAATCCCAGCACTGTGGGAGGCCGAGGCAGGCGAATTGTCTGAGGTCAGGAGTTTGAGACCAGCCTGGCCAACATGACAAAAACCCATTTCTACTAAAAATACAAAAAAAAAAAAAAAAAAAAAAAAATTAGCCAGGCGTGGTGGTGCAAACCTGTAGTCCCAGCTACTCAGCCAGCTACTCGAGAGGCTGAGGCAGGAGAATCGCTTGAACCCGGGAGGTGGAGGTTGCAGTGAGCCAACATTGTGGCACTGCACTCCAGCCTGGGCAACAGAGCAAGACTACGTCTCAAAAAAAAGAAAAAAAAAACATTAAAAAGAAAAGCTCCTGTATCAAAGAATCCTGTCTAGTTCAGGGAGCAAATAACAACAGTACAGTGTGACAGCTAGCACACCAGAGGGCTGGTTTTTGTCTTTGATTTTTTTTTTTTTTTTTTTTTTTGGTAGAGGCATCTGTATGGAAACTTAAAACTCTGTTTCTATTTGATCAATTTAGATGACACAACATGGTGGAGTGAGAATGTGGCTTGGGTGGAAAGACCTGCATTTGAACCTTGACCCTGACTGTACTAGCTATGTGCTCTTAGGTGACTAACTTGTCCCTCCTCGTCTGTGACAATTATACAATGCCAACCTACCTCACAGGGTTGCTTTGAAGAGTAAAACAGATGATAAACAAATAGATTCTTTCACAATAGACTTTCAACAAATAACTGTTTCCCCTGAGGGTGGAGATTGGGTCTTACCAGGGCTGGCAACATAATATGCAAGACCAAATATAAAATAAATATGCAGGAAAAAAGTGCTGTTAAAATATAGAAGTGCCGAACTAAAATATAAACCTTTTTTCTTTTATGGTGTCTTTTTAGACCTATCATGATGCTTTTAAATGTACTATTTAATGTCATTATAAGAAAAAATAAAAATGTAAATTATATTGGCATGAACTTTGTCATTTAGCTTGGCCTTGTGCAATGCCAGTTTTAAATGCTAACTCATATGTACAATTGTATTTTATAGCTTGTACATGCATTTATACATTTGTATTTTGTTCTCATCAGACAGTGGAAACACTGCACAAAACTAACGCCATTGTTTTTATTTCTTTTTTTCTTTTTTAATTTTTTTAGAGATGGAGTCTCGCTCTGTCACCCAGGCTGGAGTGCAGTGGCGCGATCTCGGCTCACTACAAGCTCCACCTCAGGTTCACACCATTCTCCTGCCTCAGCCTCCTGAGTAGCTGGGACTACAGGCGCCAGCCACCACACCCGGCTAATTTTTGTATTTTCAGTAGAGGTGAGGTTTCACCATGTTAGCCAGGATGGTCTCCATCTCCTAACCTCATGATCCTCTTGCCTCAGCCTCCCAAAATGCTGGGATTACAAGCATGAGCCACCGTGCCTGCCTTTTTATTTATTTATTTTTTTTGAGACAGAGTCTACCTCTTTCTCCCAGGCAAGAGAGCAGCGATGTGATCTCTGCTCACTGCAACCTCTGCCTCCTGGGTTCAAGTGATTATCCTGCCTCAGCCTCCTGAGTAGCTGGGATTACAGGCACCTGCCACCACACCCAGCTAATTTTTGCATTTTTCATAGAGATAGGTTTTCACCATGTTGGTCAGGCTGGTCTCAAACTGACCTCAAGTGATCCACCTGCCTCGGCCTCCCAAAGTGCTGGGATGACAGGCGTGAGCCACTGCACCTGGCCTATTTCACTTCTTGCTATCTGCACATTCTCTATCTATCTCCAGCTTACTGATGAGAAAGGTAAAGGAACCATGGTTGTTTTATCTTTGCCTTTCCTTCTATGTCATCATTTTCAGGATAAATGGTTGGCTAAGTACAAAGTAACATAAATAAGAAATATGATAGGTTTCCTTGGTCATTCATGTTTCTTAGAACATCACAGGCTGAGTGGGGAGGATCTCTTGAGCCCAGGAGTTTGAGACCAGCCTGGGCAACACAGAGAGACCCCGTCTAGACCCCATCTCTTAAAAAAAAAAAAAAAACTAGCCGGGCTTGGCTAGTGGCTCAAGTCTGTCATGCCAGCTACTCAGGACGCTGAGGCAGGAAGAAGTCTCGAGCCCAGGGCGTCAAGCCTGCAGTGAGCCGTGATCACACCACTGCACTTCAGCCTGGGTGACAGAGCAAGACGTCTCAGGAAAAAAACCCAAAAAAACAAAAACAAAACAAAACAAAACAAAACAAAAAAACATTATTGCCTTCTTTCTGTATTTGAAGCAAGTTCTGGTTCTAATGGAAAGTGTGGCCTCTTGGGGCTGTCAGACATGGACATGTTTACTTTGTGAGCACGTAGAGTCCTGCTGAATGTCCCCACATCCTGGGTCCACTGGAATTTGGTGCTGCAGGCACTAGAAAATTGTATGGGGTTGGGATGGCGAGGCCCCATGGAGACACATGTTCTGTGCGTGTCTCCTTTGCCAATGTCCTTACTCTACTGTCCCATTTATAAAACACCAGTTCAGGCCTGGTGTGGTGGCTCACGCCTGTAATCCCAGCACTTTGGGAGGCTGAGGTGGGTGGCTCACGAGGTCAAGAGATGGAGACCATCCTGGCCAACATGGTGAAGCCCCATCTCTACTAAAAATACAAAAAATTAGCCAGGCATATTGGCGGGCGCCTGTAATCCCAGCTACTCAGGAGGCTGAGGCAGGAGAATCGCTTGAAATCAGAAGGCAGAGGTTGCAGTGAGCCGAGATCGCGCCACTGCACTCCAGCGTGGGCAACAAGAGAGAAACTCCGTCTTGAAACAAAACAAACAAAACATCCCCACACCAGTTCAAAGGTAAAAATGTTAGGAATTTCAGGACGGTGACAGCAGAGCATTAAGCCAAGCCTGGGGCCCTGTGTGACTGCACAGGTCCATGCAGGTGGGGCCAGCCTGGTTCCTGAGCATGACACTCAAGGCTCTAAGTGACCTTCTCCAGCTGCCTTTCTTGCTTATGACACCCTGTCCACCTCACTCACACACACATCTCCTCCTGCAGAGGTTCTGGGCTGTCCACCACACCCTGAGCATTTTGTGCACTCTCACTCCTGGCTGCCTTCTTCATGGTACTTCCTTGGGGAAACCTTACTTGAATCATTCAGATGAAGAGGACCTCATTTCCCACTAAATGTCTCCACCAACCACCACCTGTACCCAGGTGGACTGTCCCCAGCACACTGCAAGTTCCTAGAAGGCAGGCTCTGATTCATGGTCACTCTGAGAAGTGGCAGATTGGGGGGTTCCACTCTCAGCTCTGCTCCTTGCTGCTCTTGGTGCCACCCTGGGGAAGTGACTACACCTCTTAGATCCTCATTCTTGTCACATGTAATGTGGGTAGAGCTACCTGCCTCCGGGGACTGCTGGGGGATTAAGCAGGGATGAATGAGATGGTGGAGGTTCACAGATCTCATCCTTGGCTATTCACCAGAATTACCTGGGTTATTTTAATCCCCAATGCCAGAGTCACAGATTTTGAAATTCCCCAACTGACTCCAGTGCAGCTAAGGCGGACAACCCCTGGTACAGGTGAAAGTGACCAGCACAGAGCCTGGACCCACTTGACAGTCCTTTTTAAAAACTTAAGAATAAAGCAAGCTGGGGAATTTGGCCCTATTTCTCACCAGCAGTCCCATCTCAGTTGCATTTTGTTTAAATGCCTCCAAATTCCCTGCTGGGGCCTCAGCATCCCTCCCAGAGCTGGGAGGAGAACGCTGTGCTGGTCTGACGGCTTCTTCTTACAGGGTCAGCTGTGGCAGCTGCCAAGGAGCCAGGGTGAGGTCCCGGCCAACATGGAAAAAGCTAGTGTGGTGTCTGGCCTAAAGAATGCCAAGACCTTGTTTACCAGAAAGCTGAGAGAGTGGGGACAGCAGGCTTAGATGACAATGACTTCAGGTTAGCCAGACACTGGCGTGAGTGTGAGGAGAAGGCAGCCAAGGTCTGCTGAGCTCCTGTTTGGGACCAGATGACCTGCATCCTTCACTCACCAAATCCTCGCCAGAAGGGAGATCTTCTGAAATGATTTCCACTTCATGGATAAGGAAGGGATGCCCATACAGGTGAAGCACATTGCCTAAGGTCCCAGGGCTCATGGTCTAATGACCCCTGAGCCCACACACACTCCTTCCCTGCCCTCAGAGGGCCTGGGTTACCAGGGATCCCAGGACCATCAGGTGGACTTGGGAAGGTGGGTCACTGCATGGCTATAGTCAGATGACTCTGGCTGGGCTGGGTGGGGACATGCCACATTTTGGGGTGACAGGACCAAGGCAGCTTTCTGAACCATTTGCACGGTGGCCGAGGCATGTCAGAAATAGACTCCCAGTCTGGGCCCCTGTCACTATAACAAGCCCTAAACAAAGAATCAATGTCTCATCGTGAAGCCAGCTCACTGTTCAGATGATTTAAGTTAGGGGAAATGTGGGTGTCAGCCCAGAGCTACTCTGATGATTTGCAGGGGCAGGCATGGCCGGGCTGCCAGTATTTGCCCATTCTGGCCGGCCGCTCTGGTATTGACAGAAGCCCCCACACGCGCTTGCTAGATTACAGTAAAGACATTCAAATCACAGGCGTGTCGGCCCACGCCTCGGCTCCTCTGTGCCAGCAGCCCCTTCCTTCTGCATTAACCGAGACAAACAGGGAGAAGTCAGGAAATTCTGATTAGTGCAGGAACGGCAGATGAGCTGGGAGGCCTGTGGAAGCTAAGGAGACACAATGAAGGTGGTATTCATGCATACTAGCGTAAGATTTTCTTCCCATAAGAAATGCAGATGGGAATCGGCTCTAAGAGGAAAGCAGGTGCAGTGATTAAAAACAGCTACCGCTTGCTGAGCCCTAAACCAGCACTGGGTGGTTTTACATGCATTAGCTCACTTACTCCTCACAGCATCGCGTGAGGTAGGTAGGATGATGATCTCCATTTTACAGATAAGGAAATCAAGGCTCTGAAAGGGGACGTCACTTGCCTGAGGGTGAAGAACTGGGCAATGACAGGGCCAGAGTTTGAAACGAAGTCTGTCTGGCCCTGGGGCTCATGCAGCACAATATTATTTATGTTTGATTAAGAGAGGTAATCACAAGATTGTATTTGACATATCAATGGCCACTCAGGGCTGCCCTAGTAGCAATTCAGACAGGGATTCTAAGGTGATGTTGAACAGAAAGGGCTTTGGAGAAATGAAGTGGGTTTTGGCTGCACTCTATGCCTGCTGTAGCCATCTCGGCTCTTGGAGCCTCTGTTTCTTACAGATACAATAGAGGTAATAGCTATGTCATGCTCTAGGCATTCAACCCCATTACATAGGGTGAGTCCACAGTGCAGCGGTGGCGCAAGGTGAGAGCTGACATGAGTGAGACGGTGACGACCCCTGTGCTGCCGCAGAGCTACAGCTCTCTCCCTAGCACAGAAACCAAATGGGGGCCCACTGAAATCTCAACCTCAAACACCTGCTGGCTCAACCACGTGGCCAGCGCCAGGGGTTGCCTCACTCTCACCAGGGGCCAGATTCCCGGTTTCAACACAATGACACTTGCATCCAAAGTCCCAAGAAAGGAAGCGCCAAGCTGATTAGAGATTTCTGTTTCCCTAGTGAGGAGAACACGGTTTGAGGAAGTGCACTGGAGAGAGGACACGTGTCAGGGACCTGATAGGCCCCTAGAGCAACAGAATCTATCTGAAACGCAATCAGCCGCAGAACCCATGTAGCTGCAGCAATGGGAATATGAGACTCATGGATCTCAAGGTAAAAAAGGACATGGTGATAAAACAGAAGAGGCACAAATTCGTCTCCACAAATGAAAAGCCCTAACCCCCTAACTGAGGAGACAGGCCCCCCTGAAGGTGTGCTGCCCACCCATCGCTTGGTGACACAGTCCTCTGGGGGGTGCTCTGTGGCACTGTCCACATGATTAATTGTCAGAATTATTTATTAGCCCCATGACTCCCTTATTTATTATCACTCCTCCTCCGAACGTCACTCATGCAGGGCTGAGTCTCTGGTGTTGAAACGGGCCTGGTACACAGGAGACTTCGGTAGGAAGTTTCTAGTCGTGAGCACGTGGCAGCATCAGGAACTGGAAAGAGCGCCAGGGGAGTCAAATGCCTGACTTGGTCTGGATTCCTTTTCCTTGCCTAGGCCTCGGTTTCTTCCTCCGTAAAATGGGAAGCTTGGAAAGTCTCCAAGGTGCTTTCTAATGTGAATGTGTTGTTTCTAGATATAGAAAAGGCTTTTCTTTACGAGGTCTGCCACAACCTCTCATAGAGAAATGTGTCACGATGCACAGTGCATGATGGGAGAGTCGGGAACAGTGAAAGACACTGCGTGGGAATGCAGGCTCTGCCACTTAACATGTCTGGAACGTGGGGCAAGTCCCTAACCCCTCAGAGACCACCTTCTCATCTGCCGAATGGGGGAGCTACTTCCTACTTCACAGGGCTGTGTGGGGATTGACAATCGAGGCATGGAAAGTGCCTAGTGGGGGGCTTGACTCTTAGCGGAGGGGCTAAGAAAGGATCTGTTTTCCACCCCAAATTAGGATGGTTTCCTGCCCAAAGCAGATGGCAAGTGATTGTACTCAAGCAGCCCCATTTCAGTGCATGTGACACGCGCTACCTGTGCAGGACATGTGACAGGGCAGTGGAGGCGAGACCGCAACGTACAGCAAGAAGAAAAGGAACCTCCACGAAGCTGCCTGCTAGGGCTGGGACGCCGCAGGACATGGCAACTCTCTGTGGCTGCACGTTGACTTCTCGTAAGAACCCTACAAAGACAGGCTCTTGAGCCTCATCTTAGAGAGGAAGGAGCTGTGACTTGACCAAGGCCACAGAGCTGAAGAACCATAGTCGCACTTGAAGTCAGTTCTCTGACCCCAAAGTCCAGGCTCCTCCCACGACACCCCCGAGCTCTGAGCACGCTCAGTTACCCAAACACAGTTTTCCCCTGGGCTTCTAGGAAATCCAAGATATGTCAGACGATTTTCTACACAAAAATGTCCTTTTCCATGTTCTGCAGCTGCAGTCCCAGACCGAGGAATCCAGAATCTCTGGATGGGGATTCTGTACCGCCCAGGGGCTCTGAAGAAATGGGGAAGCAAGTGAATTTCCCTGAGCTCAGTTGCCTCAGCTATAAATTGGGGAAACTACCTACTTCCTATTGTGAGGTTTAAGGTGATATGGTGTGTGTCAAGCTGCCCGTACTTTGGAGCACACAGCAGGTGCTCAGGGGAGATCAACGTCCTTTGTGGCTCTTTTGAGATGCCCTTTGTGAGCTGGGCATCATGTCTTGGATGGGGCCTTCTGTACCTGTCATTCCACAAATATGGGTGACTGAGGTGACTCTGTCCAGGTGGGGTGGGGTCCAAGAAAGGCCACTGGGGGAGGGGGAGGCATAAAAACCAAGGACCAGGAAGAAGCAAGTGCTCCCTAACTGGGAAGCAGGTGGAGGGCCTGGTGGGGCAGCCAGCCGGCGGTTCACAGCGAGGAGCTGTGTCACTGGGGCTGGCGGGCACGTCATGGACAGGGTGAGCAAGGGAGTTGCTGGTTCCCCTCTTCCTCATTTGGGGGCATCTTTCTTGAGAGCCAGAGATCTGAGATGTGGTGGGTGCCAGACCCTCAAAATACACACAAAAATATAGCTCCTCAGCATGTCCGGTACACCCCGCCCAGCCCTGAACAGTGCCTCGAGTGTCCAGGGCAGGACTGCATCGAGGGAAACATGCCCAGGAGGCTTCATTCACTCAGGGCCCCTTGTCCCCCTCAGGCAGCCACTGAGTTGCTCCCATTTCCTTGGCTTTCAGTGCCTGCAGAAGCAAGCAGAGTATGGAGTTGGGGAGAAGCCCCCCAAGGTGTGACCCTGCCCACCCCGCCCACCGCGGCTCCTCATTCCCCAAACTTCCTGCATTCCCATAACACGGGGCCAGCCACGGTTCTCCAGGTAGGTCTGTAAGTCTCCTGCCTTTGTGTGTGCTGGGCCCTCTGTGGGGAGGCCACTCAGGCTGGGGAGTCCCCCTTGCCCTTCACCCTTGGAGGATTAACCCAGGGCAAGCTGCCCTGGGATGCTTCCTCCTTGCCCGGGGCTGGGTCAGTGTCCCTCCTCTGGGCTCTGCAGCCCTACGCTCACCTCTGCTGTAGCATTTATTGCCATGCATTACATTGCCTGGCTGCCGGTCAGATCCTTACTAGATGGTGACCTCCTCAGGGGCAGGCCGTGTCTGACTCGCCTCTGCACCTCCAGCTTCTAGCCCCATGCCTGGGTCAGAGCAAGCGCTCTGATGCTTGTTGCATGAATTATTCTACTGCAAATCAGGCAACAGGAACATTTCTGAAGAAGAGGCACACAGGGTGGAGAGCCAGACAGGCTGACTGAGGATGTAAGGAGGAGGGGTGCAGGGAGGGATGGAAAAGAGAGAATGTATGTGTGTGCTGGGAGGGGCAGGGGAGGGCGGAGGGAGACAGGGAACACCGTTTAATTAGACCACATGTGCAGAGCAGCATCTGGCTCCAAGCGCAGCCGTTTACACCGCTCCTGGAGTTGTCGTGGAGACAACCACATGACCAGCCTGGAGCCGAGACTCAGGGGCAGCAATCCAGATGCACCCCTAACATATTCTGACAGAGAGCAGATGGGCAGCTATTTGCAGGGCCAAAAAATGCCAACTCCGCTCCTCTCCAGACCTGTGTGCCCTCACTGATCATTTTCATCTTGTAAAGTCATTCTTATCTGCCCTGGAACCACCCGTTCCTCTTGTGTAGGAAGCAGTATGAGGGCTGCTATTTTTGTAGTTCTCTGACCACCACAACTTTCGGCCTGTTCCTCTGGTGAGATGTCACCACCTATAATGAGGGGGTCCTCCAGGGCCAGGCTCCCCTGCTGGCTTCCCATCCCAGTCTCTTTCTCCACTAAAAGTCCCTAAATCTCCGTTTAGGCCCCATCTAAGAGATCCAGGCCTTGGAGCAACACTGCGCCCAGTATGGGGAGGACGCAGGCTTCGGTGGCTGAGCTTCTGCTCTGCTGGTATTGGCCATGGGTTTGCACTCAGCCTCTCCAAGCTCAGGGTTCCGCTCTGTAAAATGGGGTAACGTTTACTTTCTTTCTTTTTTTTTTTTTTTTTTTTTTTTTTGAGATGGAGTCTCGCTCTGTCTCCCAGGCTGGAGTGCAATGGTGTAATCTTGGCTGACCGCAACCTCTGCCTCCTGGGTTCAAGTAATTCTCCTGCCTCAGCCTCCTGAGTAGCTGGGATTACAGGCATGCACCACCATGCCGAGCTAATTTTTGTATTTTTAGTAGAGATGGGGTTTCACAATGTTAGTCAGGCTGGTCTCGAATTCCTGACATCAAGTGATCCACCCGCCTCGGCCTCCCAAAGTGTTGGGATTACAGGCGTGAGCCACCTTGCCCAGCCTGTAACATTTACTTTCACAGCATTATTTTAAGGATCAAATAATTACAGAAGAACCCTGACAATTATAAAACTCTCTATAAACATCAGCTGTTATTACCGTGGCAGTTTTTGACTGGGATAAAAATTTTTAAGCAAAAAGTTTAAAATTTTAAGCAAAAATTTTTAAGCAAAAAGCTCAAATATTTTAAGCAAAAAGCTCATGCAGCGCAGTAGGAAAATGAGAAAATCCTAGGGTCTATATAAAGTGATGCTTTGTTACCCACATGTATGGCAAATGTCTCTCATTAATGCCTTTGATAAGGTGGGAAACTGTCTGGTGTTGGAGGATCAGGCTGGTTTTGAATTCTGGCTGTTAAGCTTAATAGCAGTGTGATGGTGAGCAAGTGACTTCAAACTCTCTAGAGCCTTGGTTTCTTCCTCTGTAAAATGGGAATCATTGTTCTTAGCTCCCATGAGCTTATTCCAGTTGTGAGAAGTAACTGGGGCAATGTATGTAAACTGCCTAGCATATACCTTCACCCTGTTCCTTTAATGGAATAAAAAAAGGCTGAGGCTGAGGAAGAGGACAGTGAAAAGCATGGGTTCAGCCAGCCTAGGTTAGAATCTCACTTGCTCACTGCATGACCTTGGGGAGGCACTCATCTTTTCCGAGCCTCAGTTTCCTTTTCTGGGAAAGCAGGATAAAAATAGGACCTACTTTGTCACACCGCTGTGTGGGTTTTTTAATTAATTTATTTTTTTTTGAGACAGAGTCTTGCTCTGTTGCCCAGGTGGAGTGCAGTGGCCCGATCTCAGCTCACTGCAGCCTCTGCCTCCTGGGTTCAAGTGGTTCTCCTGCCTCAGTCTCCTGAGTAGCTGGAATTACAGGCGCCCGCCAACACGCCCGGCTAATTTTTGTATTTTTAGTAGAGACAGGGTTTTGTCATGTTGGCCAAGCTGGCCTCGAACTCCTGGCCTCAAGTGATCCGCCCACCTCGGCCTCCCAAAGTGCTGGGGTTACAGGCATGAACCACCGCATCTGGCCTGTTGCGTGGTTTAAAAGAAACAACGAACATAAATAAGTTATTAATAGCATCCGATAAACGGTTATTATGATCCCCCTCTCCCTTACTGAAGAAATCCTCAACCACTTCAGGAAAAATCATACCTTTTCGGCAGGTCTAGCCTGGGGTAGATGCCACACTGTGTCGAGGGACAGAGTTGCATTTTTAGTGTTTGGAAAGAAAAGCAAAGTGTGGACACCCACTGAAGCGCGGGCTGCTCTGAGTGCACATTGGGACCCCATCCGAGGCCCCCCTGGCCTGCTGCCTGAGTGGTCCAGGTGCAGGCAGAGGCTTATTTATAAAGCACTGTGGGGGTTCCCGCTGCTGCACACTCGCCTGCCATCGCAGGTGTGGGGAAGGCCTGGCTAAAAATATTGCTAACGTGGGCTTCGTGTCGCCCAACAGAGACTAATGATTGTTTTAAGTAAATATTAATTATAAGAGTTGCCCAGATAGAATGCCAGAGTGGCATGCATACTCCTCCATATACGTATGTAGGTGAGGTGATCATCTGGGGGGACAGCTTCTTATACGCCTCCTTCAGGGAGTTTAAATGTTTGGGTGGGCTGGGCATGGTGGCTCATGCCTGGAATCCCAGCACTTTGGGAGGCCAAGGCGGGCAGATCACTTGAGGTCAGGAGTTCAAGACCAGCCTGGCCAATATGGTGAAACCCTGTCCCCTACCAGAAGTACAAAAATTAGCTGGGCGTGGTGGTGTACTCCTGTAATCCCAGCTACTTTGGAGGCTGAGGCAGAAGAATGCTTGAACTTGGGAGGTGGAGGCTACAGTGAGCTGAGATCGCACGATTGCACTACAGCCTGGGTGACAGAGAGGGACCACATCTCAAAAAAAAAAAAAATGTTCGGGAGATTCCTGGTTACAATATTTGGTAAGTGTCTTAATATTGAGATACAGGGATTTCCGTATATGAGAGATGATCTCCTCCAGCTGATAAAGGGGTCACGATGGTGTGGAGAACCCAGATTTGGTTTAAGGCCCAGCAGGCTGGGCTGACTGATCTTGGGCAAGTGTCTACCCAAGAGCCTGGATGTGGGAGTCTCCAGCCTTCCATGGTGTTCTAGTTCTAGCACTTCCTAGCTGTGTCTTCCTGAGCATGCTCCTTCCCTGTGAGTTTCAGCTTCTGTACCTGTGTTTTGGAACCCAACATTTGTTGGTCACCTGATCAGTGGTTCCTACAGCCAGCAGCACATAGAGATTCCCCTAGGAGGTTCTTTTCAATGCCCGTTCCTGGGCCATGGGTTAGACCTTCACAAAGTTGCTCAGATGATTCTAACGCATTTGGGAACGAGGTGTGGGAGGCGGTAGTGGTGGTGGTCTAGTAGTACAAGGGTAACAGACACTTGTATGCTCTTACCATGTGCCAGGTACCCTTCTAGGTGTTTTACATGTATTCACTCATTTAATTCTCGTAACCACCCATGAGTTAGATATTGTTGCTGTGTCCACTTTACAATTGGGAAACTGAGCCACATAACTTCTCTAGATTCACATGGGCAGGATTTAAACCGAGGTGGTCATGCTTGGTTCCGTGCCTGACCCAGACGGTAGCATAAGAGGGCGGTGGCTCTACTTCTCTTCCTCATGGCTGCATCCCCAATGCCCCAGATAGAACCTTCCAGGGTAGGTGGTCAATATGTCAATGAAACCATTAGGCCCCTTGGCACAGGCTCTATCTTACTACATCCCAAGGAAGCTGGTCTCACTACTCTCCATTTTCAGATGAAGAAACTGAGGGCAGGGTATTCCATGAGCAGCTGAAGGTCATTTCAATAGTGAGTGAAGAGACTGGAATTTGAGGCCAAGCCTGGCTTGCTCCTTTATCTCCTGCTGCAACCTAATGGGACGTGAGAGCAAATTCCTGCTCCAGAAGATGGGTGTAGATTAAATATGCCAGGTACAGTGGCTCACGCCTGTGATCCCAGTGCGTTGGGAGGCCAAGGCAAGATTGCTTTGGGCCAAGGCGGGAGAATTGCTTTAAGCCAGGAGTTTGAGACCAACCTGGGCAACAGAGTGAGATCCCATCTCTATAAATTTTTTTTTTTTTTTTAATTAGCTGGGTGTGATAGCATGCCCCTGTAGTTCCAGCTACTTGGGAGGCTGAGGCAGGGTATCACTTGAGCCCGTGAGGTTAAGGCTGCAGTGAGCTGTGATCATGCCACTGCACTCCACCAGCCTGGGTGACGTAACATGGACACAGTGAGGGGAACAACACACTCTGGGGCCTGTCGGGGGAGGGTGGTGGCTGGGGGATAGCATTAGGGAAAAGAGCCAATGCATGCTGGGCTTAATACCTAGGTGATGTGTTGAAAGGTGCAGCAAACCACCATGGCACACGTTTACCTATGTAACAAACACATCCTGTACATGTACCGTGGAACTTAAAAAAAAATAATTAAAAAAAAAAAGATTAAATGAACACGAGTGCCTCCCCCCTCCCTCCAGCCCCTTTTAAATGAAATTGCTTTCCAAATCCTGCTCGGGGACTGCCTCAGTTTCTCCCAAGGTTGTTAACTTCAAAGGCAAGGGTGCTCAATGGTATTTGTTGATAGAACGTGAACACATGAATTGAGATGATGGCTCCACGTGGTTCTTGGAAAAGTGCAAGTTCTCAGAGGGGTCTGTTCATCCCTGGGCTCTTCACTGGGACATGTGGAAAATACCAGTCCTAGGCAAGGCCAAGGCATTTGCTGGTCAGGGTCCCAGATTCTGAGTTTCTAGAACCTGGATTTATGATCTCCTAATCCCCGTGTCCCTTCTGAGATAGGCAATGCCGAGAAAAGAGGGTTGGGACTGCATCTGGACAAGTAGGACCTGACACGGACTGAACCCAGATAACCAAACTCAACTGTGCTCTGCAGAAATCCACCATGAGAATCCCAACCTCCCTTGTTCCAGTCACATTATTAAGTCTTCAAAAGGCTTTTGGCGGTTGTTAGGGGAATAAGCGTCCAGGGCATAGGGCCGAAGTCTGTGCCTGGGGGCACCATGGTAGCTGTCACTCCCAGCCATTTCCCTGCCCGAGGCTAGCCTGTGAAATAACAGCAGTCTGGTTCCTGGGAAATGGTGGCCATTCCCAACACTGGCTAGCAGGTGTCTCATTTTGGGAAGACTGAATTGCCATGAGTTTCCCTCCCTCCTTTCCAATAACCAAAATAGCAGTGAACATTTACTGAGTGCCTGCTACTCACGTTCAAACAGTATTTACTCTAGTTACTGATAGACATGCTGAATGGTTTACGGTAAAGTGTACTGATGTCTGTGACTTACTCAGAAATGCAAGAAAAATGAGATGCATTGATAGATGCACAGATGGACAGATATGGGATAAAGGAAGTCTAGTAAAATGTTAATGGTACAACCTAGATGGTAGGTATGCAGGTATTCACCATAAAATTCTTTCCACTTTTCGGTATGTTTGTAAATTTTTATAATAAAATGTTGGGGAAGATCCACAAGGGGACATGAAGAGCCAGAACCTCAAGGGATGCGAGTGGTAGCTGACTGTGTTATTCCACAACTGACACCAAATGAGACTTCGTGTTAATCCAGTTTACTGCTGATGCAGTGACAGGGAGGTATTAAAAGTGAGTGATAAATGAAAACCAAACTATTTATTGTACACCTATTACAGGCTAGGCACTGCTTAAGCACCAGAATGGTAATGAATAAACCAGCCAAGGTCTCTCCTCTCAGAGAGGGTGGGGAGGTCACATAAACAAGGAAATAAATATGTGACAGGCATGGTAAGGCATCTACCATCTTTTCACAGATCTGGAAATAATGCTCTGAAAAGCCAGGCAACTTGCCCAAGTCCTCATGACAAGCAGTTGGGGCCAGGTTCACGTGAGACATGTCTGAGTCTAAAGTCTGGGTTCTTTCCTCTGTCACCTGCCACCTTTCAAAAGGTCACCAACATGATCGCCTCTCATTTGCTCTTGATGAGAGGAGCTACAAGGAAACTGACATCCCAGGATCACTCCTGAACTCCATTATAGCCATGCTTTTCAGCCCTGCTTCTCATCAGACTGTCTTAGAAAGCTGGGAAATGGATGGCTGCTGTTGAAATTCTTTTCATTTGGGAAACCTTTCGGCTTTTCAGGTGGCTTCCCAATCACTACCTCATTTAACCTGCACACAGCCCTGAAAGATAGCCTGGAATTCCTGTAGTTTTCAGCCCGTTTGACCTGTGAGGTCTGAAGTGACAGGTTGTTTGCCCAGCCCTCTGCTCCCCTCTGTCCCACGGCTACTGAAACACGTAGGGACTGGTTAGTTGGGCGGAAAGAGAAGTGGCCCCAAGAGAGCATCTGGATGCCAGAGTTTTGACTAGATAGTGCCATGCCTTTCCCTGTCTGCCCACTTGGCCTGTCTGCCCCTGCAGGACCCCAAACGCCTTTTGGCAAAAACCCCCTACAAGGATCAAACGAATCTTCCACTTGCTTTGGTGGTATTACACATTGGGAGCCTCTTGCTTCTTGCTTCCTTTAGACGCTAACTGCAGGGTGATTTGTGGTTCTGGCCAGGGGACTGTCAAAAGACCATTCCAAGAAACTCAGAAAAGAGCTTTCATTTAGTCATGATGAATGGGGAAGGCAAATGTCAGCTGAATTCATTTAACTAGCAACATATTCCCTAGTGTCAGGGCAGACTCCCCTACCGAAGTAGGAGCTGATAATCTGAGGTACTCATGAACAAGGTTGTTTTGGGAGAAATACAAAATAACAGACCTTCTGCCAATGGGCTATTTTACTTTCTAAATGTTCTTATCCCCTGAGCCCTCCATCTGACTCTGTGAGGGTTCCCAGGCCTCCCCATCTTCTGCCTGGACAGCGGCAATTGCCTCCTCCCAGGGCCCCTGCTTCCAGACTCTCTCCACCCAACCCTGTGTCTCGACACTCCCGAGAGACCTCCTCAAGGCACCACTCTGGACATGTGCTCACGCCACACCTGCGGAAGCCCGGCACTGCCCTTGTGAGAGGCTTCAAGGCTCTTCTTAGCTTAGCGTGCCAGCCCCCCAAGGCCCCTCCAGCCACACCTCTTGACATTAGCCCTGCAAACCAGAAGTCTCAATCATTGCTACAGGCCTGGAGCTTCCCATACGCTGTGCTTTCAAACCTCTTTGCTTTTGCTCACGGTATTCCCTCTGCTTAGAATAGAATGCCTCTTCCTCCATTCTTTGTTAGGCTAACATCTCATCTTACAAGCCATGCTCAGGTGCCATAGTTCCAGGAAGCTGTCCCTGCCCCCATAGCCATCCCTCTTGGGGTCTTCCTCTGGGGTCCCATAGCACTCTAAGCTTACCTCTATCCTATTAAATAAAAGTCACCTGCTTATCCGCCAGCCTCCCCCTTGAGGATGTGAACTCTCTACAGATAGGGAGGGAACTGTCTTCATGACCTTACCAAGCATACAGCCTGGCACACAATGGCACACTGAACACACGTGTGTCGAATGAATGAATACGCTACACTCTTGTATGGGAGTGAGTCCCATGAAATGAAGCTGCTTTCCGAAAAGTAAAAGGATACCAAGATAGTTTCAAACAGACATACACTGTCCCAGAATTCTTCCTGAAGCAGACGGCGTCACAGCAAGGCTGCAATTATAGACATGCGCACACATTGTTTAAAAAAATTCATAGAATGCACTTCACACTGACTTTTTTTTTCTTATTGGAAACCTGTTTACAATCTTGTCCACTGTCAGTCTTAAATGTCACTTTTCAGAAAGCTGGCTGCTGCCAGCAGAAATTTATTTTCAACTTGAATCACAGCATGTTCATGCAGAGAAGCGCCTCTTTTGAATCTCCAAATTGGAGGGAATTCAGGGAAGAGAAAGTGAGGTGATTAGAATCTGCAGAGGCCGACTCAGGAAGAAAAATTATGAGGCTAAAATATGCATGTGTGAGCTAAACAGCAGCTATTAGTTGGTGGAGGTGGCAATGGTGGGGATGGCAACTACCTAGAAACCTACCAGGACAGTGAGGCTGCATAGCAACACGTGGAAACAAGGAAGCGGGAGCGGGAGGAAGAAACAGTGAGGGAAGCCCAGGCACCAGGAAGGACGCGTGCATTTACAGACGGCCCTCCTGTGCCAGGTGCTGCCGAAGAGGCCGTCCTTCACTCAGCCTTTGCCCAGCAGCTATCATTATTCCTATTTTAAAGGTGAGGAAACTGAGGTTCTGAGAGATTAAGAAACCCAAATAAGGAGTGGTGGGGTCAGGTCCTACCAGCCACCTGCCATCAGCTAGTCACTAAGTAGAGGTCTGCAGTAGGCATCATTGCCCCTGCTATTTACAGGTGGGGTGATCAGGGAAGACTTCCTGGAGGGGGAACACTTGAGCTGAATTTGATTATGCTTCTTTATGCCTATTCAGAAAAGGGGTGTCAGCTTTTAGGAAAGCTGTAATTCAATATGCATATTGTCTTTTTTCTTTCTTTCTTTTTTTTTTTTTTTTGAGACAGAGACTTGCTCTGTTGCCCAGGCTGGAGTGCAGTGGCGTGATCTCTGCTCACTGCAACCTCTGCCTTCCAGGTTCAGGCAATTCTCATGCCTCAGCTACCTGAGTAGCTGGGATTACAGATGTGTGCCACCATGTCTGGCTATTTTTTTTTCTTTTGTATTTTTAGTAGAGATGGGATTTGGCCATGTTGGTCAGGCTGGTCTCGAACTCCTGGCACCAAGTGATCCACCTGCCTCGGCCTCTCAAAGAGCTGGGATTACAGGCATGAGTGGCAGTGCTCGGCCTTTATTCTTTTTCAGACAGAGTCTCGCTCTGTTGCCCAGGCTGGAGCGCAGTGGCGCGATCTTGGTTCACTGCAACCTCTGCCTCCCAGGTTCAAGTGATTCTTGTGCCTCAGCCTCCCAAGTAGCTAGGATTACAGGTGTGCACCACCATGAATGGCTAACTTTTGTATTTTTAGTAGAGTCAGGGTTTTGTGATGTTGGCCAGGCTGGTCTTGAACTCCTAGTCTCAAGTGATCTGCCTACCTCAGCCTCCCAAAGTGTTGGGATTACAGGCGTGAACCACCGCACCCGGCCCATTATCTTTATTTTTTAACACAAACACACACATGGTCAAATCAAATACCTCTTGCCTATCATTCCCTTGGCCTGGCAAACATGGACTCAGGACCCAACTCAAAGGTCTCTGCCTATGGGAAGCCTTTCCCAAATTTGTGAGGAAGGGTGGCTGTTTTTGCCTTTCATTCACTGATTCAGTGAGTAGTTGTTGAGAGCCTACTGGGTATCAGCCCCTGGAGCTATCACAGTCAGCTACCTGAGGATAGTCAAGCAGCCCCATAAAGGAACAATTACCCCCTGGGACAATGGCCTTGAAGCAGAGGTTCCTGCTGTGCAGAGAACAAAGAACAAGGTCCCAAGAAGACACCTGGAGGCTGCAGAAAGCATTCCTGGGAAAGTAACCTGTGTGCTCAGAGGGGAAGGTGGGCAGAAGCCCCAGGCCTCTGTGGGATGGAGGAGTGCCAGGGGAAATGAGAGAGGCTGGAACAGGACAGCAGAGGGGGAGGGGCTCCAACCAAGCCTGGGCATGGATCATGCAGGTCTTTTTAGGTCATGTTGTCCTAAAGCAACAGGGAACCCTAAAATTTGGGTGGCTGGGGGAAGGGAGTGTAGATATTTGCACTTCAAGAGGATCATTCTGATCTCAGTGAGGCCAGTGATCTGCCAAGGAAGCACTGTGTCCACTGAGGCAGCTGCCAGGCAGGAATGGAAAGGGAGGAATTCAAGAGAGGCTTTAGGAGACAAGAGTTGACTTGGATGCAAGAGTTGATGGATCTAGCCGACTGACCACCTCCCCCTACTACACTGAGTGCTTTGGAGAGGCAAGTAGGACCAGGTAGTACTCGCCAGGGTCTCCTCCTTCCTAAGAGTCCAGCAGAGGCCCCATGCAGGGACTATGTTTTCAGTACCTTGGAATCCCTACCCCAAGAGCAGGGGCTGGCATGCCGATGGTGGTCCAGAGATGCTGGGGGGCCATGCCGCCGCTGCTGCTCCAGTCCTCCCTTGGCTGCCAGATGACCCCCACCATGGCAGCCTCCAGGAACTCAGGAGACAAATCCCAAGCAGAGCAAAGCCTGGGTCTTGCAGGCCAGCCTCTGTGTGCAGACAGTCTCTATCCAGAACACACAGGCTTCCCAGGCCTAGCACTTGCTGGGTTCCCCAGCTCTGGGCTGACCAGACGCATGCACACACCAAGTCTGCCAGGGTCTGTTCCGGGTTCCATGTGTGGTGACTGATGTCTTGTGATGGATAGCTTCTGAGGGACAGTGTGTCCTGGGGTGGCTCCGGCTCTGCAGTGGGACAGGCTGGGCTGAGACTCCTGGCTCTGTCGCTCATTATCCATGTGACTGTGGGGAAGTCTTTAGCTCCCCAAGTCACAGGTCAGTTCGTTTGTAAGATGGGGATAATTCCATCTACCTCCCAGAGTTGCTGCGAGGCACAGACAGATTTCACATAAAGTACCTGCCCCAAGGCCAGATGTGTAAGAGAGACTCAGTTGTGGGTTGTTGTTCTTTGTTTGAGACACAGCTTAGTTTTTTTTGTGTTTTTTTAAAAATGATTTTTAGTCTCCTAGGACTTGTAGCAAACGGGTTAGTGTCTCCTGGTCATCGGAGCCATGCCATACATGCTATTAAATATTACATCAATTCATCTAACAATCTGTCTAAATCTGGTCAGAGGGACTTGGTTATGTCTGAGCAGCTCTGGTGTTTTAGAAACCTGTGCTCCTATCCTGAAAGTTTCTCATTCAGAATCCTAGCAGCCATGGTGGGAAACTCTTGTCTTTCTGTTCTAAGCCATTTAGTATATTATCTTCTATCTAGCAGGACACAAGGTGAAGGAGACAGAGCTGGGTTTTTGCAGACACAAAGATCTGGGTTTAATCGCACCTCTAACACTGAGCAACTAGACAGCCTAGCGCAGACCTCTCGATTGGGGCAAAGGGCTGTGGTGAGGACTTTGCCCTTGAATCTCAGTGTTCAGAGAGTAAGCCGCCCAGAGATTCTTCCAGACAGCCCTCTGGTACTGTCCCTCCCCTGCTTAAATCCTTCAATGGTTATCATGCCTTTAGCATGGCTGTCCCTCCATTCATCAACATGTACTGACCTGCTATGTACTGGGTGCTTTGTGAGGTACTGGGGAGGGTGCAGCGGATAGGAAGTCCAGGGTCTTTCCCCTGCATTTAGGACCCTGCCCCGGCCCCTGCCTGTCCTTCCTGCCTTGTTGCCCCTTGCTCCGCACCCCATAGTGCACCTTCTAGCCACACTGAGTGCTTGCAGGTCTACGAATGCACAAGGCATTCAGTTCTCCCCTGAGCCTCTGCTCCTGTTCCTTCTGTTGTTACTCACATAGTCCTGTTTCCTCCTAACCTCACCGTGTCCTGCAGTGACTTCACTGTGGCCCTCAGTACAGTCTGGCATGCAAGGGAGCTTCTGGGCAACAGTGGGGTGCACACTGGCCATGGAGCCCAGCAGACCTGATCCCACTCTCCTCACACCCTCCCTAGCTGTGGCACCTGGGGCAAGTGACATCCTCCCTCTGCGCCCCCTCCCCTCTTCTGTAACATGGAGGTAGTAACATCTGCCTCAAAGTTTTATTTCGAGGGCTACAGGCGACCTGATGTAGGGAAGTGGTGAGTGGTAGCCACTATAATTGTCTGTGTAGTTTCTAGCCTGTCACTCTTCCTAGACTGTGCACTCCCTCAGGGCAGGAGCTGCACTTCTGCTGCCTCAGGATCCCCAGTGTTGGGGGAGCAGAGCCTGGCGTGCATGCATGAAATGAGCATGTGTGAGGTCTTGGGGAAACATGTCTCTTGAAATCAGAAGGCTTTTTGGCTTTGAAAGAGTTAAAATCTGCTCGTGATTATAAACAAGCTCCATTTCAGCTCCGCACTATCACTAGGTGTGAGTCACAAGGCTTAGCAGGTGTGGGCAATAATTAAAGGCTTCAGCAATCTACCTGGGCAAGGTATTTTTGCCTCTTATTCCAAAGAGGAAACTCTCTCTATGGAGAGCAGAGGAGCTCATTAATGAGAGTAATTAGGTGTAAAGGGGGTAGGGGCTGGCATCAGCTGCAGCTTGGAGGAGCTAATCATTAAGCTCTGTAATCTCCTCCGCTGAACACCAGCAGATCAGGTTCGGGGCTGCGAGCAGGGCTCCCCCACCTGAGTACCTGACCATGGGCTTTGGAGAGGCTGAAAGACCTTACCTCTCCCCCTGCCAGGTTCCACCAGGGGACACCGTGTGTGTGTGTGCGCGTACACACACGCGCGCGCGCGCACACACACACACACACACACACACACACACACACGCAGTGTGGGGTCAGCTGCCGGGGAAAGAAGCCTGAGCATCCAAGAAGACGCTTTGCTCTCAGTTTGCACTCACCTTTGAGGAGCATGTGCTGGTTTTACAAAGTTTCCTGGATATAAGGAATGGATCAAAGACTCTGTTTTTGGCCTCCACATGCGGAGGCTAAACTCTCATGCCTAGGCTTCTGGATTTTCTAGCCATTGCTAACATTTAGCTAGCACTGCAGCAGATTTCATTTTCTGAATCCATCTCCCTGGCCCATGGGCTCTGTGACTTGGGAACAAGGGGTTGATTCCCCTGGATCTTCAGTGGCTGGCATACCCCGGGTGCCATAGATCACTGGCTGCATGGTGGGGTGCATGGGAGCAGGTGGGAAGAGAAGAGATCGATGGATTTTGGCATTGTCACTTTTCTCAGTTCTGTGGCTTTGGCCAAGTCACAACCTCTCTGAGCCCTAATTTCCTCCTCTGTAAAAGAAGCTCAATCATAAATACGTTTAAAATTTCAGTAAAAATGGGGAGAGGCTGAATGTCAGGCAAGTGGGCAGGTAAATCCAATGAAGGCCCCACCCTGAACTTGAGCTAGTCAGAGGGCAACGTGTCCCAGGTCAAGGCTACAGGAACAGAGACTCGCCCCCGGAACACTGTGCTCTTAGATGCCAGCGCTGTGGGGCATCTCTGCACTGTTCACAGACAGCGTCACCTTGGCTCTGGGCTCTGCCGCCAGCCCCAGAGCTGCTAGCCCAGCCCTGGAATCTTTCTGCCTCAGCTTGATACACACCGAGACTTCTGGGAGGCCAGGAAGGAAGCAGCTGGCTCCTGCATCCCCCATGAGTCCCACTCCCTAAAGCACCCCTTTGATCTTCTAACCTGTAGCCATGGCCAACAGGAGCCTCTTGGAAAGTTGGCACCAACTAAATGGCATGTGTCCAGCCAGCAAGCCTTGAGCATGAGTGTGCTGGCATCATCTTCCTTGTCCTTAGAGCCCAGTGCTGGTGCAAGCACCTTGGTGAAACCATCCCTGATATCCAACTCCTCACCCCCACCTCATATGTTAGTTCCCATACCTTCCATGGTCCCCCAACCTTCTGGGCACCCTCCACCCTCCTATTGACCACACATTTGCCTCTTACACTCCTCTGGGAATAGGTAATAAAACTCTCTTTTCCCATTGGGACTGATCCTGCCAACCCCCTGCCCAGCCACAGGGGTGGGCATGCGACCCTGGGAGCCGACTGGAGGACTCCATCCTCTGGTCACACCAATGAGTTTAGGGTAGCCCAGAAGTGATCGACACTAACTTGAGCAGTCTCCACTGAGAGTTGCTGCACAGACACTGGAGTTGAGAGGGACTCACTTCAAGCTAGAAGGACCATAGAGGCCCCCATATTTCTATAGCAAAGCAAGAGAATGTTTGAAAATAAAACAGATAATGAAAAGCAAAGCCAAACAGAGGTCACTGAGAGTCTAGACATCATTTGAGCTCCTGGATCCAGCCATGCTGGTAGCAAGACAAGTCCGGGATGTCTCAGTTATATAAGCCAAGAAATTCTCCCTCCTATCCTCTTTGCTCAAGTTCGTTTAAGTTGGGCTTCTACCATCTACAATCAAGGGAAGGCAAGCCAGGGTTTAACCAAGTCTAGGGCCCAAGTCAGCTGGCAGGTTTGTTTACCTGCCCCCTCCACACCAATATTATTGCTGGTAACTAGAGCAGGGTCTTCAGAATGTTTTCTCTCTTGTGTCTTTTAGTTACGAGCCAAGGTCACAGTTCTTGGTTTTCTCCCTGAACCATGAGCAAAGATACGGCAGAACCTGAGGCTACTCTCAGACCAATGCGCATGGCCCCCAAATGGCTTTCCTGGATGCGATTGTCCTGTGGACACTTTCTTGTCCCACATGCTCCTTATAAAGACCCCTGTTTCTCAAAGGTCTTTCCTGAGATCCCTTTGAATCTTTTCTACCATTTTCCCAGTCTGGACAACAGAGACCACAGAAATATAAACATACACAATGTCCTGCAGAATCAACAGCTTTAAAAGAATTGAAAAAAAGAGGGGGGCTGGGGGAACAAAAGACTTGTTCCCATTAAATGTAAGTACCAAGCATGCTGAAAGGGGACTGCTGATATTTCTGGAGCCCTTATGTTTGATGTACTATCCCTATTTTACAGGTGAAGAACAGATGAAGAAACTGAGGCTCAGAGGTTAATTTGCTTTCCAACACAGAGCTGGGCAAATGCCTCCTCCTCTTCCTTCAAGGCCCAGCCAGTGTTGCCTCCCATGTGACCTGAAGCCTCCTTCCCGGAACCAGCGGCAGAGCACCCACAGACATCCAGCCAGCAGCTCCCACAGGGTGTCCTCCTGCTGGGTACGGGGCAGCCTCTGCCACTAGATGGGATCTCAAGGCAGACACCATTACTCATTCACCTCTAGATCCTATCCGCCAGCACAAGGCTTAGCCTGGACAGGGCTGCAATGAATGCTTGCTGGAGTAAACACATGGACAATGGAGTCATGATGTGAACCCTGCTTGTTCAATTGTGAGACAGTGCTTCCCCCTCCCCCAGCTGCCTCCGAGCCTCCCTCTTGTTCTCCCTGGAGGGAGTCAGGCTGGGTAGCAGAAGTGGTTACAAGACCAGAGGGAGCATGGACAATGGTAATAAATATGTAAAATCCAGAATTCATTACATCCAGCTAATTCCAAATGCAAAAGACACCACAGCCTCTGAGACAGATCCCAATGAGGGAGTCTGATTTGTAACTGACAATTTGAAAAGTGGACCAGAATTGTTTGGTCTAAATCATGAAATCATTCTCTTCTTGATGGGCAAGATTAGTAAATACACAACCTCTACTAATTTGGGGCTCAAGGGCTTATCCCCCAGCCTGCCTCAGTTTTAGTTCTGTAAGAGACCCTCTGTGAGGTCCTTAGGGGGCCTCCCCACTCCACGTCCCTGGACTAGAGACCCTCTGGACATGAACCTCAAATCTCCAAAGCAGAGGATGTAGTTCTCTTAAGGAGACAGCATTAAAGCGAGACGTTAACATTACATAAAGTAAACTCTGTCCTCTGGGGGAGAGATGCTCCACAAACCGAGATAAAGTGAGTATCCCTCATGCGGTGCGCTTGAAAACAGGCACCTTTGCGTGGTGCCTGCCTTCATCTATCATCCCCAAAGAAAGGGAGAGAGGGCCTGCCGAGCCACCCGGGAAAGACAGCTAATGCTTACAATTCGGCCAGGCAGGAGGTCTGCAAATGCTCCCCTCTGGCCTCCCACACTCAAAACATTTCCTATAGCGAAGGCTTCAAAGGTAGAGAAGCGAATAAAGATTTCCCCTCTGCCCTATGCCAGCTGAGAGAATATCTTCCTCTTCCCTCTGTTACACACACACACACACACACATCCACACACCTCAGACACGCACACATACAGCTGCAGGCGAGAACCAAAACCACAGACCTAGCTCGAATGGAGGGGACTATGTTTGAGACCACAGATAAAGGTCATGCCAAAAGCAAGTGATCTGAAGTTAGAAGTTCTAGTCCTATTCCCAAAACTTACTATGATGAAAGGAGAGTAAGGGAGAGAGAGTTTAGGTGGAGGCACTCCGTGTGAGCCGCTAGCACAGCAGTGGCACACACAGGAAATGCTTCCATCCATGAATCCTGGCACTGAGTAGATGATCCTGACCAGGTCTCCACCACTAGCTGCAGGAAGCCTCATCCTTCGGCAAGAGCAATGAGAAATGGCCTGAAGGGCACTGAACTTTTTCCTCGCCTAAGTCCCCCAACTTTTTCTCTATTAACTCTGCCTCAGTGGCATAAGCTCCAAATAAATTTCTTCCTCTGCCTGTGGTACCGAAGGCCCCAGTTACAGCTTGTTGTTGTTTCACATAAAAGTCAAGTTTGGCTCTTATCAGTCACTAACACTAGTGAAAATTAGTTCATCCATTTGGTGTCTAAAAGCAGTGAAGGGCAAGTTTCTTTTATTAATAGGTGGTCAGGTGGCTTGGGAGTGGGGCTTGGGTTCAGTGGGACGAGGCTACTTTAGACACAGCACAAGCTGGTGTCAGTGAGATAACTGGAGAAACTCAGTCTCCTTATGGGCAAAATGGAAAAACACGGGCTGAACAGCCACAGCTAGACAGTGGGTTAGTAGCTGTTGTCAACACTGCTGGTGAAGGTGCTTTGTACGCTCCCTGCATGTTCTGATCCCAACCGACATCATCAGTAGTCACCTAGGTTAAAACACAGAAAACGCTGATAAAATCTGTAAAGAAGCTGGTGACAAAAAGGACCAGAAAAATTCTCAGGAGACTGGAACAATAGGCTGAAACTAACAAGTTGAGGTGTATTTGGGACAATTGTGAATTCCTACACTTTGGTTAAAAAAAATCACCTTTAGAAGTACTAGTTAAGGCCGGCCTGTTTTGAAAACAATTTCCATGGTAGGTGTACAAGGTGCAAAGTTTTATGTTTAATACATGGTTCAGCAATGGCCAGTGTAGGATATAGTTCAAACAAAAGAATAATGCGACCCACTACATTCACAGAAGTAGAAAATCCTGAGCTGTACTCAAGTGTGGTGGAGTCCATTAGAAACAGGAATATATCAGCCAGGCAAGGTGGCTCACGCCTGTAATCCCAGCACAGTCGGAGGCGGAGGTGGGCAAATCACCTGAGGTCAGGAGTTAGAGACCAGCCTGGCCAACATGGTAAAACCCCATCTCTACTAAAAATACCAAAAAAATTAGCCAGGCGTGGTGGGGGGCACCTGTAATCCCAGCTACTGGGGAGGGTGAGGCAGGAGAATCGCTTGAACCCAGGGGACAGAGGTTATAGTGAGCCAAGATCATGCCACTGCACTCCAGCCTGGGTGACATAGCAAGACTCCATCTAAAAATAAAACAAAAAAACAAAAACAAAAACAAACCAGGAATATAATGTGAGTCACATACATAATTTTCAATTGTCTAGTAGCACATTAAAAAAAAAACAAGGTAAATTAATCTTCATAATGTATTTTATTTTATACAATATATGCTATAATTTCAATACTTAATCAATATAGAAAATTATTAATGAGAGTTACGTTGTTTTTTTCATCCTAGGCCACAGGAAACTGCTGTGTATTCCGCCTTTGCGGCACATCTCCCTTTGGGCGAGGCACATTGCAAGTGCTCTGCAGCCACATGTAGCCAGAGGCCACTGTACTGAATGCGACAAGGCTGGAGTAGGGGTGGAGATAAGTCCACTGCACTGTGTTCTCAACAGAACCACATCCAGAATATCTGGTATTTCAGGCCTTTTAGGAGGGACAATGATAAACCAGAGCCTGGCTAAGACTATCTGAAGGACTGGGAGTGAGAACGGTTAGTGGAAAAGAACTGGATCCTTCTAGCACTAGTGGGGAAATCACCAGCAATGATCCGGTGTTATGTGGCTGCAGAGTGCAGAACTAGGACTAGGGCATGAAAACTGTGATGATGGCATTTGGGCCCTTTTTAGAATGAGGTTCCCTGACACCAGAAGGAACGGTGTAGGCCAAGGCCAGACAGCCTGCAAAAGAGGCTATCTGTGTGGATAGAAAGCTGATGTCCTCTCTGATCTGAGGCTCTGAGATGCTAAGTAACAACATGAAGGAAAATGACTGGCTGCCTAGCCAACAAACCAGAATGTACACACCCAGAGACATTTCCTCCTTCAGGTAGTCTTCTGGGAGGTCAAGGCTTGTTCTGGCCAGCCTCACAGGTAATTCCAGTGGCTGGATACCCGCATTGTGGGGCCTTACCTTGCACAGCTGCTGCCTTCAAGGAGCTTATAAGTGAGGGTCTGCCATGAACGCTCTAGTATAATGTTAGCTTGCTGGGTCTCAGCTGACTAGTCAACAGAAAGAAGAAGAAGGGTCTCTGAGCTCCTCCCCACTTACAGATCCTGTGTGACTGCTCTTCCTGCATCTCACAGAAAAAGAACATTTCCAGTTGTTCTCACGGACTTCAAGGCTAGAGGTCCTCCAGCCCATCCAGGACCCTGGGAGCCCTAGATCTCTCCAGCACTCTCCTTTGAATGTCTATCTACTAATCATCTCTACCTGAATGTGCTGTGTCAACATCAACGTGTCCCAAACCAAACTCCTTCTGTCCTCACCCTCCAACATACTCCTCTGTAACCCTAGACTTGGGTGGAGTGGGAGGGGAGTTTGCTATTGGGCCAGTTGGCTTTGTCTTTGACCACTGGGTGCTGGATCTTACTACCTTACGGGAGAGGGACACGTAACTCTAAAGAAACAGCTGGAAGAGAAGATTTCCGAGGGACTCCTTCAGAGCAAGAGAGGAAGACAGAGATGAATTCTACATAGAAAGCCTGAGAAGGCCTCTCAGAGATGGCTTCCTTGCCCTCCCCAGATGTTCACAGGGTTAACTGTGAGTTAGGCTCTGTGCTGGGCACTAGGGGCCACCAAGGACTCCAGCGTGGCTTCTGTTACTGAGGTGCTTTCAGCCTCATGGGAGAGACAGACAGGCACATGAGGGCACTGCCTGGCCCAGGTGTCAGGACAGAGGCTTGCTGGGTATAAAGGAGGCACAAAGGAAGAGAGGGGGTCACTCCCAGGCACACAGTCAGGAAGAGCTTCACAGAGGACCAGAGAGGGAGGGAAGCGTGTGCTGAGCCTTGACAGCCTGGCTGGGCAGACCACAGAGGGTGTTCTAGGCAAAGAGAATGCAGGTGGGAACAGCCCAAGGCACTCAGGAACATAGCTGCACCAGGGGACTTGGAGTGATGGGAGGAGAATGTGAAGGGAATTGAAAGTGGAGATCATGGGCCAGGTTGTGAAGGTCTTGGATGCCAGGCCAAGGAGTGAGACACCATCATATAGGGACTAGGGGACATAGGAGAGTTTTAGGATGAGATCTGTCAGGAGTAATTGTACACTTTTTTAAATACAAGAATTTTTCTTGTTCTGCCTTCATTTTAGTAAAAACGAAGCATCATGGAGCTGGCAAATCATCTCTGCATCCCAAAGACAGTGCGACATGTGATAATGACTGTGAAGCGCAGCTAAGCCCGTTAGCAGGAATGACCAGGGAGTGAGAGGCAGCGCTGGAGTGTCACCCTCCAACATCGTCTCTTTGTTTGAGGATCACTAGGAAAGGAGCCATTAGAAAAACGCTAGCCTGGTAATAGGAGGGAAATGGATCTTGGCAGGGCTGTGTTACCCATTGAGAAATTAGCAAAAAACATTCAGGGAAGAAAGCAGGGGCTTCTGTGCTTACCCATTGAGGCTCTTGGGGAATAATGACACATGGTTACCACCTGAGGAACCCCTGCTGAGGCAGCTGACTTGCCCAGTGGTCTACTACAGGCTCAGGTGAGTAGGAGGGTCCTTCCCAGGAGGGGCAGTGATGCTCAGGCAGGGCTGGGATGCTCAGGCTCCTTGCAAGAGCTGATCCTCAAGTCTGAACCACTCCCCAGGCACTGTGTCAGGTACTAGGGATGGGGCCATGACTAAGACACGGCTTCATCCTCAGGAAGCTCACACTCCCTGACATGGTGGCACTGGAGCCTTGAGGGAGGCAGGACAGACCTCATCACCCCCATTCCACATCTGTGGGCAACCAGGGAGGTTGGGGGGAGACTTGGTTTCTTTGTGAATCGATTCTTTGCTACTTTGCTTAGCATCAAGTTCCTCTTGTCATGGCAATCACTCAGAATACTGAGAGGGTGAAAGAGGATGGGCGGTGCAGCGGGTCCGGATGAAAACTTGGAGGGGTGGGAACTGCTATGATGTCAACTGACAGTGCCCAGAGAGCGGGGCCATCACACCAGAAATGCCTGCTCCATTGCCACTTCTCTCAGATGTCAGACACTCCTTCATCCAGAAGACATCCACAGAGTGTCCGTTACAGGGAGTCCCTGCCCTATGCTCTTCCATCCAGTGTGGTGAAGAATCTCTAGTCCCCAGAGGAATTTGGCTTGGATCAGGGATCTGATTTCTGGGGGTCAAATTTAGACACTTTGCCCCTAGTGGTACCGAAGAATAGCCCGAGAAGCCCAGCTGCGGGTGATGAATTGTCACTCAGGGACTACGAGTGGAGGCTGCCAGGGCGGAGGGGAAGGCATGCACGCTGAAGCACCAGGCGACCATTGCTTGGACCGCCCCCTCCATTGCTTCACCAATAGCTTCTGGCTCTCTTTCCTGAGAGCAATTTGAAAGAAAAGCAAACATCTTGGGAGAAGCTGGGATGATCTGTCTCTAGGACTCTAAAAAGACTCTGAGGTTTCTGGGGGGAACTTCTCTGCACCAGGGATGCTACATCCCAGGAAAACAGGGGTCTGGGCAAGTAGCCAGAGGCCCCCCACATTTCCTAGAAGAATGGCACATTCCCCTAGGAAATTGCTTTGAGTGGGCAGGGCTCAGGGTCTCTCAAATGACAGCTGCTTCACTGTCAGGCGTTTTCATGTCACCTTGTACTGCTGGAAGAGGCTCCAAAGATGAGGCTGGATGGCCTAGAGCTTCCTACTTGCTAATAAAACTGACTTTTTTACACTGGCTGTCCAAAGGAACCTGGAGCAGTGCGAAGCATATGGGCCTGGAGTTGGCCTAATCTGAGTTTAACTCCTGGTTTTGCCATTCCCCGGAAGTCTGGAGGTCCTGGGAATACACCCGCACCCTCTTGGATCAAACCTGGGCCATCTATGAAGCTGGCATGGTGGGGGTACGTCAGTTTCATAGATGAGACAACTGAGGCCAAATGACTTTTAAGGGATAGACCTAGGACTAGAAACCAGGACTCCTGATACTGAGTTCAAGATTTTCCAGAGCCTCTTAGGAGCCTTGGTCAGGGGTGGCTCAAGGTTACAGAACACACCCTTAAAAGTGCAGCTAAGAATACGATTTCCTTCTGGTCCTCAGATGGATCTTTAAGCCAGATCATCCCTATTAAAGGAAACACAGTCTGATGATCCCATTTCCTGGCCTATGCACAAGTGCCTACTCTGCCTAGAAGCCTTACCCCACCTTCTAACTATTCAATAAGCTCCTAATCATCTTTTAGGACCTGCCTCACTTATTACCTCTTCCACTGAGAAGCCTTCAGGCCCTTTTTTTGTACTTTTTTTTTTGAGACAGAGTCTTACTCTGTTGCCCAGGTTGGAGTGCAGTGGTGCAATCTCAGCTCACTGCAACCTCTGCCTCCCGGGTTGAAGCGATTCTCATGCCTCAGCCTCCTGAGTAGCTGGAATTACAGGTGTGTGCCACCACGCCAGGATAATTTTTGTATTTTTAGTAGAGACGGGGTTTTGCCATGTTGCCCAGGCTGGTCTTGAACTCCTGACCTCAGGTGATCTGCCCATCTTGGCCTCTCAAAGTGCTGGGATTACAGGCACGAGCCACTGCACCTGGCCTTTTGTACTTCTCTTGTATGTCTATCTATTATGACCCATCATTGTCTCTTTCTCTCTCTCTCTCTCTCTCTCTCTCTCTTATAATGTCTGTTTCCCTCACAGGGCTTGAGGAGTTTGGGGACAAGGGGCCATGCCTTATTCACCTCTTTATCACCAGTAGCCAGCAGTGCTGGACACTGGGAGCCAAACGAATGTGTTGAGTGCATGGTCTCAGTAAATCCAGGAATTCTGAGAGCTGGGAATAGCTCTGAGAGGATGAGCTTTCATTAACACATGCAGCTCTTCCCGCCTTGGGTGGACATTCAAATGGCCCATGTGGCTAAGTCACAACACCACGAGTCAAAGGCCCACTTTCCTTCTCAAAGGAAACATTTAAAAAACCACGGGTGTTACAAATGGCCACTTTCTCCAGGATGAAAGACATCTGGGGGAGGAGGCAAAGAGGAGAGAGCAAAATATCAGGTCTGTGTGGTCACAGCCCATGATACTTCTACATCTTGAGAGAACCCACCGATCAATATGAAGCAAGTGATTTCTCAATTCCTTTAGAAGGACCGTAGGTTAGACTGTTAGATTCTTTTAAAGACAAGCAAGAATCCTGCTGTTACAGACTCCTCCAGTTCTTGTCCATCCTTTTTCTTCTAACTCCCCACACTAAGCTATCTTCATGGCCCATGACACGTATGGAAAGTAACTATCCAAGTATTTTAAAGCACTATTTTCCTATTGTTATAATGGCCCCAATAAGGGCACCATTGTTCCTTAGCGGTATACATGCTTCATTCTAGTAATTAGCTGTCAGAGAGGACCCGACAGCAGCTTAATGTTGTCCGCTCAAATCATATTAATGAAATGCAATCCACTCAAATGTCCTGAATGCATATCTGTAATTGCGTTAAGCAGAGAGGCTGGGGACATCAGGATCAAACTTCAGTCTCTGAACAGAGCATTACGATCAAGCACATTAATCCATTATTTCTTCAGAATCTGACAGCCAATTAATATACCCGGCCTTCATACACCAGGCAAAGGATTGATGTTCCTGTCATGATTTTGTTTTTAAAAAAACCATTAAAATGACTGTTTGTACTCAGGGATGTCAAAGTAAATGCTCGGTGTAATGTTTCTAATCAAAATCAATTGTTCAAAGGTGCAAAGGTAAGAAACAAACTTTGGAGGAGCATTGTCATTGCTTCCAAAAAAGGAGATTTAAAGATCTGAAAGTCTCACTGCTTTTCCTGGTGCTTTTAACAAAAAAGTAGCTAAAATTAAGTACTAGTCAGAGTTCAAATAACTCAGTTCTGGCAAGTGATTTTGAAGAGGACATGCATGGTAAGGGTTTTTATTTTTATTTTTAAGACAGACAGGTCTTCATTTCAAAGATTTCACTGGTATTTACAACTAAGCATATAAATACCCAAAGCGAGACTCCCCAGTCCTGAGTTTTCCTGCTTCACTTCACAGAACACACTTTGTTAATTACCAAAGCTGCCGTCCACAAATTAGAACTTCTGCTGGACTGGGAAGGCAGAAATGAGAATAAATACCTCTTCAAATCTGCAGATCTGCGGAACTGCGCAAATATCCTGTGAATCGGACCCACTTGGAAGAGTGTGTGGGTCAGCGGTGCATTCAGGACTGTGATAAAATTTAATTAGAAGCTGCTATTGGGACACCGTTATTGATGCGCTGGTACACGTAGGGGGAAAACCGCAGCCTGTGTGCTGCCGGTGCCCTTGGTGGGAGCTGTCTTCACGGGGCTGCTCACATAGTGCTGAAATCAAACTCACTGGTCATACTGCCCACTGTCATTTTGGGTTGAGGACCAGAATGTGCATTTCTGGGCTTCCCCAAATCTGGACCCTGTCTGTTCCCACCACTCCCTATCTCCCCTGGTATGTTCCAGCCACACAACACCACTGCTGCTTACCTCCGTGACTGGGTCCCTACACAAATTTCCTTTGAGTGACAACTTTTAACATGAACCCAGGCATCCCTGTTCCAGGCTGAGTTTGATGTCTTCTGTGGGGCTCCACAGTCCCCATCAGGGCAGCACGGACCACGTGGTGTTGGAAGTGTTTGCATCTACAGCCGACTTCCTTTACTCAAGTGTGCACATTTAGAACTTAGGGATGACTGCCCAACACAGGGCCAGGCACAGTGCAGTGACTCAGAAAACGTTTCCTGAAGCTGACAGAGCACGAACAATTGTAAGGCTCTTTTATTTACTTATTTTTTAAGAGATGAGGTCCCACTTTGTCACCCAGGCTGCTGGAGAGTAGTGGGCATGATCATGAGTTGCTGTAGCCTCAAACTCCTGGGCTCAAGGGATCCTCTCAGCTCAGCTCCCCAAGTAGCTGGGACTACAGATGCACAACACCATGTCCAGCTAAATCTTTCTTTTTAATTTTTATAGAGATGGGGTCTCACTATATTGACCACGCTGGTATCGAACTCCTGGTCTCAAGTGATCCTCCTGCCTCAGCTTCCCAAAGTGCTGGGATAGAAGGGCATGAGTCACTGTGCCTGGCCATTTCTAAGACTGTTGATATAAACTGCTAAGTGACTTCAACACTCCTATCAGTAGCACAGAAGAGCCTTATGAGCATTATTTCAACCCAAAAAACTACGTTAGCACTATCCTCATCTATCTTCTGTTTCACCATATAGAAATACAGGCTATTTCTAGTTTTATTTCCACAGTCCAATCTCTCTTCCATCCAAAAAAAAAAAAAAAAAAGAAAAAATCTATCATTCTACTCCTCAAGTAAGGCTCAAATCTTAGGAAATGGGACACTGATTTTATAAGCAAAGCCACAAAAGGAGCAGTTACTTCATCAACCCAGACCCCATGCTAGCAGAGAGAAAGGTTGTAATTACTGTGCAAGGAGCCTTAAGAATGTGTGTGGAGATGCACAGGGATGAAGAAAGATATGCGCAATTTTAGGGCTCATGTCAGAAAGACACTTGTAATAGAAGAATTTCCATGCTGACAACTAAGAGATAGCTTAAATATGTAAAGCCTTGGGTGAAATAGCCACTGGGGAATTCTAATTATAAAGAAGAGTTCTGTACAACATAGGAGGGTGGGAAAAATGGAGGAACACTTCACATTTATAGGGTCCCTATTATGTGCACTTGGTACAGACTAGCTTTCTACACATTCTCTCATTTAGTCTTTAAGACCATCCCTGTGGGGAAGGAATTCTTATTTCTGTCTTACTGAGGAGGCTCAGGGAAGTAACTTGTATAAAGAGCAGAACTTGTCCAAGATCACCAGCGTGCTGGTCAACAGCAGAGCTTGTCCAAGATCACCAGCGTGCTGGTCAACAGCTGAGCTTGTCCAACATCAGCAGAGCGCTGGTCAAGATCAGAGCTGGGATTTCAATCCAGGTCTCTCTTATCTCTAAGCCCATTCTTTTACTCTGTACCATGTCTTACCAAAGGTCAACAATTTTTTTCTTATGAAAAGAGTTTCAACTACCATTAAAGCCAAACACTATTCAAAATATCTGGGAGCTTGGAAGAAGGGGCACAGTAAAGATGGGGGCCAGGGCTTTGGGGTCCAATGGGCAAGTGTAGTCCCTTATTAGATGCAATTTTGGGCAAATCACTTAACCAGTCTCTCTCTCTCTTTTTTTTTTTTCTTGAGACAAAGTCTCGCTCTGTCTCCCAAGCTGGAGTACAGTGGCGTGATCTCGGCTCATTGCAATCTCCACTTCCTGGGTTAAAGTGATTCTCCCACCTCAGCCTCTCCAGTAGCTGGGATTACAGGCACACACCCCCATGCCTGGCTAGTTTTTGTATTTTTAGTAGAGACAGGGTTTCACCATGTTGGCCAGGCTGGTCTTGAACTCCTGACCTCAAGTGATCTGCCCACCTTGGCCTCCTAAAGTGCTGGGATTACAGGCATGAGCCACTGTGCCCCGCCTTTTTAAAAAAATCTTTTCTTTTTTGTTTGAGACTGAGTTTCACTCTGTTGCCCAGACTGGAGTGCAGTGTCGTGATCTTGGCTCACTGCAAGCTCCACCTCCCAGGTTCAAGCTATTCTCCCGCCTCAGCCTCCCGAGTAGCTGGGATTACAGGCACACGCCACCACGCCTGGCTACTTTTTGTATTTTTAGTAGAGAGGGGGTTTCACCACGTTGGCCAGACTGGTCTTGAACTCCTGACCTCAGGCGATCCACCCGCCTCGGCCTCCCAAAGTGCTGGGATTACAGGCGTGAGCCAGCACGCTCGGCCTCACTTAGCCATTCTCTCAATACTTGATTTCCTCATCTGAATTATAGGAAAAAGACCAGAATATCATAAAGGGTTGTGGGGAGGAGCTAATGTACTTAGCAAATGGCATATGGTACACGGCAGTATTGCTTACTTTTCCCCCAGCCCTTGCTGAGCACCAGGCAGCGCTCTCATCACTTTATATATATTAACTCAACCCTCACAACAACCCCAAGAGGTAGAGATGATTACAATTCCCATTTTGTATGACGAGACAAAGCACAAAGATATTAAAAACTTACCAAGGACACTAAGGGCTGGCAGTTGGAGCCTGCAATTTACCGCCAAACCCACACACTTCACCACCATCTTCTCCTGCTTACGGCAGATGGTTATGACAGTGGTGTTGATGTTGGAAATTCATCCTTCAAGGCTCAGCTCAGGCATCTTTCAGGGAAGTGCTGCCGAGCAACCTCTCTGCTGGCTGAGCTGGCTGCTCCCACAGCTCTTCCGGCTCACAGCAAACGCTCCTGACTCCTCTACCTGTCTATGCGCACCTGGCAAGCAGGATCTGGTCCTCTCCTCTCTGTACGCTTGGCACCCAGCACAGAGCGAGCATCCTGCCACTGCCGAATGAATCGATGAGCAAGGAAGCATGGGCTCCCTTCACACTGGGCAAAGGAAAGCCCTATACCCCTTTGGGCCAGTCTACATAGGGGTTTAATTACTATCTAAAGATAACTAGTGAGTACTGGCCTTAATACCTAGGTGATGAAATGATCTGTGCAACAAACTTTCACATGTACCCCTCAACCTAAAATAAAAGTTAAGAAAAGTCTAAAAGTCACTTATTTTTTCCCAGGTTCCATCGTTTGAACTATTTTAAATGAAGCAGGCCACCTGGATATGCCATGATCTTTGTCTCAAAATGAACAAACACTTGTAAATGTCATTCAGAGAAGACAGATACAAAAGCCCTTCATAGGCCACCACGTCTCAGGATTCCAATCACATCAGCTTGGCAGATAGGGTGGAATTAGATTTTTCTTAAAAGGAAACTGAGGCAACAAGGGTACCGATTTCAAGCTGTCAATGTGTTCTGCTATTGTTCTGAAGTGAATCTTCAATATTCAGTCCAAGAAAGAAAAATGAACTTGTCAGGCATTTCCCCCCTTCACTGTCTGGTCTATGAACTCCTACTCATCCCTTAAAACCCACTGTTGACATAACACCTGTGAAGCCTATCCTGCTCTCTCAAATGGAGTTAATCTCTCCCCCTTCTGGGTCACTTGAACAGGCTTCTATTTGCACTTAACACCTGCACTGAGAGTTCTCCGCACGCCTCTCCCTCTTAGCATGAAGGGCAAAGACAGTGTTCTGTTCACTCATGTTTCTAGCTCAGTGCCAGGATGAGGGTAGGAGCTCAGTAACACACAATGAATTGAATGCAAAAACGCTGTCACACAAAGACAGAACCATACTCAAATCTGGGTGTTTCATCTCCAGTATCAAGGGCAGGATCTAACCAGTGGGCTCAACTTAGCTCAGAGTGCTAGAGGGTTGCTGCATCAAAAATAATGTCTACTAACTTTCTTTTTTGTCCAATTTTTAAACTGTGTTAAGATACATATAGCATAAAATTTACTGCCGATTATTTTTAAGTGTACGGTTAGTTCAGTGATATTACATGCATTCATACTATTGTGTAACCATTATCACCATCTATCTCCAGAACTCTTTTCATCTTGTAAAACTGAAATTCTGTAGGCCTGAAATAATAACTCCCCATTTCCCTCTCCTCCCAGCACCTGGCAACCACCTGTCCACTGTCTGTCTCTATGATTTTGACTACGTTCCTCGTACAAGTAGAATCATATACTATTCGTTCTTCTGTGACTGGCTAAATGTATGTAGCATAATGTCCTCCAGGTTCATCCATGGTGTAGCATGTGTCAGAATTTCCTCTCTTTTTAAGGCTGTGTAATATTCCATTATTTGTATATACCACATTTTGTTATCCACTCATCTGTGGATGGACACCTGGGTTGCTTCCACATTTTAGCTATTGTGAATAGTGCTGCTCTGAACATGGGTACCAAATATAACATGGGTATACAGATATCTCTTTGAGACCCTCCTTGCTTTCAATTCCTTTGGGTATATATTCAGTAGTGAAACTGCAGGATCATATGGCGACTGTATTTTTAGTTTTTTGAGGAACCATCATACTGTTTTCCACAGCAGCCATACAATTTTACATTCCCATCAACAGTACCCAAAGGTTCTGTGACGGTTAATACTGAGTGTCAACTTGATTGAATTGAAAGATGCAAAGTATTGATCCTGGGTGTGTCTGTGAGGGTGTTGTCAAAAACCATTAACATTTGAGTCAGTGGGCTGGGGAAGGCAGATCCACCCTTAATCTGGTGGGCACCATCTAATCAGCTGCCAGTGAATATAAAGCAGGCAGGAAAACGTGAAAAGGAGAGATGGGCCTAGCCTCCCAGCCTACATCTTTCTCTCGTGCTAGATTGTTTCCTAGCCTTGAAGATCAGACTCCAAGTTCTTCAGTTTTGGGACTCAGACTGGCTCTCCTTGCTCCTCAGCTTGCAAACAGCCTATCGTGGGACCTTGTGATAGTGTAAGTTAATACTTAATAAACTCCCCTTTATATATATATATCTCTCCTATTGGTTCTGTCCCTCTAGATAACCCTAATACAGGCTCCATATCTCTATCTCTATCTCCTATTAGTTCTGTCCCTTTAGAGAACCCTGACTATAATACAGGCTCCATATCTATATATCTATATCTACATATATATCTCCTGTTAGTTCTGTCCCTCTAGAGAACCCTGACTAATACAGGCTCCATATCTCTATCTCCTGTTAGTTCTGTCCCTCTAGAGAACCCTGACTATAATACAGGCTCCATATATCTATATCTATATCTACATCTATATCTACATATGTATGTCCTGTTAGTTCTGTCCCTCTAGAGAACCCTAATACAGGTTCTAATTTCTGAGTCCTTTTTAACACTTGTTATTTTCTGCTTTTTTAACAGTAGCCATCTTAATGGGTGTGAGGTGGTATCTCATTGTCATTCTGATTTGATTTCCTGAATGATTAGTGATGAACATATGCTTATTGGCCATTTGTACATTTTCTTTGGAGAAATATCGAGTCAGGTCTTTTGCCTATGTTTGAATCAGTTGTTTGTTCTTCTGTTGTTGAGTTTTAGGAATTCTCTATATAGTCTGGATGTTAATCCCTTACTAGATATATGCTTTAAAAACATTTTCACCCATTCTGTGGGTTACCTTTTTAAGCTGTTGACATTGTCTTTTTGATAGACAAAATTTTTAAGTTTTCATGAAGTCCAATTTGTCTAGTTTTTCTTTCGTAGCCTGTGCCTTTGGTGTCATAGCCAAGAAGCCATTGCTAAAACCAGTGTCGTGAAGCTTTTGCCCAATGTTTTCTTCCACAGGTTTTCATAGTTTTAGGTCTTAAATTTAGGTCTTGATCTATTTTGAGCCCACTAACTTTCTAACATGGCTACAGAGAAACATTTCTGAGCAACATGAATAACTTTCTAAAAATTATTTAGGGGGAGTAGTGAGCAGACAGACTGAAGCTCAGTTCCCAGCTTTGCAAGATCTAGCCGTGACCATGGCTGCTATGATGAAGCCTTAGTTTGCTCATTGATTTAGCAGGGATAATACCACTCACCTCTTAGGCTTTTTGGGGAGAGTACATTAAATATCATTATGTCAGGTGCTTCACATAATACCTGGCAGGTGGTCAGTGCTTTGAGATGGAGGTTATCTACGGCATGCTATCTACAGAAGCGCAGTGTTAAGATGATGGACTTAGGAGTTAGTCAGATGGATTTGAGACCTGAATATCAGCCATGTGACCTTGGCATAGTCAACTACTCTCTTTATGCCTCTGTCTCCTTATTCATCAAAGTGGAACAACAGCAATATCTTTTTAGATGGTTTCAAGGAATAGCTGGGAGTGTATTTAAGAGTACTTCGCACAGCCCCTGGCACTGGTATGCCCTCAACAAATGGCTTCAAAGAGCCATGGAAATCTTTAACATCAGTCTTCATCTTCTGCCTGCAACCTCTTAACACTCAGCCCATTTCTGTAACAGCCACCAATGTTATCTATGAGCTCTTGAAAGGCTGCCAGGCAGATGACTTTAAATAGCAGCATCTGGCCAGTCTTGAGCTCATCGGACTCACGTAAAACTCACATATCAGCATTGAGAAGGTATAGATTACATTCAGAGGAGATTCTCCTTGAAATGTACCCTGAAAAACTTCAAGTGCAACTAGCTGTCTAATGCCTGATACTTTCTGATACTATGACATCCTCCCTTCCCTTTTCCCACCCCTGTAGGCCAGCATAGTCTTTCTAAAATGCTGATTGGATTCTGTGTTTCTAATGACTAGAGCTCCAGTGCATCTCCCCATCACCAACAGGTCTTCTGCCTCAGGAGGGCTTGATGGTCAATGAGTCTGAGACACACTGGGTTAAGCCAAGTTCAGTCTGGGCAATGGCTGAGGGTCCTGTCGGGTCTTTATCGTTCCCTGTGTGCTTCTGACAGGGGAACTGAGTCATCTGTACTCCCAGGGTCTTGGCTCTTTTTATTCAAAGAATACCCATTTCTACCAGTTTGAAAAACATTGGCCATACTCCTTTGAAAGGAACTTCTATGATTCTGAGGTTTTTCACAAGCCTTCCTTTCTGGTTTTATCGTTCTCTTTGCTTCTTTCTCAGCCCACTTCCATGCTGCAAGCACACAGAAATGATCATTTTGCCCCAGTAGGCTGTGCCGTCTATTCTTGAGCATTTCAGCCTGGAATGAGTTGCCCTTCGCCATCTGGTGAAACTGCACTCGCCCTTCGAGGTCCCGCCAAAATATCCCCTCCTCTGGGACACCTGCCCCTCACCTCATCTCACCTACCCTACCCTGTTGTACTTTAACAAGGGATGACTTCTTGACTCTCTTTTCACCCCCACTGGGAGGTAAGCTCCTGGAAGGCAGGACCATGAATGGTTTGTCTTTGTATACCTGACACTAGGCCTGCACGGGATGCATGCTTATAACATTGACCAAATGCTCACAGAACATCAGAAGGAGCCACTGGAAAATGACAGAGTGTTTTTAAGTCTGATTTAAATGTCTTAGGTTTTATACAGTTAAAAAATTTTTCATTTCTCAGAATATAAATCCTTAGCATCTGACTACAAATTCTTAGTGGATTTCAGAACATCATGTACTTTCTGCTCTACTGAATACAGAATCTGAGGGAGGCAGAGCCATGGGTCTTTGGAGACCTGCTGACCCCGTGCTGTCATTTTAAAGACGAAGAAACTGAAGCCCAGAGAAGAGAGGCGCTCAGGCAGGGCCGGCACTCCTGATGCCCAGGCCAGCAGTTCCCTACAGCTCTGTGGACTACCAAGGCAGTTCTTCAGGGGCATGGAGGTGACCAATCAGGGCCTCACAATCCAAATGCCTCCCCATGCCTAGCTAAGCTGAAGAGAACTTCTCCATAATGACACCAACATGTTCTGCTTGGTAATTATGGACCCAACAGTCACGATGAACCACAGCACATACAGAAAAGACTACAAGAAAGCGGCGACAGCATGACACAAGAACCCACCCCCCTTGTAAAAGAAGAGTTTTGCTGGTGTTCACTCTTAATGTTAAATAATGAAGTCTTTAGACAGTCACATATTTCTGCAAGATAACTCTGAAGGAACTCCGTGATAATTTGGCATCAATACCCAACTTATGTTACCTAACATATTTTAGCAGCTACAACTCCCTGCGTGAGATATTCTATATGGACAGATCTATGGTGATTGGTAAATTACAATATGTACAAGTACAAATGCTTCTAGGAAATGGGGCTTTATGTAAATATGTGATATTTTGTACAGAATCCATGCTACTTACTTACATACACAGGTTGCTATAGTGGAGATGTAAACAGATATACCTTGGAGAAGATAATGTTTGTCTTTAAAGTGACTTGGGCTTATTTCTTCTTTAAACAATGGATTGCGAAGTGGGATTCACAAGCACCCTCCACATTTTGAGGCATGTAGGCAACATAGCTTTAAAAGAGTTAACATATCCCTACCAGAAGTCCTAACAAATTGAATCTTATTTAATTAGATATTGTATTTGGGGGGAAAAATGAAATAAAATTATTTCATTAACTAAACCAAACTCCCTTAAAGGCAACAATATGTTCCTCTCTGTCAGGACAGAATGGAATGAAATCTTTATTTTAATTGGGGTCAGATGAGGAGCCATTTGGCTTCAGATGCTTTGTTTATCAGCCCTGAGCTTTATGGCTGAACCGGAACGTGAAATATTCCATTACACAACCGTTCCACTTAAAAGCCCACTTTCCCAATGATTTTTCATATGTTAAATGCTGTAAATATAGCCCAAACTAGCTTTGAAATTTAGAAATAGAATATTTAAAGGTCCCCCAGCGACACGAGGCTCTCGGATGGCCTTGGGTCAGAGATGCTATTTCTTCTCTTCAACAACGTGGCCTCCCTTAGACAAGTGCCCTGTGATCAAGAGGAGCAGGCTAGCAATGCCATCCTCTGTGCCGCTGCTCCTCAACGTGAGTGAGTGTGCCCCCTTCATGCGCCTGAGCCGAAAGTTTCCAGAAATGATAAGCATTCACCAAACACCTCCGAGAGCCCACACAGTATGGTGATTAAGAGCAAGGACTTTGGAGCTAGACATTTTGCATTACAATTCTGACCTTAATGCTTCCTAGCTGTGTTACCTTGGGCAAATCAATTAACTTTTCTGTGCTTTAGTTTTTTCATCTGCACAACAGAAAAAATAATATTATTTACCTCACAGGGTGGTTGTGAGGATTAAATGAGTAATATGTATAAAGTGCTTTAATTAGTGCCCCGCACGGAGTAAGCACTATTTAAGAATTATTGGCCAGGCAGTGGCTCACGCCTGTAATCCCAGAACTTTGGGTGGCCGAAGTGGGCGGATCACTAGGTCAAGAGATCGAGACCATCCTGGGCAACATGGTGAAACCTTGTCTCTACTAAAAATACAAACATTAGCTGGGCATGGTGGCGTGCACCTGTAGTCCCAGCTACTTGGGAGGCTGAGGCAGGAAAATCAATTGAACCAGGGAGGCGGAGGTTGCAGTGAGCCGAGATCGTGCCATTGCACTCCAGCCTGGTGACAGAGTGAGACTCTGTCTCAAAAAAAAAAAAAAAAAAAAAAAAGAATTATTACTATGATGATTATTAATAAGTGTATCCACATTTATCCTCATAACAACTTACAGAGATTAGGGTAATTATGACTGTTTCACAAACGAGGAAATAGGCTCAGAGAGATTAAATTACCTGTACAGGGTCACATAGCCAGAAAGTCACAGGAGTGGGGTTGAACCCAGGTTTGTCTTCAGTCCAGGGTTCTTCCCACCAAAAGATGTTGCTTTGAGGGCAAACAGAATAAACACATATTCAAGCTTCAGAACCCAGAGATGGCTCAAAATTTCCTTATGCTCTTTCAAAAAAAGGCTGGGCACAGTGGCTTAACGCCTATAATCACAGCACTTTGGGATGCTGAGGCAGGCAGATAACTTGAGGTCAGGAGTTTGAGACCAGCCTGGCCAACATGGTGAAACTCAGTCTCTACTAAAAACAATACAAAAATTAGCTGGGCATGGTGGCACGTGCCTGTAATCCCAGCTACTTGGGAGGCTGAGGCACGAGAATAGCTTGAACCTGGGAGATGGGGGTTGCAGTGAGCTAAGATTGTACCATTGCACTCCAGCCTGGGCGACAGAGTGAGACTCCGTCTCAAAAAGACAAAGAAAGAAAGAAAGAAAAGAAACATAATATTTTTACACGGGTAACTGTGCTAAGAGGAACAAGGTTGTTGTAACCACTACTGTTTTTCTTATGAGATCTAGAACTTCTGGCCAAAAAGGAATTCTAAATAGATCTTATTATATACAAAAGGATGACCTAAGTCATCTGATGTAGTAAATGATCTGAATTTTAAAGTTTGCATCTTTATAATCACTGAGGCTAACAATAGTTATAATTAGCAGACCAACTCATTCATTAGGCAGTTATGTGCAAGGTTCTAGGCTGAGAGCCCTTCCAGATATGTGAGATTACAAGTTCTCCCTCCCAAGTAGACTAAAGCAGAAAATTTTAACATAAGAATTACTTTTTGCTGGGCACAGTGGCTCACGCCTGTAATCCCAGCACTTTGGGAGGCCGAGGGGGGCAGCTCGCTTAAACCCAGGAGTTTGAGACCAGTCTGGGCAACATAGCGGGACCCTCATCTCTTAAAAAAAAAAAAAAAGAAAATTAGCCAGGCGTGGTTGCAGACTCCTGCAGCCCTCAGCTACTTGGGGGGCTGAGGCTGTAGTGAGCCATGATCAGGCCACTGCACTGCAGCCTGGGCAATGGGAGTGAGAACCTATCTCAAAATAAATAAATAAATAAATAAATAAATAAATATTTTTTGTCTTAAAATTACTAGTGTTCAGAGAGTTAAAAGACAGTTTCCATTGCTACTGTGAAGCTTTGACTTTATTCAGTTCCTCTTAAAATGCATTGACTCAGAAAACAACTTGCTTTTTATCTTTCAAGTTCTAGCATCAAAATCCATCTAGAGTTTCAGTATTCTTTTTCAAGCACATCGGCGATGGGTTAATGGTGACATTATCTGACAGCTCCCAGATAACACAGGCAAAGAGAGATGGGACTCATCAAGAAACACCGCCTCAGCTAGACTTAGTAAGTCCAGAGCCAGTGTTATACAAGACAAGGCTCCTAAAATGAAACTGGAAAAGTAGCAAAAGTTTTGGCAAAAAGCACATTTTTAACTTTCGTTTTTGGTGATGACAACGGGATCATATTGTCCGGACCTGATAGGACAGAGTCAAATTCCACTGTGTCTTTGCCATTTGCATTCATACATGCTTACAGAAAATACAGCCATTTTAAATTAAATGCATTATTCATGGTTCGTAAATTCTAAGACGACACCCATGAAGATATCTCTAAGCATTTTCCCATCTTCTGTGAAATGTGCTGTTCTAGAAACTGTAATAAAATGAGCTGTTTCTGCAACTTCACAGCAGGTATTTTGATTTGATGATAATCACTTTTCTTTACAATTTTCTTGTAATTGTGCCATGATCTTTTGACAAATAAAAAAAGACAAGTGGACATCCACATGTGTGTAATTCGCTAATTGCACATCTTCAGTGAGGAAAAATGCTTGTTTTAAAAGTTATTCTCTTAACCACAGAGTTCAAAGTGAACGTGGCATGAACATCTAAATAAATATCAAGGAAGTGTCAAAGGTAACTGAGGAGAGATCAGGTGAAGTGTGAAGTGTTAATTGTATCTAAAAAAAAGTATAAAAGAATAGAGGGAAAAGACAGATATACTGAATTCCCAATTATCATAATGTTGTCTTTTTCCTAACACATTTTCAAACTTGAAAAGAACACTGAAGCCAGAGGAATTCAGAGCAGAGTACCCCCGGCTGTGTCCTCCAAATATCTCACACTCTGTGTGCACACAGTTTATTTAAATACAAAATAAAATTATGACTTACAAAATGCACATGTACGTCACCATACAAAATCAGCCTCTAGAAGGCACCGTGAAGGAATGGAACATGAAACGAAGAAGGAAAGAAAGAGAGAGGAAGAGGCCCTGTGCCTCTGCTTGATCTGATATACTAGGGGCACTGTCTTAAAGGTGAGTAGGGGATGGCTCACATGATCATCCTCACACTCAAACACAAGCCCGTACACACAGAGCAGCTGCAAAATTAAGATGGCTCATGGATACTGAATGTACTGTGGACAAATTTTGGCTCTGAGGGAAAAGAAGCGAGGCAAACAAGACTTCGCAGAAGACGTTCTCACCAACAGAAAGCACGAGATGGGACACCTGGCTTTCCTGGACAGTACATGGAGTTGGAGAGTCAGACAGGTCTGTCTTCTAAATTGCCACTTGCTAGCTGACTAAGCCTGTCTGAACCTCAGGTTCTGTAAAGAGCGAGGAGAAATACTGGGAAGGGCTGCTGGGAGCATTAGGGGTCACGTAGCATAGCGTCTTACACAGGAGAGGTGCTCTTGCACCATCTTCCTTTATGGCCTCGTTTTTGAGCCTTCTCTCTGGGTCACAGATGGATGGCACATCCCCAGTGAACATGCAAGAAAGGTCACTTGCATTTTCAGTCCTTTACTACTCTTGGGTGGCACCAAGCAAGCCCCTCAAATTATAGAAGAGCCTGAACATGAGATGAGAGCTTTCCAATTCTCCAGCTCCAGGCCAGACTTTCCTCCTGAACTGCAAGACCTGTTCTATCCATTGTATGCTGGATGCTTACACTTGGAGGACCCACATGTTTCTCAAACTCCACACTCCAATCCTGAACACTTCTTTCCCCCACCCTTTGGCCTGCTGCATTCTTGACCTCAGGCAAGGAAATCTCCACTGACTGACTCATTGGATTCTATGACCAGGGTCATCTCCAATGCCTCTATCTCCTTCTCCTTATTTCTGAGAAGTTGCCTACCTCAGATGAACCTACCTGTAAGGTGTCGACAAGACATCTCTGCCTCCTCATGCCTTGTCATTCCTCTCCTGGACGAGAAAGCTGTCCCCTTCAAAGACTTGGCTCAAAAATACAGAGTAATGTCCTATGACTGCACTGCCCGCCATGGCCCCAGCAGTGCGGCCTGCCCTGTGAGTCGCGCCTTCCCACTTCTCTGCTGTAGCCCAGGAAAACACAGTCGCTACACAACCTCCTCCTCATCTCTCACCACCGTGGAGTTCCTCAAAGGCAGAGATGACCTCTTATTGATCCTTGTGCTCCTTGTATTACCCCAGAGCTGGACCCAGAGTGGGTGTCTAGGCAAGTGGGTTGAACCTGTTGATTACATCTTTATACATGTTATGCGGTCATATGAACTCATCTGATAAAGGGAAATACACAATAGAATGATCAGTGTGAGCACACAAGGACACATCCCCAACTGTGTCCCATCACAACAGGATACAGAGGGGAAACATTTGTGTGGCACTTTCCATTTTAAGCAGCATGTATGCACCTGCCATTTTTTGTGAATAGCAGCCACATGAGATGGGCAGAGAAGGGACTGGTGTTCCCATTCTACAGGTGAGGAAGTTTGGAGGAGGAAAGTGACCTGTATGGGGGCACACAGCACAGGTGGTAGAGTGAGATGTGACCCAGGCCTTTTAGACTCCATACCACAGGCCATCCCCTGCCATGTCACTCTCTGCAACTAGAAATGCAGAAGCCTCAGTTCCTGCTCACAGTTCAGCCAAAGGTACCCACTGCTTCCAAGGATAGGAGATGTGGCCTTGAGGCTTTCTTAACACAGAAGGTGGAGGAGCAGAAAGGGGATGCTTTACACTAAAATAAGAAAACATTCCTAAAAACAGGAGCATTTCAAAGATGGAAAGGTTGCTTCAGAAGGAAGTAAGTTCCCTGGCACCAGAGGTATGCAAGAGAAGCTGGAAAGCCTCATGGGAGGATGTTGTAGGGGAGACTCGAGCATGGAATAGGCAATAAGGCCACACAATCCTTCCAGTCTTGGGATTCTCAGATGCAAAATGTTGCTTAGGAAAACACTGTGACCTCAGAACAGGCCCAGAAGCAGGCTGTGCAGAGGCCAGCTACATTCCCCTCCTTCTTCTGATTCCCAAACCTCCATGCATCCCTCAAGGCCCCAGATATCCCCACTCCTAGGAAGACTTCCCAGAGTCCCTCTCTGGGTAGGGACTTCTGCCATGCTTCCACAGTCCTATGCAGGTAACTCTTCAGTTAAGGGCTCAGATGTCTGAGGCCTTCGAACTTGGGCTCCAGTCCTGGCTCTGGCATCAGAAGGGTGGCTTTGGGGAAGCTACTTCACTGTCCTGAGCCTAGGCTATGGTGAGGATCTGAGGGCTAACACAGCGGGGGTGCTAGGTGCCATGTCAGGCACAGAGTCAGTGCTCAGGAAGCACCTGCTGCCACAGTGCACAGTGCAGTTGCCTGTTGCACGGGACTAGACTGTGCTGGGAACAAGAAGCATGTCCGATTTAACTCAGAATCCCTGTCTCATCCCCAGCACAGGGCTGAGGACAGCAGCTGCTCGGTCACTGTTGGCTGAGGATGGTGAAGTTAGCAATCAACTGACCACCATAGCAGCAGCACAAGGCCTGGCTTCAGGGCTGGACACTTATGAGCTCTGAATGCCAGAAAAAATCATCTCATATTTCCACTACTCAGTTTCTCCCATTGAAAAACGTGACTGATGCTAGTATTTGCACCCCCACCCACTTCCAGTTTGCCGTGAGCATTACAGAAGGCTTTGTGAACCACAGAGTGCCAAGCCAACAACAGCTACTGAATGTTGCAGCGCCAGGCGGGAATGGGGACAGGAGAGACAGAAGAGCTGCAGCCCAGCTTGGCTGGGGGTTGCAGGGATTGTCTGTGGTCCAGTGTCCCTTGGCTCCCAAAACAAAACCCAGCAGTTATCAGGGTCTCGTGACTTGAGGGTCTCCACTCTGCTTACATGTGGAAGCCGTGTGCAGTCAATCACAAGGGGAACCAAAATCAGAGAGGAAAATGACAAAGGGAGAGAGGAGAAGAATACAGAGGATCGAGTAGGTCACCGTGTTCCTGGAAACTAAAAGCTCCAAACAAGAACCAGCAGAATGGCAAAAAGGCAAACAGGTGATCAAAGGCAAAAGAACAAAATGCAGGCCAGGAAGTCAGTGCCAAAGAATTGATTAGTCAAACATATGAATCTCTCATGCTGCAGCGGAAATATCACAGCCCCGGCTCCTCACTGTGGAGCCCTCTCCTCATAATAGGAGATATGAAGAGGCCGGGGAATAAAGCAACTTTCATTTTTCCTCCGTGAATGCAGAGGGCCAGGCCCCATGAGGACCTCGCCTTGTGCTGGCTTCGAGGGGGAGCGTGGCCCCTGGCCATGGGAGTGGGGTGCGACTGAATGGGCTGGCACTCGGCTCACTTCACTTGAAAGCTCCGAGGCCTCTATAGATGCAGGTCTCGGGCAAGAACAGCATCCTGGGACTTGGACTTGGAGATTCAAATGAGGAGAGGTGAGTGTCCTCCTCAGCATCGTGGGGACTAGAGTTCCTTCGCGGCACTTTTCAGTGCTCCTTCCTGCTGCACGGTCCCACTGGCTATTCTGCAGCCAGCACTGACAGAGCGTCACAGACCTCCCCAAAGCAGGAGCCAGAAGCCTAGTGGCATGGATGCAACTGGAAGCTTCTCGAATATGTGGGGTGGGCATGTGCATAAGTTTGGCTGGCCGCCTTAAAGAACTGAAGGTGACTTGGGACAGTGGAAGGAGGGGCAGATTTGGAGTCAGCAGACACTGGTTCAAATACCAGCTTTGCTGGTAATGGTTGAAATTCCTCTACCTCTCTGAGTCTCAGTTTCCTAAGCTGGAAAATGGGGATAATAATACGTGCCCTTAAGGGCTGCTGTGAGGATTAAATTAAATGAGATGTGAGGGTGTCTGAAAGCGTGTCTGCCTCACAGATGTGCAACTCAGGTAAAAGACATGCTACCATATCTTAAAACAGTCTCAGAATTCTGGAAGCCAGAAAAAGAGATACATAACCTGTAGCTCTTCTCTGAATATGCTATAGGAATGTGGATCGTTCAAGTTGATTACTACCGAAATGTCATTCAAGGCCTGTTTACCTGTTGGCCCTTCTTCTCCGGAGTCCGGTGAGGTGGCCATGGCCTGACCTCTGGGTGGAAGGGCTCCTCTGTTGACTGTGATTCTCAGGGCAGCCCGGTCCTCCTTGTTCACCCCACACCCACACGAGAATCAGCCTGGCACACTGAATGGAGCTCAGGCTTCAGAGCCAGAGACTGAGATTGGAAGCCCCAGCCTCCCACTGACTCACTGTGATAAAAGGTCTGTTTCTAAGTCCTCTTTATACGTCGGATGCATGTTACTCAAACTTTCAAGTAAGAAACACTTTTTAGGGTGGGTCCCAGAGGACAGGTGAGATCCTACAGAACCGAGGCACTGGAATTTTCTCTACAGACTTGAGTGCTATCCTTTAATTTTCTCAGTTGAGATCGGCACATCTTTCCCTGGTTGCTAAGAGGACACACCAAGGCCCAGGGTCTGAGGACGCCAGAGCGGGAAGAGCCGCTGGGTGTCATACAATCCATCTCTTCCTTTCACTGCTGGAAGCACTGAGGACCAAAAGAGGGATTGGAAGAACTGCTTTGGGTTGATGCTGCCCTGTTCTGGGCCCAAAGACAGCATCATACCAAGACTTGCTCTTGATGACTGACAGGAAGCAGCTAGCCAGGCACTTGACAGACAGGCTGGGCTGGTCAATCCAGATGGATTTACTGCAACTAACAGAAAAATGACTGTGCAGAACAGTGTCACATACCCTTTTGATCATGTCCTGCACTGCCCACTATGATGTCTGCTTCAGGTAGATCTTAAATGAGAACTTAAAAGCTTTCTCCCCTCCTAACTGGAGCCTGCCCAACATGGATCCCCAAAGGCTTAACTGTTTGCAAAGTGCTGGTCACCAGATTAGAACATGAGGGAAGAGTTTTTATTAAAAACAGAATTCCCTCCCCAAGTCCAAAAGTCACTGGAAAGGTTGGGCAAGGTAGGGTTCTATTTTGAGGTGTGTGTGTGTGTGTGTGTGTGTGTGTGTGTATGTGTGTGTGTCTGTGTGTGTGTCCATGACACCCAGCATGGGGTGTCTCAGCCTAAGGTGGGTGACTAAGGTATCTGTTTGGGTCATGGACCCAACATGCTTATCAGACCTTGAATGGTGCAATGAGGAATGCACCACATGGAATGGTCCACGTGGAAGGGATGGCAGGGCAAGGAGGGCCTGAGCCAGGGGGCAGCCTGGCTCAGGGTGTCAGAGCCTGAGGGAGATGAGGAGGATGTTTATGTGAGAGAGTGGAGGTGGTGGGTTGGCATGGGATGTTGGAACTTAAGTAGGATCTAGAAGAATCCATGTGAGAAGGGAGGCAGTGGCAGTGGTCTAGCGCTGGGGTGTTAGAGCCTGAGGTGAGGAAGTAGACAGAGGAGGCCTAACCTCGGATGTCAGAGTCAGGGAGGGCAAGGAGAGCATCTGGGTGGGGATGGAGGCAGGGGCAGCGACAGAAGCGTGGTTCCACACAAATAACCAAATATATTAGGAAAATATAGGCCAGGTTTTTCACTTTTGTAGAAAGTAGTCACAGATATGTAAAGGGAGAAAACTAGAATAATTCCTATGTTGGACTGGAATAGGAACCATTGGTGTGAACCCACGGCCTTCAGTATGGGAAGATGGATACAGAAACAGAGACATAAAGTGCCTATCGTGGGTCTGGGTGTGTTACACATTCCTTGGCTGTATCAACTAGAAGGGCCTAGCATCAGTAATACCAAGTAGGAATGAGTATACCTGGTGCCTAGATCTTGGTTTCTAAGTATCACTCCCTACTAAAAGGAACCAGGACTCACGGAGGAAAGGGCTGACTCCAGATCTGAGACAGGAAATGCACAAGATGAACCTCAGGCAGTTTGGCAGGGTGGAATACGGTCATGTGTTAACAGTCACATAATCACATTGTGGGGTAGGCTACAAGACAACTGGTCTGGACTCTTCAAAAATGTAAATGCCTTGGAAGACCAAAACATAACAAAAAGCAAGAGAGACTATCCTACATGAAACGGTACTAAAGAGACATAACAACCATAGGCAATGTGTGATCCTCGATTTGAGCCCAAGTACATTAAGCAAGAAAGATGATTAGAAAAGATATTTTGGAGTCAACTGGGAAAACTGTATGTAGATTACAGATTGTCTATTAGGTTGGTGCAAAAGTAACTGCGATTTTTGCTATTAAAAGTGATATTTCCATTACATAATATTATTGTAACAATTTCAAATATCTTGAGAACGATAATGGCTTTATGATTAGGATAGAGAATGTCCTATCTTCTTAGAAAATACAGGCTGAAATACTTAGGAGTGAAGCGTCATAATAACTTACTTTAAAATGGTTCCGCAAAAATAAAGCAAACAAAATGAAAACAAAAACAAAACAAAAGGCACAGTGTGCATATATTTAGAAATACAACGCACATTTGTAAAACATTAATTATCAGTGAACATAGGTGAAGGGTAAATGGGTATTCACTGTACTATTCTTTCAACTTTTCCATAGGTTTGAATTTTTTTAAATGAAAAGTTGAAGGAAAAAGAAAATGTCAAATTTTTATTTTTTAGAGATGCTTACTAATTAATATAACTTAAAGATGAAATGAAGTACTTAAATTGTTCTTAAAATATTCCAGCAAAAAAAGTGAGGAGTGGCAGGTGTGGTGGCTCACACCTATAGTAACAGCACTTTGGGAGGCTGAGGTGGGCGGATCCCTTGAGCCCAGGAAGGAGGTGGGTAGATCCCTTGAGCCCAGGAGTTTGAGGCCAGTCTGGGCAACACGGGGAAACCCTGTCTTTACAAAAAATAAAAAATAAAAACCCAAAAATCAGCCAGGCATGGTGGTGCACACCTGTTGTCCCAGCTACTTGGGAGGTGGGAGGATCACCTGAGCCTGGGAGGTTGAGGTTGCAGTGAGCCATGATTGTGCCACTGCACTCCAGCCTGGCAGACAGAGTGAGACCCTGTCTCAATTATATATATATAGATATATATACACACACATACACACACACACACACACACACACACACACACACACACACACACACACAAAGGTTGGGGGGAGAGTAGGGTAGAAAACAAATGAAACAAATATGACAAAATGTCAATGGTGGTTGAAGCTGTGTGATGGGTACATGGGGGGTGTGTACTCTGTACTTTTGCGTGTATTTGGGCTGGGGTGGGGAATCCCAGTCCAGAAAGATGTATTTGTTACAATTTTATAAGAAGGTTAATACTAAAAAATATAAAAGGAGCTTATGTAAATAAAAATAAGACAACACTGAGAGCCCAGTAGAGAAGTGTCAGGTTCATAATGAAAAAACAAACACCTGGCAAATAAACATGAATAACAGTTCAATGTCACTAGTAATCAAGGAAACAAAAATTAAAACAATTCATTTCTCTTTGCCTATTAAATTGGCAAATATAAAAAATAAAAACTCCTAGTTGTAGTCAAGAGTGGCCATCTATGGAATGTTAATAAGAATGGACAATAGTAGGCCAGGCACGGTGGCTCATGCCTGGAATCCCAGCACTTTGAGAGGCCAAGGTGGGCAGATCACGAGGTCAGGAGATCGAGACTATCCTGGCCAACATGGTGAAATCCCATCTCTACTAAAAATACAAAAATTAGCTGGGCAGTGGTGTGTGCCTGTAATCCTAGCTACTTGGGAGGCTGAGGCAGGAGAATCACTTGAACCCGGGAGGCAGAAGTTGCAGTGAGTTGAGATCACACACCACTGCACTCCAGCCTGGTGACAGAGTGAGACTCTGTCTCAAAAAAAAAAAAAAAAAAAAAAAAAAAAAAAAAAAGAACGGACAATAGTAAAACATTTATGAAATGAAACTTGTCAAGTGTCTCAAGGACCTTAAAAATAATCATATCCTTTAATCCAGAACTGGAATTGCTGGGAATTTAGTTTAAGGAAAAACTCTAAAATTCAATGAATCTTTATATATAAGGTGAAACCCTGTCTCTACTAAAAACACAAAAAAGTTAGCCAGGCGTGGTGGCGGGCACCTGTAGTCCCAGCTACTCGGGAGGCTGAGGCAGGAGAATGGTGTGAACCCGGGATGTGGAGCTTGCAGTGAGCCGAGATCGCACCACTGCACTCCAGCCTGGGCAACAGAGCAAGACTCCGTCTCAGAAAAAAAAAAAACAAAAAACCCACAAAACCCCCCCCAAAAAACCCATTCATATCACAACAACAAAAATTTAAACAGGAAGGGAGGGCCGGGCATGGTGGCTCATGCCTGTAATCCCAGCACTCGGGAGGCCAAGGTGGGTGGATCACTTGAGGCCAGGAGTTTGAGACCAGCCTGGCTAACATGGTGAAATCCTGTCTCTGCTAAAAATACAAAAAATTAGCTGAGCATGGTGGTGCGCCTGAATTCCCAGTTATTTGGGAGGCTGAGACAGGAGAATTGCTTGAACCCAGGAGGGGGAGGTTGCAGTCAGCTGAGACCGTACCACTGCACTCCAGCCTGGGCAACAGAGCAAGACCCTGTCTCAAAAAAACAACAGCAAAACAAAACAAAACAAAACAAACAAAAAAAACAAGAGGGGCACAGTTAAATAAACTGTGGCACAGTGAGGCAAATTCAAGCAGAGGAATTGCGCAACCATTTACAACTGATTATTTACACACAATATCTCATAGTGTGAGGAAAATCCATATAATTGCATGAAAAAGGAAGAAAAATGATATTGACTGAACTCAATTATTTAAAAAGGCATAAAAAACACTTGTAAAGAGAAGTAGCAAAATTGAATGCGGAACGCCTCTGGGTGGTGGAAATGTGAGTGACCTTTCTTTCTCTATGCTTTTCTGTCTTTTCCAAATTTTCTGCATTAAAAATGTTACTTTTATAATCAGAAAAAAATATATATTATTATTTTTTAGGTGTTGTCTCAAGCTGACCCTTTTTTCCTGGCATAAATTTTCATGATTGCTCTTGTTATTACAAGAAGAGAAACTTTCCAAGTGACTGAGTAGCCCTGAGCGGCATTAGGGATTCACCTACACGGGGTAGATTTAAACTGGCACAAAGGACCTTATAAGTAGGAATATTCAAAGGCAATTAGCTGGTAACAATATTATAATAGAAAGGGAGCCAAATAAATGTTTCCTCGACATCATTAATTTAGTTGTAAAATAGACTCAGAGTTACTCTGATAACCCCATATAAAGAAGGCACTCATTATAAAGACAGCCATGTGTTGAACAAGAAAATGTAGATGCAGAGATGGCTTTGCTGTACACAACTAAGATATTCCCACGGAGACAGCAGTTCTCAAAATATCACCCTCAAAAACAAAAGCTTCATCTAGGAAAACAATCCCAGTAAAATGCTAATTGAGTTGGTCCTGCCCACCTACCCCAGAATCCAGCTGTCCTACTCCTCCCTACTCTGGCTCAGCTAAATGCTGTGACCCAGGGCAGGCCACTCCTCAGAACTTTCTTATTTGCAAAGGGGATATAATAATTTATTTTAAAAAATGACTGTCTAGGCATACAGAGAAGACTGGACAAGAGAGCCCATGGGAATGGAGCTAGCACAGTACCTGGCAAGTCCTACTGATCCCATCTCCAAAAAAGCTCTTTCCTCTCCATTTCCACTGACACCACAGTCCATGCCACCCCCACCTGTCTAGGTGGTCTAGGTGATCATCACAGGGACCTTCCAATTGTTCTCTGTGCTTTCATAAAGCCATCCTCTGAGCAGCCAGCAGGACTTTTAACAAATATAAAATTAACTGTGTCACACCCATTTTAAAAAGCCCTACACTGGCCTTCCACTGATTTTGAATAAAACCCAAACTCCTTTCTATGGCCTCTAAAACCTTGCATGACGTGAACCTGCCTAAATCTGTAACTTCAACTCAAGCCACTCACCTTGCTTGCTACATCCTGGGCTCCCCCGTTCCCTTCGGTCCCTCCTAGGGGCCGTGTTGCCTCCCTTCTCTGCCTGGAACATTTTCTCCCCTCCACCCAACACGGATGGCTGATGTCAGCTCCAAGAGGACTTCCCTGATGCACCATCTGAAGGAGAAGCACCAAACTCTGCTCACCTCCTGTACAGCGCGGATGGAACTGTAAATGGTACATCGGTCTGTCTCCTTGTTTACTATTGTATTTCCCTACAGTGTAAGCTCCTTGAAGGAGGGGATCATCTGTCTCCAGTCACTATTGTTGGCTGCCCACCCAGCCCTCATTCCCTCCTCTCTCTAGCCTAACAGAACCCCCAATTTGTTCATGCCTCCCTCCTCCTCCATGAGGCTGACTCTTTCAGATTCCATCCCCAGAGCTGGGCTGGGTCCTCATATCTTTTTAAATTTTTTTTTTTTGAGGCAGAGTCTCACCCTGCTGCCCAGGCTGGAATGTGGTGGCACGATCTTGGTTCACTGCAACCTCCACCTGCCAGGTTCAAGTGATCCTTGCGTCTCAGCCTCCTGAATAACTAGGATTACAGGCTAATTTTTATATTTTTAGTAGAGAAAGGTTTCTGTCATGTTGGCCAGGCCGGTCTTGAACTCTTGGTCTTAAGTGATTTGCCTGCCTGACCTCCCAAAGTGCTTTGATTACAGATGTGAGCCACCACACCTGGCCTGGGTCCTCATATCTAAGTTAACCTGGTGGCCTCACTTCCTTGCCAGTGATGGGCTGGAGCAGAGGCATGGCATGTGACTCAATTCTGGTCAATGGCACTGGAGGAGAAGTCACCAGGAGAGCATCTGGGAAAGCCCTTCTGAATCTTAAGAAATACCCAGGCTGGGCGCGGTGGCTCACACCTGTCATCTCAGCACTTTGGGAGGCTGAGGTGTGTGGATTACTTGAGCCCTGGAGTTTGAAACCAGCCTGGGTGACAAAGTGAGACCTTGTTTCTACAAAAAATTAAAAAATTAGCTGGGTGTGATGGTGCACGCCTGTGGTCCCAATTACATGGGAGGCAGAGGCAGGAGGACTGCCTGAGCTCATGAGGCTGCAGTTTTGACTACCACCGTACTCTAGCCTGGGAAACAGAGCAAGATCCTGTCTCAAAAAAAAAAAAAAAAAAAAAAAAAAAGGCCACCTGTGGTGGCTTATGCCTGTAATCCCAGCATTTTCAGAGGCTGAGGTGGGTGGATCACCTGAGTTCAGGAGTTCAAGACCAGCCTGGCCAACATGGTGAAACCCTGTCTCTACTAAAAGTACAAAAAAATTAGCCGGGCATGGTGACAGGTGCCTGTAATCTCAGCTACTCGGGAGGCTGAGGCAGGAGAACTGCTGGAACCTGCGAGGTTGCAGTGAGCCGAGATCGTGTCATTGCACTACAGCCTGGCCAACAACAGCGAGACTCCATCTCAACAACAACAAAAATTTTTGCTGCCTTTGGAAATTGTGGTGAGGGTGTAAGGTCCACAGGTGAAATAGCAGCCACCCTGAGCTCATGAGCAAAGCCTGCCTGATGGCATGTAGGCTGATGCCTGCAGACTCAAGAATGAAAGGATAGGAAAGTCAGATTTCTTGAGAGTCAGATTTGGATGTGAATCCTGGCTCTGATATTGCGATATAATCAGTGAGTTTCTCAATCAGCCAATCACTGAACTGCCTGCCTCTGACCTTCCAATGCTCGATAATCAAGTTCATAATCATTTCAGCCAGATTTCTGTTACCCACAACTGAATGCTTCCTGGTACCTGACTCTGTTCCCACTACCTAAAGTGGTGTCTGGCACGCAGTAGGCATTTAGAAACCCTTGTTCAAATGAATTCATCAGGGTTTAATGTAGATTATTAAGAGAAAAACCTTGCTGTTAGTGTAGGTTCACTTCTATGAGAACAGTGTCTGGTTTTTGTTTCTTTTCCCTCTCACCTTTTTACTGTACAAACTACATTCAAATAAAAAGGAAGAAAAGAGGGAGAAAGAAGAAATTTCAAACACGGTTCTACCATGTATGACAGGACTGAGCTGCTGGAGTACAGGTTCTTATTGTAAACACAGATCCTCACGCCGAGACACATTACCAAGACGCGGTTCCCCAGATGAAATTTCATCCAGCTCCCCTGTGTGCCCATGCTACGCTTCTGCCTTTAGGGGCCAGTGCACCGGGTAAGTTTAATTTTTACAAATATCTCAGGAATAGGAAGACAATTTTTCTGTTGGTTATCAGGATTCTTGGAGTATTATCATGAAAGGTTTCAAATACATATGCAACACCCATGCTCAAATAAGCCCGTGGGAGGCAGCCTCGTGGTTAAGGGGCTTGAGAGTCCAATTTGGATTTTTATCTTGGCTCTGCCACCCCTATTGTTACAACTTTGGGCAAGTCACTTACCTTCTTTGGGCATCGACTTCCCCATTTGTAAAAAATAAGATTAAGTGAGATACCCATATGACATTTAGCTTGGAGCTTGGTATAGCATCAGTGTTCCAAACAAGCTATAATTACAATAAAATTGTTCATAAGATAATCCTTAAGTTTCATGATTCCTTAAAGAAGGGCCTTCCATGCGGAAGGACAGGGGAGCTGGCTAAATGCCAGTCCACTGAAATCTGGCTTCTCTGTGTCACCAAAGGCTGGCCTCCTTCCTAGAGGAAGTGTGGCCCAATGAAAAGAACACAGGTCTCAGAATCCGTCACAGTGATTGTAAGACTGGGATCAGACTGGGATCTAATCCCAGCCATATACTCACTGGCTGTTACCATGGGTTCCATACTAAATCTCTGCCCTTCAGCTCCCTCATCTGTAACAGGGATGCTACCATCCCCCGACCTATCCCGACCCACTGCCCAGTGAATCTGTGTAAGAAATGACAACGCATGGGAAGTGTCTAGTACGCTGCCTGGCACACAGGAGGGACACCACCCATGCCGGCTCCCTTCCATTTCTTCTAATATCAGTTCTCCCCAATTACATTCAGGTTAAAACCAGAAGTTCTCAGTACACAATGAATGGGGCCCTCATGGCAGGAGGGCACAGGAATGGTATGGTTGGCTTTAAAAAGATGACTAAATTGCCCAACAATGGCAAATATATATAATAAACCTACCCCACAAATGTTTTATTTGGTTTCAAGGCCCTGCTGAGCCTGCATCCTGCTACCCCCTTGGACATGGGGTCTGTGTTGCTCATTCACACAGGGAAAATTGGCGGAGCCCTCTCTCCCACCCAGAGCTGCTTCTTGTGCCCTCTGCCAGAGGATGGCAATGTCACAGGAGCAAGGGAGCTGCACAATGCCCAGAGGTTTATGAAAATACGTATCTGAAAAAGGGAATGCTGTGCAGAGAGTGGTCGTGTGGGCAGGCCTGGTGCATGGGAGCAATTAGAGCTGGTTTGCAACAACTAGTGCTGTTCTATTCAATTGCTTAAAGAATTGCCATAGCAACAGCAGCCACACATAGTAAAGTGGCAGCAAGATGGAGCAAACACTTGAAAAAGACCCTCTTTTACTAACCCTCCTCCCTTCCCCAAAATGAATAAAGGGCCATTTTGTTTCTCTGAAATAGTCTTCCAATCAATGTCCATACTTCACACCAAAGTGGGTGACCAGATGCCCATTTTTATTTTCTTCTTCTTCTTGGTGTTAATGATTACAACTGCAGCTCAGCTACCTTTTAATGAGCTCCTACTATGTCCTGGGCTCCGGGCTGATGAAAATATCACTTAATTCCTTCAGCTGACACTGACTGGGAGCATACTATATCTGCATTGGAAACATGAGACGTCCCGGATGCTGTCACAGCCTGCAAGAAGCTTGAAGTCTAGAGAGATGGAGCCACAAGCAGATTTGCTTTTGATAAGTGGCAGCATCTGAGCCAAGTCTTGAACAAACACTTTAAGAGGCCCCACTATGTGCTAGGAATACAGACGTGAATAAGAACTGAGCTCTCTTTTCCTTCCAAAAGCTCACAGTCTAGTGGGGCAGAGAAACATGGAGGTAAAGCATTAATGTGAGGCCACATCTAATTGCTAACATATGGGAGTTAGGAGACCACAATTGGTAACATACTTAACAAACCAAAACAGATTTCAGGAGGGGTAAAGGAGGGAGGGTTAAATGTTTAGAGAGTGTTGCCTCCGATCAGTCCATGGGCTAGGTCTGTTAGCTGTGTTGTGGATGAACAATACTCTAACCCCCTTACGTGTGACAGCAACAGGATGGAGGCCACTTAGGCTAATCCCCAACAGCATGCCATGTGCTCTGCTCAGCGCTCCACATTCCTCATCTTGTGGAGGCCTGCCCCACAAGAACCGTGCGAGGCGGTAACTCTTATTCCATGTGTATAAGAAGATACAGAACCAAAGCTCAAATCGTTGACTTGCTTTTACTGCTACACAGATAATACGTTACAGAGTTAGAGATCTGAACTCAAGTCATCCCAATTAAGGAACCTGTAGTATTTGTGTGTTAGGCTACAGATTCAGATCGATGGGTCACCAGGTGAAAAAGTTCACAGCTTGTTCTTGGAATATTAGAGTTGAAATTGAAAAACTGTACTTTCATACTGTAAAGTTAACCTATTTCTCATGAAAAGGAAAACTAGCCAAAAACTTACAGTGGCAGCTTGTGGAAGAGCGAAGGCCAGAAATGTTGGTGGCTCAGTGCAAAGGGCTCTGCTCCTCCATCTACTTTGACTTGGAAATGAGAATATGATTCCAAGGTCAGGCTTTAGAATCAACTGGCCTGAAAAGTATTCAATGTATGGGCTATATGCAGAAAGCACCTCGGTCTGCTCTTTGAATCAATATTATAGTTGATAAGCATGAAAACTCTTCTAGTCCAGAAGCTTGAGTTTCTATGAGGTGATCATGGGCAGAGGACCTGAAACTCCCTCAACAACTAGAATCTCTCTAACAATTAAGGAAACAAGAGAGCAGGCCCTTTTGTGCCTGCTGAAACAGCGTGATGACAGAAGGGATGACTGGAGCATGTGGTATTAGAGAAAAAGAGTGAAGAATCTGCTGGCATGTCAGGGATGAAAAATACACGTAACCCAGGGTGCTGCCTTGGTACTGAATGCCAGGTCTTTATTATAATTACCCAGGGGGAAACCTTACTCCTTCCTGATGTCTGTGGAGAAGAGGCCACTTGATGGGGCTTCCTCTGGATGCTCAGAGATACTGAGAATAGGGCATCCTACACTGCACAGAGTAGGCACTCAGTAAATAGTCTTTGGATAATAAACGAATCATGCTGTCAACAATATGCTTCAGCAAACACAATAAAAGGATTCAAAACCTCTTTCAATGATATCTGCGGGTTGGATGGTCGGGCTTATGATAGGAATAAGTCCAGGGTGGATCTAGAAAGAAAGGCTGCAAACGCAAAAGCCTTCATGGGTCCACAAGGAATAGAACTGAGTGAAGGCGGCAGGGTGTAAGACAACAGTGAGTGGTGGCCAACACAGATGAGCCATGCCCTGTCTCCAAATATTTAGAAGCATCCAATTAAAAAAAGGTTACAAACACAGCACTTGACAAACAAAACACATTTAAGGGCTGAATTTGCTGAATCTGGCCTGCAGGCTGCCAGTTTGACCTCTGGTAAAGTGGCAGATGAACCAGGGCGGTCTTCCCGACTGGAATCTCTTCAATGACAATGTCTCAGGCTGCCCTCTGATGGAGGCTGGGCAGTAACAGTTGAGGCTGTCTTTCAAGAGGGGGTCACTGTCCCACGTACTCAACATTTGTACCTTTGTGCTCTTTACTGATTGGTGAGCAGACAGTGGTATGTGCTCTTGTTACAGCAACTGGGGAATATAACCAAACGCCTACCTCCGACTTAGCTACCTTGCAGGAGGAGATGGGAAGAATTTCAACCCAGACTGTTTCACACCTGGAAAGCTAGAGAATTGCATTTTAATAACTGAAAAATGAGGGAAGGACAGGGAGTAGATAGGCACTGCATACCTCTTATCGCTAAGGCGTTCCATAGCCCTTGGCTCACTAGCTTCTCTGACTACCTTGGGAAACAGGCATAGTCACTCTACTTGATAGATAAGAATGCTGAGGCTCCGAAAAAGGAGGAGACGTGTTCGAGGTCACACTGCAAGTGAGCAGCAGAGCCAAGATCTGAAACCAGGCAAGCTGTCCTTCTAAGCACACCTTCTATTTCTATGGAAAGGCTGCATGGGAACCAGGACCCAGGGAGCAGCCCTCTTCAGAGAGAAAGTTCTATGCTAACTTTTAGGGCCTGCTATTAGGTAGATTCTGGCCTGCTCGGTTAAATTTACTCTTGTTGGGGGTAAGTGGGAAGATGACTACAAGGAAGGAACACAGCAAGAATCCCAGCCTCTTTTTTCGAGGGCATCTCTGAAAAACATGCTAACCATCAAAACTCCAAGAGAGAAGACACTGTTTGAGTTAGCCTCAATCACCTGTATACTCGTGTAGGTAGCAGATAAATGCCACAAGCCAGAAGGACAGAGAGAAGACAGCTTTAACCGGATCCGTTTCTCACTGATCAATAACTCACTGAACAATACCGGCTGGCACTATGACCCTGCTCTACAGGAGCTAAAGGGGAAAATAAGAACACACTCCAAACACAGTACAAAACAAGGCAGCTGGTGGAAAGTCCACTTTCTCCTCACAAATGGGTAAATCCCCCAGCATTAGGGCCAAAGAAAACAATAAACTTAGGTTCACCCAGCTAGTGCAGTCTACCTTTTTTTTTTTTTTTTTTGAGACAGGGTCTCGCTCTGTGACGTAGGCTGGAGTGCAGTGGTGTGATTATGATTCACTGCAGCCTCAACCTCCCAGGCTCCAGTGATTCTCCCACCTCAGCCCCTTAGTCACTGGGACTACAGGTGCACACCACCATACCAGCTAATTAAAAAAAATTTTTTTGTAGAGACAGGGTCTATGTCACCCAGGCTGGTCTCAAACTCCTGGGCTCAAGTGATCCTCCCACATTGGCCTCCCAAAATGCTGGGATTACAGGTGTGAGCTGCTGCACTCAGCCACTCCACCATTCTTTATTCAAACCTTCTCCAGTCTCCCCATACCACTGACCCTTCTCCCTCTATGCCAGTATCACTGCCCAACACATGCACACACATGCACACACCTGCACATGTGCACACACACACACACATATGCGTACACACACCCCCATGCCTGCTGTTAGATGGAAATTCCCTCTGACTCCTCATCCTTTCCCTGGATCTGGTCTCTTCTGGCTTCCTTTCCCATTGATACTCAAGAGAGCCTGCATTCTCAGTCCCACGGCCAATCCACTCACCTGGCTTCGCCATACCCCTTCCATCCCAGGGCCCTGGTCCTACCGAATACGCTTATCTCCCCAGGTGCTCTCTCATCAGCATTTCCATGTACTCAAGTCTCTTCCAATGTTAATACAACCAACAAACACTGGAACTCCCATGTCTTCCCTCAGCCCTACATGACCATCTGGTTGTCATCATTTTCCCTCTCCCCCAGCCACAATGCCCCGAGGGCTTGTCTGGACTCTACCTCCGCCACCTCGACATTGAAACTGGTCTCACCCAAGATCCCCAAGACTTTCTAATGGCTAAAACACACAGGGGACTTTCTGTCTTTATCTGATTAACCTCTCTTTGGTGGCCCTAGACATTCGCATCCCTTGGCGTTGGCATGTTATCCTGGATTTATCCTCACCTTTCTGAAGATTCCTTTTCTGACTTCTTTGCCAGCCCCTCTTTCTTTGGTAGTCTCTTAAATATACATTAGCTGTTCTCTGGTCTATGCTCTTTTCTTCTTACTTTGTACCTTTTCTCTAGCTAATTACCATCTATATGTTGATACAACTCAAATCCGTATCTTCATCTCACTCTTCCCCTCTGGTCTCCTGGATTCTCATTCAAAGCTGCCCAAGTGGACATCTCTTGGCTGTCCACTGACATATCAAACTCAACATGAATAAGCTTGAAGTCATCTTCCCTCCCAAACTGGTTCTTCTCCCTTCATCCTAGTGGGTGGGAATAGCCTCACCCAGTTACCTGGGTTGGTCTTGTTTTACTTTTCTCTCTCTTTTCTATTCACTCAAATCCTAAGCCCTGTGGATCCTATCCCTTCTCATTTCCCAAGCCCATCCATTTCTCTCCATCCCTACAGTCACTTCCCCAGTCCAGGCCACCATCTTCTTTCTGCTGGATTATGGTGACAGCCTCCTTGGCGGCTTCTTTCTCTGAGCTTGCCTACTGTTAATCATTTCTCTTTTCACACTACTACCATAGCCACCTTAAAAAATTCCTGTGTATTCATATAACTTCCCTCCCTTACAAACTCTTTCTCCACAGCTGTCCAATGACCTAAGGATTCATTTTAAGCTTCATGATGTAGCTTATAAGGTCCTCTCTGATCTGGTCCAAGACTGCCTTTCAGGTTCATCTCTTGCCACACCCTCCCTTGTGTCTGCTTCTCCTTCTGCCTGGAGGATGTTCCCTCTCACCTATCCCTGGCTACCCCACTCATTTATTCTTCATCTCTCAGCTTGGGTATCACTTCCTCCAGGGCACTTTGCTGAGCCCCAATTCCTAGTTGGGTACCCCCCTTGGATCTCCCGCACCCATCTGGAGGACTCATTAAGCTGTATTATAACTGCCTCTATGCTTGTCATTTTCTGCACTGGTCTGACCCATTCCCTGCCATCAACCCAGTGCCCAATGTGGTTACTATACTAACACACAAGAGGAGCTACATATGATTAAAACAATGAATGGATGAATGAACAAAAATCTCAAAGAAAGATGAATGCTAGAAAAGAGTTTGAATCAGCTTCTAACCTTGATTCTGCAACTAACTTGTGTTGTGCTCTGCGACTGATTGTTTAATGTCTCAGAATCTGTTCCTCATCTGTAAAACTGATGTTGCTATCTATCTCTCAGGTTGCTGTATTAAATGAGATGACATGTGAACGCACCTGCCATCACACATGGCTCATAATAGGCATCAGACATGTTTTAAAAATTAAGTGAAAAAGTCTAATTATTCAAAGAGAACATTTTGGGGAACATGAGAATAGAGCTGGCTAGTAAGACACACATGACCAGCACTCCATCTGCAATGATGAAAGAAAGCTAAAGGCAGGAGTCATGAACTCAATATCAAAGCTATTCTCTGCAAAGGAGCCGATTCCTCCAAAGACATTAAATTAGAGGAACTAAGTTTTGAAACCTTATTCTCATTACTTTCCTAGCAAGCTACTGAGAAAGTGAAGCCATTTTCTTCTTGGGCAGCTTCTCCAGTATACTGTTCTTGGGGGAAACCAATATTCTTTATTTCCTCCAGGACTGGGAGTTGCTTGGCAGAAACTGAGATAAAAACAGAAATATTTGCCATATATTTATTGCTGGAGGCTTATGGTGTGAAAAAAATCTCCACATGGATCCCTAGCTAGAATTTTAGAAGTTATCCTAGACCATTCCCTTTCCCTCCAGCTGCACATTTTTTGACTGACTGATTCTCTTCAATCTCCCTCAGATGTGTTCTTCTCACTCATTTCCACTGATCAGAGTTTTGAGCTGGTTTTGCTTCCCAGAGCTAATATAATGCCCTTCTCACTGGCCTCTGCCATGCTGTCATCTTCCAACCAGCTTCCTCCCTGCCTCCAGAAAGGGAAATGCTCCCTGTTTTAAACCCTTAAGTGGCTTTACTAACCACAAGGACACCCAAGCTTTTGGGTGGCAGCTGGTAAGGCATTCAAACAATTCCAAACTAGCCCCTCTTAGTGTCGTCTTTCAAAGACACACTTCATAGTCCAGCCACGGAGAACAACTTCAGTTTTTCCTAAATGTTTACCCATGCCATTCCCTCTATTTGAAGTAACTGTTTGCTTTCTGGAAAACTTCTCCTTCAAGACCCATTTCGAGTGAGTATCTCCTCCTCTGCCCTTGACTTACTCTGGCAGAGTTAATCACATCCTCGTTGTGTCACTCTCTTATTTAGCAGCTTCTTTCATTATAGTCTTCATCATATTGCATTGCAACTGTGTTTCATGTTTGTTTTCCTTATAGGCCTGTGAGTTCCCCTGTCAAATAACATATGACCAATGCAATATTTTTTTAAACAAATGAATGAATGACAAAGTAATGTATGTGTCACCCTCATCTTTGTCTATATTGCCCAAGCTGGGTGGTATGAGGACCTAAAAAATGTTACTGAACTATTTGAGACAAGTAATAGATACATTAAAAACAAATTATAAGAAATGTGATTTACAAAGAAACAATCTGTGTGAGCTTAGACCCCTTCTCCCCCGACTGTAGTGATACTCAGCACTCAGCACTCTGTGGGCGCTTAACAAATGTTGAATAACAACAATAGACTTTTTTTATATTTATAGACTAGCATTGTAAACATTTCATCACTTCCCTGTTGCTGAAAAATTCTAAGTTTAACAACATCTGCCCAATAAAATAAAACCAAAATTCTGCTACCGAGAAGAGACAAGTGGTATACAAACAAACCTCAGTAAACAGTCTATTTAGACAGCCAAAAGAACGTGAAAGATGGAAATTCTGCGCATCATAAAAGATAAAAAGGAACTAAAGTTTTCTTTCTCAGAAACAAGTTAGAATGAAAATGGAAAAGAGGCCAGATATAACTCTTGACACTTCTCAGGTCTTCTGGCACATGACATCCCACAGTCTGGGTCTGAAGTCACATTCATCTTCCCAATTCATCCACCCACATGATAGAATAATGCAGTGATGTGAAGCTACTTCACTATGCTAGGGTTTTAACTTTAAGGATGAACTCATGAATTCACAAAGGACAGAATACAGGTCAGGTGTTAGGCAGACATGGATTCAGATCCAGGCTCTACCTCTTACTAGCTATTTTACCTCGGGAAAAATCCAATCTGAAATTTTTCTTGTTTGCTTGTTTTTAATCCAGAAAATTAGGACACTATCACCTATTCTGAAAGATAATACTAAAGAGTTCGCCAGAACAAATAACAGAGAGATCAAGGGTAAAGGAAGATGAAAGAGCAGGTAAGAGCATGGCTAATAAATTGGGAAATGCCGACATGTTTATATAGGAGTTTCCAGAATAAAAAAACAAAAAACTAGCCTTGGCAGAGAAGTAGTATTTGAAGAGATAATGCCTGAGAATATTCTAGAATTGAAGAAAGACATGAGCCCTAGGTATCAAGTATGATAAATAAATCTACTTAGATGCAGCAGGGTAAAATCACAGAATATAAGGCGAAAGAGAACATCTTCAGAGTTCCCGGAGAGAAAAGATGGATTTTTCATAAAAGAATGATGACTGGATTGATAACAGACTGTTTGCCAATAGAAACAGATGAGAGAAGACAAATCTTCAAGGGGCAAAAGGAAAATAATTGTCAATGTACCGTTTCATACCCAGATAAACTATCCTTCAGGCGTCATAGCAAAATAAAGACATTTTAGTTTGTAGACTCTCACTGAAAGAAATATTAAAAGATATAATTCAGCAAGAAGAAAAGTAAACTCATGGGAAAATAATAGTGAACATGGATGTTGACTGTACAACTAACTACTGTCAATATTTTGTTAGTTTTTTTAAAAGTGAAGATAAAATTGCAATAACACTAAGATTTGTACATGTGAGTGTCCAATTAGTAAAGCACAGTAGTCCCCTCTTTATCTGCAGGGGATGTGTTCCACGACCCTCAGTGTATACCTGAAACTGCAGATAGTATCGAACCCTAAACATACTATGTTTTTCCTAAACATACATACCTATGATAAAGTTTAATTTACAAATTAGCCACATTAAGAGATTAACAATAATTAATAAAATAAATAGAACCATTATAACAATATATGGTAATAAAAGTTATGTAAATGTGGTCTTTTTCTCTCTTTCCAAATTTCTTATTGTACATAATATTTTTATGGTTGACCTTGATAACTGAAGTCATGGAAAGTGAAACTGCAGATAAGTGGAGACTACTGTATATCAAAGTCTTTGTATTGTTAGGAAGAGATAAAGATATTAAATACATTTAGAATTGTTAATTTATATGATTTCCATATATGTGGGTCTATTCTGTTTTTTACTATTCTGGGTTAGACTTCCAAAAAAATCTTTCTGGGAAAGCAAATGTTTCTTTCCCATTTTGTAGCCGTAGTATTCCTATGATATTTTACAAACAGCTTGCATCAAACTAAACTCATGTTCTAATCCACTTCGTAGAAGGTTTGTTTAAGATCCTCTCTCCCACTCTGCTTTCATTATTTTCCCAGCTGAATCATTTTCCCTTTCCTTTTGCCTTCCTTAGTTTTTTACATTTGGACTTCATTTTTAAAAAATCTTTTCCATTCCCTGAGTCTTTTTCTTCCTTTCACCTTTTTATTATGACATAGTTTCATATTTATGAAAAAGTTGCAAGAATAATAGAAAGAATTACCACCGACCTTTCACCCAGATTACCCAAAATGTTAACAGTTTACCACATTGGCTTTATCCTTCTCTTCCCCCCTCTCTCTCTACACACACACACACACACACACACACACACACACACACACACACACACAGAAGGCAATTATATGTGTTTTACATATAAAATGTCTTCCTAAAACATTTAAGAAAAAATTGCAGACATGATATCCTTTTACCCTCAAATACTTAAGCATTCCTAAAAATCATCACATTTTCACCACACTCAAAAACTTCAGTGACATGCTAGAAATAAGAAACTTAAAAATGGTAGCCTACTTTTACACATAGCAAATGGTTAAGAAATATATAAACCCCATAATAAATATGTCATTTTACCTTGAAAAAGATCTACAGTTTGTTTGTGGAAGGGGCAGAGGGTTGCAGCTTGTGAGTATATGGTGAAGTGGCGAGAAGAGGACAGAAAATCATAGCACCAGACATGGGCAGGACAGATGTGGCTTATAACATGTGATGAATGGAGGTAATTGGCAAATACCTGAAGGGTGTGCATGTGTGTTCTGTGCATGTGCATCTTGGCTAAGCTGGGGGCAATTTTCTTCATTCACTTAGAATTTTTCATAGGTGAAACCCTGTACAATCAAATGAATCAAATGAAATGAAATTCACATTATGCTCAAATTGCTCCCTGACATACTGATGGCATTGGAACATTGTGTTGTCAAAACAGGCATTATAACAAACTGACTATATTTCCTAAAATCAAGAATGTCCTCTTACATAACCATAGTGCGATGATCAAAATTAGAAAATTAACATTGATACAATACAAATCTAAAATTTGGACTTGATTCAGAATTCACCAACTGTCCCAATAATGACTTTTTATACCAAAAGAAAATCCTGGATCACACACCACGTTCCGTTGTCCTGTCCTTTAGCCTCCTTTAATCTAGAATAGTTCTTGGGTTGTCCTTTGTTGCAAGACATTAACATTTTGAAGAGTACAGGCCAGCTATTTTGTAGAATGTCCCTCAATTCAGGTCAAACCCTCTAGTCTTACCTCAATCTGTCATTGTTAGTGAAAGCACTGTTAATGACTGAAATCTTCCTGAAAGTGATTCAAGTATGAAGGTAGGCTCTATGTCTTTTATCATAGCACCCCTTTGAAAAATCAAGTGAAATCTACATTGGGAAACCTAGAAAATGGCAGTTACCCAACTGCCCTTAAAATAAAAGTCCCTTCTTTTAAGAGAATTAAAAACTAAAAGATGCACAGAAAACCCATCTGCCACAGAAAGTAAACTGGCTTCCTATAGCCCAAAGTATAGGAAGTACCTATCACTCACCAGACAGTTGTTTTTAGAGGTCTCACTATATCTTCTAAGAGCTGCAATGTGTATTAATCAACAAAAAGAAACTAATAAGGCTGCAGGCCAGAGCTCAGCATGAATCAAAGAAGCTGCATCTTAAACCTGGATAAATAATGCAGATGGTAGCTTCACCAGGAGTTGGCACTCACAAACAACAATCATGCACACAAGTACACATAGGACATTTTATGTAGGAAATGCAGGGTTACAGCTTAATGTATATCAAAATGAGAAAGAAAGATCTCATTCTGGCTTTCTCTATCTCTGCTGTTGAATTCTCCTGCAAAAGGAAACTCACATTTTCTACAGAATCAAGTCCTATCTCTGAATCCTAATTCTACCACTTACTAGCCACGTGGTCAGAGAGTGCCTAGCTCTGTGCCAAGCACATAGAAGGTGCTCAAGATATGTTTCGGTACACATTTTGAGAATGCTTTTACTCTATTTTCATGGTGGGCTTCTTTCTCCCACCTGGATTTTTATCTTGATTAAAAATAAAAAGGCACAAATTCATTCGCCCACTCTCTTTAGCACAAGAAAAACATGGCTATGGAATCCATGGGACTATTCCAATATCTTTGGGCATTCTGAGTTTTAGAACAGGAGAGGAAGAAATGGTACTGCACTCAAGCCTGGCTTTCTCAGAGCCCAGAGCTCACCTGCCATTTGCTGCACATCCATGGACTGCAGAAAGACAGACCTCTTGGATTTTGGAGGTTGGTGTCTGGTGTCTGTGTACTTGTACAATGTCTCAAGCACTGCGAACTGGAGGGAGAGAGTCTTCCAACCAGTCAGGTAGGTGGAGAGTGCTGGATGCTGCCACTACAGAGGGGGACCCATTGGAGATGCTCTGTTCAAAGCTGCAGGAAGGAATTTACTTGTCCAATAGAGTTTCTGAATTCTTTCTAGAAAGGTCAGTAAAGGGTAAGGGCTGTGAGTGGGATTTCCTGTGTTTAGTTACTAAAAATGTGGGAAAGAATGTTTACGTACATTCAAGCTGAACCACTCCCTCTCCTCCACGGCCACTGTGGAAACCCAGAACCTCAATATATGGGGTCAAGTCATATTTCAAGATCCTTGGAAAGTTTGAAATGTGTTACACTAGAGGGGTCTGGACCTCAGAATTTTTGAGCTGGATTTTAAACATGATATTATGAAAGACAAGATTTGGAAATTATTAATACTTCATCTATTTTGTAATTCCATTGAATGTCATTTATCACACAATTTATATGTGAAAGACTATATGGAACTTATATTAAGCAACATAGCATAACACAATGAGCATCTGCGAACCTACCCTCCTAAAGAAACAGACATTTTCGTCTTCCTCACATTGTCTTAAGAGTTTTTCCACTGCCTCCTCTTGCCTCTTCCTGCTGACCCTACTAAGACTTTTTCTCAATTCTGTTTCTGAGAATTTCAAAGTTTTACCACACATGTATGTAGCTCAAATAATGTTTAGTTTTGCTTACTGTTGGGCCTTAAAAATCAGTATCATGCTGTATGCTTCTAAGATACATTCATGTTGTTGTTTATAGCTTAAAGTAACTAGTTTTCATGGCTGTATAATATTTCATCACGTAAATATTATTCATCTACTATCTTTCAACATATATTTGAATTGCTTCCAGTTTTTTGCTGATAAGAACATTTTTTGTGTATGTTTCCTAGCCTAAATGTGCAAGAGTTTCAACTTTATAAGATAATGCCAAATTGTTTTCCAAAATTCTGGTACCAATTTACACTGCTGTCAGCAAAATGAGAGTTCTTGTTGCTCCACACACCTACCTCAGCAATATAAGTATCTGCCTTCCCGATTTTTGCTAATTGAATGTGTGCAAAACAAAACACTGTCTTGGTCTTGTTTCCTTGATTATCAGTTGAGTGTATTTTCCTAAGTTTATAAACCATTCATGTTAACTCTCCTGTGAAACGTCTGATCATATCTTTCCCCTGTTTTAGTCTTCATTGATTTATAGAAATACTTTACATGATCTTGGACGCCAAGCCTTTTTTGTCAGCTAAAGTTGCAAGTATTATCTTCCTGTCTGTGGCTTTTTTCCCCCCCTTCACTTGCTTTATAGTGACTATTTAGGACCAAGGTGCTACCTGGCCTTCTCTTAAGATTCAAAAGGACAAAAAGTTGGAGGCAGACCAAGAACCCAGAAGACATCCTTAATTCTTCTCTTTCCCTCATCGAACACATCAGCAAATCCTGTCACCTCTACCCAAATAACACCCCAAATCTGACCACTTCTCACCATTTCCACTGACCACAGTGGTCTCTCCCTAGACCCTTGACTATTACCTGACGTTCACTCTGTTGTCCCTACAGCCCTTTTCCCACACAACAGCCAAAATAAGTGTCGTAAAACTTAAGCTGGATCATTCTACCCTTCTGCTTAAAGTCACTCCAATGGTTTCCACGGTACTTAGATTAAAATCCAGACTCTCACAGCTGGGCATGGTGGTGTGCATCTGTAGTCCCAGGTACTCAGGAGGCCAGGGTGGGAGGATCGCTTGAGTCCAGGAGTTTGAGGCTGTGGTGAGCTATGATCGTGCCACTGCACTCCAGCCTGGGTGACACAAGAAACCCTGTCTCTAAAAAAGCCCCCAACGATTGAAACTCTCTTCCCCAGCCCACAAGACCCTTCACAATCTGGCCCCTGCCTCTCTCGGCCTCTGTCTCCTATGTTTCTCTCTGTGTTCACTCTGCTTTAGCCATGCTGCCTTGTTTTCCATCTCTGAAACAGGCCAAACTTGTGTCTACCTCAGGTTTCTGTACTTGCTGTCTGTTCTGCCTAGAATGCTCAGATCCCAGCTATTTGAATGCCGGTGACTTCTCATCACTCAGGTTTCAGCTCAGATACCACCTCTTTGGAGAACAGTACCAGAAAAACACCTCCCCTGGCTTTGCTACCCCTTTACAGTGGTTTTTCTTCATGGCACGCATCACTATCTGAACTCATCTTCTTTTATTTTTTGTTCATGTTTATTCTCTGTCTTCCTCCACTAGAATGTAAATTCCAAGAGGGCACTTACTACACTCATGAAAGATATTTTACCTTTCCTAGGATTTCTAAGGAAAAATTGGGAAAACAGAAAAGGGGGATTCTGGGAATCTGGCAGTGGTAGCAGCAGTGGTAGTATAATTGTTCAACCTCTTCAAACCTCCACATAAAAAAGGCAAACTGACTATATAGCAAAACCTCAAATATGTGCAATAGTTACAACAAAACCAGGTGAACAATGAACCCCCAAATGCAAGCAGGCAAGTACAAACCACCACCAAACTGGCTTCATGTTGGTATTTGCACTGACAGACCTCAGCACAAGTAGACCTCAAAACATTGGACAGGCATAGTAGCTCACATCCCGGCACTTTGGGAGGCCGAGGCAGGTGGCTCACTTGAGGTCAGGAGTTCAAGACCAGCCTGGCCAACATTGTGAAACCTCGTCTCTACTAAAAATACAAAAATTAGCCGGGCGTGGTGGCACATGCCTGTAGTCCCAGCTATTCGGGAGGCTGAGGCAGGAGAATTGCTTGAACCCGGGAGGCAGAAGTTGCAGTGAGCTAAGATTATATCACTCCAGCCTGGGCAACAAGAACAAAACTCTGTCTCCAAAAAAAAAAAAAAAAGAAAAAGAAAAGCTGTCAGCGACTTGCAGAAAGCTCAGTGAGTCAATCTGAGAACAGCTTCTACAAGTGGAAGTGTTTTGGCCTCTGCAACAGCAGGTCAGTGTGAGGGGCCCATGGTAAGAAGGACTGAAGGAGACCGAGCCGTCCAGCCTCCGCAAATGCTAGGAGTTCCTAGGAACTCCCGAGAAAATGCATGAGGACCTCCTTCCAGGACAGGGGTCCACAATGGGGAGAAACTGCTGGGAATGGAACCAAGATTGAGCAGGACAGATACGAGAGAGAGAGAGGACAGGAAATGGAGGTCTAGATCAAAGTAGGGGAAGGGAACCCACAAAACACCAGAAAGCAGCTGTCACATTATTGACCACCACCAAAAACAACAGAAGAGCTGTTAACTCAGTGAAGTTAGAAAAGCTTTCTGGAACTTCTTCTCATTCTAAAGTCAGGAAACCTAATTTCACATAAAAATGAACAACAACAACAAAACACTGAGATCAAATCCCACATAAGGTTATTATAAGAAAAATAAAAAGAGACAGAATAACAGCCTTGTACACAATGACAGCATGCCTGAGAGGTATGCCCACAAAACAGATTAAAACTACAACCTACTGTGTCAAAATGAGCTAAAGACACTAAGAAAATGGCATAAAGCATGAAAAACCAACATAAATCTGAATTACAAAAACCTAAAAATGAGGGGATAGAACTCAGGAAAATATTAGAAATGAAAACTCTTTTCAGAAATAAGAACTATATAAGAAAAAAAGAACTAGATTATTATATTCAGAATAAAGGAATATAAGAACAAATCAACTCAACAGACAATGCCTTAATAAAAACAAAAGAAAACCAGAAAACTTCAAAATTCAAAAATACAGCAAAAGGAATAACATCTCAATAATATATTTAAAAAGAAATAAAGAGATAAAAGAGATTTTAAAGAAGGTGAAAAATATTGAAAATAGGCAAAGAAGATTGAATATACGGCTAACTGGAGTGCCTGAAGAAGAAAAAGTAATAATCAGAACCAAAGTTAATTCAAGAAAAGTTTCCTGAAATTAAAAAAAAAGGATGTATGAAATTGTATTCCTGGTCTACAGAACCAGAACAACTACCAAAGTCAATCTAATAAAATTGCTGAACTTAAAAACAAAAAAACAAAGAAAAAACTCTTGGGCATGTAGTTAAAAAAAAAAAAGTGACTTATTAACAAAATAAAATTGAGATTATCATTAACTTTGACAGCAACACTTTGCGAGAAGAAAATGAAGTAACACATTCAAGATACTCAAAATAGAATGTATGAGCCAAGGATCTTCCATCCAGCAAAACTGACTTACATGTTTAAAGGACATAGAAAAGTGATTATCAACTTTTAACAACGGACAGAATATTGTTCCCAGGAACTTTCCTAGGGGATTTACCAGGGAGCAAGTGTCAGGCAATAAAAAATGACTGCAGAGGCATCACCATTAGGACTGGCAGTAACAGACAGAGTCCCCTGAAGACTGAGAGGGAGACAGTGTCTTGCGTAATGGCTGCATGCTCTAGCAATGTAAATACAGCGGAACTAGTCAAAAATGGGAGGAAAGAACATACCAAAAAATAGTTAAAAGGTTTTCTGTAATTATGCTCATGGTAGTATGTGTATTATTTTTGGAGATTATGAAACTAAATTAGTAATTCTGGAGTATTTTATTATTCCTTCTGCCCTTGAGAATCAGAATTTTCATATGGGAGAGAGGAAATACAAATGTAATAGAGAAGAGGTTAAGTAAAAGCTCTGTAGTCTTGAATTTTAATTGGAAGTATCAATATGAACGACAAGAGATTTACGTACATAAGCATATGTTTCCTAGCTCTGTTCAATGAAAAGGCCTAGAAACAATGGCCAACTCAGTAGCAATGAGTATCCTAAGCCAGGTTTTGGTCTTGAGATATAATTTCTCACTAAAAAGAAACCAGTGCTTCCTGAAGAAATGTCTGATTCCAGGTTTGGGGGTAGGATGTACAAGATAAGCCTGGAACCTCTTGTAATATCAGATAGCAAGAGAGCTATCAAAGACTACTAGGTTCATGTAGAAAAAAAGTACTCAGGTGTCAACCTGAAGTATTTCTCACTGACCAAAGATGGGAGGGTTTGAGTTTAATAAAATAATTATTTTAATAATTAAAAATTAAAAGTAATTAAATAAAAAATGACAATCGCAATGAACCAAAATCCATCAAATATGTTGAAATCCACCAGGCAATTATGTGTGTGAGTGTGTGTGTGTGTGTGTGTGTGTGTGTGTGTGTATGAATCCAAAGGTGACAACTCATACATATATATATATATATATATATATATATATATATATATATATATATATATGAATTCATACATATTTATGTATGTATCAATTGTCACCTTTGGAGGATGATAGGGAACCAACAATTCATTATATTAAAAAGTGGTAAATAAAGAGAAAGAGTCAAACATTTATTTTGCTTTGGCTTGTATGAACGCTAACACTGAGTAAATATTAAATGAGGGAAACTGTCTCTTTATAAAAATATTCCAACCAATAAATGAAAAACAAATTATAAGCTTAGAATATCACCATTTTTCAACTCCCAGTGAATAAACAGATATAGATATTAAACACATTGGCTACTAAGATCACTAAAACAGACAAAACAAGACCTGGTATGCCTCCTACAGTCTTGCAAAAGGGACTGAACCTCAGTCTATCCAATCTCTGGATCAACTGTCAATTAGCAGGAAATACAGGGGACAGAGGAACATGGTATGCCATCAGCAAAACTCACACAGTGGGAAATCACCACAGGCTTGAGTTCATACACAAATAAATTGTAAGTAAATGAAAGGGGTGGAGGAGGAACCTATAAGTTGAAAGAGAATTAAAAGTCATATATTTTTAAAACAGAAAAAGTCACCTATAGTTTCCAGGCATAAACATTTGGGTAATAAAACTATTTTTTTTTAATGCAAGGAAGTGATTACCATGAAATCAAGATAGTGGCATGAAATCAAGATAGTGGTTACTTATGGAGAAAAGGAAAGAGTTGGGATGAAAGGGGATTCTAGGGTGGGCAGGAAAGTTCTGTTTCTTGTTTTGGAAAGTGTTGGTCTTATAAAAATTCATGCACTTTGGGAGGCCGAGGCAGGTGGATCATGAGGTCAGGAGAGCGAGACCATCCTGGCTAACACGGTGAAACCCCATCTCCACTAAAAATACAAAAAATTAGCCGGGCACGGTGGCGGGCGCCTGTAGTCCCAGCTACTCAGGAGGCTGAGGCAGGAGAACGGCGTGAACCCGGGAGGCAGAGCTTGCAGTGAGCCGAGATCGCGCCACTGCACTCCAGCCTGGGTGAAAAAGTGAGACTCCGTCTCAAAAAAAAAAAAAAAAAAATTCATTACATCATCCACTTGATTAAGGCAGTTTTATGTTTTATTTTATAATAAATAGATTTTTAAAGGTATAGCGGTACCTACCTAGTGGGAAATACACTATAAAGATTGAATGCCAACACTTCTTTGTAAACAGTGTCAGCATGATGAGGATTATTACTGTATTTTCCACTAAAATACATACACTTTGAGAAAGAAAATCTTGTATCTACCCAACTGTTTCCTCATAGGACAAAATGTAAACTCAGCTATAAATTAAATGGTTACTGTGGTATATTTTAAAAACTAATATTAAGCTCTTACGAAGAGCCAGGTACCATGCTGTATTATCTAACTTAATCTTCACACCAATCCTGTGAGGCAGATTACATTTATTCTTCCCATTTTACAGATGACAAAACTGAAGCTAAGGAGTTAAGTAGCATGCCCAAAATTACAGAAATAGAAAAGTGGTACTTGGAACCCAGGTCTGGCTGACTCCTGTTAAGTAGGTTCCATCTCTTTTCTTCAGTGCCTGCCACTGGGCCTGGTACAGAGGAGGTGGCAGCATTTTTAAAAATAGAATTAGACTGTCTTGGTGAGTCCTAAAGATCAGGAAACAGGTATTAAGATGACATAAGCCACTCCCTGGAGCATCACTTTTTGGAAGAAGAGAAAAAAGAAGTGATGAGTTCCTTTGAGCCCAGCAGTCACAGAGACCCTCCTTTAGGACAGACTGGTCTCCTCAGCACTAGGGCTCGAGTCCAAGCTGGCAAGATGCTTTCTGCATCAAGACTAAATGTGTCTGTGAAACCAGAGAGACGAAAGAAACAGCTACATGCTGCTGACAGCAGGGAGTACGGCAAAAATGTTTTCTGTACCCCAGGAATGCAAAGTCACCACCCTGACACATTGAATTATCAGCTTTAGACTAAGAAGCAAGATGCTAGAGGAGTTCATGTTTCCTCCCTAGATGCTGGAAACCATCACCAAAGAGGATCGGAAGCAGCATGGGACCAGTGGAAAAACCGTGAGTTCTAGAGGCAGACAGACCTGGCTCTAGTCCGACTCTTTCTTCTTGGCACCTACCTCACCTCACCCAGGAGCTTTCTCTATCTTCTTCCTTAGCTTTCTTTTTCTGCATAACACTTATTACCATCAGACATATTATATGTTGATTTTCATCTTTGTTTACTCTCTGTGTCTTCCTAAGGTAGAAGAGATTTGAGGACTAGGACTTCATTTTGTTCACTGCTGCAATTCCAAGCATCTAGAATAGTCCCCTGGTTTAGTAGGGTCTTGGTAAATGTTTGAGCAAAGTTGTTGCATTAAGTAATTTCAATTCTCTCTGCTTTATGTTTCTTATTTAGCAAGTTGGGGATAATACTGTGTACATTTAACCAAGAAAATATACATAAAGGGCAAGAAGTAGGAGTTCAGTGAGTACCAGGTTTTTCCTACCCCTACTTCTTTTGCATAAACACTTATCAACCCAGGATAAAACTAATCAACCCGGGATAAAAGTTTCCCTTCAGAGAACAGATAATGACCTTTTAAGCTGGCAGCTGACTTGCTCAAGACAACCTCAAAACCTCCAGACCATTTTATTGTGAAGACGAGAGTGAACATTCCTCGCAGTAGGAATATGAGCAAAGAAAAGTCCCAAGCAACTAGCTTATGAATAATGCCAGTGAGCTGTGACTGATGGAAACAGGGTTGAGTGGAGACCTGCCAGGTCACATCACTAACAGGGACCAGCAAGCCAAACATAAATAATCTCCAGTTAAAGGGTTTCCAAAAATCCTGCCACGCCTCCATGGAATGTGACTGCTGGTGAATTGGGCATTCACTGGATAAAAAGTTTGCTGTGGAGGGCAGGAAAGATGCACAGAGGACGAGTACTTCCCATCTGCCATCGCATTTAATTCTGAAAACAATTTTACGAGGGTGGCATTTTTATCCCCACTTAACAAATGAAAAACCTGCGGTTCAGGGAGGAGGGAGGGCTTCCCAAAGTTTCATAGCTCTGAAAAAGTAGCTCTCCTGGAATCTCAACCTTCCTTAGCCAGTACCAAACTACAGTGCACACACAGTGCCTCTCCAACACTCAAATATTCCATCGAACACTTTGCAAGCTTTCCTCTACCTGTGTGCCTCCAGAAAGAGAATACATTAAGAAATTAGACATCTGTTAGATAGTAATTGGTAGCTAATAAAACGTCAGCAAATTCACTGAAGTTTGGGGGGTAGTCAATCAACATATGTGAATTTTTGACATTCCTGTTAGCTCCAGGCTAAGCCCATAAAGTTTTAAATACCTCATTCTTATTTCATTATAAAATAGAAACCAGCCAGACACATGTCAAGGAAGCTCTATGAAGGTATCGTTTAAGTCGAGATTCCCTTACCTATTGTACAGTTGAGGTAATAGGGTTCAGAAAGGTATAGTAACTTGTGTAGAGTCACACAGCTTAGAAAAGGCAGAGTCCAGGTTAGCATCAAGTCTAACTTCAAGTCAAGGGGTCTTTCACTTCATTATGCTATTCATTTGCCTGGGGAAGGGATGAGGGGGAGCGATCACCAAATAGCCTTATTCTCTGGGATCTGGCAGTGCTGGTTCTCAGCCTGCTTGACCTCAGACTCACCCCACTTTTCTGCTCTGCTCTCTACAGACAGGAGGGTGACCTTTGCACACTGAGTTCCCTGGGCTCCCAGATCAGCTGGTTTCCGCTTGGTTTGGCCCATGCAAGGCACCAGCGAGAGATTAGGAGGAGGAAAGTGGAAGGGAAAAGTTTGAGTATCTCTTCACGCTCTCTCTGCTTGGGTGGGCTGTCTAGCAATGGTTCACCTCCTCCCTGACTCAAGCACCCACTGCACAGACCCGCAGGGACCAGCTGTGGTCAAGTGACCCTGGCCTCTGGCCTCACGAACACCACCTCTGCTGTTACTAATCTCTGGATTGCCTCCCTGTCTTCTTTTGAATTTCAGCTCCTCCATCACTTGTGTAACCACTTCCTTGCATTATTTCCCCTCTGTTGTAAACAATGAAAGTAGTCTCTGTTGTCCTTAGATCCTGACTGACACACTGATTAAGCTGCTGGACCTAGAGGACCAAGTAGAGCAGCCTGCCGTCCTGAGCTGGGAAAGCCGAATGGCGGCTCAGCTCTGCGTCTCAGGACCACCTGTTGGCCCCAAACCTCTGTCTGGCCAGACAAGAAATGCTTTGGAAAAACAATGTGCTTTCCTGTTTTTGAGATTCCCAGTCATGGAACGGGTAAAAATGAACCCAGCTGGTATCCTAATTCCATGGTCTCAGAGCAAGAAAAATTAACCATCAGCCATTAGCTCTAGCAGTGCTTCGTAAACTGCTGTGAGGAGTACTAGATGCATGGAATGCTGATATGTATTTTGTGGAAAAGGTCTGAAAAATGCTGGGTTAAACAAAGTGATCCAGATTTCTCTACAGCTGGGCTTCAGTAGTGTACATTGTTAATGTATTTAAAAAGTTACAGTAGATGTAAAGTGTAACAATTCCAAATTCTATGGGATCAGAAAATATATCAATATCTTTGGGTCTAATAGTTCAAGGAACAGGGTTCTGGAAATGCTGGCTTATGACATTAGTGCTGAATCCTGTAGAGGCCAACACAGTCTCTTATGGCCTGGAAACTGACCACTCCTCTGCTTCGTCCTCAGCCACGCTCCTTCTGTCCCTGCTCCAGCCACAGGGGCACTCACAGTACCCGACCGTGCCACATGCTGTCAAGGCCGCTTGCCTCTGCATGTGCTACTTCCTGCCCCCTGCTCCTGGGGAGCTCCTATTCCTCCGGTAAGGCCTTATTCCAGACACATCCGTCCCTGGGAAGCTTCCCCGCAGCACCCAATCTGCAGTGATTAGCCCTGTGCTGAAATGTCTCCCAGCTTGCACATTCTACTATAGCAGTTCCCACCCCTTACTGCAACTCTCTGCTTCCTTTCCTTCTCTGCCTCTCACTGTCTTTAACAGTGACCAGGTCTTATTTGTCAGTGTGTGTGCAAGTCAGTGCCCTGGTCAGGTCTGCGGTGGGGACCACTATTGTAAGATTTCAAATGCTTGTTCCATGTTGTGCTAACAAGGCTTGACTATAATAGACTTCAAATTCACTATAAATCAAAATTCCATTGTTAATACAATCCCTAATAAATAAACCTTATATGAATGTGGCTTTTATCATGATTGTCAATAATTTGCTTTTGTAAAATCCTAACATCAACTGAAAAACAACCAACAAGAAATATGGATTAACACTGCTGTGAGAAAGCTAGCCACTAGGTGTCAGCCCAGGAAAAGAGGAGGAAGGGCTACACTTCCCAGCGTTTTAAGTTTTCATCCAATTATCACTACAAATATCAAATATTTAAACAACAAAATATTAGCCAATTAAAATTATCTATTAAAGGAATGTTTTAAAAAAGATATATAAAATTTTGACATTACCCCTTGCAAAATAGTTTATAAAGGTTGTTAGTTTAACCTGTATTTGTCAAGAAACACTTGTATAGATTAGAGAAATTGACTCCTAAGAGGGAACCAACTCAGTTTTCTTCTGAAATGCCCTCAAATCACATGTAATATGAACCACATGGTAATCACCATTGTGGAGTGCAGTCAGAGAAAAGAGCATGGTCACCAGAACCAGGCAGATGGAGGGGCCAATCCTGTCTCTGCCACTTCTTAAAAAGTGACAATCTTTCCTAGCCTCAGTTTCTCATCAGTAAAATGGGGCTGTGCATGCTCTCCACAGGGGGGCTGTAAAAAGGGGAATATATATAAAGAGCCTAGCATATAACAAATGCTGTTCTTTTCTTTTCCTTAAGACTTCAGGTCTTAATGATTTATTTAACGAAGCTGTTTTATAGCTTCCAAACAACTAAGGACATTATAAATAAGAACTATGTGCCAGGCGTGGTGGCTCACGCCTGTAATCCCAGCACTTTGGGAAGCCAAGGTGGGCGGATCACCAGGTCAGGAGATCAAGACCATCCTGGCTAACACGGTGAAACCCCGTCTCTACTAAAAACACAAAAAATTAGCCGGTCGTGGTGGCGGGCGCCTGTAGTCCTAGCTACTTGGGAGGCTGAGGCAGGAGAATGGCGTGAACCCGGGAGGTGGAGCTTGCAGTGAGCTGAGATCGCGCCACTGTACTCCAGCCTGGGCGACAGAGCAAGACTCCGTCTCAAAAAGAAAAAAAAAAAGAACTATGACAACTTCATTCATTCACATCCTACTGAGCACCTTCTATGTATCAGGTTCTGTGCCAAGGATACATGAGTAAACATGACATTCCACTGTCTTCTGGAGAAGGCTTCAATTTTCTTGTGGAAGGGTAGCCTAAGCCTGAATGTCATGTAGTCATATATTTCAGAGAATGCAACCGCACCCCACAGAAAATCAGTGAAGATATATATCCAAGAACTGAGGGTGGGGATGAAATCAACACAACTGTATCCTCTAATCATCACAGATATCATAATGTCCTATACAGAACAAATCCACCATCCCTCCATCAACTGTGTGCTGGGGGCATAGGAATAAGATCTCCTGTCTCCTGTTCTTTTTTTTTTTGAGACAGAGTCTCGCTCTGTCGCCCAGGCTGGAGTGCAGTGGCACGATCTCAGCTCACTGCAAGCTCCGCCTCCCGGGTTCACACCATTCTCCTGCCTCAGCCTCCTGAGTAGCTGGGACTACAGGCGCCCGCCACCACACCTGGCTAATTTTTTTGTATTTTTAGTAGAGACGGGGTTTCACTGTGTTAGCCAGGATGGTCTTGATCTCCTGACCTCATGATCCGCCCACCTCAGCCTCCCAAAGTGCTGGGATTACAGGTGTGAGACACCACGCCCATTCCCAAGATCTCCTGTTCTTAAGAAGTTCATAGTCTAGCTATGCATATGAAGTCACTTAGCACCATTTCAGGCTGCAAATTGTCAAATGTTATCATTGCTTGAAAATGGATCAGAAAGATTTCCTTTTCAGAGTCTCACTGAAAAAGTGAGAGACCCTAAAGTGAGAACATCTGATTTTAAAACACCAGTAGCAGCAACCGTTTCTCTTTGCCACTGCTTCCACAAAGATAGAGTATTTAAAACTGCCGTGGTGGCTTCAGCTTAATCCATGACTATAGTCCTCTCTTGTGTATTTCTAACTAGAAGAGAATATTTACTGGTCATGACAATTCTGCAGGAGATGATCCTCCCTAACTCTAAATGCCTGTGGTTAGCCACCATGCAGCTGCTGGGCTGTGCCTTCGCTTTACATTTACACATTCGTGATGTGGTGTTTGTGTGGCTTATTCCTCTCAGGTTCTAAGATGAAGCTGCAGCTGATACGTTTTAAAACTAAGTATTGGCCGGGCGAGGTGGCTCACGCCTGTAATCCCAGCACTTTGGGAGGCCAAGGTGGGCAGATCACCAGGTCAGGAGATCAAGACCATCCTGGCTAACACAGTGAAACCCCGTCTCTACTAAAAATACAAAAAAAAAAGTAGCCGGGCGTGGTGGTAGGCGCCTGTAGTCCCAGCTACTTGGGAGGCTGAGGCAGGAGAATGGTGTGAACCTGGGAGGCGGAGCTTGCAGTGAGCCTAGATCGCACCACTGCACTCCAGCCTGGGTGACAGAGCGAGACTCCATCTCAAAAAAAAAAAACAACAACTAAGTATCTCTATTGTGCAACACTGAAATATGACCACCAGCCTTTCTGATGTATAGCATGGGGAAACAGGTATCAGTCATTCATTTGTTCATCCAGTCAGTCAACATTTAATGAGCACCTACTAATACCAGACTATGTGAGGGACATCAATGTGTATAAAACATGGCCCCATGCTTTAAAGGAGCAAAGTAAGAAAGGAGCCAGGATTATTAAATGAGATCAAGTTAAAGCCTAGAATTCCTCCAGGATGGTGCAAGATATACTAGCTATGTTTTATTTTTCAAGTATTTCATATGAATTTCATTTGAACATATGGGAAATTTCATTTTGATCATATTCAGTTATGCTCTTTGAAATCATTCAGTTGAGATTGATCATAGTGTTTAAGTGGATTTCCTGCTAGTTCCCATCTTCTCTCACTTAGAGAGCTACTTTTTACTTGGGCAGTCTACTTCTAGAACAATGGTTCCCAGTTCATTGATCATTTATTGTGTGACTCCAAGGTAACAAGACTCTCAAACTGGGTTCTGAACAACATCAGTGTCCCTGTGACGTGGGCAGTGGAGATTTGGTGCCAATATTGAACAATGGTCATTTTTTCTCAATAGGCAACAAATGTTTTGATGAATTAAGCCTCAATTATATTTTCTCATATGCATTTAAAAAACTGACTGTAGGGCCGGGTGTGGTGGCTCACGCCTGTAATCCCAGCACTTTGGGAGGCCAAGGCAGGCAGATCACCTGAGGTTGGGAGTTTGGGACCAGCCTGATCAACAGGGAGAAACCCTGTTTCTACTAAAAATACAAAATTAGCTGGGCATGGTGGCGCATGCCTGTAATCTCAGCTACTCAGGAGGCTGAGGCAGGAGAATCACTTGAACTTGGGAGGCGGAGGTTGTGGTGAGCTGAGATGTCGCCATTGCACTCCAGCCTGGGCAACAAGAGTGAAGCTCTGTCTCAAAACAAAAACAAAACCTGACTGTAATTTTTTAAATGACTCTGATTTTCAACTCTTGGTACCTTCCACCCCTATTTGTCCATAATTGCTGGTGGGCAATAAAATGAATAAATAAATAAATAAATATTAAAGGAAATAATTAAATATGTGATTTATTTCAAATCCTTTATGTATCATTTGAGATAAAAGCCATACTTTCACAATTAGTTCAAAAGAAAGAATTAAATGGGCCAGAATAATTTCAGGGTGTTTTGCATGGCTCCAGGTTCTTGGGCACTTGTTGAACAAGTATGGACACCACTATTCTAGAATGTCGCAGTCTCATCTTTCCCTTCCTCCTTTACTTTGTCACCCAGGGATGGTCACTATCATTTAGTTAACATCTACTATCAGCAAGGCACTATGCTGGTGTTTGGTGCATATTATTGCTATTTTTCTCAAGAGTCCTGCTAGCTAGGCATTATTTACATCTTACACATGAGAAAAGTGAGTCTCAGGATGGTGAAGTAACTTCCAGAGTCATCTTCTAGTAGATGACAGAACTAGAATTAAAACCCAGGTGATTCCAAAGGCCATACTCCTTCCATCACATTCGGTGGCCTCCTTAGCCACTTAGAGCCACAGAGCTATAGTGATGGTCCCTGAAGTCCTGGGGCAGAAGCACCTCCCCTTATCCTTGCTTCATTCCCAGGACATGATCTTGACTTCAGATGACCACTAAAATGGGAAAAAATGTTAATTAGCAAGTTACCAGCCCCTTCTGCAGTCCCCTTTACACTCCCCCATCAATGAATCTGCTTAGCTCCGGCCTGTAGGTTTTGGCTATAATTCCTTATCCACTTGCCTAAAATATACCGGAAAATAAAACAAATGTTTCATGAACTTTTCCTACAGATATTCTTGGGTCCATATTCGTGCTTCCCACAGACACTGCTACCCACTTAACAAAAGCACGGACTCTGTGAAAAACATTTTGGAGGTTCCTCAAAAAGTTAAACGTAGAATTACCAGATGACCCACAACTGCGCTTTTAGGTATATAGCCAAATGACTTGCAAGCAGGTGTTCAACTATTAATTATACACACACATTCACAGCAGCACTACTCATAACAGCCAAAACATAGAAACAACCCAGGTGTCCATTAACAAGTGAGTGGATAAACAAAATATGGTATATACAGATAGTGGAATATTATTCAGTCTTAAAGAGGGCTGAAGTTCTGATGCATGCTATAACACGGATGAACCTGGTGAACATGATGCTACCAAAATAAGCCAGGCAAAGGGACAAATATTGAATGATTCCGCTTCTATGAACTATCTAGAATAGGCAAATTCATAGAGACAGAAAGTAGACTAGAGGTTACTAAGGGCTGGGGGAAAGGGAAATGAGAAGTTCTTGCTCACTGGATACAGAGGTTCTGTTGGGAGTGATGAAAAATGTTGCAAATAGACAGTAGTGATGGTTGCACATTGTGAATGCCATTCATGCCAATGAACTGTATACTTAACAATGGTTAAAATAGCACATCTTATGTTATATGTATTTTTTACATTTTTTTTCCTTAAAGCATGGGCTCTTTAGACAGACCTGGGTGTGATGGGGTGAGTCCCAGCTCCACCACTCCCAACCTGTGTGGAGGGTCACAGAGCCTCACACAGACACACAGCTGCACACACACATCAGTCCCTTCCAGGCGTCATGCAGTTTCCTCTTTCTCCCGGTTTCCTTGCTTCCTTATCTCTCATCTTGCTGTACTGTACATAGTGTCTTAAGGTTCCTCAAACCTATTTTCAGCACAAGATGGGGGCACAGACAAATTAGTCACATCCCTTATGTGTGTTCTGGGAATCCTCTGCTTGTCTGTGTGGAGGGCAGGGAGTGCGCACCCTCCCACCCATCAAGGGTTCTTGATTCTTTTTCCATCTTGAGCCACCGCGAGGCTGAGTCAACCGAAATCTGCTTTCTTGCGATGCTGTGACAAGTTGGCCCCCACAGTCAGGCTCCTGCTCACAGACTCAGTTCTTCCACTCAGAAGGCTTTGAAATACAGCATTTCAAAGCTTTATTCACAAAGATGTTTAGTGGAGTATTACTTATAATATCAAAAGACTGGAAATAACCTAAATGTCCAACAAGGGAGGGTGGTTATGGAAATTATGGTAGTTATACTTGATGGAATATTCTGCAGTTATGTAAAAATGCATATGAAATCTTGTTAAATGGGGGCGGGGAACTAACTTTTAACTGAGATTTGCTTGTACCTATGTAAACCCTTTGCATAATGAAAAAATAAAGAGTAAATACAAAAGGCATATGTAGTAAAAATCAGTGGGACTATGGTGCTGTTTTGATTTTACTACTTTAAAAATATTTTTCTGCTTTCCACTACACCAAAAACAAATCCGAAAACAGTTTTTATTGTTTTTTCATAAACAACTTGAGATCAACAGGGTTACTCAATCAGGACACAGATATATGTGGTGTTTTTCCAACCTGCTCCAACACAACCTCGTGCATTCATCCTTGAAAGCCAGGCTATCAATCTGCTTTTATCTCAACTTCTGCGTCCTCCAGGGGTTTTAGGTGGATAAATATGACTCAGCAGAATCACATGCAAAATCATGGGCTATAAGGTGGATGATACCAGTGTACCCACAGCTGAATCTGGAAGCTGGCCTCTTGGGATGAACTAAGCAAGTGGGACCAGAGTGAGCTGGCTGCTGCCTGTTTAAACAGTTTGCTTACTGCCCCCACCCAGCATTCGCTCCCTGTGGGCAGTAGCTCTGTTCCCTTTATCTTAGGGAAGCCCAGCTAGCAGGTTGGCCCAGAGAGGGCCACACAAGCTAGCTGAATAAACAGCTCCCATAGTGCTCCATCTACACTGGCCTTTCCACAGACACTGGCACAGAAGAGGACGCGTCTTCAAACACCAATACCCATGGGTTTTGCTCTTTAACCTAACATATACCAAGGACCTGCGGTGGGCCAGACATGGGGAGAGGAACCCTCACATGCACCGTCATGCAGCATGGGTTATGAAATAAGAAACTCTAAGCAGAAAAGGGGATGAATTGAAAGCACACAAATCTATCTGCAAAAGTTCTTTAAAACTGAGACCAGCGTGTGTGAAATGTGTTTCGAGGGGGGTGTATTAGCCTTATTCAGATTTCATGATGATATAATTTTAAACAAAGGAGTGAGGTAAAAGATTGTTTAAAAAATTCTTTCGTTCTCTCTAGGAAGGAGGAATATTCAAGGCAAATTTTAGAACCATACTGCTACACATATCCTCCAAAAGTTGCAATCTTCTACCATGCAGAGAAAGGACCCTCGGCCTAGCAATTAAACTCATTTGTCTTTTATCCCCTTCTTGCCAAAAAGGACCCCAGCCCTAACTAGTTAATCCCTAACACACACTGCTACTCCCAGAGTTGCCTGGCAACTGCTAGGAGGCGTGTCAGAGAGCAAGAAAGGCCTAAATAAATGAGCTGGAGCCTGGGCTGCCGCTTGACATGGATAAAGGGGGTTTCTCTGGATGGGGCTGCCTGGCTGCTGGTAGCTCTGTCATTTAAGTCGAGAAGGACAAGTTGGTTTGACTGATATTGTTAAATATCTTGGGCTTTGCATCTGATTTTCTCCAGGTGACCGAAAAATGGGCCACATGCCCTTGTGATTTGCAGACACCTTCCCCTCTATCAGGAAGCAGCAACCTCTGAAGCCCATAGATAGGACAGGATGCAATGTGTATGCACCAGAGGCCAAGTGGAGCCCCTCTGCCTCAAATGCTTCCCTATTCCCTAATTTCCTTCACCCATTCTCCCGTCTATTATTCCAAAATATATTCACTGATACCTACACACGGTGCCACGACCTGTGCCTGGTATTGGAAATGCAGAGAGTTACTAACACGGAACATGTGGAAACTAGAACAAAGACAGGCGGGAGGATGTGTTGGAGGGAACCTGGGTTTGGAGGCTGTCTGCTGGCTCTGCTGCTTCCTAGGAATCACTGCAGCCTTCGCTCCATCCCCTGTGTGTAAAGGGCTAGTGAGGGGCTGGGATGGAGAATTACTGAGAGCACGGATGGGAAGCAACTCGGAGTTGAACTGAGTGCTGACCCTGTGGGAGGCCACTGAGGTGAACTTGGCAGTGACTGGACACCCCTGGCATCTCAGTTTCTGACCCTGAGAGAGTCCTTTGGAATAATTCACCCGGCCCTGAAGACACACATCACCAGGGAGCCAACACTGGCCCTCCCCGCCCTGAGCCGGGCACCCAGCCTCCCCAACAAACCCGCAGAAAGCACAGATGGGGAGGAGAAGCCTAGCTCCTGGCACAGGGCTGGGCCTCAGCAAGCGGTCCCCTTCCTTCTTCCTTCTGGATCTGGTAAAGAAAACAAAGCTCAGGAGTCCCCCAGCCAGCTGCATTCTGAATTTTTTCATTAGGAAAGAGAGAGAGAGCGAGAGAGAGCGAGAGAGAGCGAGAGCGAGAGAGAGAGAGAGAGAGACAGAGAGAGAGAGAGAGAGAGAGAGAGAGAGGCCAAGGTGGTAAAAATCTCAAGGGAGCTCTGAGCCAGGGAAAAGTTCTTCAGACGTGACTGCAGAGGAGGAGATGCCCACCTCTGCTTCTCAGGCCAGAGCTCGACCCCTCCTTACAGAGCCAGGCAGGCCACGGACTGGAGCTGTCCCCCAACGGGCTCCAGACTGGCAGGGTCCTCCTCAGAGGGAGGAGGTGGGCGAGGGCAGGGTTCTGCCCATCTTCCCAGGGCCGTCAGGACAGGCACCGTGCTGGGCTTATTTAAGCCTCACTACACTCCTGCAAGGAGGGGATTACACATCCACCTTATGGAAGGGGAACTGAGGATTGGAGAGGTGAATAACTGCTCAGGGTCCAGGGAGGCAGAAGCAGAGCAGACAGGAGCCCGCTTAGGTCCCTCATGTTTCTGTTTCCAACAAAACACAGCACTGTGACTGCAGTAACCTGACAGCCATGACCCCACCTCCACCTCCCCCACCTGTATGGGCAGTACCCCAGGACCCTGCATGGTGGGCACTGTTGTGGAGGCACTGTGAAGCAGGGAGCACAGGTGAGCCAGAGGGCTGGTAGCACTGCAGCTGGGCTGCCCTGCGTGGCGTTCACATACCTGGCCTTCTACCCTGCAGGCTCATTCTGCCCCCAGTGACCTACTGTTCTCAGGCCCTGCCCTGGCACCCGCCTCAGGGGCCATTCCCTGCAGACATCCCCCTGTGTCTGCTCACCAGCTTTCTCTCACACCTTATGTGCCAAAGGCCTTAAATGGACTCACATCCGTTTACCCAGTAAATCCATGTCAAGGAATCCGCCTAAGAAAATAATTCAAACCATGCATAAAGATTTATATAAAGATGTTTAGCACAGTGTGGTATCATGAAACATTACTGACAATCAAAAAGACCAGCATGCCGGGCACGGTGGCTCATGCCTGTAATCTCAGCACGAGATTTGGGAGTCTGGGGCTGAAGGATCACTCGAGCCCAGGAGTTGAAACCAGCTGGGCAACATAGCAAGACCTTATCTCTACAAAAATTAAAAATAAATTAGCTGAGTTCAGTGGCATGCACCTGTAGTCCCAGCTAGCTGGGAGGCTGATGTGGGAGGATCACTTCAGCCTAGGAGGTTGAGGCTGCCATGAGCCATGATCATGCCACTCCAGCCTAGGCAATAGAGCGAGACCCCGTCTCAAAATAATAATAATAATACAATAGTAAAATAATTTTTTTTTAAAGACCAGCACTAGGAAAAGATGGTGGGCCTTGGCTCTGATTTCAGATCACAGGAACTTGACAGAAATCTCTGAGGGGGGCCTGGACATTTGCCTTTTTAAAAGCCGCCCCCCCCCCGCTCCTCATCCCTCCGTGATTCTGATCCGCGGCCAGGGTTGGGAACCACAAGGGTCACCTGATAGGCTCTGCTCAGCCACTGTCAATGATGTCTAAGAAGAGTTTTTATGTGGTGTGGAAAATGCTTACACAAACTAAAAGGCAAAAAAAATATTAATAACTAGGATACTGGATTGCTTTCTCAGGCATATCTCATCTGCCTAGAAGGAAGTTAAAAAACCAAAACCCAAAAATGTAAAAACAAAAGAAACGAAAAATCCTAGAAGCTGGATGGAAACCTGCCACCACTGTATCTCACCTTGCGACGATAGGATTATGGGTGGTGCTTTCTCATTTCTAGTCCTGTTACTTCAAACCTTTTTTTTTAAGAGTTAGTCTTGCTCTGTCACCAGGCTGGAGTACAGTGGCACAATCTTGGCTCACTGCAACCTCTGCCTCCTGGGTTCAAGTGATTCTCCTGCCTCAGCCTCCTGAGTAGCTGGGACTACAGGTGCGTGCCACCACGCCCAACTAATTTTTGTATTTTTAGTAGAGACAGGATGTCACCACGTTGGCCAGGATGGTCTCAATCTCTTGACCTTGTGATCCACCTCTCTCGGCTTCCCAAAGTGCTGGGATTATAGGCGTGAGCCAATGAAGAGCAGGTGCTATTTTTATAACCAGAGAAACAACAAAAAGACAAGTGGCCTTGGGGAGGGCCTCAGCACACCCTGGCAGGCTCACTCAAGGCACCATCCTCCCCCCGATGCAGCCAACGCCTCCTCCCTATTTCTTGGGCTCATATGTACTTTGCAGTCATTATTTTAAACTAATCCGCTCAACATTTTTAAAAGACAGGGTCTCACCCTGTTGCCCAGGCTGGAATGCAGTGGCACCATCTTGGCCTACTGCAGCCTCAAACTCCTGGGCTGAAGTGGTCCTCCTGTCAGCCTCCCAAGTAGCTGGGACCACAGGCATGTGATACTACATCCAGCTAATTTATTTTTTGTAGAGATGGGGTCTCTCTATGTTGCCCAGGCTGGTCTTAAATGTGCCACCATGCCTGGCTGCCCCAAGCAATCTTACATGGGGAATGTTGTTACATCATATTTTAGAAGAGGGGAATTTGCCAAAATTAAATCTATAGTTTAAAAACCATCTAGGTGACATGGTGATGACCACGACTTGAAGCTTGGTTGGAAAATTCCAGGCCTTCTGGTTTCCTTCTCCACCTTATGGAAGAAAGCCATTGTGGTTCAGATGAACAGGATTGAAAGGCTGACAGGTCTGCCATATTTCATTGATTCTAAGATGAAAATTACTTCCCATTGTAACATTTCTGAAATCTGGATGTGTCTTATAATTGGTGGCATCCTTCGATTATAATTGGCACCACTCTTTTCCCTTTCTTAATGGTACATAAACTAATAGTACATCTTATGACTGAACAGCATCTTACATTCAAGGACAAGTGCCATGTCTCCATCTAAATCCATCATGTTATCTCTAAGCTGATAGAATATTACATAGCCATTAAAACTATCATAAGACAGACTTTAATTTATTTCACCAGTTACCTAACATGGATACTCAGTATACTCCAGTGTTTTACCATTAGAAATGCTGCTACTGTGAACACCTTGGCATTAAGCATTTCCTTTTGCAACTAGGGGTGTCTTCATCCTCTCCTAGGCTCCAAATCTTGGGAGACATTTTGACACTTCTTGCTGTTCATCTCCCATATTTGATCTATTGCGGAGTCTTGCTACTTCCTCCTTCATGGTCCCTGTTCCTGGTGGAGCCACCCGGGGCTCTCTTCTGAGTTCCCATAACACTCCTCTAACTGGTTTCTCTGCCTCCAGCTCTCCTTTTAGTCCATCACTGTACTACTGCTCAAAGGCAACTTCAGTCATGTCACATTTCTGCTCAAAAACTTACACTCCTCACAGGGTAAAGTTCACTCTCTTAGCGTAGCATCCAAGGCTCCGCCAAATTTGGCTCTATCCTCTCCTGCAGCCCCATCTCCCCACCCAATTGCTCCAAAGAAAATGGCGCACTCACTGGCTATGAGGGGCCCTGTCTCCAAGCCTTTGCTTCCTCAGTTACCTCCACCCTCACTCTAGGAAGGGATGCTCCCTTCTTTCTTTTCCCAAACCTTACTCATCAGACCCAGTTCAAGTTTCACCTTCCTGATGAAATGTGTTATGGCTCAATTGATCCTCAGGAAGGACAGGCAGGCTTATCCTCATTTCACAGATGAAGAAACTGAAGTTTAAATGGATTAAATGGCTTGCTCAACTTTTAGACAGCTAAGAAGTGCAGAGCCAGGCTTGAAACTCCAGGGCTTCTGTCCTTAAATCCAGTGCCTTCCAGCACCTTGTGCAAGTACAACGATAAACTCCTCCCGTGGAGGAGCCTGTGCCCAGATCCTGCAGCAGCAATATGTCCCGAACTTCAGCTGCCTTTGGATTCCAGATGCACACAGGCCAACAATGAGATCACTGCAAGAGTGAAAATACTTCAAGTCTGTCCATTCCCAGCAACCCAAGCAAAGGATTGGGCCAGTTGTCCTATTCATTCCCATTTTAAAGGGGGGAAGACAACTGTATTTTCCTTGAATTGTGCCAGCTGTCACTGCTTTGAACCTGATTGGTTTGGCTGGACCCAAGATCGTGACAAGTAATCAGAGCCATGTCACTTTGAGACTAGCAGGACACTATCAAGAACTGGCTTTAAGCTGAAGGGCTTTCGAGAAACCTAAGGGAAATATGTCTCAGGAAGCAAAAAGAGAGTGTATCCCTTCTGCTATGTGAGCACACAGTGACGATGGCACTGCCCAAAGCTCAGGCAGCCTAGAGAGTAAGGCCTAAGTGCTAGATGGATAAAAAGGAGTAGGAGGGTGGGGTTAGGACGCTGCTCCCTGAGCACCCACTGCCCCGGCCACTTCACAGAGAGCAGGTCCTGGGTGATGGGGAAACAAGGTGTTTGCTGTTACTCTTTGTGTTTTACTTGAATACACGACGGAGTCAGAGCAGTAAAGATACTTACCAATGTATAATTGCGGCTTACAAGGAAGCGTGACCCCTGCTCACAATCAGAATTTCTATAAAGAATGCATTGTCTCACATCCCCTCATCTTTTGTGATTTGATCTAATTAAATGCTATAGGTTAAAGTAAAAATAGAAACAAACAGCCCCGGCCTATAGGCAGTGAAGCCAGTGCTGGTCCCTTACACCCAACTCTGATTCTGACTCCGACTAGGCTGGGTGTGACAGCGTCACTCACCCGTTCAAGACGAAGGCAGCCCTGTGCTCCTGGGAGAACAGGCCTGTCGGCAAGGTTTCCCTCCAACATTCTCCCCTCTGCAGGGTGACCCAGGTCCCTAGGCCAGTTCCTGCATTCTCCTCAACCAGAAAGCCAAGAGTAGGCCGAGGAGAGAAACAGCAAAGAAGAACTTCTCTCTGAAGCTAAGAGGACTGCTACTGCCCTTGGTTTCAGAGAAGACCTGCTGTCTTCACATCCTTGCAATCACGAGTCACTTCCTGAGGCAGGCAGGGGACATAGATAAGTCAACGAGGCCCAGAAAGGGGGAAGGGCCAGAGGTGGGCAAGGTCACTTCCCGGTCTTCATTGTGGTCACTTACACCAAAACCACTCTCAGGAGCCATGAGGCGTGAGACCCAGGAGGCTCTGCTTTCTCAAGCGTGGAGGAGCGGTCCCGTGAAAGAACAGGGGTGGCGAGGCCCAGTGGGAAAGCAGGGGCTCCGGGGCCATCTGGCTTTTCCGGGCTAAGTTGTTTCTCTTCCCTGAGTCTTGGTTTCCTCATTTGTAAAGTGGAGCTGATCACCGCTACTGCACAGGTGCACTGTGAAGCCCCAGGGAGAGCAGGTGAGTGTGAGGGGCCTGGCGCTGCATCTGACACGCGGTTGGGGCTTACTGTCTAGGGTGGTGCACAGGGCATAACAGCCCCCAGAGCAGTGAGGGTCTCACACATGATAGCACAGCCTCCTTGTGTTGAGAGGTATGGCAAGGGGAGTACACTGTCCCCCACCACAAACACACACAAGCTCTTCTAGATGAATCTGGAAACCAGAAGAATCATGGCATTTCTTGTGGCCCCTGAGGTATGCTTCTCAGCCCTGACCAAACACAGGCTCTGTGACATGCCAAGGCTACTCACCGGCTCGATTTTCAGAGCGTTTCGGTAGCTACCGAAGAAAGCAGCCTGGGCCTTGAGGAACGCTCTGGCCACACCATCCCCAGTGGTTGTGGAGACCTTTTTCAGCCTGTTCTTCAGGGAAGAGATCTGGTGATGGAGAGAAGGAAAACACAGGTTGAGGACAGGGTCAAAGTAGGGTGGCTGACTAAGCCCACTACATATGGAGCCCTGGAAGATCCTACGGATGGCAGGATCCATTTGATACCTCAGTTACTGGGAGGACAAAAACGTGTTCAGGCTGGGTGCAGTGGCACACACCTGTAGTCCCAGCTACTTGGGAAGCTGAGGCACGAGAATCACTGGAACCCGGGAGGCAGAGGCTACAGTGAGCCGAGATTGCGCCATTGCACTCCAGCCTGGGCGACAGAGAGAAACTCAGTCTCAAAAAAAAAAAAGTGTTCAGAATTAGGGCATGTTTTTGAAATTTAAATGAATGTTGTTCCTATTAGAACATGTCTAATAAAAACAAAAACAATTTTTAATGACTTACTCCATGCCAGGTAAGCACTTTTGCATACATTTTACAATTTAGTTATTTTAACAATCCGGTGAGGAAGGGATTAATGTTCCCATCTTACAAGGGTAAAACAGCCTCAGGGAGGTTAGGCTACATACCTAGCAACAAACTCAAGACATGGGCCACATTCCAATCAAAGTCTTGTAGTCTGGGCCCAAACTCAGACTTTCAGTTCCCATTCTATCCCCTCTTAAAGCTACTTACAAATGTTAGAATAAAGGCTTATTTATATTTCTCACACATCATACTCTAAAGGAAGTGTGGCAGCTTATACTAATAGACATGTACTCAAGAGGTTAAAACAAAAAACTCGGAAGTGATGGTAATGGGCAAAGAAGCACGTAATACATTTGGTATATAAATGTAAGCCACCAGGTCTTACATGGTGGCTAGAAATGAGCTTAAATTTGACTTAAAAGCCTCCTAGTAGCCAAAGCAAGGAGGGAAAGATGAAGGTTGTGAGACTCCACAGGTCCACGTACTACAAACAAACCCGTTGGCCAAATGGAATAAAGATTTTCCTGAAAAGTGAGACATAAAAAACAATGTAGGAAAGACTGTGTGACATGGTGGCTGTTGCCCTCAACATCAAGCTTCCCGGACTATTTCTAACATGCCCTTCATTCATCTCAAGATGCCACGCTTCAGAGCACACCTTTCACGCTGCGTTCCCCATAAGAGGAATTGTGCGACGTGGTGACCTCGAGTTATCCATTCACTCAGCAAATATTTATTATTTCCTATGTACCGAGGACTATGTTAGGTGTTGAGAATGCAAGGGATACAATGAAACCACACGTGGGTCTTGCCCTCATTCAGCTGACATTCTAGTGAGAAAAACAGGAATGCATGTGCCATTGCTACTGTGACGAGCCTGTAACAGAGCTTGTCAAGAAGGTCAAGGAAGGCTTCCTGGAGGGCAACAAGCTTGCACTAAGATCTGAAGGATGGGTGAGGGTGGTTAACTCAGCAAAGAGGGGTGAGCACCGCGTGCTAAGTACGGGGAGTGGTGTGCAAAGGCCCTGCAGCGAAGAAGAGTTCAGGGAACAGAAAGAACCCTGGCTTCGGTGGCGAAAATGAGGGGAATATGGCTTGAAATGAGGCTGGAGAGAAAGGCAGGGGCCTGAAGGGATTTTTTTCCTTCATCTTGAGAGAGAAACAGAAAACTAATGATTGGTTTTAAGCATGCAGGTAACATATCAAGAGCACGTTTCACAGAAACTAATTCTGTAAGAGACCAGCTACTGGTATGACATCATTTAAAGACAAAACTTAGGATAAAATAGAAAATTAGATTTAGGTGGTCCATGAATCCTTTACAGATTTTTAGTATGAATGAGTGAAGATTATTTTTCTGGGCGCAGGATCCACAGCTTTCCTCAGATTCCTAAAGGTGCCTGTGACCCTAGAAATATTAAGAATCACTTGCTGAGAAGTCTGGGGAAAAAAAAATCCGACCTGGGAAGGACTAGATCATACTTTAGAAATGATCCACGCACATTAGGTCTTGTACCCAAGCTTCTGATAAGAAAAACTTTTAATAGCTTATTGAGACATATTTCACATATAAAATTCATTCATTTAAAGTACACAGTTCGGTGGTTTTTAGTGTAGTCACAAGACTGTACAACCATCACTACTAACTCCAGAACATTTTTATTACCCCCGAAAGAAACCTCATACTCATTAGCTGTCACTCCCCATTACCTATCAATTTTTCCCCCACACCAGACCCAAGCAACCACTCACCTTCCTTCTGTCTCTACAGGTTGGCCTACTCTGGACATTTCATATAAATGGAATTAACAATAGGTAGTCTTTTGCCATCAGATTATTTCCCTTAGCACAGTGCTTTTATGAACAAGGTTCGTCCATGTTGTAGCATTGTGTCAAGACTTCATACTTTTTATGGCTAAATAATATTCCACTGTATGGATAGACCACATTTTATCGATCTGTTCATCTGCAGATGGACATTTGGGCTGTTTCTACTTCTTGGCTGTTATGAATAATGCTGCTACGAAGATTCATGTGCAAGCTTTTGTGTGGAGACAATGGAAATTTTGAGGTGACAATCTGAAAAGCAAAAATCCTCTGCCAGACCTTATGCAATGAAGACAAGCTGGAAGGATACATGAAGTCACCAAGCACAGTGCTCAGTGCCTAGGAAGCCATTCATAAATGTGAACTGTGTACAGGAAAACAATCCTTTGCTGTTGATAAAGGGCGTGCCTCATGTTTGGACACTAAACTGAGTGAAGATGGGACTGATACCCTCCTCTGATAAGTTAGAAGCCATGGGGACGTGCCCAGCGCTTTGGGAAGCCAAGGCAGGAGGATCGTTTGAGGCCAGGAGTTCAAAACCAGCCTGGGCAACACAGTGAGATCCCATCTCTATAAAAAATATAAAAAGATTTAGCCAGCCATGGTGGCACCTGCCTGTAGTCTCAGCTACTTAGAAGGCTGAGGTGGGAGGACTGCTTGAGCCCAGGAGTTTGAGGTTGCAATGAGCTATGATTGCACCGTGGCACTCCAGCCTGGGTGACAGAGTGAGACCCTGTCTCAAAAAAAAAAAAAAAGGAAAAGTAAAAAGCCCTGGGAACATACACTGAGGGGGTAGTTATCCCACCTCTACTCCAAGAGGGGACCATGGAAAACAATTCCTTTGGAAGCAGTTTGAAGTCTACCTCAACATCCGGGTATCTATAACTGATTTATTATGACCTCCCCTTATCAAGGACACATAAGCCCCAGCCCCACAGTGATGAGAGCCCCTGAGGAGCAATGCAGGCCACTCAGCACCCAGGCTGACTCTGCCATGGACTTCCACCTACAAAGAGAAGTATGAAAAAGCAGCATGCTCTATTAACATGCTAAAAATACTACCCACTCCCTGCCCCTGCCCCCAAAATAAAAATAAAAATCCTTCCCCTCCCAGGGACTACAGTGACATTTCCATCCTTTGAAATGGTGCAAGCCACTGTCGCTCTCCTTCTGGCTCCTCAAGGGCCTTGGGCCACCTGTGCCGCAGATTATTCCTCACTTAACCTTCCCTGGCCTTTCTCTTTCATTCGGGAGGTGTTTAATTACCTTGGATTCACAACGCTGCACTTCAGGTGAGCCTCTCCTAATGGCCTCATTACCATTTTACACAAAGAAGGAGTCGTTGATTGTAACTGAGCAAATACGAGTGTGTCCCTTCCTGCCTGCCCCAGCTGGTCTGAAACTAGCCAAGTGGTCCTGGGCTCCTGATGCCCCTGTGACCACTTAGGCCAGGACTTCTGAAGACCTCTTGTCACCCTGAAACATGGAGAAGCTTTTGTCTTGACCTGCCAGCACCTCAAACTTTGAAACTGCAAGTATCTGTGCATCTGATCGCTGGGGAGTAGCATTTGTCCTTTAAATAAAAGTAAGGGAAGACAATTTCAGGTTTAAACAACACAGAGTCATATATCTAAAGCTGAACTTGCCCTCAGTACCCCGAGGGGTGCTGGTCAAATCATTAACATCGGGATTCATCAGGGGTAATTTGGGTGTGTTGTAAGTGCTGGTGAGGATGGCTTCCTCCTTTAATCGGGTGTTATAGGAGGAAGACAAGGCAAAGGAAAGAGGGGGCAAAACTGAACTTGCCAGCTTCTGTCTAAGACGCCCTTTCCCCTCTGTGTGCCATCTTGGTTACCGCAGCATCATCCGGCCAGTCTCCTGGGCCAGGCGTCAGATGTCAGATTCCCTACTTCTCCCTCCTTCCCACAAACATTCTCCACATCTCCTCAACACCAACCCAGATATGCCCTGAATCCATCCTCTCCTCTCAGTGCCCATGACATTGGCCCTGCAAATTCAGCTCCATCACCCTCTCTGGCCCAGACTAGTGGAGCGGTTTCCTCAGTGGGCCTTCTTCTGCCTTCAGTTTCTCCTCAATGCCATTCACCCATATCTGTCCTAGTAATCTTGGAAAAATCCAAATCCAATCACTTTGATCCTCCATCAAAACCCTTCGGTGCCCCCGCCCTTCACCATCATCACCTTCAGAAAAACATCCAAACTTCCACGAGCAGACTGTGCAGGCTGTCCTCCATCAGCCTCACTTCCACCTGCCCCACTTAATGTTAAACTTGGATGTCCAGAAGCACAGGCTACTCTTCAGCCCATTTCCATGTCACTAGCTCAGTCCTGGCTGTCTCTTGTCCCTTCCTGTCCTGCTTGTGAACATCTATTCAGCCTCTGAAAGACCATCCAAGTCTCCATCAATGGGGGCCTCTGAAATACATTATCCCGCATCCTCACCAGGAAATATCACATAGCTGCCAAAAAGGACATGGCGGTACTCTATGAACTGACACAAAAAGATGTCTGTCAAATACTGTCGAGTGAGGAAAAACATGCAGGTTGCAGAGTAACATGTACAGCATGAACCATTTAAAAATTATATATAAATATATATGCAGTAAAAATCTAAAATGCTACATTACCAAACTTTAACCATGCAAGGATGCTTTCACTTTCTATTTTACACACTTGATTGTTTTGATTATCCTTTATAAAAAAGCATATGTTACTTTTATAATAAAGAATTAAAATGAGGTATTTTTCTTTAATAGTCAAATTACCCATTGCCTTGGGTTAAGGGAAAGAGGGAATCCAGATGTCCCCCCATCTGTGAAGCCTGCCCTGACCACTAAGTCTGGGCCTCCTTGGACTGAGCAGGTGGTTCCATGGTGAGCTGCAGTTTCTACCTCCTTTCCTGATGGACTGAGTTCCCCGCAGGGCCAGCAGCCAGCACAGTTCTTGACTCAGTGTACTCATGCAGTACTTTCTGCCAAATGAAAGAACGAATGAGCAAGTGCTTGACATTGTGAAAGGCATTTTCAGTGGCTGAGCCTCTCTGCTTGGAGGAAAGTCTAGGATCACATTCTTTAGTGACGGATCATTAGAAGAAACTGGTCTCTGTTGGAAAGGATGGGAAGAGAAAGTGATATTCATTCCTCTTCTGTAGAATGCCATTGCTAAGACACAACCACAATGGCAGGAGAAATGAACATCTATCTGCATGCTGAATGAGTCAGAGGGAACAAGGAGACTGGTCTTATACAACCACAAACTTACCACATCCAGTAACACACACAGTATTGCCCCGGCCCTGCCTTCACCCGACCGTGTACCCCTGTTCCTCCTTTCACTGGTCACTGTTCTCAACCTCTCAGGTCCCCTGGCTTCATCTACTCCTCTGTCCCCACTGCACTCCTCAGGCAGTAAAACATAGAGTTTGAATCACAGAAGCCTAGGTCTAAGATTGGCTTCGCTGGACCTGGCTTCCCTACTTTCTTAACCTTTCTGAGCTTTAGTTCTTTGGCTGTAAAATGAAGTATGTACAACATGTATACATTGTGAGGAGTAAAATATAATGGATATAAAATGAAGAATGGATGTAGTAGAGTGCCTGGCTTTTTTTAGTTTAGATTCATCTTTTACCAGTACTATTACAACAGTCTTTGAGCTCGTATCTCTTCCTCTATTCTCTTCCTAGTCTAATTCATCCTTCGCATTGAATTACCTTCCTAAAACAAGAGGTTATATCATGTCATTCCCTCTAAAATTTTTAGTGGCTCCCTACTGTGAATATAATAAAGTCTAAATTCCTTAGCACAATATTTAAGGCCTGTTATGGGCTTGGCTCAAGCTCCATTTGCACCTTTGTCTTCTACTTGATTTCAAAGGCCTCAAAACCCATTCGCAAACCTGGGATATTCTTTATCGTATTCTCTAACAAACTTTTTATTAAAAAATACAAGCCTCCAACTTTCTGTCAGAACAAATAGCTCTTTCTCAGGGCATGATGGCCTATTCCTTTGTTGATTCCTAATCTTTGCAGGTCCCATGCTGGAGATGTGCTGGAAACGGAACTGCAGAGGAGGGAGGGCCTGTCTCCCAAGGACTTCCAGTTTAGCCCCTACAAATCGGCTACAAGTTAGCTTACTGCTACTTCAGAAGGGGTTCTCATGTTGTATAAACCATCATCCTATTCTTTAGCCCTTTATATACCAGCAGTTTACATGTCTTTCTCCCCAGGAGAATGAAAATACCCTTTTAATACACATTAGTGCTCAACAAGTAGAGTGTTTTTCCTTTATCACTTGGTTGCAACTTCTGGGGCCTGGGAGTGGATGGCAGACTATTGAGTGTTCACCTCTAAGACAATCCTATCTATCTCTTTCCATCAATGCTGGCACCTTAAGATTTCTCAGCTCTTCTCCACTGCTCTGGAGAAAAAGACTAAAGCCCTAGCCTGGCCTGGAAGGCCCCGTTTGATTTGGCCAGTCTCTGAGATGAGAGGCTCTTGCATCCTCCTTTGTGGCTTTAGCCACCCACACTGGGCTCCAGTCCCACTGGCCTCCCCCTTACCCCAGGACCTTTGCATAGGTTATTTCCGGTGTGGAGTGCTCTCACCCACCATTGCCCCCCTGCCTAGAATTCTGCATTGTCCAACAGAACTTTCTGCAGTGATGGAAATAATCTGTCTTCTATCCAATGCCATCCAATATGCTAGCTACTACTGAGCACTTGAAATGTGGCTGGTGTGACTGAGAAGCTGAAACTTTTATTCTATTTCATTTCAATCCATTTAAATTTAAATAGCCATATGTGAATAGTGGCTACCATATTGGACAACACAGGGCCCTAGGTTGACTACTACTCATCCTTCAGGTCTCAGTTCAAATATCACTTCCTCTGTTGAACTGCTGAGGCTAGACGAAGGTTCCCCTATTATACATTCTCACTGTGTCTTTCATTTAGGGACACACAACAATGTATAATGATGCATTCTGCAAGAATCCAATTAATGTCTGTCCCTTCTTTTTTTTTTTTTTTTTTTTTTTTTCAGATGGAGTCTCACTTACTCTGTTGCCCAGGCTGGAGTGCAGTGGCACCATCTTGGCTCACTGCAACCTCCGCTTCCTGGGTTCAAGCAATTCTCCTGCCTCAGCCTCCTGAGTAGCTGGGATTACAGGCATGTGCCACCACGCCCAGCTAATTTTTGTATTTTTAGTGGAGATGGAGTTTCACCATGTTGGCCAGGCTGGTCTCAAACTCCTGACCTGAAGTGATCCACCCCCATTGGCCTCCCAAAGTGCTGGGATTACAGGCGTGAGCCACCGCACCCGGCCTAATGTCTGTCTCTTCTATTAGACTGACCAGTCTAGGAAGGGAGGAACCATGTCCACCCTCAGTGCTGGCGCACCTCATTGAGAGGTACAGTTCTAAAAGCCCGGCTCAAGTTAGTCTGTGCAGGTACTGCTTCTCTTTCCTGGGAGTTGCATTAACTGCTGGGTGTCACAGTTGGAGTTGAAAGATTTTTTATTATTATTATTACAAATTAGACACACAGCAGCAGGTGTGGAGGGGCAACAGAGTCACATTTTCCTCCCCCCTTTAAGGACTAAGGCAAGTTGATTAATTCTTCCTTACCTGGATAAAGTAGGCATCAAGGCTTTTTTCTAAAGTCCCATAGGGAATGTGTGCGTCTGGAGAGGGGAGAAAGGATTAGTGACTTGTTTTCCCATCCTCAGGGGCACAAAAACATTGGCTCCCTCTGCCACTTTCACACTGGCAATGAGAAATGGCAAACTGTCACTTCCATTACATAAGCATATCTACCTATGCCTTCCTTAGTTCTTGCCTCAAATTCAAAACAAAAAGTCTTAATATGTCAAAGCAATAACACCCTAGTCTCTTTCCCAGGAATAGTTTCTGTAAGAACAAGAAATTTATCAGGAGAAAGGAACAGAAACCAGTATTTATCAAGCACCCTACTAGTTCCCAAATGACAATGACAAGTATTTTCATATCCAGTATTGTATTAAAATTTCAGAACAAATGGCCTAGGTAGGCACAGCTATCCCCACTACACAGATGAGGAAAGTAAGACCCAGTTCCACATCACACTGACAGTAAGGCAAGGGTGGAAGCCAAAGTCAAGTCCAAGTCTGTCTTACTCCAGAGTCTGTGCTAGTCCATTGATTCTCACTGCTGCCAGGGTTTCTTAGACCACCAAATTAGATATGTCCATGATACTGGTTTATTTTTTCCCTGATTTAATATATCTCCATTATTGTTTCCTCTCATTCCTTGCTTTCCTGCTTCTTTCTTGAGAACATGGTTGTACCTTGACCTCAGTTGGCTTTAATTGCTTCTTCTGCATCCCATTCTCCCCTCAAAGATCCTGGTTCTCCATGGGGGAGTGAGGGCTGTGCTATTTATGTGGAGTTCCATGCTGGAGCTGGCTATGACCCTACGAGCCCGGGTCTCTGCTCCCTCCCTCTCCCCTGACAACTTGTGGGCTGTGTATATGTCAGAAAGTTAGTGGCAAGAGTTAGAATTCCAGGCAGCTTTTTGTCAGACAAAAGCATCAATTATCATTATGTGAATGGCTACTTCGTTATGTGCTATAGTGGCTCTGCTGAGCATCCCAGGAATAAGCTATCAAATCCTTAGAATGACATCCTTGGAGTAAAAAAGTGCAATTTTAAAACAAAACCAAAAAAGGCCTGTTTCCACTATCTGCCAAATAAAGCTCAGGAGGAGTCTTGCCCACACATATACACTCCAGCCCTCTCCCCATGAGATTAATCTGAGTATCTCACCATTTGAAACTGAAACACACAGTAGTGAAGACTTTTGTGTTTTTCTATTTGTAAACCTTACCTTCCTCCAAATACTTTTTTTTGTTGGCCCAGAGTAAGTGAAATTATCTTTGTTTTCCTTATACAACAATTTAGCTTTAACACACCACACACACACACACACACACACACACAAACACACACACACAATTAATGTAGCTAGAAAATCCTACCCAAGCTACAGGAGACTACAAGATCTGAGCTCAAAGTAAATGTGTATTTATATTATTAGGTGGTCATTCCATAAAAAGATTGCTTCTAACCAAATATGTGCATGCATGTATGCATACACATACACACACATATATTTATCCGGGGAGTGTTTTCAAAGAAGGGTTTTCCCCCCATACTTCTGGCAGTTCAGGTTTAAAGGTCAGATTTAAACTATCACCATGTTTCACAATGCAATCTGTGCAGTGCCGCGTAATGAAATGGTTCAGTAAAGGTGCTCATGGAAATTCTTTTAATTAGGTCTAAGGCTTTTCAGTTGTCAACATGAATAAACCAAGAAGCATTCTCTTGCAAACACAACACACAAAATTAAAGTGTAAGTTACCTTTGAAAAAACTGATATGCACTTGCAAAAGGAAACTTATATGTTTTTTACAACACAACATCCACCAATTTTTTTTTAAAAAAGTGGACCAATATCTTTCAAGAACAAAATGGACTGCAAACCAAAAATAAAAGGATTGCTCTATTTCTAATGAACCAGAACATTAATGCCTTTTCTAATGGAAAGTATTTGGAGGAAGACTAAAGTTAATCATAATTAAAAATGTTTATCAAGAGACTAACGACTTTCTTCATGAGCAAAAGCCACCTTTCCATTTAACTATAATTAATTCTACAGATCAGCAGTATCTCAGTCAGACATGTGAATGTCTCACAATGACTCTGGCAAATTGAATGACATATATTAAAAATGAACCAAAATGCACTTCTGCCCTCAGAGCCACTATCTGAGGCCCAAAAGATGAGCATATCACAGCAGGAATGCCACCAAGATGCCTGCTTCCCTAAAGCCGTGTTAACAAACTAAACCATAGAGGTGTAGAAATTTTAACCATCAGTTCACAGCTAGAAATTGAAATTCACAAAACTCTAAGAAAACAGTAGGTTGCTTGGGGCACTTGGGTTGTATTTGCACTGAGCTTTGAGAGAAAAGCAAAACTAAAACTATTCCAGTCACCACCAGGAGTTCAGATTTAGATGAGTACAAAGGTGTTCACAAATGCCAACCAAACTTCAGACCTGACATGGAATGAGACAACTCAGATGGAGCAATGGCAGCATGTCATAAACATGCATAATAAATCAATGTCTTGATTGATCAATGGATGAATATATTCTAGTGACCTCTAGGCATGAGGGGACCACACTTTACAGTACATGGATTTACTCTGGGCTCAGCCCGACCTGAGTTCAAATTCTGGCTCTCCTCCTGGCAATTATCTGGATGCCTCTAGGCAAGTTACTTGGCCCCTTTTCTTCATCTATAAAAAGGGGATAAAGTACCCTCCCCTTCTTTTTTTTGCAGGATTCTTATGTAGATTAAATGTCAAGATTTTCAAATCCCCTAGCACAGTGCCTGGCACACTGTAGGGGCCTAATCGATGGTGACTATTCTTCTGCGCTAGCTCAACTCCAAAGCCAAAACTACCCAAGCCTTTATTTTAGCATCGAAAAGAATCATGGGTTCACAATGAACATATTCTAGGGCATCAATTACTGAAATGTCACTCATTATGCTGAGCCTAGTGGATTTACTTAGTGACCCAAACTTGGTGTGTATTTGGGAGTTAATGAAGAGCTTGGTGTTTACAAAGATAAAAGTGGGGTTTGTCTCAGCCACAATCCTGGGCTGAATGGATACAGATTTCCCTGCTTAGGGATGTGGCCAGGCCGGATTCATGGTGGATCACATGGATACATCCACACAGAGCGAGATATCTCCCAAGGGGATCCGGGCATCTCCACCTCCTCAGGGGAGGAAAAAAAAACAAAACAGGAAGGGGGGTGGGAAGTGTGTATAATAGATGTGTTTCACAGTGTCCCCGCTGTGATGAACAACTTGATCCACTTACAGTTCCAAACACATGATGCATAAAAGAGCTGACAGAAATTCAATTCTTGCAAAGAAAAGCATCTGCTCTCTAGTGGGAACGGCCAAATATTAAGCAGTTTTAAGGCAGGGCAAAGACCTAGAGGAGCACACTTCATTATCTAGATAGCTAGAGTAAAGAAATGCAGAGGATTACAAACGAACGAAAAAGTAGCCAAGATTCCAAGCATTAATTACCCGGGGTAAAATGATTCAAGTTAAATCTTTGTTACGACAAATATTAAACCCAGCTGTGTTTATGTAGCAGTTGTGAAAAAGAAGAAAAAAAGAAATCCGTGTACAATATCTGTGAGCTCTGCCAGTTAATTGAATTCGCTGGCAGCACTTCCTCCACCACGAGCCAAACATCCTCAAAGATAAAATGTAGCTTTTAAACAGACCTGGGAAAAACAGAATCAAGAAATTTCAACCAATAAAACACAACTCTTTACTGGTATGAAAGTAAAGTAAAATTCAGTAATGAAAGGAAGGAAGTCTCTTAAACATTTACTGCATTCCAAAGCTTGGAATTGTGGTTTATTGCTGAGGTCTCTTCTGATGTCCCACAGTGCTCCTGCTCCAGCATCTTTAATGAAGTCCCATAAACTCCCATAAAATCCTCGATCGTTGACAAATCATACACACACGCTTAGGGCAAGGCTCACTGGATCACGATGCTCTCTTCCTGAATGAATGAAATTTACAAGTCACAGCATGGACAGTGTCGCCAAGTGGCCCAAGACAGAACAGGGATGGACAAACAACTCCTGAAAAGCACAAGGGATGAATGACTGGATGCTGGTCACAGGTGCTACTAAGAATTCTCTCTAGCACACTGTCCCCTGACCCCAAGTCCAATATCAGTAGACGTGGGGTGGGGGAAAGCTTTGGTCAGATTCTAGCAACCAGCAAAGCAGCAAGAGGTGGGATCCAACACTCGACCCTTAGTCTGGGACTCCTGGTAGCATGAATTTTATCACATCATTCCCTGGCTTAATCACCTTAGTAGATGCCCCACTGCCCCAAACTTGAAGTCCAAACTTGTTTTTGTGACCATTCCCAATCTGGTCCCTCCTGTCTATTTGGGTCTCATCTTTTGTCCCTCCCAACCACACACCCTATGTTCTAGCCGTAATAAACTGTTAATTCCTGGTTCACACCTCCAACCTCCATGCATTCAGTTCTCATCCCCCAGTGTGCTCATCGCTCCTTTCCAGGAAGGATGACTGTTTCTCAAGTGTTTCCATGTCCCCATGGCTCAATACACTGAGCATACACCCAAAAAACTTTGGCTAAATGAATAATGAACAAATAATCTCCATACCTGAAGTGGCTATAGATCTGCCCATCTGGAAGACTCTGAACTAGAAACATCCAGAGTCTCCTGTGTATGGAAGCAAAGCTGTCAGTAAAAAGTATAAATGGGTAGAAGAGCAATGGCAAGAGATGAGGTAGGAGAGATGGGCAGAAAGTGGATTACAAAGGCCCATATTATGGAGCCTGAATTTCACCAAGAGAAAAATGAGGCACCACTAAAGGTTTTCAGTTGGGGAGTGGTCTCCATGCTCTGTAATACACCTTTGTTTATAGCCTGGAGGATGGATGGGGACTGGAGAAGTGGGGGCAAGACTGGCAGTCCAGCCTGCATTAGCTTTTCTACTAACCAGCCTGGGACCTCACTGAGAATAAAGGTTATGTCTTAATCACCTCCATACTCATTATACCCAATATAAAGCCTAGCACATAGTAGGTGCTCAGGAAATGCCTGCTGAATGAATAAACACTCTATCAGAAAATACTAACAAAAATGCATTAACAGGGTAGAAGTATCAAGTCCATAAAAAGGCCTAGTCCCTCGCTTCTGGAATCAAATGCATTGTTGACTCACAGGGAAAGATCACACACCAGTTCCTACAAGCCCTGTAGAATATCTCGAGAGTCTGAGGGTTCTGGGCCTTTAAAGAAATATGGCGTGGAGAAGGCCAGGGCTTGAGATAAACATGAAGTCTGTAAACACGCCTTTAGATCTAAAAGAAGGAGTATTCTTGCCATATTTTTCCTCCAAAATCCATAGCTAGGGAACAATGCAATATTGTCAGTGAAAACACTACTTTGGCAACTTTCATGGAACATAGCAAGGTATAAGGCATTAACCTTGCCAACCTCATTTTTTTTTTTAGGGTAAAACAAAGCTAACTCAGACAAGATTATACATTTGAGACTAAATTGTCTAGGCATCTAGCACAAAGCCGAGCCATCCTGCCTCCAAAGTAACCCTTTGCTCATGTACATAAATCATCTAAAAATCAGCAGAGTTGTTCTGAAAGCTACTTAATATTGGAACTCCACCTTTAAAATTAATTTCCAAGGCTGCTACTTTTAAAAATTAACTAAGTCATAACTGATATATAATAGAATGCATACACTTAAAAAGCACAGTCCAGTGAGTTTTGACCAATGTCTACACGTGTGTAACCACCTCCACAATCAAGAAACAGAACAGTTCCTTCACCACAGAAGGTTGGTTGGTGCCCCTTGGCAGTCAGGCCCTGCCTCCTCCATCCCAGCCCAAGGCAACCACTGATCTGCTTTCAGCCACTATAGACTAGCTTTCTCTCTTCTATTTTTACATACATGAAATCCTACAGTGCTGTGTGTCTGGTTTCTTTTGCTCAGTGTGAATTAAGATTCATTCATGTTGCTTGGTGTATCAAACGTTTGTTACTACAGAATACTGAGTAAATACATAAACATAAGGGATATAATACATTGTTTATTTATCCATCTACCATTTGATAGACATTTCGGTTACTTTCAGTTATTGTTCTCTATGAATACAGCTGCCATAAACATTCATGTACAAGCCTGTTTGGATATAGTTTCATTTCTCTTGGGTGAATAGCCAGGTGTGGGATTGTTGGGTTGTATGGTAGGCGTAAGTTTAACTTCATGAGATATTGACAAACTGTTTTCCAAAGTGGTTGTACCGTATTGTACTCCCATCAGCCGTGATGAAAGCTCCACATAAATGCTTCCACATCTTTGACAATACTTGGTGTTGCCAGTGTTTAAATAATTTTAAAGTCAGGTTTATTGAGGTATGATTTACATACCTTAAGATTCACCATCTTTAGTGAATAGTTCTAAGAATTTTGAAAGATACATGCAGTCATATATCTATCACCACAATCAAGATACAGACGGTCCATCATCCCCCAAATTTCCCTTGTTCCACTTTTAGTCCTGGCAACCACTCAGCTGTTTCTAGCTTTATAGTTTTGCCTGTTCCAGAATACAAAATAAATGGATTCTGTCACTTCTAATGTATTTGAGATTCATCCATTTTGTGGAATAGATCAGTAGTTAGTTTCTTCTTCTTGATTGTGGAGTAGCCTTCTATTTTATGGGTATACCACTGATTGTTTTTATATTAACCAGTTGGGGGACGTCTGTATTGTTTCTGGTTTGGGTTGCTAAAAACATACACATACATACGTTTTCCTTTTCTTGGGCAAATACCTAGGTGTGGGATCGCCTGGTCATACAGTAAACATATGTTTAAAATATACATCTATAAGAAATTCAGCCTTTTTATTTTAGCCGTACCAGTGGGTATGCAGTAGAACCTTGTTGTGACATTAATTTGTACCCTCATGACTAACGATGCGGAGTATCTTTTCATGTGCATGTTGTGATGTGTTTCTTCAAATATTTTACCCATTTTAATTGAGCTATCTTCTTGCTATTGAGTTTTGGAATTTTTAAATATATTTTGGATAAAAGTCCTTTTTTAGGTATAAGTGTTAAGAATATTTTATCTCATTTTGTCTGTGGCTTGCCTCTTCATTTTTTAAATGATGCTTTTGGGGAGCATAAGTTTTTACCTTTCATGACATCCAATTTATCACTTTTTTATTTATGATGTGTGCTTTTTATGTCCTAAGAAATTTTTGCCTACCCCCAATTCATGAGGATTCCCTCTCATATTTTTTTTCTAGTCATTTGATTGTTTTTGCTTCTATTTTTAGGTCTATAGTCTATTTTGAGCTAATATTTGCATGAGGTAAAAGTCAAGGCTTCTTTTTTTTCCATATAGATATCCAGTTGTTCCAGCACGTTTGTTGGAATAAAAGATCCCTCTTCTTTCCCTTTTGAATTACTTTGGCATATTTGTTGAAAAATCAATTGACCACTTATGTGTAGGTCTAATTCTGGACTCTTAATTTTGTTCTATTGATTTATATGTGTTTCTACACTGTCTTGATTACTGTAACTTTATAGTGAGTCTTGCAAACAGGTAATATAAGTCCTACAACTTTGTTCTTCTCTTTCAACATTGTTTTGGCTATTCTAGATCTTTTGCATATTCATATACATTTTAGAATCAGCTTGTGAAGTTTACCAAAAAGAAAGCCATCTGGAATTTGGGTTGGGATTATATTGAATCTATAGATCAATTTAGGGAAAATTAACATCTTAAAAATATTGAGTAAAAAAATATTGAGTCTTCCAATCCAAAACATGGAATAGCTCTCCATTTATTTAGGTCTTTTAAATTTTTTTTCAGAAATGTTTCATAGCTTTCAGGATACAAATTTTCAACATATTTTCTTAAATTTATTCCTAAGTATTTTGTGTTTTGTATGCTATTTTAAATGGTACTTTAAAAAATCTCATTTTCAATTGCTTGTTACTAGTATATAGAAATACATTTGATTTTTGTATACTGACTTTATCCTGCACCCTTACTAAATTCATTTATGAGACTCCTTAGAATTTTCCATATACACGATCAAGTTGTCTGAATAAAGAGAATTTCACTTCTTTCTAATCATTAAGGCTTTACCTCTTTTCCCTGTCTTAGTGAACTGGTGGGAACCTCCAGTACAATGTTGAATAGAAATAAGAAGAGCAGATACCTTTCTTTCATTCTCGGGGGAAAGAAATCAGTCTTTCACCATTAAGTATGATGTGAGCTGTAGGTCTTTTCTAGATGCTCTCTATCACAGTGAGAATACTTCATTTTCTAGGAGTTCTTATCATGAATATTGCCGAATTTTTCCTAAATTTTTTTTTTCATATATCTTGTTATTATTTTCCTTTTCAGTTTACTGATATAATAGATTACATGGTTTTTCAAATATTTAGCCAACCTGTATTCACATCTTTTAAAAAAGGTTATTATCCTTTTTTATATATTGCTGGATTCAATTTGATAATATATTGTTAAAGATTTTTGCATCTATATTGGTCTGTAGTTGCCTTTTTTTTTTTTTTTTTTGTTTGTAAATTATTTATCTGGTTTTCAAGTTGGGGTAAAGCTGACCTCATAAAATAAGATGAGACATCTTCCTTTTACTTCTGTTTTTTGAAAAAGTTGGTGATAAGATTGTGTTAGTTCTTCTTAAATATATGATAGAATTCACCAGGGAGGCTCTCTGGGCCTAGGGTTTTCTTTGTGGGAAAGTTTTACAGATTTAAAATTCTTTAATAGAAATAGTGCCATTTTTCTATTTCTTCTTGAGTCACTTTCTGTAATTCAAGGAATTTGTTCATTTTACCTAATTTGTCAAAATTGTAAAGTTATTCATAATACTCCCTTCTTTTTCTAAAATGAACTTTCATTTTGAAATATTTTTAGATTTACAGAAAAGTTACAAAGATAGTACAAAGAGGACCCATATTCTCCTTACCCAGTTTCAGTTTCCCCTAAACAGGGGTGTTAAAGGGAGAGAATGCAGTCATGGGTTCTTAGTTTGTTTCTGGTTGGGCCGGCAAAGCCTCTTCCTCATCCCTCTTTTCCACTTATCACTAGAGAGAGAAACTAAAAGCTATGGCTTTGGGCTGCTAAAAGCCTAAAACAAAACAGAACAGCCACAACAACAAAGTGGGGTGGGTTGGACAAGCTTGCATATCTTAGATTACCACCACACATTTGTCAAAACTAAGAAACTAACAATAGCACATTAGTATTAACTAAACTCCAGACTTTATTGTGATTTCATCAGTTTTCCATTCATGCCATTTTTCTATCCCAAGATCCAATCCAGGATCCTACATTGCATTTAGTTGTCATGTCTCCTTAGTCTCCTCTGGTTTAGAACAGTTTGTCTTTCCTTTGTTATGACCTTGACAGTTGTGAGAAATGCTGGTCAGATATTTTGTAGAACAGCAGTCCCACGACCTTTTTGGCACCAGGGACCAGTTTCATGGAAGACAATCTTTTCATGGACTGCTGGGGGTGGTGGAGAGGTGCAAGGGAGGATGGTTTTGGGATGAAACTCTTCCACCTCAGATCATCAGGCATTAGATTCTCATAAGGAGCACACAACCTACATCCCTTGCATACAAAGTTCACAACAGGGTTCATGGTCCTTTGAGAATCTAATGCCGCTGCTGATCTGACAGGAGGTAGAGTGCTCAGGTGGTCATGCTCACTCGCTGCTCACCTCCTACTGTATGGCTGGGTTCCGAACAGGCCATGAACTGGCACCAATCCACAGCCCAGGGGTTGGAGACCCCTGTTGCAGAATGTTCCCAAATTTGAATTTCTCAGAAGTCTCTGCATGATTAGAGTGGATTTTTGGAAAGAATACCACAGAAGTGAAATATCCTCATTACATCACATCAGTGGTTATATGATATCCACATGACATCACTGGTGATGTTAAAATTGATCGTTTGGTTAAGGTAGTGTCTGCCAGTTTCTCCACTAAAGTTACTCTTTTTCTCTTTACACACACAGTTTTTTAGGAATAAATACATTCTAGCCCACACCCAAGTAGGGGCAAGGGGCGATTAAGCCCCTTCTGGACAGGACAGTCTTTACAAATATTATTTGGTATACTTGTATAAGGATGATTTGTTTCTCTGCCCCCCAACTCTCTTTTGATCAGCATTTGGCTGGTATATCTTTTTTATCCTTTTACTTTTCATCTATTTGACTCTTCATATTTAAAGTAGAATTCTTACAGAAATTATACAATTGGGTCTTGCTTTTTTATATAATAACCTCTGTAAATTGGAGTGTCTAGACAATGTATGTTTAATGTAAAAACCAACATAGTTGAATAAATCTATCATCTTGCTAACTTTTCTATTTGTTCCATCTGTTGTCATGTTTACTCTTTCCCCACAAAATGTTTTGGACCTTCAATACTGGCTTATTAGCTATATATCTCTGTCTTATTTTTTCCTCCCTTAGTGGCCCTTGTAAGGTTTACAACATAAATCTCTAACTTAATACAGTCTACCTTCAAATAATATTATGCCAGTTTTTGTATACAGGTAACGTAACAACCTTTAAACAGAATACTTCTATTCTCCACCCCCTACTGGTATTATTACCAGCAGAATACCTCCACTGGTATTATTTTTACTTGAAATACTCAATTAACTTTTTTAGAAATTACAAATGAGAAAGTAAATTTCTTACATGTATCCATATATTTACTATCTGTGGTTCTCTTCACTTCCTTACAATTCAGATTTCCCTATAATATCATTTTTCCCCGCTGAAGAACTTCTTTTGTAGTGCAGGTCTGCTGACAATGATTTCTCCAATTTTGTATCTGTTTTAAAAAGTCCTAGTTTTGCCTTTTTTTTTGAGATGGATTCTAGCTCTGTTTCCCAGGCTGGAGTGCAGTGGGGCAGCCTCGGCTCACTGAAATCTCTGCCTCCTGGGTTCAAGCGATTCTGCCACCTCAGCCTCCTGAGTAGCTGGGATTACAGGCACCCGCCATCATGACTGGCTAATTTTTGTAGAGACGGGGTTTCACCATGTTGGCCAGGCTGGTCTTGAACTCCTGACCTCAGGTGATCCACCTGCCTCAGTGCTTTCATTTTTGAAGGATATTTTCACTGGATATAGAATTCTGGGTTGATAAAAATTATCTTTCATTACTTTAAAAATGTCATTCCATTGTCTTCTGCCTTAAATGGTCTCTGGCAATAAGTCTGCTAGAATTACTTCTCATACCTTTTTCTCTCTGGCTAATTTAAGCTTTTCTTGGTTTTGAGCAATTAATCAAAATGTATCTTTGTGTGGTTTTGTTTGGGTCCATTGTGTTTCAGGTTTATTGAGCTTCTTGGAGCTCTGAGTATAATTTCATCAAAATTGAAAAAAAAATCAGCTATAATCTGTTAAAATATTTTTTCTGTCTTTCCTCACCTTCCTTACCTTCTGGGACTCCAGTTGCAAGTATGTTAGCCCTCTTGATATTATGCTATAGGATCACTGAGTTTTGTTAACTTTTTCCAGTCTTTTTTCTTTCTTGGCTTCATATTGAGGAGTTTTTATTGCTATATCTTCAAATTCACTGATGTTTTATTCAGTGGTATCTCATATCCTCTTAATCCCATAAGTGATTTTTTTTTCATTCTAGGTGTATTTGTTGCTTATAGATGTTCCCTTTCATTTTTAAATATCTTCCATTTCTCCCTTCATTTAATCAGGTCTTCCTTTAAATTCATGAACATATTTATAGTCTTCATAAAATCTACTTTAAAGTCTTTATCTGCTAGTTCTATCATATCTGTCACTTCTGAGTCTGTTTCTATTGACTAATTTTCCTCTTGTTAGGGGTGACATTTTCCTCATTCTCAACATGTCTTGCACTTTTAAAATAAGATGTTAGATACTGTGAATGTTATGTTATCGAATATTGGATTGTGTTGCCTTCTTTTAAAGAGGGTTGAAGTTTATTTTGACACAAGGTTAGATTTCTTGCACATCAGATTGATCTTTTAAAGACTTCTTTAAAAAGAAATAGGTTTGTTTAAAACTTTTCATCGAAGTTTAACATACACACATAAAAATGCACACACCATTGGTGCTCAGCTTGACGAATTCACCCCCATGTAACTGGCACTCAGATTAAAATCCAGCACATTTTAGGACCCCTAAAGCCCTCTCTTGTGCCTCTCAAAGCTTAATTTTAAGCTCTTTCAGGGCAGGGCTAAAATGATCTTTATAGCTAATTTAGATGTACTATCAAGTCATGCCCTACTGGTGTCTCTTATCATTGTCCTGAATGACCAACAAGATCTCTGACTCTGGTTGGTCAGAACCTGCAGGATTCCTAGACTTGTGTGAGCTCTGAGAACTGTTCATCTTATAGTTTCCTGTCAGGAGTTTTACCCTACATATGGGCAGATTAGTCTTCAGCAGGTTTGTCAATTCAGGTTTCTGGAGCTCTTCAGCTGAGTAGCTCCCTCCTGTCTGATACTCTCACTTGCAAATGTAAACCATCTCCCCTTCAAACTGTTCTTTAATCTTTCAGCTCCCCAAGACTGTTGTGCTTTGCTGGGGATTCCCCTTCTAGTACCAATATCCAGAAAATGCCTCAAGGCAGAAAGCCAGTGGGATAGTAGGCCTCACCTCACTGGCTTCCTTTCACTCAGGGATAACAATCTTGTCTTGTCTGTTGTCCAACATGTGAAAACAGCTGTTTTCATATTTGTCCAGAGTTTTAAATTGTGGGAGGATTAATCCAGTTCCAATTATTCTATCATGGCTGGAGAGCAGTGGCGCAATCACAGCTCACTGCAAACTTGAATTCTTGGCCTCAAGCAATTCTTCTGCCTCAGACTCCCAAAATGCTGGGATTATAGGCATGAGCCACCATGTCTGGCCCCAAGCCTCTTTTAATAAAGTTTCCAGCGTAGATGCCATGTTTTACAAGATTTCATCTACCATAATAACCCAATCCATATGTGCCTTCCATCCTTCCATCTATCTATTCAGTGGCTGCTAGATTCTTGGAAAACAAAGATGAATAAAACTCAATTACTGCTACTCCAAAAAACTGACAAGTAAAAGGGAAATGGGCAATAAATCAGTACAATTACACAAGGTACACAAGGGGCTGTGGGGACATAGAGAAAGATATGGTCAAATCTACGTGAAGGTCAGAAAAGATTCAGTGTGTGTTTGTGTGTGTGTGTGTGCATGTGTTTGTGTGTGTGTGTGATTAAATACTTGAGAGCAGGTCTTGAAGAATGAGTGAGAGATTAATAGATGAGGTAAGACACTGGGACAAAAGAAATGCTGCATACAAAGTATGAAGTTATGAAACAACATGTAAATTTGGGACAACCATTAACAGTTCTAAAAACCTACAGTACAGAGTTTAAAGCAGGGAGGAGAGAGAACTACAGCTATGGAGAAACAAAAACAGGGGGGTATCATGAAGGAGGGCTGAATGCCCTGCGGATCATAATTCACATCCATAATTCATCATCATCAGCTACTGTCGATTGTGCTGATAGGATATATGTTTTAAATATATTATATATATTACATTTAATTCTCAAACAACCTTATGTGGAAATTAAGTCTTAGAGAGCTTAAGTAATTTTGCCCAAGATCACACGGACATGAAGTGAGGAAGCCAGGATGTGAAAACAGGTCTGTTTGATTTCAAAGCCAACAAAGGGAAGTTGCCTTGAATCTCTAGGTAATGGGAAGTTATAGGAGAATTTTTTTGTCCTTAAATGTTTTTTTGAAAAATTACATTCACTGATGGAATAGTTTTAGTTAGGTGGGAAATGGAGTTTATGTTTTTAGAAAGGTCACTCTGGGGCATGAGGCGGAAAGATTGGAGGGATGAGGCTGGAGTCAGATGAGCCAGTCTTGAGTCTGCTGGTAATAATGCAGGGGGAAAATAAAAGCTTAGATTAGGTGGTGTTTAGGAGGGATGAGGAAGAGGATGTGGATTTACCAAATGTTTAAGAAGCAGAATCTGTCAGAGTAAACACACAACTTTGGCCAAAGGGGAGATTTTAAGGTCAACGATGGATAGGCTGATACACTAAAATTACCAGGTCCTATGCCAAATGCAGGGGACACAAAGACAGGCAGGGCACGATTTCTCCTCTTGATAGCTCATGTAGCATCACAGAATCAAAGCTGTGAATTCCATTGAAATACAATAAATACCTTACAGACCACATCTCCCCCCATTACAATCTTCAGAATCCTTAATGAGTATAGAGGCCCAAGCTGGAAACCACTGCTGTAGAACATTCTCAACCCTGTTACAAACCAGCTTGCATATAGGAGGTCCCATTTGTGCACGCTGAGACTGTCAGGACATAGAGGTTATTAACTGTCCTCCAATCTTGCCTATAATTATCAGCAACAATTTTATTAAAAACAAATGCAGGTACCATTTCTTGAATGCTGACAACATGCAAGCACTGTGCCAAGCATTTGATAATCATTACCATAGCTGTTTGCCATAATAATCCTCAGAGCAAGCCTGGTACTCCTCTTTTAATGTGGAAAACTGAGGCTCAAAGAGGGAAAATAACTCACCCAAGTTACTTTGGTTCCCTGAGGCTACCTCATTTTGTCATTTAAAAGGCATCTTGGAATTTGCCATCTTCAGAAAGACTCCATTATCCTCCCCAAAATTTTGTTACTCTCTCTCCTGGGCCCTTCTGTGCCCGACTCCTATTTCCCTGTGGTCTCTATTATGCTATACTGTAATAGATATGTAATTGACATATCTGTTTCCTTTACTGACATACAATCTTTGAAGATCTGCTTTCTCTTTGCTGCTCAGTGCCAGCACAGGGTCAGAGCAGTGCAGGTGGGACCAGTCAGTCCACTCCATGGTTTCTGAGCTGCCAGTCACTCATCTCATGCTGCCCCAGGGCCCTTGGCCATTTCCTGCACCTAACAGACCTCAGGTTCACTTCCCACATTCACTAGGCATTTGCCTGGTCCATGCCTGAGATATCCATGGCTTCAAGAGGTGCTTGTCCACTGAAAGGAAACAGGGATGGGAGCCTCAGATTCCTTGGACCAAAAGAACTCAAATTATAGCTAGTAGGCCCTAAGGTACCAACCATGTACTACCCTGTCCTGACATGATTCTCACACCTCACAGGTCCTCATTCCTGTCTGACACTTTAAATTTTCCTAAGTTCTGTCATCTCTTGCTGCCTCAGAGGGAGGCGGGATACATAGAGTAGAAGCAGCACAGACTGGGGGTCCAATCTCAGCTGTGCCCCTAATCACCTACAGGATTTCAGGCAAGGCACGTGCTCTCTGAGGTTCTCTCCTCTCTGTAGAAAGGAGAGATCACCTGTTCCAAAGGGCTACAACACTAACTGTCATTCAGGATGAATGACATCCTAAACGCAGAAGACACCTAGTAGGGCAGAGGGGCCATGTGGGCTCTGCAGACCCACGGGGTTGAGTTCATGCCTTGGCTCCTCCTCTCTCTAGCTCTGTGGGTCAAGCGGGAGTAAGGAAAAGACCATCCTCAGAGTGGCATGAAGAGTAAATGAGAGGTCAATGATGGGAGCTCAGTGCAGTGAGCCAGTGAATGGCAGCCATTGTTGAATTATAAGTGGAGCACTGCTGTAGGGCACAAATGACTCCCCCAAAATCTCACAGTGAGTTAGGTGGAGAGAAGTTTGAAATCCTGTTACGGCTGGGCACAGTGGCTCATGCTTGTAATCCCAGCACTTAGGGAGGCTGAGATGGGCAGATTGCTTGAGCCCAGGAGTATGAGACCAGTCTGGGCAACACAGCAAGACTCCATCTCTACAAAACGTAGCTGGGTGTGGTGGCATGTGCCTACGGTCCCAGCTACTTGGGAGGCTGAGGTAGGAGGATCAGTTGAGCCCAGGAGGCAGAGGCTGCAGTGAGCTAAGATAGTGCCACTGCACTCCAGCCTGGGTGACAGAGCCAGACACTGTTTCAAAAAAAAAAAAAGAAAGAAATTCTCCTGCAAGACTTCATCAACTAATAGCAATCCTTTCAGAACAGCTACCCACAGGGTGCCACTGGGCCTTCTGGCAGTGATGGTGCACCAATGCCCACCAGGTAAAACACTTCCCCGACCAGGACACATATGAGCACCACATGGCCAGGAACAACAACCCGTTTCACTCTGGAAGTCAGGATAACTCTATAGATCTTCTTGCAGGCAGAGCTACGGAGGCCAAAGCAGAAACAGCAAAACCACACTTGCCGGTGAGGCCCAATCCTCACTGGCATGGACAAGGGGAGAATGGGTCTACCTCACACAGCTGCCTACAGGGCAGCTCCAAGTAGCAACAGAAGACAGGTGTATAGGCAGATGTTAGCATGGCAAATGTGGCAGCCAGCTACTTTTTGCTCAATAGAACCCACATTCTGTGTAGACCTGAGGCAACAAAGTGCAATGCGGAGGGTGCACAGCTACACTGACAGCACTGCCACCCGATACTCTACCATGTTCTAGATGGTCTAGGAAAAAAATGTAGGTTTGAAGTACCCCAAATTGTTCACACTGAAAACCCCGCCAGCTGCCTTCTGTGCTGTTACTTGGAGGGAGCTGCCCTGATCTCTAGAGGTGGCAGCGTGCTGGGGAGAGCTGGCGAGACTCTCAGACTCCCACAGGAAGAGGAGAGGTCTGGACACTAAGGTCACTTCACAGTCTTTCTGATGAAAGTTCAAGTCAAAATAGACTCAAGAAATAAACCTTCTTCTAACTTTCTTTTTTTTTTTTTTGAGATGGAGTCTTGCTCTGTCGCCCAGACTGGAGTGCAGTGGCACGATCTCAGCTCACTGCAACCTCTGCCTCCTGGGTTCAAGCAATTCTCCTGCCTCAGCCTCCTGAGTAGCTGGGACTACAGGCACATGCCACCATGCTCAGTTAATTTTTTGTATTTTTAGTAGAGACTGTGTTTCACCATGTTAGCCAGGATGGTCTCACTTTCCTGACCTCATGATCTGCCCGCCTTGGCCTCCCAAAGTGCTGGGATTACAGGTGTGAGCCACTGTGCCCGGCCATTTCTTTTTTATTTTTTTGAGATGGAGTCTCGCTCTGTCACCCAGGCTGGAGTGCAGTGGCGCAATCTCAGCTCAATGCAACCTCCACCTCCCGGGTTCAAGTGATTCTCCTGCCTCAGCTCCCGAGTAGCTGGGATTACACGCATGCACCACCATGCCTGGCTAATTTTTGTATTTTTAGTAGAAACAGGGTTTCACCATGTTGCCCAGGCTGGTCTCGAACTCCTGACCTCAGGTGATCCACCCGCCTCGGCCTCCCAAAGTGCTGGGATTACAGGTGTGAGCCACCATGCCTGGCCACCTTCCAACTTTCTACACTGAGACAAAGGTTTCAATGCAGAAACAAACTGCAGTTCTCAGGTCACAGGAAAACCCTCGCTATTTCCCCTCCTTCCCCATTCCCCAAAGTCACGTTCATTTCCTTTGCAGGAGCTCACAGAAGTGAGATCCTCGCAAGCTCATTACCTACCACGTCGTTTGGGAGGCTCTGGAGGTCATCGAAGGGGGTTTCCAGGGTGTTGGTGTCCACATTCAGGATCACGACATCATCCAGGGCCATGTTTCTGACTTTCTGCAAGGAGAAAAAAATCCACAAGAGAAGGTCATTGAGGTGCCATCAAGACACACTTCCCCTGCCTTCTCTGGGGAAGAGGCATAGAGAAGGAAAGTGACATTTGACAAAGTCTTACTCTGCAGCAGGCCCAATGGTAGGAGGTTCACATTTGTTAGCTCACTGAACTCTCATAAAATCTCTGTGAGCTTGCATGACTATCCCCAAGTCCCAGGAGTGAAAAGGGTTCACAGAGGCTCAGTAACATGCCCCAGGTCACATAGCCAGAAAGTAAGAGGAATCATTACACCCCATCATCATTTTTCCCCTATATATTTAACAGACGCTGAGGTCAAAAGCTCTGTCCCCAGGAATGCTGATATACGGCTGTGTTCTTATGATATCCCCATTCAATCCAGCCCCCTAATTTAACAAAGGCTACTTGCCCATCTCTCTTTTGGATCCTGTCATTCTTGGGTATGGAATATTGTGTGTGGCCTACTGTTAACACTTCCCTTAAACGCCAAGTAGGAAGGTCACACTTTCAATTTGGTTCCATTTTCCACAGATATCCAGTTAGTAATGGCTCAGAAGCTCTGGCCATAAGCCATTATTCTACTGGCACAGTAATAGAAAAGATGAGGGAAACTCATGCCTACAAGGTTTTCATGCTTGGTGACAGGAGAAGGGATGAACGGACAATATGGAGAAAAAAAGAATCCTGCCCCCAATCTGGCAGCAATTCCCCATAGCCTATGTGAGTCCAAGACAGGGTGTAGCCTGAGTTTTAAATTTTTAATCACACTATTTATCCGCTACTAAGATCCATCTTTGTGTTTCTCCTGCCTACTCTCCACTCCAGGTCCCATTCAATCCTCCTTCCCCATCACGTATCAAGCGTATTCCTTTTGAGTCAGAGGCATTAGAACTATTGTCTTTATTTTATTTTGCGTAGAAAGAGCCTATCATTTGCTGTCTAAACTGGGATACATTTGGATGTGAAAGACCTCATCTTACACCAGGGCAACAGGCACACGATGGGACCTGTGGTCACTGCATATAAAGGATCAATTCCATTACTGGTCAACCTCTGAGCATGCTGCATGTGGCTGCGCAGGTATGCATTCCTCAGATGCCAACCACCTAAGCTAGGACTGAAATCTGCCAACTCACGTGCCTGCCGAGTGGCACCAGTCGGGGAATGGGGGCAGATGCCTTTTCCTAATTCACCCCAGAGCATGGTGTAGGCTGGCAACAGAGGCAGACATCCAATGGCTGCTCAAGCTCCAGTTTCCAATGCCCTGGAAATGGACAAGTAGCATATACTAGAAGCTTCCTAGCTCTTGCTCTGTGCTTTACTCACCTTATTTCATTTAATTCTTATCAACCCCTGTGAAGTGGATGTTATTGCCCTCAATGTTTGAAACTTGAGGAAGATGAGGTTCAGAGTGCTGAGGTAAGAGGCAGAGGCAACCACAGGCCTGGCTGCCTCCCCAGGCCATGCTCTGTGTACTGCACCATCCACCTCCTCATCGTCAGACACCCGCAGGGAGACTGACCTCCGCACAGCCCTTGTCACTCTGAGCCCCAGCACCTCTCTGCCTGCCTGCCTCCCCTGCTGGGGTGTGGGCTCCTTCAGGGGCTCATCTGTGGCTCACCACTGCAAAACAACCAGTCCCTGACAACATGACTGGCACCCGGTAAGTGTACACTAATACTGGTTGACATTCACTCTCTTAAACCACAGCCTCTAGGGCAGAACATGGTACCTAAGTAAATATTTCAAGATTCTTCCCAGCAGGAGGGTGGAGCCACACTGGTCACAAGCCTCACTAGGATTGAAAAAACACTCCCAGGCAGCAGAATCCCGGAACCTTTCCACTTAACACCATCAGAGCCTCCAACTCCTTCTGCTATCCACTAACTTCTCCACGCCTCTGGGGCTTGTCCATAAACCTATCCATCAATTCCTAAACATAGTTTACTAAGTGCTTACTATGGGCTGAGAACCACAGAGGAGGGACACAATTGCCGATGTAGGAGTTTATTCTTTCCTCCAAACCCCAACACCCATTATTACCTGCTGCCTTATTTATAGGGTAAAAAGATATCAGCGAATGGACAACTTTGATTGTATTAGGTTAGTGCAAAAGTAATTGCAGTTTTTACCAAAGTAATGGCAAAGAATGTACTTTTGCACCAACCTAATGATACAAAAAACGAGTTCATATTTTACAGCGCTTTTGTTATATGAAGCACAATCTCCATTTTACACATGAGAATGCTGAGATTCACAGGGGATTGTCCAGGACTCTCTAGCTGGCTCACTCTGCAACCCAACAGGTTAAATGCCCAGCAGTGTGCTAGCAGGAAGGTACAAAAACAGCATCAATGGCCCTCTTTTTCACTGATGTCACACTTCAGGCTCACACAGCACTGCCACACAGATGCCTTCATTCCATCAATGGGGCTGGAGGTGAGATACCATTATCCCCATTTCAGAGATGAGTAACTGAGGCTCCAAGAAGTAGCTTGCCCAAGGTTATGTGTCTATTAAATGGCTGCGTCTGTAAAATTAAAATGCTAACTGTGGCCACCCTGCTTCTCTCACTCCCCCTAGGGCTGCTGTGATGAGAGCAAACACACCCACAATGCTGGCCACACAGTAGGATGTAATAAATCGTGGCTATTATTACTACTTTTTAATACACACAATAGCCACAGCCAGTCTGGAAGGCTGTAGTGGCAATGGCCCGAGGGCAAAAATCCTTGGGGCCCCTTCTTGCTTGGTCTCTCACTTCAAAGGCTATGCACAGTCAGTCACAGGAAACAGAATCAGAGAAGGACTCACAACATCCTGGAGGACGTGATGCCTCCAGGACACAACAGAGGACCGTGCACCCCAGAATCAACTACTTTGCCTCATCTGACCTTCCAAATAGTCCCAAACAGAAGGGAGCAGGAGATGATGGCCATTGGAGAGAAGCCTCCAGGGCTGAATGGCCCCATGAATGGGATGTTGATTCTGGACCAGAATCAGGCCTTGTTTCTGTGCTCCCATTGGGCCCCAGTGGCACAGACCAGCCCTTGTAGGCTCTCCACGGCTGGGCTGGAATAGGCTTTTGATTTCTTCCCACTCCTGGCTGGAGGACTTGCCGGTTAAGCTCTGTGGAGTGTTTACTTTTTCAACAATGGCAGCAGGCTGAAGAATAGGAAAAAACCTGGCCCCTTTTTCTAACTTAGCAGGCCAGGGTCCCCTTAGTAACCAAAATGCCCCGAGCACCAGGCTCCAGGCAGGAGCTGGGACGGCACAGTTTCCTCTTGAAGGACAATGCTGCCCTCCTGGTGGCAAGGCCTCTTCCAAAAGGGCTGGCGTGGACTCAAGGGCCTTCCTGAAGCTCACTGTTCCCAAGGAAAGAATTGGAGCCCAGCTCGCTGGACAGTGCCCGGTCCCCCAAAGGATCAAGGCAACTAGGGGAATGAAGAAAGGCAAGAAAAACTCAAACTGGGGGTGGGGACAGGAAGCGCGGATGAGAAGAAAGCCAGACCGTCGCCAGGTGCCGGTGCCTCTCATCTTAACCATGCCATCAGTCAGGGACACTAGCATCTCTGCATGGGAACCAAGTGGGGGCGCAGAGAGGTCAAACAAGCTGCCCAAAGTCAGAGCTAGGAAGCAGCAGTCAACTTTTGAACACAGTCTTATTGCGGGATCTGGCCAGCAGCCCGCAATGCAACGGGGCTCTCTCTTTGTTCCCAGGTGGATCGGCAGGTTGAGAAATAATAGACACACACGAGATAGTGAAAGCTGGGTCCAGGGGGGTCACCAGCTTCTGGTCCTGCGGTGCCAACAATGCACTGGATATACCAGCATTTATTATTAAGTTTAGTGAAGGCGGGGGTAGGTTAGTGAGGGATTTAGGGTCATTTGATTATGCGGTGAGATGGTCACATGGGGATGAAGTAATTCTTTAACATAGCATTTGTATGTAGAAGTACAGAGCATAACTGAGTGGCTCAGTATATAGAGTACACAGAGATAAGAATTTACAATATAGTGTGTGCGTCAGTAATTTCTAACAGAGCCTTAAAACAGAAACACAATCTTTCCGTAACCTATGATTAGCAAGCTATTAATCAGCAGTAACAATTGCAACAAAAGCTGGTTACAAACAATCCATGGAAACAGGACGTGAAGCTAGACAACCAGTTAGACCAGAAATTCTCAGAAGGGAGTATGCCCTAACCCTAAAGAGGCCTAGAAGAGCCGTGGCAAGATGAGGGCATTTATAGCCCTATCTTATCCATATGGACAGGCGTCCCCCCATGCGTCCGTTTATAGGCTCTCCACAAGGGTCGTATTCCATTCCCAGAGCTATGAACATCTTGGTGATGTGAAACCTCCCTGACTGCACGTCCATTCATAGGTTCTCTGCATGGGGAAGCACATCACACACTGTTGGCTCATTTTGGCAGTCCAACCTGGCATTGTCTTTACACAATCCTGCATGCAATTTTGTATTTACAATAATCAGGAGCATTTCATCTTTTATTCTGTAGCAATAGTTTCAGGGGGTCTCCCTAAACAGTCTGACCCCAAAGCTGACTTTCTTCTGAAGATACCCCTAATCCGATCGCTCAGACATCAGAATGAGTACCTAACTGTTCAGGACACACAGTTATATCAACATGCTCAGAGACTGCTTTCTCTTACATAAAATACTACTTTCCTTTTTATCATAAAAAATAGGATGGGCATGGTGGCTCACACCTGTAATCCCAGCACTTTGGGAGGCCGAAGTGAGCAGATCACCAGAGGTCAGGAGTTCGAGACCAGCCTGACCAATGGAGAAACCCCATCTCTACTAAAAATACAAAATTAGCCAGGCATGGTGGTACATGCCTGTAATCCCAGCTACTCGGGAGGCTGAGGTAGGAGAATTACTTGAACCTGGGAGGTGGAGGTTGCAGTGAGCCGAGATTCAGCCATTGCACTCCAGCACTCCAGCTTGGACAATAAGAGTGAAACTCTGTCTCAAAAAAAAAAAAAAAAAAAAAATTATAGATGCCTACTATTAAAAAATGGGAAAGGCTGGGCACGATGGCTCACGCTTGTAATCTCAGCACTTTGGGAGGCTGAGGCGGGTGGATCACCTGAGGTCAGGAGTTCAAGACCAGCCTGGACAACATGGCGAAACCCTGTCTCTACTAAAAATACAAAAAATTAGCCGGGTGTGGTGGCGGGTGCCTGTAATCCCAGCTACTTGGGAGGCTGAGGAAGGAGAATTGCTTGGACCTGGGAGGCGGAGGTTGCAGAGAGCTGAGATTGCACCATTGCACTCCAGCCTAGGTGACAAGAGTGAAACTCCATCTCAAAAAAAAAAAAAGGGGGGGGGGGAAGAGAAAAGTTTAAAGAAGAAAATTACAGTTATCCCAGTCCCTCCATTTGGAGACAATGTTTTGGTCTATTTCCTTCCATATTCTCCCTTCCTACGTGTTAAAGCAAAGTTGAAATAATTCTATTTTGTTTTTTTTTTTTGAGATGGGAGTCTCGCTCTGTTGCCAGGCTGGAGTGCAGTGGCATGATCTTGGCTCACTGCAACCTCTGCCTCCTGGGTTCAAGCTGTTCTTATGCCTCCGCCTCCTGAGTAGCTGGGATTACAGGCGCATGCCACCATACCCAGCTAATTTTTTTATTTTTACTAGAGATGGGGTTTCACCATGTTGGCCAAAGTGGTCTTGATCTCCTGATCTCGTGATCCACCCACCTCGGCCTCCCAAAGTGCTCGGATGACAGGTGTGAGCCACTGCGTTTGGCCAGTTGAAATAATTCTTAACACTTCTGATTTTCTCACTGATTCTGATATAAGCAGTGATCCACTTAATTAAGAACTTTGCGTGGATCATTACTAACTGCGACAGAGTGCCCTACTACATGGAAACAAACTCAACCAAGCCCCTTTTGTGGGATGTTATTTCCAGTTTTGAAGAAATTACTGTATATAATATCGTCATGAAATCTGTAGGCATAAAGCTTTGTGCTTTAGGATGCATTCCTAGAAGTGGAATTTAGTTTCCACTTCTTAAAAAGTGTCCCTCTCAAATTCGACTTTGAGAGAGATATCTTTACTTCCAATTATTTTAAAGTCATTTTATCCACAGCTTGTGTTTCCTACTATAAGTGAAGAAAAATCAGCAAAGACATGAGCAGATGTCAAAATAGTCCTCCAAAAACCCTACCCAATTAAAACACTTACTAGTACTGCGGCACACCGAGACAGCTCTCCGGTAGCTTGTCCCACCAACACATTCCCTCTCTTTTTAGTTACAGCATATGCCAAAGCTCCTGCCAGCTGCAAACCCTTCCCCCCACCAGACTCTATAGGCTTTTTCTCAGAATGAAAAAAAAAAAAAAAAAAAAAAAAAACTGACATGCACACTGGCTTTCCAAATGGCATTTCTTACATAGAGAAACACACACACAAAATGGCACTTTCCCATATATATTGTTAATGAAGAATGTCTTCCTCTTTCTGCTTTGTCACAGACAGTCTGAACTTGACCCCTGCCTTTCAGGCCAGGGAAGGGAAAACCCGTAGTATGGGGAGTGGTCAGGGGCAGCTGAGAGGACACCAGCTCTAGTATTTCACCTCTGGCTTGTCCCCGACCAGGGGGCTTACTGTAGGCAACTGGCTTGACTGCATAAATCCTCCAGGTTTTCATCTGTAGAATGGAGATCATAACACCACCTATCTCACAGAGTTGTGTGAGGCTTTGATAAGCTAATGTATGTAAAAGATTCAGCATAATTCCCAGAATAGCCCTAACAGGCACTCATCAGTTCTCTTGCCTGCCCGTCCCCTCTCCTTGGATGGTTCCTAGACCTCAGCCATGCCTGGCTAGAGAGACTGAGGCAGCGGCAAGCCTCCCATGACCTGTGCTCCCCTAAGGTTTATCTGCACAATTAGAATAACACGTTGACTGTGACTTACTTAGGTAGGTATCTGATTCCTTCCCTAGTCTACAGGCTTTTGGGGGTTGGGAATCAGATTTCTCTACTCTCAGCTCCTACTCCAATATTTGCCCAAGAGCAGACAATTCGTGAATGAATGAATGAGAGGCAGCAGAGCCCAGAGGTGAAGAACATAGATCCAAAGCCAGTCTGGGTTCTAATTAATCTCTACCATCCACCAGCTGTGCCAACTTGGGTATGTCACTTAATCTTTCTGTGCCTCAGTTTCCTCCTTGATAAATGGGGGATGATAACCGTACCTACCTCACAGATTTGTGAGGATTCAATGGGTTAATATTTTAAAGTACTTGGAGTAGTGCCTGGCACATGGGAAGTGCAAGATAAGTGTTTGTTAAATAAAAACAAATGATCTTTTGTGGGTGATGAAAATATTCTGTATCTTTATTGTGGTGGTTTCATGATCGTATAAAACTGTCAAAATGCATTGAACCATATACTTTAAATGGATGGGTTGTGATAAATATACCCCAATGAAGGTATTCATTGAACCATATACTTTAAGTGGATGGGTTGTGATCAGTTATACCTCAATGAAGTTGATAAACATATTAGCACTCTCTCCAGAACACAGAATAAAATCATAGCCAACCATACAAGGTAAGAGTGTGCGAACAATGGTGAATGAATGCCACGCTACAAGGTGACTCTCCCCAGGGCCACCACCCAGTGTACATTCTGATCTGTGGCTGTGTTTGGCTCCCTGTCCCCTAACTTTTTCATCTAGTCCAGGATTTTTAACTTTTTCAATTCAAGCCCTCTTAGGATAAATATAAAAAGCCAATGTCCCTAGAGATTCTGATAGACTTCCCTATACAAAGGAGGGGGTCTGTTTGATAAACACTCTATCTTTGGTGTCTTTTCTGTAGCCAAGATGGTATTGAGCCTTACTTTCTAGAGTTGGTTGTATGAAAACAATGGGATTTCCTCCCTAAAATATAAAATAATATCAGCTACACTAATTAAAACCACACCAGCTGCCCACACAGATTGGTGCGGGGGAGTGTCCTACCTGTCCAAGGAGGGAATTGGGCAGCTAGTGACAAAAGGTAGTACTTAAAAGCAAGCCACAAGATGAAAGGCAAGGGTGTGCACTGGCAATGTCAGCCGGGGGATCTGAAGAGTGGCCAGGAGCATGCAGCACTCAGCCGGGTTGGGAGCGTGGGGCTGGACATTGAGGAGCAGGGGCTCAGTTCTGCCTCTGCTCGTCCAACAGCTGTGCAGCAAGACAGGACACCCTCTCTAGGATGGAGGTTGTGTGGTTCAGGGAGGTGACATGCATAGAGTAAACAGGCCAGCACTGAGTGAATCTTTTCTGCTGTCCTCAGACCAGGACCATCTCCAGGGCAGAGCTGTGTCTTATTTGTCTCCAGTGTCCAGCACAGTGCCTGACACAAGGCAAGTGCTCATTAACTGGGGAATGAGAAACGACTGTGGCTAGATCCACTCTACTGGGAGGTCTGCCTGGCAGCAGATGTCAATGTAAGCCCGAATGGACAATGTCAGCTCAACGAAAGCAAATCGGAGTTTGCTCAAGGAAGTGCAATGGGAATAATAATAATAACGATGGCAATGATAACAATCATGTAAAATTAGCATGATTAATTAGTGTAGAATTAATTCACAGTGGACACAGAAAGCCAGATAGGAGTTAACACAGCGATTAAGACTGTGGGTCTGGAACAAGACAGCCAGATTCAAGCCCTGCTTCTGTACTGTGTAAACATCAGCAAGTTCTTTACTTCTGAGCCTCAGTGTTCTTATCAATAAAATAGGGATAATACTGCACAGCTGTGTTGCGAGGATTTAGTGAGATACTAGGTATGAAGATTTTAACACAATGTCTGATTGCAATTAGTGATCAATAAATGTGGGGCTATTAAAGGCAAGTTTCTATCCTTGCAATTTGCAAGTTATGTCAATAAAATGGATTAGAGTTCTAAGACTAAGGAATTAAACAGCTGATTTTCAGAACAAAGGAAAATGCGAATAAGTCTCTATTATTATACTCTCATGCTATTAAAAATTAAACTACCACCAAGCGATTGTTCTTTTCTTGGCTATGTCTCATATAAAAGTGCATTCTCTGGAGCCAGACTGCCTGAGTCTGAATCCTAACTCTGCCAATTAAAACTGTGCTACCTTGGGCAAATTATTTAGACTTCCTGTGCCTCAGTTTCCCTATCTGTATAATGAGATAAAAACAGCACTGACATCCAGGACAGTGGTCATCCTTGGGCTGGGGGGAAACTGACTAGAATAGGGTACAAGAGGAGTTTCTGGGGGGCTGGTAATATTTTGTTTCAATATCTGGGTGGTGGTTACATGTATATGTCCACCTTGTAAAAACTCAGCTAGCTGTACATTTAGTGGGTTTCTGTGTTGGTTTGGATTTATTTTATTTTATTTTGAGAGATGAGGTCTTGCTGTGTTGTCCAGGCTGGACTTGAACTCCTGGGCTCAAGTGATCCTCCCGCCTCAGCCTCCTGAGCAGCTGGCACTCCAGGTGCATGCCACTGTGCCCAGCTTTAACTGTACATTTAGGATGGGTGCATCTTTCCCTCACACTTCAAGAAAATGTTTACCACACACACAAAAAAATACGGACTTCACCAGGTTATTTTGGCAATTAAATGAGTTAATATATGTGTAATACCTAGGATAGTGTCTGGTGTATCAGAAGCACTAGGTATTAGTTATTATTATAAAAAATCAAGATAGCAATAATTCTATAATAGAAGTGACTCAATTGAGATTCTATTTCACTGTTAGAAAATGTGTTTGTGAAGGCAGACAGCTCCAGGACACACACTGCTTCTCAGTCTGCACTGCCTCCCTCCAGGGAAGGGCAAAGCTGCAACATTGTTGGGGTCCTTCTGAGACGTCTTTGCAGTCCTGAGGAGGAGCAGGAGTCAGGTAGATTGGGCTTGGGATTTTATCTTCCTCAATTCCTAGTTACAGGACCAAGGGTAAATGATTTAATCCTAGCTGAACCTCAATTTCTTTATCCATAAAATGGGTCTATAACAACTTGTTACATAGGGTTGTGAGAGGATTAAGTAAAAAATTCTCTTCTGGGTGACGCCTAAAGCCAGTAAGCATCATCTACTCTCATGGCCAAGACAGCACCCAAGGCAGCACCTCTGAGAGCAGTAATGGGACCTCCAAGCAAAGGGGAAGGGTCTAGGCTGGCTTCCTGCAAAGACACTTTGCTCTGAGAGGGCACAGTGTCATGTGTTATTATCATGCCCACAACATGCTTTGCATTTGTTCAAACTAAGTCTAAGTTGATCCCTCTGTGAGAGGGGCACACTTGATGTGGCTCCTGACATTATACTATATGTCCCCTGTAAGTATGACTTCTTGGGAGCTTTTCTTTTTCTTTTTTTTAAAGGGAGAGAATATGGCTAAAATTAAACCAAAAATTACATCTTAGTAGCTTGTTAATCAAAATTTTATTCTAAATGACTGTTGCTGGGTTCCAAGCAGGTGCCTTGATACAGTGTGGCTCTGTGTTCCCACCCAGATCTCACGCCCTCTTGTAATTCCCAGTGTTGGAGGAGGGGCCTGGTGGGAGGTGACTGGATCGTGGGGGCTAATTTCCCCCTTGCTGTTCTTGTGATGGTGAGTGAGTTCTCCCAAGATCTGGTTGTTTGAAAGTGTGTAGCATTCCCCTCTCTCTCTCTTTCTCCTGCTGGCCATGTGGGATGTGCCAGCTTCCCCCATCGCCTTCTACCATGATTGCAAGTTTCCTGGGGCCTCCCCAGCCATGCTTCCTGTACAGCCTGCAGAACCCTGAGCCAATTAAACCTCTTTATAAATTGCCCAGTCTCAAGTAGTTCTTTATAGTCGTGTGAGAATGGACTAATACATGCCTCTCTTCTCCAACTGCACTCCTATGGCTACGTATCAGTCCAAGCCACAGCCAATGTTACAGAGGCCTGTGTGTATCAGGAACTGTGTGACATGCTCTGCATCCATCATCTTACTGACACACACAACAACAAAATTACAGCCACTAGCTGTTGTGTTTCTCCCACAGCCCAACTCCTTACAAGTATCATTTAATGTAATTCCCATGAAGTCCCTGTGGAGAGAGATGGAAACTGAGGGTCAGAGAGGTAAAATAACTCGTCGGAAATCACATGGCTAAGAAACACTGGCTGTAGGCATTGAGATGAACAGCAATACCTTTATTCTACCCAAGGCATGGCATTATTTGCTCTGACACATTGTTTCAATCAACAAACATACTGAGCAACTAATATAACGGACCTTTGTTAGGCATACCAGATTAATCAAGCCCTTAAGTATTTTGATGCCTGACCCAGACTCCACTAAAATTCCCAGGGAGGGGAGACTTTCCTACAGAATCATACCCATTTGATGGATGAGGAAACAATGCTAGAGATTAAATAATTTGCCCGTGTTCTTACAACTGGATGCATCAGAGAAAGGATTTGAATCTGGGTTCCATGAGCCAGTGTTCCTTCCACTACACAGCATGCACAAAATGTGCCCAAATGCATGTGCATATATATGAGTACATAACAAAGAACAGCATGGGAAGCTGGTGGCCTCCTAGGAGGAAAGGAAAGAGAAATAAGAGGGAAAGTGGATAGGACAGGAAAGGAAAGGCAAACATTCAGGTATTCTAAACTCTTTATTTCCTCCTGAAATCTCAGATACACAAAGAGGGAAGAGTGACATTTTCCTTCCCTTCCTCAGGCCCCAAAGGTCACCAAGCTGCCAAGCAGTTGATGAACGCAGTGGCTTTTCTTTGGAGCCAAGAGTCGCTGATTTGCTCCTTCCTGCTCCACAAAATTAAAAATCTAAGCCTGACAGTTCAGAGGAGCCCTGAAAACACCGCTGGAATTTCCCAGTGTGCTTTAAACAGAAACAGAAGCTTGGCAGAGGAGGGAAGTGGTGTAAGCACCTCCCAGGTCAGGCCAAATCCACCCCTCACAAGGTAACAGGCACTGACTCTCATTAACAAGTCCAGGGATTCTCAAGCCAGGTCAGCAAAGGGGCTCTTCCTCTAATGGCCCCTTTCCTGGCCATCGATCCACTGGGTGTTCATTCACTCACTCATTTGGTACATCACGTATGGAGCCGTCATTCATGTCAACTTTACGCTAGGTCTTAGGGACACAGAGACGATTAAACCATGATCTCTGAACTCAAGGGGCTCCCCGCCTCTCCTTGTGGATGGGCTGTGGGTAGATCTGAGAAAGGGCACAGTAGTATGCAGCAGACCAGTGGACCATTCCCACTCACCCACCAGCCCCATTCTCTCCCCGACATGGTCCTGGGCCCAGGGCCAGAAAGTCTCCAGGCTGGGGTCCTGGCCTTTTCACTTACCAGCTAGGCAGCTTCAGGCAAGGCACTCAGCCTTCTCTAGCACCAGTTTCCCTTGCTGTGAGCCGAGGTCATGCTCCTTACCTTCAGGGTTGTTGAAAAGATTGGGGGAGACACTGGGAACACATGTTTCATACAGAGTCCACCATCAAGCAGACGCTCGGTCAGTGCCAGCTGGCCCCCCTCTGGGAGCTGGGTTCTGCCAGTCCTCCTAGCAATCCACTCTAGAAATCCACCCCAACACAGAACCTCCATCCAGCCTGGCCTCCACTCTGCCATCCAGAACGGAGTGGGGAGCCTACTCACACTCTGACTCTGCTGGTGTTTTGTCTCAAACTGAAGCAGGCTTCCCACTGCTGCAGACTCAGTTTCCTCATGTGTAAAAAGAGGACAAGAAAGGTGTCAACACCTTTCCCCACAGCTGCAAAGCACAAACATGCGATGATATGGCAGAGCACTCCATAAGATGAGAAGCATGGCCCAGAGATAGCTCGCCACGTTACTGCCACCCAGCAGATCCTGCTCTTCTAGAAAACCCTCCTGACTACTCCTATCCCCGCCTCAGGTTGTCATCTCTAAACCCCATGCCAAGCACAGTGAACAACAGATTCTTTGGCCTGCAGTTAAAACTTGTTTAGTGATGTTTCCTGTGCGCTATCACTTTCCCCTTAAAATAACTGCTTTAAACCTTACGCTATTCACATACACTGTGGTAATGTTTACCACTGGTACCTGTAAAGCAGTGTTGAATTTTTGAACATACCATATTTTATATTTACCTATATTTTAGAATGTATTATTTTAAAATATCCTCAAAGCAACCTCTTGAAATGAGCTTTATTATTCACATTTTACAGAAGAACAACCTGAAGCTCCAAGAGGTACAGTAATTTGCCCCAGATCATAGAGTATCAGAGTTAAGATTTGAGCTTGGGATTTGACCCCAAAGCCTGGTGCCTTTCTCCTCGCTGTGCAGCCTCCTCCACTTTCCAGGCACAGAGCTGGTGCTAAGCAAATACTGAGGACAGTGGCCACTTCCACACGTCTCTTGTGACCTCCATGTATAGACTTACCAGAGTGCTGAAACACAGTGGCAAGCAAGCCCTAAAAGTAGGGCCAGTATAATAGTTTTCTTTTGTACACACTAAACTGCTTCATGCAATGAAATAACTGTGTTTGAATCCTGCTCCTCCTAATTATGTGTGTGACTTTGGACAAGTTACTTAACCTCTCTGTGCCTATATTTCATCATCTGTAAAATAGGGGCCCCACTACCAGAGCACAGATGCATTATGAAAATTAAATAATGAGCATAACGTGTCTGGCAGTAGTTCAAAATAGCATCCATCCAAAGTGAAACAATAGAACTTGAATTTAAGAGTTTCACTGGGAGTGTGGGGGATGTTGATTCCCTAGTCCCCAAATGGTTTGGGGTCACCCTATCATAAAATAGGACCTCATTCCTCCCACACAACTGCCACTTGCCATCATTCATTCATCACTAAGCACTGCAAAGCCCGACTCCCATCTCCACCTGCCTTTTATTTGAAATGTCAATTTTTAAAGAGTGGAGAGGTTGGAAACCCAATTTAACAAGCACGCTGAAACATTGTTTATTGCCCCCATAAACATGGCTTAGTGAGAATTACGGACTTAATCAGAGTGAACTTATCTTGCGGTGAAAAGGAACACTTTAAATTTCAGAAATGGCACCTTCACTGTGAAAATCTCTTAACTTTTCAAACAAACTACAGGGGGTCTTAAACATATGGGCAGTAAAGGGGCAGCTATTACTTTGATTTGTCCTACCCACGAGCCTAGGAGCCCTCACAGTCCTTAACAACTTTAAGATCTAGGAAAAATACTTGGAAAATCATATTCAGGAGACATGTCTCTAAAAGCACCCAAAAGGTCTGCAGAGTGAGAAGTGAGACCTGTATAGCTGCTCTTGGGGTTATTCAAAAGGATGGGCCCTAGGGTCATTAGAACAGGGGCTATTTAATAAGCAGCAGCAGTGAGAAAGTGCACCCCTCCTCCTAAGATTAAACATTTAGCAATAGGTAATATTTTGCTGACCTGCTTTTCAGAAGAGAGGTGCTACACAAATCTAAAAGGCTGCTAAATGGTTTGTGTGGGTCTTCTTTATTTATAAACCCCCTCCCTCCTGCTGAGGATGACGTCCTATGAACCCCAACTTCCCAATCTGAGGCTTCATTAATGCTACTCAGATCATTCCAGGGAAGGTTTTCATAAAGACGACCCCATCTTGCAGACAACGTATCAGCCTGGCTGCCAGAGGCAGGAAAGGCAATAGATATAAAATTTTATTATTTCAATGCCCCAGTAGCAGCCAGGAGGACTTAATGAAATCGCCAAGATTTACAATCTGAAATAGCTATTGCACAGACAGATACAGTTAAGGGAGCTGAGCCCTCTGACCTTTCAACCCTTTGATCTTCACTCGGCAGGTGGCCTGGAGCCCCCTCCTGGGCATCTTCCCTCTCTTCTGACACTGCCAAACCTTGATGTGCAATAAGCCTGACCCTACACAGGTGACTCTCCCGGTGCTTATCACCAGCAGCTGCTGCTAATGGCACGGCCAAAATCACTCCGAGGCAGGGAAGGGGAATATACTGTGCAGTGTCCAAATGGTGCTGAAACAAGGCTCAATAACTCAGCCCCAAGTCCAGTTGTGCAGCAGTGCATAATGATGTCATTACCCAAAAGTGTCCTTAGAAAATGGAACTCTGATCTCCCCTGATTTACACTTTGAGGTTGGGGGAGGGGGGAAAATCACCTTTTAAAACTCAATCACAAATCTCAAAAAAAAAAAAAAAAAAAAACCAACCCCAAAGTCCCAAATGCATCTCTCAGAACTTCCCCAAAACCATGTGCAGCAAATTTATACCAGCGAAAATCTAAACAATTTTTGGAAACCTAAAATTGACTGTTTTCAGTTCCATGAAATTTCATTTAAAAAACCCCATATGCCAAAATGTCCAAATTCTCTTATTTTTAAAAATTGGGATGACATCCAAAAATCATAGCTATCTTTTTCTTTCTTTTTTTTCCCCCTTCTTCTAAAGCTAGGGATGGGTAGTGTGCATATGTACTTATCAAGCTTCATAATTTAACCCATTCGGTCAGTACAAAATATTTGCAGTTAAATGCTGAAGAGGGAGGATATAAATTTATTACCACTGGATCTTTGGAAACAACGGACTCCTAGGCACCAAGGTTTAGCAGACATTATATTTGGCTAAGGAAGTGTCCAGGAGTCTAGGCACAGCTCCAATCTGCACCTTTTAGCTTTTGTCAATATTTGGGTTTATGGAGGGAAGGATTTTAGGCAAGACACATAAACCACTCTCAGGGATGTTGATAACTTCCAACCACAAAACAAAACTTCAGTGCCACTGTTCATCATACTTCAGAAAAGCCCCCAGTCAATGCCTTTGTTTCTAAACAAACATAGAATGGTGGTCCCAAGCTTTACCTGCAAAGGCCTGAACTTAGATCATAAATGTTTGAATCCAATAGCCAAAGAAAAAACCTACTTCTTTTGTAGCCTAAACGGCATATCTCTTAAGTGTCCAACTTTAATTTCATCTTGAAATCAGCTGAGAATCAAACAATATGTAAAGAGAGATCTATAGACTCCATTTTTAAACACACTTTTCTCTCTGGATGTTTAACTTTAGTACAGAGAGTAGTGTGTGGAGAAATTAGTTTAGCAGGGGGGAAAAAAGGCATGGTTACTACATCACAGTTTGACCTCTTTGTACAAAACGACTGTTGAGCTATCTTCTAGAGATGCCTATTGGAAATATTTTATTCATAATAATAGCTACCAGAGGGTGATGGCCTAGTAATGTTCATGGCACTTCGGTCATATTATTTCTAATTGTCATCACTTTATGGCAGGTGTCCTCATTTTGCTGATGGGGATATTAAGGCACACACCCACAGAAGCTCAGCGACTTGCCCAAATTACAGATAGATAAATGGCAGAGCTGGGATTCAAACTCAGGTTCACTGACTGCTCAAAAAGCCCATGGTCCAGCCACATTTTCCCCAACAAAAGCAAAACACGAACAAACAGAACAAGAACATGCATTAATTTGTGCAGAAAATGCCGGATTTCGGCTTGCTTACACATTGCCCTGGCCCATTTAACGGCCTTCCAAATCAATTATTTTAGGTCATTAAGAGGAAGTTTAATTTGGTTGACAAACACCCCTACTGTGGTGACCTCACATATCAACAACAAATGCCTGATGGTCACAAACCCATACCATGAGTCGGCTGAGCATGGTGTTAAACAAAACCACATGCGCCCAGATTTCAAGTGGGATTTGTCTAGGCCAAGGGTACGGCTCTTCAATCATCACACTGCTGGTCTCTGAGCTCCCACAATGGCCCCGCCCCTAATCACTTGCAAGGAGTTTATGAAGTCAACAGTCTCACGTGGCCGGGCTCAGTTAAAAAGTAAGTTTAAGTTAATGTCAGTTTAGAAAAAGTCACTCATTAGAAAAATAAAAACAGGTTGAAAAAGGAGGGCAGAGTCAATCTTAGGTAGATAAGTCTTTTAGTTTCTTTGTAAGGGAAGGATATCAATTCTACACCTAAATAATATTGATAATCACTTCCATTTATTTGGCACTCACCATGTGTCAGACACCAATCTGAGTGTTTTCATGTACCTTCTTATTTACTCCTCATTGAAAACTCCTATGAAATGGGGCAACTACCTATTTTACCAGTGAGGAGTCTGGGGCTCAAAGAGGCACCTTAACGTACCCATCTGCAAAACAGGGGCACCTCTCTCAGAGTGGTGGCAATTAGAAATTACACGGCCAAAGTGGCATGCACATTAGTAGACCCTCATTCAATGGTCAAGATTATTATGTATAGGTATTTCCAGCAGGAATCTTTTAAGAGGATAGCAAAAGAATAGTTTTGTGCAAAGTGGTCAAACTGTGTGATGTAGTAACCATACCCTTTTCCTCTGAGAAACTGATTTCTGATTTAAACAAAGGAGTTTGCTTAGGCCGGGTGTGGTGGTGCACACCTGTAGTCCCAGCTACTTGGGACGCTGAGGCAGGAGAATCGCTTGAACCCAGGAGGCGGAGGATGCAGTGAGCTGAGATGGCACCACTGCACTCTAGCCTGGGCAACAAAGCAAGACTCCATCATAAAAAAAAAAAAGGTGCTTGTTTAAAGTGATCTAGTAGTGGTGAAACTAGAATATGAACTCAGGTCCATATGACTCCAGTGCCCACGAGCTCTCTGTTACACAGTCCCCCTGCTCACTGCCCACTGCTCCTTACCTCAATCTGGCAGGAATTTGACTCATTCAGGCTTCTCTTGGTAACAATTTATAAACTTTTAAGTTTTCTCTGAAGCCAGTTTTAACATTGCTAAATGCAACCTATATATAATGACATAAATGATGATAGGAAAATACGAAAACAAAAGCATCAATGATGGTTTCACATTTTTTTACTGGGATTCTCCTCATCATTACTGAGTTTTTCTCATCTGTAACAGAGGGCTATTCCATCTCACGTGAGAATATTTCCATCATGACTAGTTAGACTGAAAACGTACTGACTGCAAGAGATACTTAACTCAGCCAGAAGTACTTGTTCCCTTTGATTACATAAATTACTGCTAGAGCTTTAAATTGTTTTATATTAACTAATTCCAACATTAGGATAAGTGGCATTTGAGATTCATATTCATTTTAAAAGCAAATGCTTACTGTGAAGAGGAGACAGCTTCTAAGGGAAATCTATCCACTCAATCCAGGGCCTTCCTCGAGGCCTAAGGTGAGCAGAGCCTGCTGCGTTTGCAGTAGGAAGCTTCTGGATGGTACGAGACTCATAAGTGATGACTGTGCATGAGAACACATAGCATGCTAAGGAAATTCCAGGACCAAGCCACCGTTCAATTACCTTTTTCTTTACAAAATAAAGCAATCTCCACCCAGGGTTTCACTGATATAAACTTTGCCTCTTATTTTTATACTACTAACTAGGAAAATGAATGTTTGGCATAGTATTTTTAAAAAGCTCTTCATATTTGATTTAATTGAATAAACTATATCAGTTAATTCTCACAAGTCTTTTATGTGGATAATATCAATTTAATTTTACAGATAAGAGTGGACCAGGTAAGAGTGGACCAGATAAGTTAACCAGGTCCCAGTCAAAGTATACTCAGAGCTTGTCTCTGGAGGAATATGGGGCCACCAGCTGTAAGCCCTCCTTTCCCCTCCTCACCACAATCCCCAGCACACAGCACTGAGAAGGAAGAGCCCAGGACAGGTGGGGACTCTGCCCAGGACTGGGATGGCACAGGCATAATCCACATGGCCTGATGGGAGGGTACGCAGATCAGAGGCTCTGATAAACCCCTTGCAGCTGAAGGCCTGGGTACAAATTACAGTCGTCTCTCAGTATCTGAGGGGGATTGGTTCCAGGGCCCCTGTGAATACCAACATCTGCAGATGCTCAAGTCTCTGATACCAAAGGGTATAATGTTTGCATATAACCAATGCACATACTCCTGTATGCTTTAAATTGTCTCTAGATTACTTACAATACCTAATACAATGTAAATGTTAAATAGTTGTGATACTGTATATAACAACTATTATACAACAATTATACAAATATTATACAAAAATAGCCAATACCATATTGGCTTTTTAATTTATATTCTTTCATATATTTTTTTCCAAATATTTTTGATCTGTGGTTGGATGAATCTGTGGACATGGAACCTGTGGATGCAGAGCGCCAATTGTATGTTACCTCTCAGAGCCTCAGCTTCCCTATCTGCAAGTGTGAATATCTCCTACTTCGCAGAGAGTGTCTGAGGAACGCTCAAACATGAAAACAGGTCAAGTCCTCAGCACAGTGGTTGGCAAGTACTCAAAAGATGTTAAAGTCTCCTCCAACCCTTTCCCTTTCTTGCCATGAGCCTATGAATGAAACTATCAGGTGAGATTTTTCATGCAAATATCACTTTTTATTTCATTTTATTTTGAGACAGGGTCTTTGTCACCCAGGCTGGAGTGCGGTGGCACAATTATGGCTCACTGCAGCCTCGAACTCCTGGGCTTGGCTTGAGTGATCCTCTTGCCTCAGCCTTCTGAGTAGCTGGAACTATAGCTGTGTGTCACCACACCTGGCTAGTTTTGTTGTTGTTGTTGTTTTTAATTTTACGTAGAGATGAGGTCTCACTGTGTTGCCCAGGCTGTTTTTTAATAAAGCAAGAATAGGATCACTTGGCACTAATAAATGTCACATGGAACATCTCTGTTCTTGTGAGGACACATATACAAGTCACCATTTATACCTGGATGTAACTATGGCTCAGAATTTTGCATCAATTGCAGCATTAACAAATGTGAACTACATCTTACTTCTGTCTACATGTGGAGTCATACAAAGAAGCAAAATGGTACAATGGTAAACAAGAAACACTCTTCTTTACTCTGTTAAAAAATAAATATCAAAAAAAGAGAAAGGAACAAAGCATGAAAGACTTTCTATGCCAGGGGAAAAATGAAAAGAAAAAACTAGTTAAAATAGTGCCAACTCAATTGACAGAAATTCCAGTTCTTTGAAATGCAAAGGAAAAAAAATCCCATTACTTTCCCCTTGCCTGTAAATAAATGAATCCTATATTATTTTGTGTAAAAGCTCCATAGTTAAATTGGGAACCTTGTTGTAGACATAGACAAATGTGGCCTCTGGATCCCGAGACCAAGATGAGCTTTGATTTGGCACCTGGATGCTGTCCTCTGAATGGCGGCTCAGTGCTGTTTTAAGCACTTGTATGTTTGAAAAACCAGGCTTCTAGGGACCCATGGCTAAGCATTCCTAGGTAAAAGATGGTGAAAGCAGCAGAATGCCAGGAGCTCCCCATGCACCCATCACACGCCTCTTGAAACTGCATTAGAGGGGAGAAGCAGCTGGGGGCCCCCCAACTGGTCCCTGGGTCTCACTCCCCCTGCACCTACTGCCTTGAACTACCACATAGTACATAAAATACATTCATACCCTTAAACTGAGGTGTAGAAAAAGTAACTAATTCATAAAAAGTACTTGAAAACATAGAAGAAAAGACACAATCTAGTAAAAGTGGTGCTAATACTTCGAAGAAAGCCATCACTACAAACACCTCTGTCACAGCTTGGTAGCAAAGAAGCTCAGGTTTGGGACACTGACCCATCTGAATTTTATGTACATGTTTTTGATGTGTAATTTCCTAAAGAATTACCTTGATCTTTGCAAATATCAATTTACTTTATTAACATGGTTAAGTGGTTTCCAAGCATTTTATACGGAAGGACTGTGTTTCTAATGGCCCAGAAGGAGAAGGCCTGACCATGTCCCTCCTCTATTTACACCCTTCAATGGCTCTCCATTGCCCTATAAAGTTCAAACTCTTTACTGCAGCCTCCAAGGCCCTGGATGGGCTGGGCCTGGCCTGCTTACCTCAGCTCATGCTCCTATCGGAGGCTGAACTACTCATATCTCCTGGAAAGCCCCCTTTGCCTACACCTAAGTCTTTGCAGATGCTGCTCTCTGCTCCCTGGTTTATCTAATTCTTCTATTTATCTACTAGGTTTCAGTGTGGGCATTCTCTTCCTCTGAGAAGCATTATTCTCAAGGCTAGGGTCAGCATCTCTCCTCCCAGAGCCTACAGCATCCCAAATTCACTACAATTACTTTATATTTTTCTGCATCTGGTCTACACACAATCCTGTGAAGGTGGATATTATATCACATTTGCCATTTTTATACAGAGCCCCTAGTATAAACATGGTGCCCCGTACACAGAAAGCTCTCAAAACTCTGTTGCAGAAAGGAATGTATATTGTGTCCCCACCACATGCCAGACACTGGGATATGCTGTCCATATACAGGACTCAGCTCTTAGGAAGAAAGCAAGATACAGAAAGATGTAGTATCATGGCTGGAGTTAGCACAGCAGGGAAGTGGTCAAGCAGGGGTTTGGAAGTACATTTGTCAAATTCTACAGAAGTGTCACTCCCAAGCCTGGTACCGTGCCTCTGCATTGCAGACCAGGAGAAAACGAGGCAGGCACAAACCAATTGTGTTGAAACTGTCTTTCCCTAGGACATGAGGATGATGATCCTGGGAACCCAAGAGCTCCTAAAACACAGTTTCAAAGCCATCAGCTTAACAATGGAAACGGCTTGAAGGCCACTAAAGAAGTAAAACCAGCAAGGATTGCTGACCTTTGTTGAGCTCTTTATGTGCAGGAACTGTGCTGGGCATCTGATAGGCATTATCTCACTGGATCCTCCCAGTGATCCCATAAGGGAGACACAGCCATTATCCTCAGTTTACAGGTGAGAAAATAGAGACTCAGAGGTCAATTACCTTGCCCACGATCAAGTAAGCAGGAAGTAGAGGTGTCACATTCTAACTGCTCTACTTCACTGCCCCTGTGTATGGGTGGAACTTCATTTACAAGCCACCGGATCCTCTGTCTGGAACTGTCATTGCTGTCACCTTTCCCTTCTCCTTCCTGACCATCCCACCACCAAGAAGGATAGAAAATACCTTCTGGATGCATCCCTCATGTCACTCTGAGGTCTGTACACAAAGCATTGTTTGTGAGGCTTGAGGAGGAAGGTCTTCATTTATCAAACAGGAGAAGCACCATCGACCAGACATGACCTGGCACCTGCTACCAGAGATGGCACAGAAGAGGGGCTGCATAAATGTCTCTTGAGCTAAATTGAGATCGCTTGAATGAAAGGACAGTCACTGTGGAATCTGGCCGTGTTTTGGGATTTCCTAGCTGCCAGCTAGCATGATCATTCTCTCCAAGAAGAAACTAGGTCTATGCCAATACCCTTGGCTATTCTGCTAACATGCCACTAGCCTCAGATTGCTTAAATGAGAGAGAAACTATAAACAGGCAGAAGGAGAGAGAAGAATGGCGATCAGGTATACACTTGTCACTTTGGGAGGAAGGCGGACTCTGTAAGGTGACTAGGTTATCATTTAATGGCATCCTGTAAGAGCATGAACCAGAATTAGGTCTTTCCCCAAAATAACCTTTTTAAAAATAACAATGCAAGTTTGTAATTTATATTTCTTTTTGTGCAACAAATTTGAGTGTCATAAAAATGGTTAAAAAGTCTTCCTATGGTAGCTTTTTCTAAACTTTTATGAACATCTGCCACATTCATTTGAAGTTTAAAAAATTCTGGCACATATGCAAAGGCATAATAAGGTGCCTATAGCTTTCAAGAAAAAATAACAAGACAGTCAAAAATAAGCCTTTTGCTGAATTGCCAGTAAGAAAACTAGTGTAGCGAGAGGAGATGGGCCTTCCTGAGCACCTTCCGTAAACGGCTTTCCTTTGGCCCCAGGTCTGAGCTACAGGTTCCTGCAAGAAACCGCAGAAGGAGTATCCCTTTCACCTGAAGGGTACAATCGAACTAGATAAGCCCCATCAGAAAGCACAACTAGAGCACTCGGAATCTGAGCTGAAATTCCAGGGAGGAGGTCAGGAGACTGAATTCTAAGATTCAGTAGTTCACGGCTGCCCTACACACTCAGGAAACACTTCTTTGTTCATAAAGTGTCTTGGCTGGTTTCAAGAGTGGGACAACTCCCATTTTTGTTTTTATTTTTGTGCTGACTACACAGGAGTTCAGCACAGCAAACTCCTCCCCAGCCTCCGTCAATCAGCAGGGCTAAGATCTATCTGGGCCAGTGCTTCCTAAGCCTTCTCCCTTAACGCCCTTCAAAGGCTGAGCAGAAGAGACCTGCACCCATTCATGTAAGTGCAAAACTCTGTCTCAAGTTTCAGCTGCAAAATGTACGCATATTTTACACTGCATGTTTTACTACAAAAGGCCTTATTTTAAATTACTTACAATTATATAAAAAGTAAAAAATTCACTTCCCGCACCTGTAAGTAAAATTATGGCATTGGGTTGCCTGAAAACAGTGATGCCTATTAGAGGGCTTCTAAATGTGCTCCCAATTACAGCTTTCCAAGCATTCACTCAACGCTTCTTTTCACAAAGCATTTGCTCAGAGAATATCACCTGTGTGGCATCCTGTTAGGTGCTGAGGACACCACAGTGAATGGGAACAGTCCTTGTTCCCAAAGAAGTCATGCTCCAGGGGATGATGGAGAGGAACAAGGAAGCAAACAGCTATTATTCAGAGCAAGAGGCACCATAAGTGAAAGAAGAAAACAGAGCAGGAGGACTTCTTGGAAGAGGTGGAGAAGGGCAGGGCTGATGCATGCAGAGGGTTGGGAATGTGGATATGTTTAGGGATCAGCAGGAGCACAAGCTAACATGGGTCAGTGACCAGCCAGAAGGCTTGACAGTAGTGGAGAGACTGTGCAGAACCCAGGGACTGTGTAGGGGAGGCTGGAAGGCTCCTCCTCAAGTATTATGTAGCCCATGGTTATCAAGTGACCAGCTGGAGGGCAACCCATGCAATGTTGTGACTATGCACTGAACTTTATATTCATCTCCATACCTCCAGGACCTAGCAAAATGCTTGGAACATAAGAGACCCTCATGTTGTTTATCAAATGAATAAGGCTTTTGCAAGAATCCAAGAAAGCAAAGTGTCAATGAAGGCAGTGAGGAAAGAACAGGGCGAGAGACGTTTTGGAGCTTTGTGAGTATTTAGAGAGGATGAGGAAGAAGAGCATTCAGCCATGATCAGTGTGTTCCACTTAGGTGCCATTGAAGGCAGTAGTGCCATTCACAGGGACCAGGAACAGTGGAAGGGGAGTGGAGTGGCTTAGAGAGAGAGAGAGAGACACAGAGAGAGAGACACACACACACACACACACACACACACACACAGAGAGAGAGAGAGAGAGAGAGAGAGAGTGTGTGTGTGTGTGTGTGTGTGTGTGTGTGTGCAGACAATAAATTGTTTGGGGAAGACTGGGGGAGACATCCGTAGTACATCCAGGTGAAATCCAACTGGCACTTTAAACTTTGGACCTGAAGCTCAGAGAGAGGCAGACCAGCATTAGAACCCCAGCTGAGTCATTGACATTGACCTGGTAGCTGAAGCAAGAGGCCTTAAACAAGGTGACTAGAGGGCACATAGAAAAGAAGAGAAAGACAAAACTAGAAACTTGGAGAATGCTGAGGCGCTGGGACATAAAAAGGAATCTGAAAAAGCCTGTGCTGGAGCAGTCTGGAAGGCAGGAGGAGAGGCAAGCGGGAGGGAACTGTGGACTCCGATAGACCAAATAGTCGTTATATTAGTGTTTCAAACTCTACAGCAATTGGCACTAACGGTCCATTGGTAAGTATTTACTTTGAATTTCAATTTTTCATACGGGAGCTTTGAATAGACCCCCAAACTTGACAAACAAAGGTAAAACACAGAAGAAATCTCTTCAATCTGATCTAAATACATCATCCCAGATAGTCCATAAACTGTGTACTGTATGTGCTTAGGGCTGGGTGATGACAAGGAGGAACTGTTAACAGAATGTAGGAGCCACATGGCCGGCCTGTCAAATTAGAAATTTGAGCAGATTTCTGTGGTCTATTTTGATCAAGATTCTCAATGTCAAACAAACAGGTTTTTCGATAACCAACTTCTTTCATTTTCGTAAGCACAATAGCACAGTGTGCAACAGTTAGTGAAGCAGGTGGTCCTCGTCGACGTGAAATGAAGGGAACAGAAGAAGAGAAGTAGCACTTCCTTCAAGACATGCAAAGCACCACCGCAGACGGACATGGCTGTAGATTTTCCCTCTGAGAGCTTATCTCCTGTGCAACACAGGCAAGCACCCTCCCCACGCCTCATTTTGCTCTAGTACAAATTAAAACTCTCTCCTGAGGAGGAAAGGGCTTAGGGTACATGTCTACAAACTAATGACACTTACAAAAGCACAGAAAAGTCCTTTAAAAGAATTGCTATCTAATTGGTACAGCCATACAGAAAGCAATCTGGCATCCGATGCATAGCTTTGACCAAGCATTTCTACTTTAGGGGTTCTATGCTAGGGAAATGAGGCAAAATGCAGATAAAGCCTTATGCATAAAGATGTTCACTGAAATGCTATTTATAATAGTGAAAAATTATAAACAACCTCAGTGTCCAACAGTAGGAAAACAGTTACGTTGTGGTATATCCAAATAGTGGGAATGATAGGTGGCAAATTAAAAATTATTACTGAGAGTAGATAAAAACATGTAGAGATTCCCAAGCCATGTTAATTAAAATAAAGACACAAAATTATAAAGTATATCAATTATACATATTTATACAAAACATATATTTAGAGACTAAAGACCAAGAGGGAGATTAGTAAAATGCTAACAATGGTTCAATCTGGAATAATGGCATTGTGCATAATTTTAATTTCCTTCTTCATGATTCTATATACATTTTATATCACATTTACTACAATGAAGAATGCAATATTGCTATAGCGATTAGAACAAACATTTTGAAAAGCAAATCATTTCCCTTCCCTCGTTCAAACCCTTAAAGAACCCTTTCCTCCTGCCTCCTTGACTCTCATTCCCTCAACCCATGAAAATCCACAGTCTCTCGGCAAAGTGGGAAAACCCTGAAAACAGAGCCCAGTGCACGGCGTCCAAACCGAACGCTCAGCTCTGTACGCTGGGAGGTGCTGCTTCAGCATGCTCCCACGTGCAGAGCTGTGACTGCTGAGACTGGGTCTCTCCACCGCCACACAATGAAACAAAGCCCCAGGTAGAGCCATCTGGGGAGGAAAGAAGCCAACTTACCTCCATTAAACTTAAATGGATTCCTATGAGGTAGGGCATGGGAGCACTGTGAAGAGAAACAGAGACACACAGCTGCTTTAATGTCTGTTGCTTCTGACAGAAAATTACAGATGGTTCACTATTTGGAGAAAAACTGTTTTAATAAACGTATGCATAGTTACATTTCCTTTCACAACAAAAATCCTAATATGACATTTTGTTCCCAAGCCTAGAAACTTCAGAAGAATTTCAAAACGTGGGCAGCATTGGAAACAGCATGGGTAGCAGGAAGAGCATCAACCTTGATATTAGCCCCTAAAGAGCGGCTCTGCAACTGCACAGCCTCAGTTGCCTTATCTTTAAAATGGAATCCTGGATTCCAGCCAGCACGTTGTTACTAGAATCAAAGAAAATATACGTTAAATGATCAGCAGAGTTCTAATACAGATGGGAACGATTATTGCCATGATTACAACAGAAAAAGCAGTTAAGGTTGGATGAAGGGCATAATGTGTTTCAAAGAAGAATATTTTGTATTTGCTGCTTCCTCTGTCATCAAGAGATGTGATCTAACTGTCCATTCTGATTGGACAAAGTACTTGGAGAGCTGCCAGCAAGCATCTCCTCCCCAGTTGCACACATGCCATCCCATGACACTATAATTCAGAAAGCCTCTGCCAACTGCTTCATTCACGGAGCCACGGGTTGCCTAAGTCAGTGACTGAGCAAAGGCATGAGAACTAAACTCCAATGGGTTTAAAACCTGGGCATTTTGGATACACCGGTCCTGCCGTTGATTTCAGGGGTCGGTGTGTATGTGTGTGTGTGTATACATTATCATTTATGTTACCTACCAATAACAAATGTGCTAGACATTATATGAGGAACTTTAAATTCATCTATTCTAATCCACATAACAACTTTGCAATACCCATAGATACAATACCCATTTTACAGAGAAGGGACTAGGCCTAAAGAGGTTAGTTAAATCACTTACCTAATACCACAAAACAAAGTCAGTGGTAGACCTGGGATTTGATTCCCAAGTATGCATTTCTTCCTTTGTGCCACACTGACTTTGTAATATAGAACCTGAAATCCCCAAGCTCACTCCCCATGCAATGCTTTCCTTTGGGTTAGGGGAAGGAGGTCAAGGGATAGCGAGGAAGGGTGTGATTGGCAACTTTTCCATCTGTCTCTGTAGTATGGGATATAGTCTATGAAATGTGCAGATGGTATTTTGTGAACCTAGAGAAAAGACACCTGACTCAGACTGGGGTGAACAGGTACTTTTCTTCTGGGGCAGCTGGTAGAGTAGAGGTGGATGGACAAGAATGGCTCTTTGGGGACAAAGTTGGAGAAACAAGGAGTGGTAAGTAATGAGACAGGAGAGGTTTGCTTCCAACTGAATACTAAGGAGTTTAGGCTTTATCCTGAAAGCAATGGATAGGCAAGGGAGGTTTCTAAACATCACATGTATATTTTTAAATTGCTCAAACATTTAAAAATAAGAAAGGACACAATTCCCTCATTACCATTCAACAAATAAAATTCAAGCAAAAATCCTTTCTTTCCCCAGAATATAAAATGTCCTCCTTACTACAGATCTCAGCAGTAATATAATATGTCTTGGGAACATGTAAAACAGACTTGAATATTAGCAGCTCAGTTTGCTAACTATTCTAGAAGACTTTTGTATTTGATAATAGCTAAAGAAAGAACTATACACACAATTGCAGTGAAAGTGGAGTTGTCTTTTCTTCTTCTTCTTCTTCTTTTTTTTAGGTATCTGCTGTGTGTATTCAGCTTCTCTTTGCTTCTAGGGGCAAGGAAATGCCCTGTGATATTTTTTTTCCCCTTAAACTGTAAACCATTAGTTTAGCTGCCAGCTACACAAATGCTCAAACTTCCCAGTGTGCCTGGCTCTGCTGTCCAAGCTTTTTCCAGTGTACACTGAAATGAATGTGTTTCTAATTAAGTAGCTTCAGGAACACGACAGCTTCAATGTCAAAAATACAAAGTCTGAACCCTGGCAGGAAGTCTTAAGACTGCAAATGTCTCATCTAGTGGAACCTTGCCTAATGTAATGAAAGGAAGCAGGAAGAGTACAAATTCCAGAAAAATGGCCACTTATTAATGTGACCAGAAGCACAGCCTAACACATAGAAGGGAGAAAGCACAAATCCATAATATTTAACTAAATCTTATCACCCTTCCCATCTCCTACATTTAATCATGCAATTGACCAGTGACCATGGGTTTTAACCAGAATTGTAGAACTGAAATTCCAACAAATGAGTTAATATACAGAAAAAGACATTCAAACGGTTGAAAATAAATATGTATAGCAAAACCCCTCTGTATAACTTAACCATAGGATCTTATGTATGTAGACTTTAATGCTACACCCTTTTGTCCTACAATAAAAATCAATGATACCCTGAAAGGAAAAAGGGACCTCATGGAAGAGACTGAAGAGGCAAGAAAGGGCAAAATGGAACTCATTCTTCAAGTATCTTTAGATAGGCATTTTTTAAAGCCCAATAATTATCCAAAGAGTAATTATGGCCTATCGCAGAAATGTAGTTTTCTTAGCCAAGTATTGTTAGAACTGCAACAGCTCTGTATTTAGAAAATATTTAAAACACATTTATTCTGAAATCATAGCAGCTCCATGTTTTGTATGAATGCAAATTTGGACAAATACCTTTTACATTGTCATCATTTACGTATCAAGCCTCAGATACTTCCCTGAATCTACTGCATGTTTGCTCTGCAAATATATAATTACGAATTCCAAGTGGTGAGAGGGAGAGGGAAGAAAAAGAAACCCAGAATTTCCTGAACATCTCAATGTGGTACTTATCCAATTGGGTAATTCTAGGTACAGTCTGAAAACAATTTCTATTCTCACTGTATCTCAATAATTATTGTAGCTACTGACTCAGTTTCTTGGAACCTCTTCTTTGTCTTTTTATTTTTAAAAGAAATGTTTGGGGAGAAAAACACCTACCCATGATTATATTATCCTAACACAATTACTTTTTCTTTTGCATTCCTTTCTAATACTGGCTCACATTAACAGCTTTATATCTTTGAAATTATAAAGTGCATACATTGTTTTATTTTCTCATTGGCTACATGAACATTTCCCAGATTGTTCTATAATTTTTGTGATTATTAAAGACTGCATAATATTCCACCAAATATGGATGTATCATAATTTATCGAATGCTATCCCTAGAGTAGACATTAAGTTGCTTCCAATTTTCTATAAGTATCACTGTGATAAAAATGAACACCTTCATGTTGCATGAATTCCTAGACACCGAATTACTAAAAATTAAAGGACAGGGCTGTTTCTTATCTTTTGTTATATCCTAGCAAAGCATTCTCCAATAAGGCAGTACCTGGCCTAGTAGAAATCTTTCAGGATTGTTGTAGAGATTAGAGACAACCTCTGACGTACCTGGCACAGCAGCAGCACATGGTAGGGTTTTCTCTGAGCCCCTGGCATGGCTGGCACCATTGGACCCACTCTCCTATTACCCACAGAATGGTTTCTTGTTCCAGCCCTGGTTCTGTAGCATACCCGCTCTAGGATACCTGGTAAACTGCTGGTAAGAATGGTCAAGATGCCATGAGGAATGGGAGGTGCTTGACAGGCACACACCATCTCTACACATGGATTTCTGACTCCCAAGCACACTCTTGTCTCCCGGATACTCCACTGAGTTCAGGAGGGTTGCTCATCACTCTCGTCAGGAGGGTGCCTTTCCTTTCTAATGTACCACCAATAACGGAAAAACTATCAATGAAACAATGGTTCATGACTTTCTGATCACTTGGACACATTTTTAAAAACCTCTTATCACTCTTGAGCATACATTAAAAATAAAACAGCAAAATAAATTGGGTAAGCTATTTAAAAAAAAAAAACTTCTTCATATTCAGAATCCAACACATCTGAATCCTTTTCTAATTCAGAGGCATAAACGTCCATGTTTTTCCAAGGGTATCTCAGTTACAAAACCAAACCAAAATCCATCTACTAGAAGTGATCTTCCTGTTTAGGTTCAAGAAAGAACTTATTTGTTGCTGTTCTAGAAAACATGAATGGAAATATCTGCTTCAGTAATAGCAAATGTATATACTCTGCTTCTCTTCTCCAGAGCCTTTTAGCATTCACAGTGACTTTACCTTTCAATATTGAATCATAGTGCAATTTTGAAGACATTTTAAACGGCAATTAAACAACATGTGCAGAACCAACAATGCACATAATTAAATTAAAGTGGTGATAATATTAACAGTTATAACCAAACTTATGCATAGGCAGGTCATGACAACCATGTCACAACTGCTGTATGACTGACAGTGATTGTAGGATGCTATTGTACATCCTGGAATAGCAGAATGGGGTATATCTGTATGAAGCTTTTGTTCTCTGGGAATTACTGCACTATCTGATTTCATCAGTTACAAACGTGAGAGTAAAAGTGACTCTTTTTTCCTTCTCCCCTGAAAAGGAAAAGGGCTCTGTTGCTGGTGTTGAGGCAGACACAACAGAATAACCTTTACCTGGAAGATATCTTTAGTTTGAATCCTCTTAAGAGGAAAAGGAACTTTTATTGAGCTACTATAATTCAGTCACCTTTATGCATTACACACATAATGCTCAAGGGAACTCTGCAAGGTGGTGCGATCATCCATATTTTCAGGTTAGGAAACACGCTCAGAAAGATAAAATTTGCCAAGATCGCACAGCTGGTCAGTGGTGAAGCCGTACTTCAGACGCAAGGCTGCTGAACAGACAGCCCAAGCTCTGCACATGAGGTCACACAGCACATACTCAGTACTTAAGCTGAAAGGAAAAGAGCGCTGGGGTACCAAAAGGGCTATTCGCCAGTCCTCTTGGTTCCAGGCCTGTGATGCTGAGCGCTTCTCTGACAGGTAAGTCCTATGGCATGAGCTTATTCCCAGCAAGGAAGAAGCAAGAATATGGAAACTGCAGACTTACTAACGATCCTGTAGTCCTTGTTCATTATTACCGCACTTTCACAATTTGTTTAATTCCTTTCCCCCAGATAACCAGGGCTCTGTTAATCATGTTCCCCTGAGGTGAGCAGCTACTAATTGGAAATGAGTCCAGTGAAATAAAGGAACACTGGCTGCTTAAAAAAAAAAAAAATACAGCTTCCCAAGACAAAGTGGGAGGGGAGAGGAAACAAGGGAGAGGCGGTCCCTCCACCTCCAGGTGGGCAACACCTCTGCTATCATGAAGGAACACAGCTTAGGGCAGCCCAGGGATTTGGAAAGATCACTGTTTACACATAGGTATCCACGTTACAATATACACATCACAGTGTCACCTTACCTCTCAGAGGGCCACCACCTTCTTAATTAAATACCCTGATCAGGCAAAGGGGATCCCACAGTCAGAAAGAAAAACTCTGAAGGAGGTCTTATGTGAGCTTTTCTTTCTTTTTTTGTAAAAGACACAAACGTGTAAACACAGATTGTCTTGTGGTTTTAAATTCTGCTCGAAATAATGAGCCTGGCTTTATTAGAGAGGTTAAAGGACAAGAGAACGGGAAAAAGAAAAAGAACAGACACCAGAGAACATATCTTGCTGGAGAATGCGAATGATCATGGTTTTGGGCTTAGTGAGAGCGATGAGACAGCTGCTCTTCAGGCTAATGTAACTGCCAGTGTAGGAGAGGAAGCCAGTAAGAGCAGCCACCACTGACTGCAAATTTGCCAAGAGCCAGCATAGGCTAAGGCATTTTCCTCATTAGATTCTCACCATAGCAGCATAAGGAGGGTGCTATCAGAACTACCATTTCACAGATGGAAAAACTAAGATTGGAAAAGCTAAATCATTCATCTGACGTCACACAGCTAGTAAGTGGCAGAACTGGGACTAGAACCCAAGCCCATGATACGGGGATCAAGCAAGCTTCTTATTTCCTGGAGACCAGCATTCCCACAGCCTGCAGAGGAAGGAGGTTAGGTGGTTTTCTCTAACCTGCTCCCTAAGGGCTGGCCTGCAGCTGTGACAAGACCTAGGAGCTTCTACATTCTGTCTGAGCTCCTCCTCCCCTGCTACCTTTTCCATCACAGGAAGCTTCTGGTCCCTGAAGTGCCTCTGAGCTCATCTCAGTCACATGGTGGCCCCACAGGCCTCAGCTTCACTATTTCTTCAAGTCCTACTGAAGCCATGCTGCCTGCCTCTCAGATTGCCCAGTGGTGGCTAACACCTCTCTTGGTAGGGGCTTTTGTCCGGGTTACCCATTTGGCATAAAGCATGTGCTGATTTGAAGGGTGACTCTAGATTGTCAGTCACAAAAGCACAGAATCCTGTTTCCCAGAGCCTCCCATGGTGCCATGTGCAGAGCAGGAAGGGTAAAACAGTCGAGCTATTTACTGAGCACACACCACATTTCAAGGGCTGCATGGGAGGCTCCAGCCACCTTATCTCATTTAATCCTCAAATAATCCAATTTACACCATCCATTTTATAGCTTTTTTTTGAGACAGAGTCTTGCTCTGTTGCCCAGGCTAGAGTGCAGTGGTGCGATCTTGGCCCACTGCAACCTCTGTCTCCTGGGTTCAAGTGATTCTCCTGCCTCAGTCCCTCGAGTTGCTAGGATTACAGGTGCGTACTACCACGCCTGGCTGGTTTTTGTATTTTTAGTGGAGACAGGGTTTCACCATGTTGCCCAGCTTGGTCTCGAACTCCTGACCTCAGGTGATCCACCTGCCTCGGCCTTCCAAAGTACTGGGATTATGGGCGTGAGCCACTGTGCCTGGCCATTTTATAGACTTAAAAAGGTATTCTCAAAAACGTGCCTATGGGATCACCCAGTTAATGGTGATCCCAGCCCAAATCCTTCTACTTCCAAGTCTCTTACGCTACTCTTACTTGCTAGTGACTTCTCTTAACCATTATGCTACTGTCGACAAAAAATGGTTACTGGATAATTATAGCTAAAAAAGTAAAATAGCTAGTGGGTTCATAGTCAGAATAAAACTATATTTGCCTTACTAGCTGGAATTGACTGATACTCTTTTCTGTTCTAAGCGGGATTTAAGGCAATTTATATGAATATTTGCAACATAGCAACAAAAGTATGAAAAGAAATAGGAGCTAAGGGGAAAAAAAAAGGAAGCTGTGGCAAGGTTAGTGTTTCTATTTCATGCTGGGACACCTGCTGGGATGGTCACAGGTTTGGCTCTGAGCACTCTGGCCACCAACCCAAAAGGGAAACAAGACTGTGAGGTGTTTTGTGGTGTCCACAGGAGAAAAATAAACCAGCCACCCAGGAGCTTGAATTTTCAAAAGGCTCCTGGGGAGGGAAAAGTGTTTTCCACAGGCCGGTTAGTCAGTCAGTCAACAGGTATCACTAATATCAGGCACCATGCTGGCCTGGGGCAAGAGGATAGAATAGATCTGGTCCCCATGTGAAGCTCACAGTTAATGGCAGATCAAATAAGCGCATTATTGCATATGCGCAAACCGCTACAAGGAGACGCACAGGGTGTTGTCGGGTACACAACGGAAGGGCCTGAGATGACCTCATTTCATCTCTGCAGCAATCTTGAAAGGTGGGTCCCCATAATTCACAGAGGAACCCATGGCTCAAAGAGGTTAAGTGACTCGACAAAGGTCACAGCTGGTGAGAAGTAGAAAGTATGGGGTAACTGCCATGAGGTAGGCAAGCTTTTTTCTTTTTAGGGGAAAAAGTATTTAATGTCTTTCCTGGTTTCCAACCCAGCCCTCTCCGATTTATGAGCAACAACAGAGGATGACGATCCATGAGGAGACCAGGAATAATTCTAGATTAGGGGAGAAGGCAGAGATGGCCTAGTTTCCATTTGTGGTTTCGACAGCAAGAGCACGGGGCCCTGCCACAGCAGAGGTGAGCTCAGCGTGCACTGATGTCCAGTGGGCACTGGAGATGGTTTGCTAATGCAAGACACGTGTATCACTGGAGCTGATCAGTGACTGGGAAAGGGAGGACAATGCCCTTCTGAGTGTGGCTTTGTGGCTTCCTGGGGTAACCTATGCAGGTGGGGGTGGTGGAGATGCCTTCTAGAGCCCCAAGCCACTGGACCCAACAGAAATGAACACATGAGTTACAAAGATAACACCTGGACAAAATTCTGGAGAGGTCAACATCAAAGCCTGGGGTAGCCCGCCCTTTTGAGCCTCCTTGGCCTACCGGAAGGCGACAGACTCGGAAAACATCAGGAAGGGCTCCGTGGCTAAGACCACTGCGGCAGGAGAAGTTAATCACAGAGCAAAGGTCAGGAGACAGGGCTCTCTGCTGCCACAGAGAATTCAATGAGAACCGTAATAGCTAAAGCCAGACACGGAAAGGAAGTCTCAAGTTGTGAGCCACAAGCAGCCCATGAGAGCCTGTGGAAACACATGAATGAATGAGCCACAAAATAAATAAGAGAAAAAGAGAAAGAGGCTTATGGAGAAATAAATGAAGAGAAAGTAACAGAAAAAAAGGATAAAAAAATAGCGCAACTGATAATAAAAGGAGATTTTCTCTTGCTGTTTTTCCAGGACTCATCCCATGTGCCAAGATGCATAGCATCCAATTACCTTTGCAGCCTCGCCTTTCCATTCATCACGTTTTAAAGGGAAGACGAACCCGCACTTGCTGAGAGGTCACTCAGAGCCTATCACTATGCTGGTGCTGCACATACTGTCCCTGGTGCCAGCACCTGAAAAAGGCAGGCACACTATCTCCAGAAGCCCTGCCATGAGGTCACTTGCTGCACTGCTGAAACTTCCTGTGACCCTGATGTTACTTGGTCTGTGGCCTCTGCCTTATGGGTGAACTATGGCTCCCAGGAACATATCTAGAGTGTCGTTGCTATAGAGCCCCCTATACTGTGCCCCAGAATGTCCAGAGTTTTCTAAGTGTTGGGTTCAAGCCAGGCTCCAAATCAGGGAGGAATGAGGAATGTGTCACTCACGTACAGAATGTGTCATGAGAAATGGAAAACCAGGCCAATGCTCAGGCAGGTAGGCAGGAGTCGGGGCCAGCAACGTTGCATGGAGGCCAGCAGAAACTAGGGCAGGGGAGGCGGGCTGTTGCCCCTCCCGACATTAGGCAGAAGGAGGGGGCTGGGGAAGGTGGGAGCGGCAGGGCAGGTCCAGAGGCTCAGAGGCAGATACAGTAGCCAGGAGGTGGTTAGGCTGTGGTCCAGACAGCTCCCCAAAGGGTGGGTGGCTGAGCCAACAAGCACCATTCCCCTATGTGGGAAGGTCACTCCTGTGTTAAAGGGACACCTTGTCTTCTTTAACCCTGAAAGTCTCAGTAACGCTGGGAGTGACACTGCTGAGGCCAGTGAGAGCTGTCCCGCTATACTCCTGACATCGGTGCCTTCCGGGGTGCCTCTAGAGGGACAGGGCTAAAGGCTGAATGGCAACCATCTACACAGACTAACCCATTTTTATAGACCTTTCGCTTTTTGCTATATGTACTTTAAAAGGCTAAAAAAGTTTTTTATTTCTTCTTATTATTATTTTTGAGACAGAGTCTCGTTCTGTCACCCAGGCTGGAGTGCAGTGACGCGATCTCAGCTCACTGCAACCTCCACCTCTCAGGTTCAAGTGATTCTCCTGCCTCAGCCTCAGAGTAGCTGGGATTACAGGCACACGCCACCACGCCCAGCTAATTTTTGCATTTTTAGTAGAGACGGGGTCTCACCATGTTAGCCAAGCTGGTCTTGAACTCCTGATCTCAGGTGATCCACCCACCTGGGCCTCCCAAAGCGCTGGGATTACAGGCATGAGCCACCGCACCCAGCCTAAAAAAGTTTTTTATAATAAGAATGTATTACTTTACTAACAATATAGACTGTATTAAAAATCTAATGTGTCTGGAATTAGTGGTGGTGATATATCTATTAGATGGATAGTGGATTAGATAGTTGGAATAGACTACAAACCACTGATCTGTATACATACATTGATTGACTGATTGATTGATTGATTGATTGAGACAGAGTCTCACTCTCCTTGACCAGGTTGGAGTGCAATGGCGTGATCACAGCTCGTTGCAGCCTCAACTCTCCACGTTCAGGTGATTCTTCTACTTCAGCCTCACAGAGAGCTGGGACTACGGGTACACACCATCACACCTGGCTAATTTTTGTATTTGTTTTACAGGGACATGATTTTGCCATGTTGCCCAGGATTGGTCTCGAACTCCTAGGCTCAAGCAATCTGCCCACCTCCCAAAGTGCTGGCATTACAGGTGTGAGCCACTGCAGTTCGGGCCAGAACTGTATACTTTTAAAAGGGTGAATTTTGTGGTATGTGGATTAAATTTCAACTTAAAAAATGTAGCAGAGAAATTGAAAAGACAGTTTTCCTATAGAGTCTTCAGTATAGAGATCAGCACAGAATCTGTAACATAGATAATACAAAGGGCCCAGTCTCTTCTTTACCTAATTTTTCCACCTGGAAAACAGTTCACATTGAAATTGTCCAGTCTGGGCATGGTGGCTTACACCTGTAATCACAGCACTTTGGGAGGCCAAGGTGGGCGGATCATTTGAGGTCAGGAGTTTGAGACCAGCCTGACCAACATAGTGAAACCCCTTCTCTACTAAAAATACAAAAAATTAGCTGGGTGTGGTGGCGCATATCTGTAATCTCAGCTACTTGGGAGGCTGAGGCAGAAGAATTGCTTGAACCCAGGAGGCGAAGGTTGCAGTGAGCTGAGATCGCACCACTGCACTCCAGCCTGGGTGAGAGAGTAAGACTCCATCTCAAAAAAAAAAAAAAAAAAAAAAAAAGAAAAGAAAAAGAAAAAAAGGAAAAAAGAAATCATCCAAAGCTTCCCTACAAGGCTCTTGGCACATTCAGTCTTGGGTGCTGCTCAAGGAAATGAAGGTGCATCTCAGTGTAGGGCTCAGTGACTGTTATCACCTCAAAACATTTTTCCAGCTGCCTACTTGGTGCCAGGCTCCTCATGTACAGCAATGTTTTTAGCTATCTCCCTGGCAATGACTTAGCAAAAGACACTGAGGCTCAGGCAGGAGATGTGACTCACTCAAAGTCACATCTTTAGTAGGACCAGAGTCTAGGATTTGGACCCAAGACTTTGACTTCCAAATCTGAACTGTTTTCTCTCACTTGGCCTCTCTGTTCAAGCCTCAGGGTCAAGTTTAGCCAAATCTCAGTTGAGGAATTACCTAACTAGTAATCTATGATTTCTGATCATTAAATCAACACACATTTGTGTATGTGTGTGTGCATTTCCTAATCATCAGTCCCACCACAGCCCAGCTTCCCTTCCTCTTCTGTCTGAAACTAAATTCCTGGTCCTTATCCCCTCCCACCCCTCCCAGATGAGCTCTGTCACAGTGGCACCATTCCACTCTTGGCGTCTTGCTGCTTCTTAGCTTAAAAAAAAATATCTCTATTCTCCATATCTTGACTGGATGCTTGAGTTCGTTGGTGAAGTAGTGTTTCCTCAGATCCAGAACCATCTATGTCCACCTATCTTCCTATGCCCACTGCCAGGAATATAGTAAGTATTCATAAGCACTTGCTGCAAAATGGCAATGACATACAACTTTTGCTTACTTACTGGAACCCAATCTTTAACAAAAGCTAGAAAGCCCAGAGTTTGGCATACATAAGAGAATTTTGGCCACAACTATCCATCTAATCCACTTCCATTCTGTGTGTTAAGTCTATATATTTAGTTGATGCAAAAAAAAAATTCAGTTGAAATTCTTTTTTTTTTTTTTTTTCCAAGACAGGGTCTTGCTCTACTGCCCAGGCTGGAGTGCAGTGGCACGATCTTGGCTCACTGTAACCATCACCCCCCAGGTTCAAGCAATTCTCGTGCTTCAGCCTCCTGAGTAGCTGGGATTACAGGCATGTACCACCACACCCAGCTAATTTTTTCTATTTTTAGTAGAGATGGGGTTTCACTATGTTGCCCAGGCTGGTCTTGAACTCTTGGCCCCAAGTGATCCACCCCCTTGGCCTCCCAAAGTGCTGGGATATAGGTGTGAGCCACCATACCTGGCCTCAGTTGAAATTCTTAGCACCAGAGATACATTAATATATATTGACTATATATACAGCTATATAGCTATGAATAACACAAAGATAGTATTTACTATTTACAGAGCACCTGCTTTGTGTCAGTAGTAATCACTATTCACCTCCACCTGAAAACATTGGCTCAGTGACCTCCAATCTAGTAAATGGGGAAGCCAGGTGAGGGCCAGACATTTCTGCTTCCGCCGCACCACACTTTCATTTGAGTTCTGTCCCTGCCATCAAGAATATCAACAATTCCACTTAATCTAGCATTGATCTATTTCCTATGCAAAATTTCATGGCACCGATGAAGACAGTGATTGGAATCGACGCAGATCTGATTAACTGGATGTTACTTCAGAATTGTGTCCAGATTGATGCCCCATCGCCTATGTGGACTGTGCATCTTTTGTTGAAAATCCTACATGGAATATGTGATGCACCATGTGGGGGCTGATTCAGAACCCTACATACAGCACACAAAGGGCCTGAAACTAGCATCTCTCAGAGAGATCTGAGCATCCCCACTCTGAGAGGAAGAACGGCTTCCAGAGTCATCTGGAAATGCCAAGAAATATGAGGCATTTTACAAAGTCAAATGTAAAATCGAAACCTTCACTGTACATATCCTATTTGACTTCTCAGTTCAACAATGCCCTCAAAAAGCATCAGGAGCTAGCTACTAACTTGGCTTTTGACCTGACTGTCCTTTGGGGGAAAAGCATGAGCTTGTCTTGATCTGCTTTGAAAATATTTTATCACAAATGTGTGTTAATAAGTGCCTAGAATAAACCAAATATACAATTCAAGTTGAGAATTGATTTGTGGTCCCTATTTAGGACTACTTCTGAAGGAGGAAGGGGGAAAAAGAAATTTACATGGGAAATACCATATGGTTTCTACTGGGACCTTTTATTAGCAAAATTTAATTAGCATAGTGCCTGGTACATAATAAGTGCTCTATAAATATTTGCTGAATAAATGCATAATTAATGAATGACAACATACGTCTACAATTAGCAAGTCATCAAGAAGCTGACATGAAGAATTTTTTCATAAAATCTCGGTGATGGGCACAATTTATTCTCTAACACTTCAGAGGATATTAGTAAGGAAAGCTTTAATATCAGATGGCCTTGGATTTCAAGTGCAGGCTCCACTATTTCTTGGCTGTGTGACAGTAGGTAAGTTATTAAACCTCTCTGAGCTTCAATTTCCTAATATATACAATGGAGCTATATTTACCTTGCAGCTTGATTTTGAAGATTTGCAATAATGTTTATAAAGAGCTTGTCACACACACAGTACTCAATAGATGGTGATTATTATGAAAGGGAATGCTGATTCTCATTAGCAAGTTAATGCTTTTCTCCCAGAAACAGGAAGGCTTTCCCAACACTGGCCAAGGTCAAGGCCACCATCAGCTAAGGTAGGGAACATTCTCGTTTTCACTTTCAAAGTCAAAGGAATGGCACAGATCTAAAGTAGAAAGGAACCAGCAGCACATGTTTTTAAATATTCATAAGGCCTGGAAATGTCTTACTCCTTTCGTTTTCTCTGCCATCTGCTTTTGTTTCTTTTCTTTTCATTCTTATGCCACAGCTGCAAATGAAAACAACCATACAATAACTCAAGTTAAATAAAAAAAAAATCAAAATAAAAACAATCTGAGGGATAAAAAGAGAAGATGAATTATAAAGTTTTCCCCTGAGCTCTCAAGGCAACAGAAGTAAGAATAATGCTTAATGTGAGTTAAACCTTCTGGAAACCAAAATCCATGTCCCATGTTTATAATAATGGTGAAAAAAGCAATCATCATTTACTAATGGCCCCTAGGTGCCACTTGACTAATAACTCTAATTGCTATAGCCACTTTTCAAAGTAGGTAAGTTATACCCATTTTACAGAAAGATATTGCAGATCACAGAGTTAAAACAGATTTTTAATGGTTACATAGTTAATAAGAGATAAGACTAAGATTTGAATCCAGGTCTGCCTGAATCCAAAACCTAGGCACTTTCCACACTATTGTCCACTCCAAAAATAGGAAGGGACACAAAAAAAAATAATTTGAGAAATATTTAGGGCAGCCCATTTGTACTAAACTGATTTTTTCCAGATAATTAAAATCTGTGATTATAGCTCTAATTAAAGTTAACTCAGATGATTGTATGTCGTATTTGTGAATGCGCAATTGGTCCTCCACATAATGGTAGGGTTTTCAGTATCCTACTTTTCATTTATTAACTGCATGCAAACTAGAGCTTTGCTGTCATGGCCTCTGGTCCACAGAAAGCTGCAATACAGCTTCTGGGGTTTCTGGACTCAATGACTGTGACCTGTGATACCAACAGCAGGGTCTGGGCTCAGCTCCATTTAACATGTCTTTGTCCAGAAGTCAACGAAGACTTCATCTTCAGGCGCCATGTAAAAAGCTCTTATGGCCTACACTGTTGTCCTGAAAACTCCTAGCAGCATGTACCTGAAGAAAAACTGGCAGCAGTGGTCCTCATGTGTTAATTACACTTGTGAAGTCTATTATGCATAGAAAGGGCACCTGCTGGCAGTGAAAATGACTAGAAACCGCCCTTCCTGTGCAGTGAGTAAATTGAGAGTTCATTTCTACAGGAGATAATAGTTTTCAGATTCCTTTTTGTGTATCCCCTGCATGGGGACATACTTAACATTTAAATCATCTGCAGAGTAGCAAACCTCCTTCAAATTTACATGTTTCAGGCTCCTAGCACTTTACTTAAAATGCTAGTTATCCCTGCTGGCTCTTACCACCAAGGATTAAACTCAATGGTGGTGAAAGTTACTGGGCATAATAGAATGAAGTTATTAGCATTGACTCAAATTTCATGACATTTGTAGTATCTGACCAAAGCAGTGGTAGTGGCTGAAGGTGGTCAAATCAACCCTTCATTATGGAAGCTGTGTTTTTTCTCTTGGAGTCTTTCATTTCATCATTCTTACATCTTACAGTTAACAAACAGACACCAATCCCCACCGGCCTGTAATCATCCTTTGGTCATATGTCAGAAAGTTCTTTCACGGAAACAAGAGACCAGGAGAAAGACTGCTATTACAGAAACAGAAACTTCCAAGATGGTGCCTCCTCTCAAAACTCACTCAGGCACCAGTAAATACAAAACTCAACCTTAATTTTCTGGAGTGGAAATTTAGGATGACAAGGACTTAGCAGCCTTCCTTGCCAAGTCTTCTCTTCTAAGTTAGACCTTCCAACATCAATGCCCTTGGTCAGGCTGGTAACAGTTTTTCAGAGTGCTAGAGTTAGAGAAGGTTGAAAAAATGATCTTGGATCAGCTTTCACAGGAAAATAAAACATCTAATGTATCTCCAAGAAAACATGAAAGGAGAAATGAATGGCAGCTGGGAAGAACAATTGGCTAGAAAAAACACTGATTTGTGAAAATAAAGCTTTTAATTATAAAAACCATACTTTTTCAGTGTAGAAATATTGGAAAATATGGAAAATAAAAAGCATGCAGAAATCCTCTCCCGCCTCCCCATCACGGGTCTCTGTTAAACATTTTGGTGTATTTCTTTCCAGATTTCTGCCTCTCTATATGTATACATATATACATCCGATTTTTTGTGTATTATGTGTCCATATAATTCTCTTAATAAAAATTTGATCATAGAGTATAATACATAACGTCTGTATCAGGAAAAGTTACTAAAGCTCTTGGGGCCTTGGTCTACCAATCATCTGCGAAATGGGGTTAATAGTATCTGCCTTGCAGGGTTGTTGGAAGAATTCAACGCCATCACAGATGTAAAGGAGATGGACCAGTGTTCAACAGTGGCAGCTATCTTCATCACTTATGTTACTGACAGAGCATTTTCCCCTCCACAGTTCCAGGAATGTAAGCTGCCTGTTTTAAACTAGCTAACAATTTAGCAACCAAAACTTTTCAAATAATAGAAAGCTGAAGTTGGGCCACACATGGTAGCTCATGCCTGTAATCCCAGTACTTTGGGAGGCTGAGGCAGGTGGATCACCTGAAGTCAGGAGTTAGAGACCAGCCTGGCCAACATGGCGAAACCCTGTCTCTACTAAAAATACAAAAATTAGCCAGGCATGGTGGTATGCACCTGTGATTCCAGCTACTAGGCAGGCAGAGGCAGGAGAATCGCTTGAACCCAGGAGGCTGAGGTTGCAGTGAGCCAAGATCGTGCCACTGCATTCCAGCCTGGGTGACAAAGCAAGACCTTGTCTCATAAAATAAAATAAGACAAATATTTAAAAAATAAAATTATACTACCACTTGGCAGAGGAACTATATTGATTTTTCCAGCTCTACCAATCCCTGCAGAAGCCCCGGGTATTCCTCCCTGAAGCACGGCATGAAAACCCACTGGTGAATCTCTTCCAGGGGGAACCGTGCGACAGGGTCTCATTCTGTCACCCAGACTGGAGGGCAGTGGCTCAATTGCGGCTCACTGTAGCCTTGACCTCCTGGGCTCAAGCAATCCTCCCACCTCAACCTCCTGCGTAGCTGGGACTACAATTGTGTGCCACTATGGCTGGGTTTTGTTTTTTTTTTTCTGTGGAGATGGCGATCTCACAATTTGCCCAGGCTGGTCTCAAACTCCTAGGCTCAAGTGATCCTCCTGCCTTGGCCTCCCAAAGTGCTGAGATTACAGGCATAAGCTACCGCATTTGACCTGAGGCTACCTTTTAGAGCACACATCTGGCGTGTGGTGTGTATGGGCGGGGGGTGTCTCTCCCTGTGGAAGACCCTGAGACATGTCTATGGGGAAAGGACCTATGTCTATGAAGGTGGGCGCGTCTGTGTGGGGTCTATTCCTGTGAGCGTACTGTGTGTCTGGGGGGAGAGGGGATGGCAGCAGGTTCTACATGCTAAGGGGGCTGGATGTCACTCCAGGACTCTGTCTCGGGTGATGTGTGTCTCCTTTCTACCTTCTCCTGCTTTTTCTCACTCTCTCTCTCCCTTCTCCTGCTTTTTCTCACTCTCTCTCTCCCTTCCATCTTCCTTGGGTGTGTGTTTTGTTCCTTGTCCTCCCCTCTAGTTCCCCTCATCTCCTTCCTCCTCTCTGAGTGTCAGTGTCTGCCTCTGCCCAGCCCTCAAGCTTTCATTTGAACAACAACAAACACTACTGGATAGTAAACAGGGTCCTTTTGGTCCTTTCCTTGGAGATATATGGCAGTGAGAAGAAACCAAGAGAGTTGGCTCAGAAGCTCAAGCACAGGGAGTTTAAGGAAAGGTTGAATCTGAGGAATGGGGCACCTAAGCACATGTGCAGGAGAGGCGGGAGGCAGCAGAAAGGGGTGTTTAATGATACCCAAGAAAACAGAGTTCTAGATGGGTCCCAGAGAACCCTCAGGAGACAGCACCCAGGCCCAGGTGAAGTCAATGGCTTTGGACAGACTGCTCTTCCTCCCTCAGGAATGGCAGGAGAGGAAGAGGCAGACAGGCAGCAATTAACCAGCACCAGCCTTGGGTGAGAAGGAGGGCAGTTGTGGGAACACAGACCCTATGTCCCCCTCTTCTTGCCAGATGTGACAATGCATCCCCATCCCTGAGCCTGTGCATGGTGGGGAGAGTGAGGGCTCAGGGGTGACTGCAGAGAAGGAGGGCAAGCCAAGGTTAGGCAGCACCACTCTCTAGCAGGTCCTCTCTGCAAAGGCTCTCAGACTTTCACCAGCAGTATCTTCCAGACAAGGAGCAGATAAGAAAATGGTAGGGGTGCCCAGGGTCAGTGGCAAGGCCAGGGAAGCAACAGCCTGCAGGGAACTGGTGAAAAACCCAGGAGCAGTTCTGGCCTGTCTATGGGCCTGTGTCTTCGACACCCAATTGTTTGAGTTCCTTCTGCTGGAAATTGACTCTCATCCCTGTCTTCCCAGCACTTAGTGCAGTGCCTAAGACATGGCCAGCATCGGGAAACATCTGCTCTACTGAAAAAGCTCACAACAACAGGCACGGTGGCTCACGTCTGTAATCGCAGCCCTTCGGGAGGCCGAGGTGGGTGGATCATGAGGTCAGGAGATCGAGACCATCCTGGCTAACAAGGGAAACTCCGTCTCTACTAAAATTACAAATAATTAGCCGAGTGTGATGGTACGCGCCTGTAATCCCAGCTACTCAGGAGGCTGAGGCAGGAGAATCGCTTGAACCTGGGAGGCAGAGGTTGCAGTGAGCCCAGATTGTGCCACTGCACTCCAGGCTGGGCAACAGAGCAAAACTCTGTCTCAAAAAAAAAAAAAAAAAAAGAGAGAGAGAGCGAGCGAGTGAGAGAGAGAGAGAGAGCAAGCTCACAAAGACTTGAAGCAAGGAGGCCAGCAGGAAACCAGAGGGGGCTGAGTGAGCTTCAGACGGTTAATGACACAGGTGTCACCCTGCTGGGTGGCTGATAGTGCTTTTCGGTCTATAAAGTGCATTAGCACATACGTTATTTTATTTCATCCTAGAAACAGTTTAAAGAACAGGTTGCAGTATTTTCAGCCCTCAACAGAGAAGAGATTCAGAGAGGCAAAGGCACTTGCTCTAAGCTACACAGCCAGGCAGTAATGGAGCAGAGACAGGGACTCAGGCGTCCTCCTCTTAGCCCCGTCCTATCCTTGTGTGTGCTACTCCATGGCCTCTCTGAGGGAGTAAATTAATCTCACTATAGATGGCAAAACAGTGCAAATGTGAGCTCAGTGGGAATAAGGGGAGGCCAGTAGTGTGGATTCTGAAGCCACTGAAGACAGCAGGGAATAAGATGGGAAGGAGATGTGGACATCTCAACAAACAGGTGATGAAGATCCCAGAGACAAGCAGATGACAGTGACATGGGAGGGAGGAAGGTTCCTAGGGGCTGTGCTAGAAGCCAGATGACAGGGTAGAGCTCACACCAGACCATGGCAGCGGGGACAGGAGTCTAACAATCTGGGAGCAGAAGGAGCAGCCTCACTAGGGCAGAGTCCAGCACTCCCTAGAGTCTCCAATGGAAGGAGAGAGGCTGGAGACCTGGGTACAGGGGAGGGGTCTGGAATGGGCCCAGGGGTTTGAAAACACTCCCTGAGGAACAGAGCAAACGCAAACATTTAATGTCACATGGTGAATCTGTTATAAGGGGTTTACATCCTTATCCTTTCCTATCTGCAAACATTACTTTATCTCCTACCCACTCAAGAAGGGATGAACACCAAAATCTAGACCAGCAGTACCTGGACGTCACCATTAACTGAAAATAGTTTCCAAAATAAACCAAAGTATGAAGAGACACAGTGAAAAAAATGTGGGGTTCAGCCATTGATGAATCAAGAAGAAATTCAAAATTAGCCAGGATTCTATACTCCACATGGTAGAAAACATATTGCCCCTTAATCTCATAAGAGGTGGGAGAAAGGCACAAATAAGATAACTCACCTTGATAAGAAAGACATATAATAAAGAGAGAATCAGGCCCATTCACTTACTGCTATGCATGAGAGAGGGCCACTGATTTTCACATGATGTCCCTGAGTTATGTCCTTGTTATCTCCATGGCCTCTTGGGAAGAGGGTGAGCCCAGCACGTTCCAATTAGGAGTGACTGTGGAATGCCTTCAAGCTCCTTGGACAATCTGGCTACTTGGGTGGACCTTTCCAGTGAGATGATTGCAAAATGGAATGGAGATCCCAGCAAAAGTATGACTGACCTGGACTCAATCACTCCGAACCAGTGGTCAGTGTCCCGTGTCATCTGTCCTTAAGCAACAGGGCTATGACCCTCAAATGGCTTCCCTTCTCCTGAAGCTCTCAATATCCGGCACGCAGTTAGTGCCTTTCCCTGTCTGTGTACCATGCTCCCTTACGGACTTCTGTTGACTTGAACTGTTTGGAGACAATGTCTTTAACTGCATTACACTAGAGAAAGAAATTATTCATGAGGAAAAGGGATCCAAATCGGTCACAAAGACAGTCTGTTTTGGTAATCTATTGAAGACAGATAGTGAGGACGATGATGTGTCTGCGGAAACATTTTCTGAGCTACCATGAGCCAGCTTTTCTACATGGGGTCCTTTCATATGTTATCTTGTTTCATCTTTGTATGATTATGTATTGAACAACTTCCTTTTACAGATGAGTAAACAAAGTCTTAAAGCCAAGTGACTTGCCCAAGATGGTAGGGCTGTCGCCAAAACCTTTGTTTCTTCCTTCTACTAAAGTCTGTTTCACTGAACAGTGAAATTCTCCTCAAAGAACTTCAGACAGTTTAGCGCTGCCTGGCTTGTGCTCCCAAACCACAGTGAGCACAAGTCTTAAGGAATGTGCCAGGGCATGGCTGAAACTTGAAGACCTTGGAGATCTCAATTGTTTTTGTCCCCAGTTTACAATTTGTCTTAGGAAAAAACAAACAAACAAACACGCAACCTTTTGGTGCATTGCTTCCCCCAAACTGAGAAATGTGAAAAGTTACTACCTATTCTCTTGTACTCTTCAGAGTGTCATGACATATAAGAAAACTGGAAATGAAAGGGCCGTGCAATCAGGTGGTCTTAAATCCATGCCACTTAGAAGTTAGTATTTCTATTATTATTATTATTGAGACAGAGTCTCACTCTGTTGCCCGGGATGGAGTGCAGTGGCACAATTATAGCTCACTATAGCCTCAACCTCTCTGGCTCAAATGATCCTACCAACTCAGCCTCCTGAGTAGCTGGGACTACAGATATGTGCCACCATGACTGGCTTTTTTTTTTTTTTTTTTTTTTGTACAGATGGATTCTCACTATTTTGTCCAGGCTGGATGAAGTTAATATTTTTAATGTAGAGTCACCAACTGCATTAACAAGTGACACACCTAACACGCCCAGTCAGATCAGGGCAAAGGAGAAGCAGAGGACAGGGCCAGCCACCTTACCAGCAGTAGTCCAGCAGATGCGGCGGCAGCACGGGGATGTACACGTGCTGCCAGTACATGGGGTAGAGCATCGCCGCAGACCCGTGGATGCAGGCAGTCAGCTGGAACAGAGCAAAGCAGAGATCAATGAACAAATCCAAGGGAGGAGACACCGCCATTTGATTTCAGCAATACAATTCTATAATTCTTCAATATGTTTACATGATAAGCTGAAAAACCTGGAGAAATCATTCTAAGTTAACTCAATCACCCTAATTCAAATTTAGTAAGAGCTTTCTTTTCAAAAAATCTTTTTTTCTGATGATAAAGCTAATATACGAAATAGAAAATTTTTAAAATGGTGAAAGGGATTAAAATAAATGCCACACCATCAGAAGATTTAACATTGTAGGTTATTACACACACAAGCACATATATTCCCCTTTTAAATACAATTAGGATGACTATACAGTATTCTTCTGTGTTTCTTAAAAGTGAACATTATTTGATGCCATTTTCCTTTAAATATTCTTAGAAAAAGATATCTCTTAATGATGCTTTAAAGGCACAAATCCAGAATATTCTTTAAATATTCTTAGAAAAAATATCTTTTAATGATACTCGATGAATTTCCCATGCTATTAATATATTTAGCTACTCTACTACCATTAAGTAATATCATCATACAGGTCAATAATTTGTATCTATAGTTCCTAAATGTAGAATTCAGAGACAAAGGTTATAAACATTTGAAGGCACTTAATAAATACATATCTCATAAGTATGTTAGTATAATGAATAGATGAAGGATGGAGGCTCTTTACACCCCCGACCCCCAGCCATACACCACGATTCTGGCCTCCCTGCCCCTCACCAGCACTACTCCTTGTAGTCAAGTTAGTAGCTTTAAAATTGTACCTATTTTACTTTTATTTTTATTCTGATCAGGACTAAGGTTGAACATTTTGTCATATGTTTCTTCACTATATTTATATAATAGACAAATGGTCTATTCATATTCTTAGCCCACTTTAAAAATGAGTATTAGTAATTTTTACTGGTTTATAAGCAATCACTGATGAAATGCAAAGAATACCCAGCCTTTGTAATGTTTTGAAAATAATTTATCCTTAATTTTCTTTGAATTTCTGGGCAAAGAGAAGGTCTAAATAATTACGTAGACAAATATTTTCTTCCATGATGGTTTCTACTGCTTTTATCCCAAGAAAGTCCTCCAAATTTTCCCCTAGCATTTAACTCTTCAGTCCATCTGGAATTACTTTAGGTTTAAGGACTGAGGTGAGAATTTATTTTTTCCACATAGGTAATCAATTGCTCTGGCACTGTTTACTGACTAATCCTTCCTCTCCACAGTCTTTTGACTTGCCCCTATTTTGTATTCCTTTTTTTTCTTGAGAGCTAGAGACATCATACAATCAGTATTTGATGCAATTAAAAATTTAGGAAACAAAGATACTACAAAGGGATACAATTGCTACAAAATTCAATATAGTGAAAAGAAAGGGAAAAAAAACAACTTTTGGAGATATAGGTATGAAGTGACAAAAGCCAACAACACATATTTCTTTCTGTCTTTTTTTCTTTAATGTTTCTTTGGTTTCAGGGAAGCCTGTTCCCATGAGGACTTTGCTTCTTTTGGAAGCTGTTAACTGGCCTTTGCTGACAGAAGAACATTTACGTGGCGAAAGAGTGACGTGCCAAGGCCCAGTTAAAAGAATCCCAGAGGTTAGTGTAACATGAACAGCTTTAAATTGGATATTCTGCTGATGTTTCACAGTTGTGAGAGCTGTGTGTTAAAGCCAGGGCTGCTACTCCCCACCCCCACCTGCCCTGACTCTTTCCTCCAGACCCTGTTCTTGAGCCAGGTCCATGCCATGAACTGGAACTGATTCAGCAGGCACCCAAGAACAGTTCCCAGTGACCCCGTCAAGGCTCGCAGGTTTAACCCATCCCTTCACATTCTATTTCCATAGGTACCCATATAAAGGAGGGTGATATAGATATATATATCTCACATACAAAAATACACATATATAAAACTAATCCCTTCAGGGCTTCTTAGAGATGAAAAGTCCTTGCTGGTGTTGAGTGAGTGGAGAATGAACCAACTCTGACCTGATTCCACCCTGAAGTCAGGCTGGAGGGTTCCACTGGCCCTGGGTCTCAGCTCTTTCTGCTCATCTTTAACTAGCTGCCAGAGCGCTCCTCCTCAAGTGCAGGTTCCGGCCCATCACTTCCTACTCAGAAGTCTTTGGGGACAAGCCTGGCCCGGATGGCTCCACCAGCCCACGGTCTAGCTTTACAGCAGCCATCTGTAGCCACACTCTGTACCATCTTCTCCAAGTCTGTCCTTGGAATACATCACTTAGATAGAGTCATGTACTCCTTTTCCTCCCATCCCTTTCCACCCGTCCCCCAAACTGGCCTGGATTTGTGCCTCTAGCAAACTCCTCCCTCAGGTCTCTGTGTAAGTACTTCCTCTTCAAAGTCTTCCCTGGTTCCCTGTGCATAGGCACCTATTATAATAATAATAATATTATTATTATTATTGAGACAGGGTCTCACTCTGTCACCCAGGCTGGAGTGCAGTGGCACGATCTCGGCTCACTACAACGTCTGCCTCCCAGGTTCAAGCAATTCTCCTGCCTCAGCCTTCTGAGTAGCTGTGACTACAGGTGTGTGCCACCATGCCCGGCTAATTTTTGTATATTTTGTAGAGACGGGGTTTCGCCATGTTGGCCAGGCTGGTCTCAAACTCCTGACCTCAAGTGACCCACCCACCTCGGCCTCCCAAAGTCTTGGGATTACAGGCGTGAGCCACTGCACCCAGCCCATAGGCACCCATTATTAACTGGACCATAACTGGCTGCATGTTTGTTTCCTGACTGTAAAGTACAGGAAGATCCTGTCCTCACCTCCATGTTCTCAGTGGCCCAGAACACACAACACACACACGTGCACTAGTTAATGGGATGTGTCCTGAATAAATAAAATATGATTTTTACTTAGAATATACTCACAGTACAAAGACAGTTTAGTAACTTGGCTTTTAACAGAAGTGTATCAACATTCCCATGAGTCTCACAGAGTAAGGTACATGACTCAAAGTCTAAAACAGTTTGGGTGCGGTGGCTCACGCCTGTGATCCCAGCTCTTTGGGAGGCTGAGGTGGGCGGATCACTTGAGATCAGGAGTTCAAGACCAGCCTGGCCAACATGGCAAAACCCCATCTCTACTAAAAATACAGAAAAATAGCCAGGCATGGTGGCACATGCCTGTAGTCCCAGCTACTCGGGAGGCTGAGGCAGGAGAATTGCTTGAACCCAGGAGGCAGAGGTTGCAGTGGGCTGAGATCACACCACTACACTCCAGCCTAGGCAACAGAGCAAGACTCTGTCCCCCCAAAAAAGAAAGAAAGGAAAAAATGTCTAAAACAAAAACAGCAAGCTTAGACACACAAGCATGGCACTTTTGGAAAACCAAGTCATTCATTCATCCATTCGCCCATTCATTCAATCATATGCCTACTCTCTAACTCCACAACATATAAATAAATAAATAAAAGCACTTCAAAATCTACAAGGTCCCATACAAATGAAGGTAACATCATCACATGAATTAATTTGTGATTCTCTTTGAAAAAGTCATTTAATAGAATGAACCTGGTTAAGACAGAACTTGATTATGTGACTCTTTTTAGGTTAAACTGGTTTGGGTCAAAAGCCTATTTAAACATAAAGTAGCAGAGATCTCATCTTCAGATAATGTTCTTTTCATGTCTTTTTAACCTCAAAAGCAAACCCACCAACCTCAATGCCAAGATTTTAAAATTACTTATCCTTCACAAAAAAACAAAAAATCAAGCTTTTAAGGTGTTTGCTCATTTCATTAGTGGGTTTTCTAAGGGCCAAATTTCTGCAATCGGGGTAAAATGCATTACTCATTTGATTAAGAAAACAAACAAACAAAACGGAATTATTTGGCTCTTTTCCAAAATACTAAATGACATAAACTATGTGCATCATTACTTAAGGACAGTCAGTTGATTACAAGACTTACTATATATCTATACTCAATCAGAAATAATGCACTCTGTTCTATAAAGTATCACTTGCCACTTATTTTTAAAATAACTCTAAACTCTGTTTCTAAAAATAAAAGTCCTAAAGGCCTATGTTCATTCCTTACAGAATACAAACTTTAAAAGTAATGAAAGTATGTAATTTGGAGTGTAGTCAACAAAGGGATATTGTAAATATATAATTGAAGTGCAAGTTGAAGGAAATGATTCTATCAAAATCTCACTCAGTGAGAGAATGGAAAGATAGTATGTGTAAAATTTGCCCAAAGTCATTAGTCACAATGAATATTCATCAGAAGCCAATTATCAATCTCATTTAATGACACCCCAAAAGATTTTGCCCTGAAGCAGCTGAATAGCCTAAGACTCCAGACAAAACTAGACAAATTATACAGCCAACAGCCAGTCTAGCCAGGACACAGACTGTACAGTAAACCACTGGTGGATTTTTGGATGCACTTTAGCAAATTCTGTCCTCAATTAAAGGTGCACAAGGTCATTTATATCTCAGAGCTTTCTCTATGGCTCCATTAGTTTTCTCTGAGGCAAAGGGAGACGAGGAGAAGGCAGTGGGAGTAGGACATGAACGGAGAGTGATCAATGACGGAGTGGGAAAAATCACAAGGACACATTTTTTTTTTCAGTCATTTCTCAGAGATAAAGCCCAGATTGTCACAATCTTAGATACCAATGCCTCCGCTGAATCCTAATAGCAGCTCTGCAACTTGACGTGAAATAAAAATAAGAATGCCCCCTCCAAAGACAAAACCACAATATGTGTAGGTACCATGTTGGGGTTTAGACCCTTGCAAAGTATTGTTTTAAAGGAAAGAGTGCGTGTGTGTTGATACACATATACACTCATCACCACATTTCACAGATTAGGAAACAGTTTCAGAGGTGAAATAACTTGCCCAAGGCCACATCGACAGTAAGTGACAGAACTGGGACTCACATCCAGGTCTGTCAGAATATAATGGCCACTGTGTTTCCACAATGCATAATAAACTCAAAAAGTATTCGAGTGTATACCCTGTGCCTTCCACAGTGTGGAGGACTCTGAAATAGATGAGGTAACAATACCTGCTGACATTGTTAAATGACACAGATATGCATTTGCCTTGCTGCTAGATGTCCAAATGTCTCGGACAAAATACCAATGACAGAAAATAATCATTTTTAAAACAAACACAGATCTGATCATTTCCTGGGGATTAGTTACATTTAACTAAGGTGTTGTAGTGTCTTTAACCCACAGGAAATTCTAGACAATGAAGTAATTATTATTAGTCAAAGAGAAAGGTTTACATTCCTTTTTGAGTACATACATCTGACAGGCTGGCTTGAAAGTGTTGGAAAGTCTTGCTTTTTGTCGTGTTCCCTTTCACATACTTGCTCCGAGTCTTCTGCTAACTTTTTGACCTGGGCAAGCCACTTCCTTTCCTAGGTCTCAATTTGTCCTGTATGTAAAATAAGAGACTAGGCTACAAGATTTCTGTGTTCCTTTCCAGCTTTGACAACTCACAATTCTAGAGGAATTGCTATCCTTTGAAGTGAAGAAGGCTCCTCCTCTACCCCAGTTTACCTTCTTCACCTGTACTAAGCCGAAGCAAATCAGGGTCTGTCTTTAAGCTGGTCTTGCTTTCTCAGCTCTGCAGCTCCAGGGCCCAGCTGGAATTCATGAGCTATGTAGGAACCACCACTTTTAGGTCACCCCATCTCCATCACCTGACCAGGGCACAGCTGTCTTCCTTACTTGGCCCCTGATACTCTGAAGAACTCAGATGTAGATGACCCCAGGTGACCAGGAACACGACGGCTATGGATTTGAGCTGTTCAAGGACCAAGACCACATCTGATTCCTCTTTTTTTTTTTTTGAGATGGAGTCTCGCTCTGTCACCCAGACTGGAGTGCAGTGGTGGGACCTCGGCTCACTGCAACCTCTGCCTCCCACGTTCAAGTGATTCTCCTGCCTCAGCCTCCTGAGTAGCTGGGATTACAGGCACCTGCTACCACGCCCAATTAATGTTTGTATTTTTAGCAAAGACAGGGTTTCGCCAAATTGGCCAGGCTGGTCTCGAACTCCCGAGCTCAGGTGATCCGCCCTCCTCGGCCTCCCAAATATTCCTCTTCTTACCTCCTACTATGTTTGACACAGAGTCGGTGCTGAGTAAATGTTTGGGGAATGGAGAATGCCTCCAGATTCACACCATGAGGAAGAATAGGCAAGATTACCAGACTTTTTTTTTTTTTTTTTTTTGAGACAGAGTTTCACTCTTGTTGCCCAGGCTGGAGTGCAATGGCGCAATCTCAGCTCACCACAACCTCTGCCTGCCAGGTTCAACTCTCCTGCCTCAGCCTCCCGAGTCGCTGGGATTACAGGCATGCGCCACCATGCCCAGCTAATTTTGTATTTTTAATAGAGATGGGGTTTCTCCATGTTGGTCAGGCTGGTCTCGAACTCCTGACCTCATGTGATCCGCCCGCCTCCAAAAGTGCCTGGATTATAGGCGTGAGCCACCGCGCCCGGCCCCAGACATTTAACAAATTGCAATTGCCTAATAGATCACAACTAGAGGCTGTACAGTTTTGAAAAAGTATTAAGATTCCAAGCTCTAAAAGCTGGCAGAGGAAGACAATCAGATGGTCACAGTCATTCTTTCCATCCTAGAATTCAGAATGTTAAATAATCAAACCAACACCTGCTTCACAGGGTTAGAGGCATTTGGATTTCCCCTCTGAACATAAACGCAAAGAAATGAATAAAATGATAAATACAGAAAGGATACCAGATTACTGACTTTAAAGGGAGGTCATTCTTAAGTTTGTTCATTTTGACCAGGGATCATCTTATTTAGAGCAGCTGTAGAAAATGCTGTGTGTCTTGGGAAGTTGTTCCCTTTCTCAGTTTGAGAACTTGATTCTTTTATTTAATTATAAACCATCTTCGTAGTATCATGGTGCCATGATTCAAACACTGCTGTGGTTTTTGTTTTGATTATAATTTATTCTTAAATGACAAATCCTCTCTAAAATCATCAAAACGTTTTAAGCAAAATCTGCAGGGACTCTGTGAAGTCAACCTATTTCAACCCTTCCATGGCTGTGAGAAAAACCTTTAATTATAAAGGGTTCAGCTATGTTCAAATTGTAGTTACTGTATTTAGTGGGGGATGAATAGGCTTTCAAGAAACTATCAAAGATACTCTAGCAGAAAGGCAACTTAGAACATCTCAGAAATCAAAGAACCTTCAGCTACTCTAGACAGATGCCGGACATGTGAGTAGAAGGAAAGAGCAAACAGTGTCTTGCTTTTCTTAGCAGCTGAAATGCAGGGCTGCTTTTCAGGGGGTAATGGCAACAATCGTTCTTCCAGTAGTTTCATTTTCAGCTGGGTGGAACTCATCTTACTTTTTTCCTTCTCCATTATCTTTTGGGAAAGGGAAGGAATAAACACACACACACACACACACACGCACACACACACACACACGCGCACACACACACACACACACACCAAAAAAACCACCCAACAAGGAGTGAAGGAAAGCGTCTTCCCCCAACAGCAATATCACCTAGTCAGGAGGAAGCTTACACAGGCAATCAACCGCCTGCTTAATCACTTCTCTCCATTTTTTTTTAAAGCTATCTACTAGAGTAATTAGAGTAAGTTATTAACCGGGGCAACAAGCTTTCATGCCAAGATTTGACACTTTAAAACATCAAAGCAACTAAAACTGCCAGAGAAAAGCTTTAGCTACCAAAGCAGAAGCAGAAAACCATGGTGTGGTAAACCACACTGTAAATAAGCCCACAGCACCATGAGTGAGGAAAGAGCTTTCTTTCCTCTTTAAGATGAAAAAGAAAAAGGCAGGGTTACATGGGGGACTGATAACAATGTATTCAATACAGGGACAGCCAATGTGCCACCACTCCTCCAAGCCATATCTGTGACAGACATTACTAACTGATCACAGAGTCGGGATGTGGCCCACAATCCTTCCTCACATGCACTTTTGTTGTTGTTGTTATACAGAATCTCGTTCTGCCACCCAGGCTGGCGTTGCAGTGGTGCAATCTTGGCTCACTGCAACCTCTGCCTCCTGGGTTCAAGTGATTCTCCTGCCTCAGCCTCCCGAGTAGCTGGGTGAATGCCACCACGCCCAGCTAATTTTTGTGTTTTTAGTAGAGACGGAGTTTCACCATGTTGGCCAGGCTGGTCTCGATCTCCTGACCTCACACTTGAGGTCACCTCAGCCTCCCACAGTGCTGAGATTACAGGTGTGAGCTACCATGCCCAGCCTCACATGCACCTTTGATCAATGGATCAAAGTGGGCACTCAAGAAGAAATCGATTTGCCACCTCAAATCTAGTCTAAGTGGATATTTCTATTTCTTTGACAATATAAATCATAATTTATGTTTAGCTAATGGATCTATACTATTGCTTTAATAAAGAATCATACTTTTAAAAAGAAAGCATAACTGAACATGGAATCGTGAGTACCTATCTGTCAGGTACCCACACATGAAGAAACTAAGGAACCTTCAGGTGGTGAGTTACTAAATTTGCATGAGTAGTAAAAAAAAAAAAAAAAAAAAAAAAAAAGAAAGAAAGAAAAAAAAAGAAAAAGAAAAAGAAAAAGGACTGTTCCCTGTAGTTTTCTTTGGCAAATTTAACCTTAGAAAGTGACTGTAGGCCGCAGGTGGTAGCTCATGCCTGTAATACCAGCACTTACGGAGGCCAAGGCAGGCGGATCACTTCAGGTCAGGAGTTCGAGACCAGCCTGGCCAACAGAGTGAAACCTTTTCTCTACCAAAAAATACAAAAATTAGCTGGGTGTGGTGACAGGCGCCTGTAGTCCCAGCTACTTGGGAGGCTGAGGCACGAGTATCAGTTGAACCCGAGAGGCAGATGTTGCAGTGAGCAAAGATAACCCCACTATACTCCAGCCTGGGCAACAGAATGAGCCTCCGTATCCCCCCAACCCCCTACCAAAAAAAAAAAAAAAAAAACCTCAGAAGAAAGATTCAAGCTATAAAACAGCCACACTCACGCCTGTAATCCCCAGCACTTTGGGAGGCTGAGGTGGGCAGATCACCTGAGGTTGGGAGTTCAAGACTAGCCTGACCAACATGGAAAAACCCCGTCTCTACTAAAAATACAAAATTAGCCAGGCATGGTGCCACATGCCTGTAATCTCGGCTACTCGGGAGGCTGAGGCAGAAGAATCACTTGAACCCGGGAGGTAGAGGTTGTGGTGAGCCAAGATCTCGCCACTGCACTCTAGCCTGGGCAACAAGAACGAAACTCCATCTCAAAAAAAAAAAAAAAAAAAACAAAAACAAAAAACAGCCACCACCATGACCACTGAATTCACATTACTATCTGCCAATCACTGAGAACAGTGCTTCACATATATTTAACTCACTTAATTTTCACAACAGCCCTATAAGGTAGGTAGCATTATTGTCCCCATTTTATAGATGAGGAAACTGAGGCTCCTGGGTGTTGAGGAACCTGTATAAGGTCACAGCTATTGGCAGAACTAGGATATGAACCTAGGGAAGTTGAGCTCTGGATTCTGTGCTCTTAGCCCCCATGAAACTGCTTCTGTGCTCTGATCTATATTAATCCCACAATTACTGAGTATCCACTATGTGCACACACCATGCCCTCAAGCAATTTAAAATAGAGAGAGAAAGATCAAAATGCAAACAATCAACTTCCACACAAAAGCATTATGAAAGAGATGCTATAATAGAGGTTCAAGTGTGTTAGCATATAAAGAAAGAATCATTAATTCTGCCTGGGGCAAGAATCAGGCCTGCTTCACAGAGACAGAGACATCAGAGCCCTGAAGGTTGAAGACAGAGAAGCTGCTAGTCCTCCTCCCAGCTACAGGCCAGTCAGGGGGTAAGGGTGGGTCAAGAGAACACAGCAGCTTCTTAGGCCACTCAAGCTCTGTGAGGACTTGAATGAGAAATGACCATTTATTCAATGACTAAATGACTAGGGAGAAGTGGTCCGTACGCAAAACCTCTTGGGAGTTGCCGTGACTATTCTGTTTTGCTTGGATTCACTCCCTATCTGCTATTACGACGATCCTAATATTCAGAAGTCTCCTAGGATCTTTATCGCTCTCCTTGTTTCTGAGAGTCAAATCGGGGTTTATGGCCTGCAAGGATGAGATTCAGCCTCAGGTAACATTTACAGAGTGAATAGTGCGCCCAGTGCTGGGCTCTGTGCTTTCATATCTGGATGGTCACCGGATCTTTTTAACCACCTTGAGGTAGGTGTGAATACTATCCCCATTTTCACAGAAGAGGACAGAGGGACTCCAAGAGGTCAAGTAACTTGCCCAAGGCCATATGGCTAGAAAGTGGCACATGGTGGATTAAGTACAAGGCGGAGGCAGAAGTGGAACAAAGCCATCCTGACTTGCAGTCTGATACTCTCTCCTCCACTCCTGCTGTCTTTTTTCTTGGGAAAAGATACCTCCAGCAGGGCTGTCTGACACATCTAGCTGGTAGACTCTGAAGCTATCAAGGTAGCAGAAAAGAACAAATGTGAATGTGCTCCGTGTCTGCACTTACCGATGATTTCATGGTCTAACCTCATATCACACTACCTTGGTTCACCAAAGTGACCACACTTTCAGTCTGCAGAAACAACACAGGAAATTATGAGTCCTTGCTCCCAGTGTCATAAGCACCTAGTAGGCGCTCAAAATTTCTTTTATGACAGCCATGTCTGCCAAAGTGGGTGCAGGGCTTTTTAAGTAGATTAAGATGTCAATGACTTAAATATTATCCTTTAAAATTCTGATTCTTTAAAATTCTGATTCATAAGAGTCATATGAGAAGCTATCAGTCCTGCAATCTAAGGAAGACACAATTTATTTCATGACTTGACCGCATTACTAAAATAATAAAATTTTCTGCCATGGCAGAAATCGGATGAATTTAATGAAATGGCAAAAAAAAAAAAAAAAAAAGAAACATCACCTGTTTACACACATGCACCCCAAATTACACCGGTGGACTGCACTGGTATTCCGTAAAATTACTGAGAGCCTGAACAGATTATACTCAGCTATGGTCCTTTTCTAGACTAGCCAAGGCCCCAGTCAAAGCTCTCCCAAAGAGAATATGGAAACAAAGAGCTTTTTAAGTGCCAGTCGGTACGCATAAACATCTTCTAAATGAACTTGATCAGTCTCTATTATGTCGTCTCAACATGAAAATGAGTCTAACGATGCAAAATAACAGCCACCAAAGAATAAATATTGTTTTTGTCTTAGAGAACTGTCTATTCACTGGTTCCAAATCAGGCTGTGTATCAATCATCCGGGGAACCTCAAAAAATACACATTCCATGGTTCCATACTAGACTTTGTGAACCAGAATGTCTGGAGATGGTGCCCAAGAACCTGCATTTTAACAAGTTTTCTGGGTGGTTCTAACATAATGCTAATCCATGGATCAGAACTGGGGAATCACTGACAATCTGAATCCTGTGCCTCATCCAAAGTGCTTGATGTTTGTTGAAGCAATGGGAGAAGAGGCAGGAGAGGAAGGTAAGAGCTAGCAGAGAGACCATGGCTGGTTGAAGTCACATCAAAGTGTCACAAATGAACCTGTTGATACTCTGTATTACAGAGTCTCTATGGTATCTCAAGGTTCTTCATTCCAATTAGAGTTTAACATGAATAAGAGAAAACCAATTCACACATAATTAAATGAAGAATATAGTTCAACAAGCAATTAATTATCTATACATTTTAAAGCCAGAGAATGCCCGTATAAGTAAAACCCACCAATCTTCTCTCCTACTTTCTGTCCATGGAAGTTCCTTTATTTTTTAACAGTTTTAAATATTCTCTGGACCACAATAAAATTGTATATAACGGAGATTAGAGAGGCTGTGCTGCTTGGAAGTTTGGCTGCAAAGCCTCTATTCCATGCCACTTCATTATAATTTCTTAAGGATTTCCCTCTTCACCAAAAGGATTAGTTTTCTTCTCACTTCTTTGAATACTCTTCTCAGGTTGTTAGTGTGAACTAGGTTACTCTCTCTCCTTTTTAACATATAAAAGATAAACACAATGTTCGATTTATTTTATTTTTTAAATAGAACACTAAATTTAGTCTTAGAATTCTCTGTTTGGTAAGTTTCCAGTTACAAGGTCTTGGCTTCCCTTGAGCACAGTTTGAAACAAAATAATGCAGTTTGTTCCTACGGCTGGAACATGCAGAGTGGAGTGTGCAGGCAAAGAGGCCTTGGCTCTGCTCCAGGATTTCAAAGCTCCTTCAACTGCCACTCTCATCTCTGCTTCAAGGGCGGCAGATAAGCAAACAGGATTAGTGTTTTCTAGTCCAGAAGAGCTAGGAAAGCTTTGCACACATCATTCAGGTGCTCAGCTCATCACACAGGCTGGCGTCAACATGACAAGGTGGCGTTCGTCAGGAAAGTAGCAAAAACGAAGCCAAATCTGAAAAGCTGCCCAGTCCACAAACTGGCCCTTTCTTAGGGCTCAAGACCAGATGGTACTCAGACAATGGATGCTGTCGGTGGGAGTGGTGGAACAGGACTGGGGCAAGGCTGGAAAAGTCTCCATGTTCCACTCGAATACTGAAACATCTCCTAAGGACCAGACTGTGTGCTGGTGGGGAGATGGAAGTATCACCCACCACTCCTCAGGCCACAGGGTACCCGGTCCTGCCCAGCTCCCACATGCCTGGGGACTAATTTTTGTTGACGCAGTTAGGAAGAAACTGACAGAGAGAGGGTGCCAGTTTATTTTTTTTGTCTTCCTTCAATGAGATACCATCAGAAAAGTAATAATGGTTTTCGGTTATGGGTGTAGAGGCTAATTAGGTCGTGGTCTTGCCACCATACAATATTTCCTTCTGAAAAGCATCCGCTGGGTAAAACAAATAGATGTTTCTCAGGAAAGTAAATATGCCTTTGTCATTATTTAACTGGATATTCTTAGTTGTCCAAATTTCTTTCAGTATCCCTAAATTATAAAGGGGGTGATTAGGACCAAGATACACTGCTCGAAGGAACTGCAACATATGAACCCTGGAAGGTTCTTTATTCTTTATTATATAGGACAAAGATACATAGCTGCAATATATGAACCCTGAAACCACAGTGAGTTACAGAAGATACGCCCCAGGGCTCCACCAAGGCCGCACTCATGGTAGGAATAGGGTGCAGGAGCTGCTGGGAGACAGCCAAGTCTAAGAAGGCATGGGCAGACGGAATGGAATCTGAAGTGTTTAAGGAAATGGAGCTGTGGCTAACAGACTGGGTGTGTCAATGGGAATTCACAGATCTGCCTCCTGTTTCCTGGTGCCTAGAGTAGTGTCAGGCGCACAGACAGGGCTTGCCGAATCTGAAGTAAAAAGCTTAGGTGTGCGTTCAAAGGTGACGACGACCAGGCAGAGGTTCTTTATATTATTTTAGATCCATGGCCAACAGGGTCATGCTAAGAATATTTCTCTAAGTACAAGTGTCACAGGGAATTCATGACAATGAAGAGTTACCAAGAAGGAAGTATGAGGCAGCAAGGATGCTGGCCTGGTTTTAATTCCATCTCTGCTGCTCATCTTAGACAAGGCACATCAACTTTCGGGGGTGCTAACATTCCCATCTGCAAAGGGAGAAGAAAACCCACAAGCTCCTAGGGTTGCTGCAAGAACGAATGAAAAAAATGATCACATACATGATTAGCATAGTGCCTGTCATATAGGAAATGGATGGCTCAAAAGGTTAACTTAAAAGAACTTTAAAAGGGTGGGGGAGAACGGCGGGGCTCCCATATAAAGTACTGAGGACGAATCTACTTAAGGATATTCTTACACATTTATTCTGTGAATGCTCTTTAGTGGTCTTGGAGCTTTACAAGCTACAAAAAAAAAAAAAAAAAAAAAAAACCTCTAAGTACTATACAATCAGGTCTTATTTTTCACCCAAACCAACAGCACCTAGCTCCACTAGTTACCTTATCCACCAGATTTGGCTCAGGGTATCTTTTTGGCTCTTTACAAGAATTTTCAAATTCCTTTAGTGGGGTGGCTATTCCTAACAACATGCCTCTGGCTCCTGTGACAGTTCCCGCACAAGGGACTGGAAAATGGTGTTAAGTAATGGCACCCAATAGACATAACCTGGTTCCCAGGCATGCACTTCGAAGGGGCTACGATTAGTTTGTGTGTAATCCCTTGATGTTTCTCCCTTTCCAGAAGCCAAAGCCTCCTTCCCCTGACACTGCATCATAACGACCTATATTCATGGCCACCTCTCCTATTGACTAGGACATGACCTTGGGCAAGTTATTCCGCCTTTCCAAATGGACTGGCTGTTCTGTAAAATGGGAATAATATCTATCTTCTAGGAATGCTGATGGAATTGTATTATCTCTATTAAGATCTTTGACCTACTTGCTCTCCATAGAGTTCCAAAAAGCAGTATGAATTAAGCTCAGATATGAAAATATGGAAGAAAAATGGGGCCTTTGTGCTACAGGGAATCACACTGAAGTATTTACATTAGAGAACAAGATTTAGTTAAGCCTTCCCTATTTATCATTTATAAAGGAAAACAATCAATATACATTAACTGAGCAAAGAGAACAAAAACTTACATTTTTCTTATACAGAATATCACAATGTTATTGACCGAGAAACCCCGAAATGCATATTACCTGCCTCTGAACTAAATATTGTTGAGTTTGTCTCTATTGACACAGCCATTTTTATAGAAGACAGCACTCGAGTGCTAGACAGCTTTTATCTTTCATGTGCTTGGTGGCTCTGAGGAGCATTAAGCCTCCATCTTATCAAACACAATTGAGAAGAATGTGGTTTGTCAAGTATTGCAGGCCACATCAGGATCTGTCAAGAGAGGTTCCTCAAAAAATCTCAGGCTGAGATGGCCTTTGCATATCCCCCTCCGCACCAGCCCCCATCTAAAAGATAATAAAAAGCCACTCTTAAGGAAATAAAAGGCAACAATTGGGAAACTTTCAAATTCTGAATTTGAAGAGGTCCAAAGGTGTGAATACAACAGAAGTCTGCTCAGCTACGTCATCCCCAAACTCCGCAGAACCTCTCAGGATGCTGCCAACTGCACGTGACATACAAGGAGAACCCCACCTCCTCCAGAGAAGCTTCTACCAGCAATCCATGAAACTTCGAACCCAGTTAAGAATCAACTCTTTGTTAAGAAAAGCCTTTTAAAAGTCATAGTAATACATATTCATAGATTTCAAAACAAAACAAAAAGTAGTCAAGGCTTATCATGAAAAGGAACAGTCCACTTCACCATTCTTCTTACACCCTTCACTCGAAGTAATCACATTCAACACAGGATTTATCTCCTTATTTCTAAATCACGAATTCTTGGTTTCACATTTTCCACATTAAGACTTGGATTCTGCCTTCCCTTTGCAAATGAACTGTTATCCTCTCAGAGGCCAGTCACCCCGCTTATCCGGTTGTCTTCATTCCACAAATATTTATCGTGGTGTTACCACAGGCACTGGGGGCACAGCAGTGAAGGAAACGGGCAACAATCCCTGTCTTCATGACGTTTACATTCCAGTAGGGTAGGCCCTTAATAAACTGGACAATAAAATTTGATTTCCCATTATAGAATTTATTAATTTATTATAAACGTCTGCAAAAGCTACGTACCAGGCTGTGTTCTGAGAGCTATGCAAGTATTAACTCATTTTAATTTTACTTCAAAGGAGGTCACTGGTGACTGGAAAAAGACACTAAAACAAGTCCACCTGTTTTAGTGGACAGGTGGGGACTGAATCCTAATGGAAGACTGAGGAGAGAATGAGACCAGAGGAATTAGTAAATAGGTAACTCTCTTGAGGAATTCTGTTCTGAAAGGGAGACTAGAAATGGGATAAAGGGGATACGGGTCAAGAAAGTTTTGTTTTGAAGTCTGGGAGCTTCTATAGCATGTTGGCATGCTCATAAGAATGTGCCAGGAGAGAAGAGAAAATAATAATAGATGCAGGAGAGAAGAGCTTGCTTACTGCTGGAGTAATTTCCTTGAAGGAAACCACAGTGTCGCCTTTCCTGTTGGCATTCTGAGGCCATCTACCTAAAACTGCAATCCCTGCCACTCTCCACTCCCCATCCGCTCTCTTCGGCTTTATTTTACTCCTTAGTACTTTCCATTTCCTACCGTACGAGATATTTAACTCCTCTGACTTATCGAGGACCTATGATACTAGAATGCAAGCTTCATGAGGACAGGGATTGTTGCCTGTTTTGTTCACTGCCGTAATCCCCAGTGCCTATGGCAATGTCACGATAAATATTGCAGAATGAAGTAAGTTGGACAAGCAGAGTGACTGGCCTCAGAGAGGACAGACGGTTCATCCACAAAGGGAATGCAGAGTCCAGGAGTACAGGCCCAGGAAGCTGAGCAAAGTGGTGTGGGATCTTGGCACTCTCTCCTGAGGGCTTCCATTAGATGGGTATAGAATTCTAGGTTAGAAATCATTTTCCCTTAGAAGGTCAAGACACTGCTTCACTGTCTTCTGGTTTCCAGAACTGCCACTGCCAAATCTCAGGCAATGTTGATTCTTAATCTTTGTACAAGAACTGCTTTGTCTCTATCCCTGATACTCTAAAATCTCATGATAAAGGAGCTTTGTACCTTCTTTTTAGGCCTCTAAAAAATTTTGAATTATATTAAGTATGTATGTCATATAAACAACTTTCAAAGAAAAAAAAAATGTAAGAACCCCAAACCTACCACCTTGGCTCAGGGGCCAGCAAACCACAGTGAAAAGGCTAAGCCTGGCCTGCTGCCTGTATTTGGCAATAAAGCTTTGTTGGCACACAATCATACACTTAGTTTACCTCTGTTCGATTACAAGGTTGGAGCCCAGCAGTGGCAACAAGGACCATATGACCTGCAAAGGCGTATTTATTATTTGACCCTTTATAGCAAAATGTGTTAGTTCCTCACCTGGCTTAAGACAGAAAGCAAAACTTTTGATGTCCCTTGTATGACTCTTCCCAAACCAGTCTTTTCTCTCCCTGTGAGGAAACCATTACCTAAATTTTGTGTTAATTATTTCTTTTTACCTTTGTAGTTTGTGTGAATCCCTAAACAAGATACCATTTAGTTTTTCTAGCTTGAACTTTATATTAATGAAATCATACTGAACAGTATATCCTTGTGCAACCCAGTTCCTCACTCAGCTTCTACATTAGAGACATAATCATATTGATAGTGCAGTTCATTTTCATTGATCCGATCGATATTCTACTGTGTGACTACACCACGGCCTATCAGTTCTCTGTTGGTAGTCATGAGAACTATTTCCAGGATTTAAATAAAACCTAAAAAAAGCCACTGTGAACATTTTTATACATATATCCTACCATACATGACCAAGGGGTGTGTGTATACCCACAAAATTCCACCTAGGAGTAGAATTGCTGAGTGATGGGCATACGTAAATAGTTTTGTAGCACATACCCTTCAAATAGTAGTAAATGACATTCTCTAATACATTTCCAATATAACACCTGGCTTTGTCAGCCACGAAATTTTTTGTAAACCTAGTGTTTCACTGCTGGTTTTGTTTGTTTTTTCAGAGACAAGGTCTCACTCTGTTGTCCACGCTGGAGTGAAGTGGTATGATCATACCTTACTGCAAAGCCATGATCCTGGGCTCAAGTGATCTTCCCGCCTCAGCATCCCTAGTAGCTAGGAGTACAGGCGCGTTCTACCACGCTCATTTTTAATTTTCTTTGTAGAGACAGGGCTCTCACTGTGTTGCCCAGGCTGTTCTTGAACTCCTGGCCTTAAGCAATCCTCCCACTTTGGCCTCCCAAAATGTTGGGATTATAGGTGTAAGTCATTGTGCCCAGCCATAATCACTGTAGTTTTAATGTGCTTTTTGATTATTACTAATGTGGTTGAGTATCTTTCCATACAGATGTTGGCCATTTGTATTTCTTCTGTGAAATGCTAATTCATGCCTTTTGCCAATTTTTCCATTGACAGGCTTGTCTTCTTTTTAATTGTCATAGTTCTGTACTTATTTCCGATACTAATTTTCTGTCAGTTTTTTTATATGGCAAATCTCAGCTTGTGACTTTTCAGTCAGAGAAAAGTATCTTTTAATGAATAAAAGTTCACGATTTTAATATTTTCTTTTATACAATGTATATTTTGGACCACCTTTAAATAAGCCTTTCTCTACTCCAAAGATCATCAAGTATTATTCTATTTTGTCTTCTAAATGTTTTTAAATTTTGCCTTTCACATTTAAGTTCTTGATCCATTTGGAATTTATTTTTGTGTGTGTACAATAGAAACGGTCTTCCTTTTTTTTCCTATGTGGACAGCCAATTATTGATTCCCCAGAGATGCTACAATGCCACCTTTTATAAAATAAAGAGCCCATATACATGTGATCTGTTTTTGGGCTCTCTATTCTGTTCCATCAGCCCATATGTGTATCCTCATCCCATTACTAGCATCGTAATTACTACAGCTTTATAGAAAGTTTTGATATCTGGTAAAGCAAGCTTCCGCAACCCATTCTTTTTTGTCAAGTATGTTGTGGCTCTTTCTCTGGCTTTTCCATATTAATTTTAGAATTAGCTCGTCAGGTACTATGTAAAACCCTATGGGGGTTTTGAATATAATTGTATACAATCTATACATCATTTTGAAATGAAATAACATCTTCAAGATATCAGGTCTTCTTATTCATAAACATGGTAGTGCTTTCCATCCCTCTATTGAGGACCATAAAAGTTTTCCCATTTAATATGTCAATATGTAAGTTATATTAATAGATTTTCTAGTATCATCAATCATTTGCTTCCTAATTGAGGATTTTTACCCCTACATTAATGAGTGACACTGGCTGCTAATTTTTCTTTCTTGTGCAGTCTTTGTGTTGAATGTCAAGGTTATACAAGTGTCGCAGGAAAAGTTGGGTTTCATTTCCTCTTGTTCTAGACTCTTAAGGAGTTTGTCTAAGACTGAAATAATCTTTTCCTTGAGATGTTTGATAAAACACACTTGTAAAACCCCCTGGGATGAGTGTTTTATCTGGAAAAATATGTAAAGATATTGATTCAATTTCTGTAAGTTAAATAACCTATTTAATTTTTATATTTCTTCGGGAGTCAACTTTGCTAAGCTATTTTCTTCTATTTTGCCTTAGTTTTCAAATGCTGGCATAAAGTTGCTAACAGTATTTTCTTACTATTTTAAAAATTCCTGCTGCATCTGTTTTTTGTGTTTGTAGATTTATTCCTTTATTTCATTTTAGTTTTGGGAGGAAGCAGAAATAATTTTGTGTGTTTAATCCACCACATTTATGAGAGCAAAATCACACAGAAGGTTCATTCTTCCTTATCTATAAGATGGAAGTAATTACAGAACCCACTAAGGCTGTCGTAGTAAGGATTAAATGAGTTCATACATGAAAAGTGCTTAGGACAGTGCATGGCACACAGTAAGGGATCAAAAACATCATGATTAAATGATAAGGAATTCATTTCCACTGAGACGATGTCATGTTTTTGTTGACTGAAATTTAATAATCTAAAGCAACAGTAACTGGTTATGGACTAGACTCTTTCAAAGAGGTGATGATAGATGTGGTTGACAATATTCTCATTCTGAAACTCAGTCTGGGTGTTTGTGCCCTGAAATTATGAACTGCACGTATGGTGTAAAATAAAATGTAAAACAAAGCAAGAGGTCTACTATAGGCTATTCTTAACACATACTAGGCAATTAAAAAAAACTGAGTTCTTGATGAGCAATCAATAACCAAAGAAATAATAAAATAATGAAGGTATAATAAAAACTGTAAGGAAAACTCTAGTAGTCTCAGAGAGTTTTCATTATTAGGTGCCTTTTATTCATAAGTAAACACATAACTTGATTTTATCCATAGGCCCTTCATTAGGGAACTCTCCACTTATAAAAATATTTTTCTACTCTCTCTAACAGAGGGATGCCTATTAGGCATTCTACTCCCAGTCAATTTCTGTATATAAGTTTTGTCTACAAACAAAAACAACAACAAACTCAGCAAACAGATATTGAATTATTTAGGGGAAAGTAAAGTGACGCCTGTGATTTACTTTGAAATGCATAAAAAATAAGATGGATCACCTGTAATCCCAGCACTTTGGGAGGCTGAGGTGGGTGGATCACTTGAGGTCAAGAGTTCGAGACCAGCCTGGTCAACATGGCAAAACCCCATCTCTACTAAAAATACAAAAATTAGCTGGGTGAGGTGGTATGTGCCTGTAACCCCAACTACTTGGGTGACTGAAGCAAGAGAATTACTTGTACCTGGGAGGTGGAGGTTGCAGTGAGCCGAGATAGTGCCACTGAACTCCAGCCTGGGTGACAGAGTAAGACTCTGTCTCAAAAAAAAAAAAAAAAAAAAAAAAAGATGGATTAATGGATGCTATGGATGATAAATAGTTGAATAAATACATGATAAAGCAACTGATACAATGTCACTAGTAGAATTTAGATGGAAGTATATCAGCATTCACTGTAAAATTATTTCAGCTTTCTATAATGGCTTAAGAATTTTCATAAAAAATATTGGGGAAAATGTGAACTCATACTTAGCAAGTGAAAAACTAAAATAAAAGGAATATAAAAATATTTATATTATACACACAGCAAAAGTTATATAGAAAGTTCATTATAATTAATAAAAAAATCAAGACACCTATAAAATAAATGTGAAAGGATATTAACAAAATACAAATAAAAAAATAAACCCATGGAAAATATTCAGTTACCTCTAACCAAAGAGGTAATTCTAAAATTAAAGCAAGCCTGAAATACCATAGCACATCTACTTTCTTAGCAGAATTAAAACACCTGAGCACATGCACGTACACACGTGCGCACATGCGCGCACACACACACTCTCTCTCTTTCCTGGCAAAGCTGCGGTGAAAATGGTGCACTCATCTACAGCTGGCAGCCTTCACTGTAAACAAGCACCGCCTGTTTGCAAAGCAATTTGGCAGTCCCTAAGTCATAGCGCTTATCAAGCCCTTTGACCTAGTGTCCCACTCCTTAGAATATAACTGTAACAGTCAAAAGAAGCCAAAAGATGTTCATTGCAGTATTATCTACTAAAAGGATTAAATCATAATGAACAACCTAAATGGCCATCAAGAGAAGGATTTAGTAAATAATGACACACCCGTATCATGAAATATGGTGTAGACATTAAAAAATGACAATTGAAGCTCATGTAGAAACCTGCAAAATGTTCATAACACACAATCAAATGGAAAGCTATTTATAATTGACTGTGCGACTACAGGAATAAATGAAATGTGCATTGGCACTGTAAAAAAAAAAAAATGAACAATTAATGAAAATGACATGCTGCCATATAAGGGGACTGTAGCTGACTCCTTTTTCTAAAATTTTCTTTCATCTTGCTGGTGTATCTTTCAATTAAAATTAGATCATTAAAAAGCCAGTCTTAAGACTGTCTACTCACAGTGCTGAGTTTGCTGCAAATGATGAGTATCCGGCGTTCGTACAGCATACTGGCGTACAGATGCAACATGTTGTTAACATCCACAGCCACAAAATATTCTGTCAGATTTCTCTAGGAGAAAGAAGAAGGCACGGTTTGTGGCTGATTTTCTTTGTTCTTATTATAACTGTATCTAATAAGAGCATAAGAAACATAAAATAATCAGAAAGTATACTCTGTTCTTTCCCTGTCCTTTTCTTTCTACCTGGGAGGCCAAATCCCCACATGTGTAAAATCATGAAGGGTAAAGTTGGAAGACACCTTACAGAGGAAGGAGCCTGAGCAATTACATCTTTGTGTGGTGATTACAACATGAGGTCGCATCCAGCACTTAGGTCAGTTCCTAAAGGTGAGCAGAACAGGAATTCTACATATCTTACAAATGAGGAAACCAAGACTCAAAGAGATTCTCCAAGATGGAACAGTCTAATAAGCAATGAAGACAGGACTGCTGCTCAAATCTTTGGGCCCCAGATCCTAGAACCTTCCCGATGTGCTGTGCCATACGCCTAAGCAAAAGAAAGTACCCAGGGACCAAAATGCTTCTGGCACTGAGCCTGTTTCTGTGCAGGAGATGCCACCCACGAAGGCCAGGCGAGCTCCTCTCCCGTCATCACTGCTGGTATCCCCTCCTTCACAGTTTACATTTGCTAAAACGGCTCAGCTGGAATTAAGGCAATTTCGAACATTTACAATTTCCAGGTATTTCACTCAAAAGGGGAAAAAAAATTGAAGACAAACAGCAGCAAGTTGTGACAAAGCAGTGTTTTAACTAGCTTTTTTCCACCCCTGTAGCCTGGGCTTCAGTCTTTTAATTAGTACTATAGATTGGTACTCTTCAGATTTCAGAAAAAAAATGGAATGTGTTTCATTTATACAACGCTTTCTATACCCACCTGACTTTAATAATACACATGAATATGCTAATTTCTTCAATGTTACAGGTTTTCAATGCCATACAATATAATCCTCTGAAAATGAAAGGGGTTTGGGAGGGAAGGAATGCTATTGCCAGGCGTTGCAGTTTATAATGATTAAAGATCTATAACCCATAAATTGAAGTAAACCAGGTGGATTTTACATGCAAAATAGCACAAAGTGCTTTTCAACAATATTATGGGCTGGGAGTAAAAATGGGCACTTATCTTATAATTTATTATTGTTTGACTGAAGTACCAAGTTAACCATCAACCTTTATAAATACAGAGCAAGTGAATTAACAGCTCTATATACTAACTACCTATCAAGTGCCAGCCACTGTACCAGACACTGTGGATGTGTAATTGTGCAGTCTTCACAAAAATCCAGTGAGGCGTTATTCTTTCCAATATAAAGTCTGGGAGAGGTCAGCAACTGGCAAAGTCAGATCTGACTCCATGGCCTATACGCTTTCCCGTACACAACACTGTCCCTCTTATGCACATCTATTGTTTGAAAGATTCACATCTATTATTAAACATGTCACTTAATCTTCAAACTGTTCCTTGAACTAAGTATTATTATCCCTCTACGAAGATGAGAAAACAGTGGCACAGAGAAGTTGTGTAATTTGACAAAGGTCACGCAGTAAGTGGATGTGACATGATTCAGTCCTGAGTGGGTCTGTCTCTAAATCCATGCTCTTTTTATTCCACACAAAATTGTAGGTAAAACTCATATTTGGAAAAAGAAACGCAACAAGATCAAGTATGCCTAAAGAAAGGAAAATGCTTCTGTTAAAAATTACCGTTACCCCATTCACGGAGTGATCTGTATGTGGCAGGCAACAGGTGCTTTTCCTGTGTTCTTTCCAATCTTCCCAACAAGCTTGAGACAGGCATTATCATCTCCATTATATAGATGAGAAATAAAAAAAAAAAAACTGGAGGCTCAGGAAGTCTCAGTAGACTTCTAAAGGTCACCCAGCTAGAAAGGGGAGAGCCATGTTTCAAAACTAGATCTCCTCAATCCAAAACTCATACCCTAACCACCACACCAACTTGCCTCTTAACAAACTCAGTGAAAAACAAAACAGCAAACACCAAAGGCAGTCGGAAGGAGTCAACCAGTGTATCTTGGTTCCTCCACTGGACGGAGGAACACAGAGCTAATGATGTAAGGGTGGGGTTTGCTCTGAAGACGGTGACATGGCACAGCTCTCCTCACAAACAAAAATATGAGGCCCTTCACTGAGCATTTCAGTAAAAAGCTTAACTGCTGATGAATTACATGAATTTTTCTTTTAGGAGAGGATGGAAGTAAAAAGAAAATAGAAATGAGGAGCTTAAAGAAGGCCAGAAAGCCCATTAGCACTTTTGACAGATCCAAAGATAACTCTGAAGCCACCAAAACGTGGCCTCAAGAGTCTGCCAAGAAGCTTCACGCTGGGGAGAAATATGTTACACAGCTTGCCGTCCAAATAGGGAGACACAGCGTCAGAGACAAATCCTGCGCCTTATTTTGGTGGGAGAAAAAAAAATCACAAGGATACTTTTGTGGATGGGAAGGAAACATTTCTGAAATAAAAACACCATTTGATTGAGGCATGTCCCCCATCTCCAATCAGATTCTGAGGGACTCAGGTGCTTGTTCCAAAAACTCTACACAGGTATGTTAAAAATACGTAACATTTAGCCAAATTCTCTCTAAACTGTCATGTACTTTTTTTGGTATTTCTCATCCCATCTGTGCTGATTACCAAGATATTTGTGTCTAAACAGAAGCTGTCTTTCTTATCTGCTTCCTCCCCTGCCTCTTTCCTTCTGGGATGCCACCCGCCTGAGCGGGTGGGAGTGGGTGGGAGTGCCAACAGCCCTGGGAACCTCGCTCAGCCGTGGGAGCACCTGTGGGGCAGAGCGGGGCCCCAGGAGCAGCTGCAGGGAGCACTCGCAGTTCCCATCAAGCCTCAGTTCAGAAGCACGCCCCATGGAGTCAGGAATCTCCCTCCCCCAGCCACACCAATCCTTACTCTCTCAGGCCTGCCATGTCCTGAGAGACAATTGAGTGAAATACCTGGAAATTGTAATTACTCCTGCTGTGTCCTCTGCCTCGAATGCCCCACTCTTCCTTGAGGACACCCGCTTACTTTTCAAGGCCCAGCTCCAATGTCACCTCCTCCCGGGAGACTTCCTCAATTCATTTGTCAAGTTCTCCTGTATGCTTCCATTGTCCCCATCTTACAGTAACTCAGTTTTAAGTATGTTTTTGCCACGAGACGGGGTCCTGTTAGGTGAAGCTGCTTCTCCCATCATCCAGCAGTTTGATGACAGCAAGCTCGGTGCACGGAGGAAGCAATGGCTGAGGGTGCTGGTCCCTCACTCAGGCGAGAACAGTGCAGTGAGGAATGCACCAGCCCAGAAGATGGACCAGGTGGGACATTAGGAAGAACGTAGCATGTGACTCCAGAAAACCTGGCTCTGAGCCAGATGAAGCAATTGATTACTCAGTAATGGTGAAGAACCCGCAGAAAAAGAACTGCCACTGGAAGCTACACAAAGACCGGTAAGTAACTGGGAATGGCGGAGGGAGGGAGGGGTGACTTTTCATGGTAGCTGTGGCTACATGTATTAAAAATGTAAATAAATTAGTGGTTTATCAGGTAACTGGGGTGAGGGCTGTACACAGAAGCATGTGTTCATTTCACAGCCAGGCCAAGCATATTTCTCCGATGGGTAAGATCAGAGGATAGAAGGGAGGACTTCCGCGGCAGGCTGTCCTCAGTCAAGACTACAGCCAGAACACGTTATGAGCTTCTGCTGATAAAAGACACAAGATAAGCCACTCTCCCAGCACTTTGCTTCTCCTGCAGACTAAATCCTCATCCTCTCATTTCTATCTCCTATAATCAGGCAATCAACACACACTTATTTAACTCCTACTATGTGCCTAGCACCCTCCTGGGAGCTAGGCCTGCAGAGATAAACTAACTGTGATCTCCATCTTCCTGCTTACTCTGGGGTGGGAGGGACATTAGACTCAGAAATCCAGTATGCAACATACCGTGGTTGAGGCTACACTCCAGGCATGGCTGAGAAGCCTCACTCCCCTTGACGGATATGCAGGGGAAGGCTGGAGAAAGTGTGACAGAGAAGACATTTGGTCTGGGCCTCCAAACAGGGGTTCACTCAGTGGACCAGGGAAGAAGCATATTCCAGGCAGAGGCAAAGACAGGGTGGGGAGAGGAGCGCACACGCAGGGAAGAGAGTGAGAGGCAGGGCGGGGAGGGAGAGCAGGGGGCAGGGGAGCTAGGGACAGGGCAGTGCTGAAGGATCCTGACATGACCCTATTTGTGTTTCAGAAAAATCTTCCTAGAGACTCTGTGGAGGACAGATAAGAGGGCAAACAGGAGGCAGGACAGTCAACTAACAGGCTGCTGCCATATTCTGGGAAAGAAATGATTAAAATATACATTAGAAAACCAATTCAGACAAAAGCTTTGGGTGTAGATGTCAGGGATATCCATAAAGTAGAATCACAGGACTTGACGATGAATTAGACTTGGGGAGGGAAGGAGAAAAAAATCTCAAGTGACCCCTGGACTTCTAGATTACTATGCACCATACTAGTCTACTTGCCCAAATAGGTTTTTAAAGGGAGAGTCCATTCTTTTAATAAAGGATAAATCCTCCTTCTAAAGCACCATAATTTCTGTCAAACATGGTGTCCCTGGCCACCTCTTCCTAGGCTTAGTGTCCTGGGCTGTAATGCCACCATGGCTGAGCCTAAGTAACCACTTTCTTCATTCTCTGCCAATTACTTCTCTGTGTGACTCACCTACTTGGAAAGGAAAACCTTGCTTCAAGGACTAGTTCCCAGTTTCTGTGCTCAAAAGGTCTCGGTTTTCTTAGTGCCAGTAAGTTTTTAGGCTTGAGGATATTCCTTTCCTACTCATGGAGTTTAAACATTATTTCAGTTACACATACATTTATGTCCCCATGAGCATGTGCCTCTCCACCTAGCATCTCTTCTGGCCACACTCTCTAGGGCTGGGTAGCACAGCTACAAAGCTATCCCCCACCCAGGCTGGAAAGGGCTCAAATCTGAGGAAGGTCTCTGGACAGAGCAGCCTGCAAGGTGCACTTCAGAAGAAGCCTGCAACGCACAAGCTCCTTAGACTCTTGGCTCCCACTTCTCATCTCTGCAAAGAAACGTTGGTAAGCGTCAGGTCAAGTGCGAACCCCCTGTGGCTCTAAATCCAGACAAAGAGAAAGGGAATGGCACCTGGCAAAACCCCCATCCTCCCAGGAGAAGCCTTATAATGGCTGCTCCCTTCTAGCTGTCCCTGCTGGCTCCTGCACCAATCCAGGTGGCTGGGGACTTGAGGCTCACTGTGATCCATGCCTGAGGTTACGAAGCAGGTGGGGGTGGTGGCGATGGGGGGAGTTGGAGTGGGGTGGGGATGGGAGGGGATATAGTGGGGCTTAGAGAGAAAGCGTCTTAGGTTCAATACCTTAGGGAAATGAGATAATCCTCAAACCAAAGAACTGACTCTAAGCTGGGTACTCCTTGGAGCCTTCGAAACAGATGCTAGTCCGCCCCACTGTCTGTCATTTTATTAGTCTTTGTGACTTTCCACTTCATACATGGTACACATGATAAAGACCTACTGTCTTGTGTCTGAAGGCAGCTTCCAAGGCAAGAGGCTTGGTTTTGTCAGTGGGTCTTGTTTACTGAAATAACTCCTATTCAAATTATTTTACCATAATAAAAATTTTTAAAACCCTCAACTGATTTTTTTTTTTTAAGAATTTAGGTAACCTTAGTTGGGAGGGATTCTTTAAAGGGAATTATAAATTTGGATTATAAAACAATCTGCTTAAGAAAGAATCCCAGAAATTCACATAAGCAATCAAATCAGAGAAGAGTATTCTAGAAAGGAAAGCAGAGTTTACTCAGAGGTCAACTTTCATCCCTCCATGTGAATAGAAAAACCATTAGAATAAACAATTACCTGACAACTCTTAAGAGCAACAATGGAATTCTCTATAATCGCAGTTCTTGATAATAGGTCTTCTACTACCACTTCAACTTTGTTTATGTTTGAAAGTCATGATGAGTTCATAAATCTTTTCTATATCATGGCGCATCTTTTGACAAAGTGGAGTCTGGGCAATGTTATATGTAACTGTCCATTCTAACTGCTTTCCTCGCATCATTAACCACTTGGTATGACACCAACGAGATAATTAAGACAGGTTTGTTTAATATTCCAAATGAAGGTCTATATGATTATCCATTAATCAAAAGTAAACTTCAAAACCTGGACACTAAAAAAAAATCCTTTATATAGCTGGTTTACAATGTAATTATTACTACATAACTGTTCATGATCTGTGACTTTTTTTTAAATGCAGGTCAACTGTTTAAAATTTATAAAGATTTATGCTCATTTAATTATTGCCTGCATAAAATTCACTCCTACATGTGTTATCTTGATAGACAGAGAAAACCCTGATGAGCAATTACAGAGTGATAGTTTTTCAGTGAAAAGAAAGAAAATATTTTTACAAAGAAATTGTAGAAATAATGAGAATTAACTTCAATGGGGATCTGAAAGGGAAAAGAATTAATTTTTTAAGTTTGCTTTTCATTAATGTCTTGCAGACAAATTGGCCCAAAAGCCAACTGAAAGGAATTGTTCTTTTTTCTTCTCCTGGGGGTGGCTACATGTTCATTCATTCATTCAGTCATTCGTTCAGTCAATAAATACATATTGGGCATCTATTCTGTTCTGGGTACAGTGCTACTGTGAAAAAAAATACTGATCCCTGTCCTTAGAGAAGGAGAGAGGACATTTTACCAAACGTTCATTCAATTAATTATATAACTTACACATATGATGAGCAATTTCTTAGATGGGCAGAGAGAGCCACGGAGCCAGGGCCCAGACCAGGCAGCATCTCAATGCTCAGATCATACCCACTGAAGGGTGAATCCTGGTTTTAGCACTTCCTGGTTTGGCAAGTTACCTCACTTCTCTGGGCTTCATTTCCTCTCCAGAACAGAGATAACAACCATACTATAAGGCTGTTGTGAAGATTTCATAACATAACAAACAGTGCCCGATCTGATCCACAGTGGATGCTCAATAAATACCAGCTCCTTCCTCTCTTTTTGCACACTAACACTTCTCTGAAGCTGTCCAGGAGAACAGGATTATCTGGTGATAGAACATTATTAAGTTCCACATCCCAAAGCCTATTTATCCTTTTTGTTGCTTATGTTCCTTAGAGGAGATAATCAATAAATATTTACAAACCATCTATATTACAGGCAGCGGAGCCCTGGGCTCCATCTGCCACACCAGTTCCAAGCTTCAGACATTCTGGTGTGAAAAGGGCCTGCTAAGACACTTTCAAGGCCCCATGAAATATATGCCCCATAAAAGGAAGAGAATTAATCTCCATAACCATGAATATGAAAAAAATCTAGAAAAGATGTGCTCCAAGAATAATGTTCTTCAGCCCTCAGCCACAACTCAGATCTCAAGGGAGGTTAAGACTAGAATTCTGGGAGAGCCAAGAAAAGGAGAAAAAGAAACAGACCATTGAAAGCAGCATCTCCATCAAACCAGACATTGTCCTTGGAACGCTACATTTAATACTTCATGAGTTTCTCACATTTTCCTTTTGTAGATAAGGACCTAGAGGCTCCAAGAGTATAAGTACATTGCCCCAAAGTCCCAGGGTAGCAAAGCCCAGAGTCTGGTTGTCTCTAAAATTCATGTTCTTTCCACTACACCAGATCATAAAGGATTAACAACCCCACAGTTACTGCTTGTTTCAATTTGCAATGCAGCAATTTAGTAATTTTAAATTAATCCTTGAAAAATCATCAAGAGATTAATATGCAAATTTCAACACTGCTAGAGCTCAACAGTGATTCTGTGTCAAAAACCACATAAATTGGTCCTACAAAAGTTCAGATTCTCCTTAGAGGAAAGGCTTTCCTGCTTCATTTTGTAATTTGCTATATATTTAAAAAAACATTTCTTTTCTTTTTTTCCTCATGAATAGAACACATCAATTCCAGGGAGGCAGTGGGGTACAACAGGAACAAAAGCTTACAAACCTGGGTCGCTACACTGTGCTTACGAGCAGACCTTGCCACCTCAGCTCTGTGAGCTCTGGGCTCCCTGTCTAAAACGGGGCTCAGGTCTACCCCTTTCGGAGTAGCTCTAAGGATTAAAGTGGAAGCATGTACGGTAGGAGTCTGGCAGATTGGTATCACCATTCTGCTTAGAAACAAACAACGCTAGCCTTTTACTGGTTTGCAAAGGAGGATTTAGGGACAATGGGTCATGCACAGGGAATTGGTTCATTAGTAGCAAAACCAGCAGAAGGAATGTAAATTTTTAAAATAGTGGGGGCAGGAGAGGTAGCATACAGTGCAGACAGGCTTTGGAGGTAAGGCTATGAGAAGACTTAAAAAAAAAAACTTCCTAATCTCAATTGTGGTTTTGAAAAATTAGAAATGATCAGAATTTCCAAGTACCTTAAAATGAAGTTCTTAAGAAATTATTTATTCTTAAAAGAAAAAAAAAATTTTTTAATGAACCTAACCTAGGCAATCATTTTTATCATAACATTATTTATAGAAAATGTAAATGTCTATTAGTAGGAAAAGCACAGTTAAAACAGTTAAATACAGTGAATTAAACATACATTTATCTTTTCTCTCTCCTGATACCAGCCTCCCAGAAAAAGTCAAAGTAAAAGAATTTTAAAAGGCACAAACGCCAAAAAACAGGAGAAGAATTAGTAATGGAACAAAGAGATCAAATTTTTGAAAGCCAAAAAGCAGATGTGACTAACGAAGTGGTTTTCAAGCTGGGGCCATTAGTCCCCCAGGGGATATTTGGCAATGCCTGGGGACATTTTTGGTTGTCACAGCTGGAGGGGAATGTGCTACCATCATATAGTGAGTAGAGCCCAGAGATGCTTGCTAAATATCCTACGATGTATAAAACAGCCCCATTCAACAAAGAATGATCTGGCCCAAGCTGACAAGCATGCGACTGAGGTTGAGAAGGAAAGCTTAAAGCTACGGATAAGGTGGGCAGGCACAGCACCGAGCATTCAGCCCAACTCATAGCACAAAAAGAATTCCAAAAAGGAACTGGAGACACCCAGAATCTCTGAAGGCTAGGAGACGGGGTGCAAATAAAAATAGGAGTAATTCAATCCCAAGGATCTCCTCTCCCAGCTCAATGAGCTAGTTAACAGACTTTCCCACACCTCTCCAGAGGAATATGTGTTTACTTTCTAGAAGAACTGAACCAGAAAGGCCTGGTGACACCAGGTACAGTTGAGGACGGGCAATAAAGCCTTTGACAGGCAATAAAGGCTTACACTGAAAATGAGTACTAAACGAAGGTATACATATTAGATGCTGACATGTCATAACCTACCATTCCTACTCAGCTTCCAGAACACTGATAATAAAGCATACACTACCTAGGCAAAGAAAACAGACCAACTCCAAAGAAAAAGATTCTGATACTGATATTTGAGAGGCCACTGCCCCCAAAATAGCCACACTAGTTCCAAGCTCCAGAAATGACTGACAGAGCATTCAGCCAGCTTTTTAGTGCCTCACTCTTAAATGTGACGGGGCAGCCATTTGAGGAAAGGCTCTACAGTGAAAGTTAAGGAATAAAACAAACAGAAGATAGGAATGTTGAGCAGGAAAATAATACGAGGAGAAGAACACTTTTTAAAATCTATAAATAACAGTCTCACAGATGAGTGAAAATATTAATATAATGGCAGAAGTAAATTTCCAAAGATGGAAAGATTTGCTGAAGAAAGTAGAGAGAAAACGAAAAGAGAGAGATGGAAAATAGGAGAGAAAAAACAAGAAAATTAGAGGATCAGCACAGGATATTTTAACATTCTATCATAGAGGCCCCAGAGAAAGAAAGAAAAATGAAGAATATTTTTTCAAAGAAATAATGTAAGAAAAGTTCTCAGCTCTAAAGGACATGAGTTTCCATATTAAATGGAACCACCAAGTGCCCAGCACAATAGATGAAAACAGGCCCGTAGCAAGGCGCATCACTGCAATTTCAGGATACCAGGAGGGACCACCAAAGGATGGTTACAATAAGTAAATCACAGGAATCGGAATGGCTGAGACTTCTTAGTTGCAACAGCAAAGCTAGAAGTCAGTGGAGAAACATCTTCAAAGTTGGGAAGATAGAGTAATTTCCAACCTAGAGTTCTATACCCAGTCAAACTATCAAAAGAAGAATAAAGAGGCTGGACTCACACTTGTAATTCCAGCACTTTGGGAGGCCAAGGCAGGTGGATCAATTGAGGTCAGGAGTTCAAGACCAGCCTGGCCAACATGGTGAAACCCCATCTGTACTAAAATGTACAAAAATTAGCCAGGTGTGGTGGTGTGTACCTGTAGCCACAACTATTTGGGAGGCTGAGACAGGACAATCGCTTGAGCCCAGGAGGTGGAGTTTGCAGTGAGCCGAGATTGTGCCACTGCACTCCAGCCTGAATGACAGAGCGAGACTGTCTCAAAAAAAGAAGAAGAGAGTTATTTTTAGTCATGCTAGGTCTAAAAATGTTGCCTCTAACAAGCACTTTCTCAAGAAAACTACTGGCGCATGTCTCACCAAAATGAGGGAGTGAAATCAAGAATGAGGAAGATGTGAAACCCAAGAATGCTTACGTGACAAAAAGTTGTATAAGAAAGGAAAGGTAATCTACTAACTACTTCAGTATGCTCATTAAAATGTAAACATTAACTTCTGATTTAATGTAAAAATTTTCTAAAGGTATAGAAAGAATGGGAGAGGGGAAATATGTGACTGAGAGAACGTTATTCTGTGTGTTTCGGGGTGGGGAGTGTTATAGGTGGTAAAAGACCAAAACTCTCATCTTCTATAGGAAAATCAATAAGTGATATCTGTAACAGAAAAAAAATAAGATTTAGCAATATGAATAAGTTACTCAAAAATACAGAGGGAAACACAGCTGCTAAAAACTTGAAAGTAGCTGGGCAACTTGAAAATTGCTGGTTTTCATCAACAACTATGTAGTACTACATGTTTTTAAGCCATTAATATGCATTACTTTCATAAGAGTAAAAATACCACTAAATAAGTATGTCATTAAAAAGGAAGAAGTAGGTAGATATGAACACTTTTTAGAATACATTAAACTAAAAAATGAGTTGCTAAACAAGTATGAATAGAATCATATTTATGTTTAAAAACCATCTACAACACACACAGGCCACATCCCTAAGGTACTTGTTTAGTGTCCTCATTGTCATTAATTTCTAAATAATAACTAATTTCAATTTGTATCATCTTTGATCCAACTGCTATTTCAAATAGATGAATATTTTTAAACCTTTAATTAATTTATTATTATAGTTTTCGTTCACCGCCATAAAAGAGTGACCTGTGAGAGTTTAGTATGCTCTATTTTGAAATTTTTGGTGTGATTTAGTACATGATCAATTCTTATAAATGTCCCATGGCATTTTAAAATAATCCTTCAGTAGCCTCCTTCATAGCTACACATAACACTAAATTCCTAGAGAAAGGTTTCATCAAACACTGGAGGGAGAGTGGGATTGGGGTTGGAGGGAGAGTGGGATTGGGGTTGGAGGGGGTGGTGGTAATGGGGGCCTTTCATTTTTTTCTCTATGTATCAGTATTAATCTTTTACAACAAAATATTTGTAAAGAATTTTTAATGACACAGGTAAATGTTCAGCGTACATTGTTACAAGAAAAACAGATATAAAGTGTGTACATTTTGTGTGCTTTTAAAAATGTAAGTTTTGAAACTTAACAACAAAAAAAAAAAACCAAAAGAATACTTCTGTCTCAAACAAAGTATTACTCAACCCCCAGTGTAAGCAGTGGAAACTAACCTGCTCTGAATAAAATAGGAGCAGGGATCTAGTGCTCTGATCAGTTAGCCATCTACCTCTGTGAGGCCTTCCAGGGCTGCCAAAGCAACACTGGGGTTCCCGGTTGCACACTTTGAAAACTACATGTCATAAAAAGGAAGGATGAAAAAACTCAGAAACAGATCTCTGAGATGGGAGATTATGCCTGATTTTTCTTTTGCTGTTGTGTGATACACATACATACATACCTTTCCTATGATTTGGTACTGTTTAAGTAATAATTATCTGTTCCTGAAACACCTTAACCACCTAAACCTGATAGATTTTTTTGAAGGATGGAGATTGAAATAGAGCTTTATTAATCTTTTCAAGTTATAATTCTATATTCATATTGCCTATTTCTCAGGCCAACTATCATTTGTCTTTTTCTAGAAAATTTTCTCTTTTCACAATCTTTAAATTTATTGAATAAGTTTAAAATTTTATTCTTTTCACAAATTCAGTTTTTAAAAACTACTATTTTTCAATTTTACTTTAACAATATTCCCTAATAAATTAAATTATAATTTCTTTTTCTAGTTTTGGTTATTTATTACTATTCTTTTTTTTTAGCTTCTTGAAAGTCAAGTTCATTGTTTTCTAAATTTTTTATTTATATAAAAGCATTCAAAGCTATGAATTTTCCCCAGAGTGTGGTTTTGGCCACATCCCTAAGGCACTTGTTTAGTGTCCTCATTGTCATTAATTTCTAAATAATAACTAATTTCAATTTGTATCATCTTTGATCCAACTGCTATTTCAAATAGATGAATATTTTTAAACCTTTAATTAATTTATTATTATAGTTTTCGTTCACCACCATAAAAGACAGTGACCTGTAAGAGTTTAGTATGCTCTATTTTGAAATTTTTGGTGTGATTTAGTACATGATCAGTTCTTATAAATGTCCCATGGCATTTTAAAATAATCCTTCAGTAGCCTCCTTCATAGCCAGAGTATGCCTCTGCTTCTGCTCTTCCTGCATTACTTTCCCACTTCTTTTTGGATTTCTCCACTGTCTATACTGAATTGACTGCAACTATCAGTAATCATCTCCTTTATATTATGTAAATTCCCAAACTTTCTGGCTCATGGTAGCTTCCTCTGTCATTAGGGAAATATTTTTCTCCTTTCGTTCATCATTTCAATGGAATTTTCTGAGAGATGAAAGGTAAAAAATCACAGGCTCAAAGTATAGCATGTTATGTAAGAGCTCAGTCTCAAGAATCCAGAAAGACCAATATTTGAATTCTGATTTTACCATTTATTTCCTGTAGGATATTGAATATGTGACTTAAATTTTCAGGGCTTCTGTTTCCTTATATTAAATAATTATGGTAGTTACCATGTAAGCTTGTTGAGAGAGCTAAATGAGAAAATGGAGAAAAGCACCAAATATATAATATTTCGAGTAGTAGTACTCAATCAACATTAGCTATTGTTGTTGAAATGGGAACTCTGGTCTGAATTTTTTATTAGTTAATGTCAAAAAAAAGGATGCAACATTTTCTACCACAGTCTGATCATACAGATAATATACTACATGGATATGCTTGATAATCCCAACTTATCAAGACTGTTATCTAATCACAATACTACAGCCTAACTTCATTCATTACATTTGATCACCTGACATTTGTAACCTGTTCTATAGACGACACTTGGAAAAATTTCCTTTCTGTGAATCTACAATAGTTATGAAAAGGTATACCACATATTCCAGTACTTTTCTTATCAAGTATTCAAGTATATCCCCAAAAGAATTGAAAGCAGAGACTCAAACAGGCATTTGTACGCCAATGTTCAAAGCAGTAATATTGATAATAGCCAAAGGGTAAAAACAATATCTATTGATCTCAGCATCTATCACTGGATGAACAGATACGCAAAATGTGGTCTACACCTACAATGGAATATCATTCAGCCTCAAAAAGGCAGGCAATTGTGACACATGCTTCAATGCAGATGAACTTTGAAGGTATTATGCTAAGTGAAATAACTCAGAACAAAAGGACAAATATTGTATGATTTCACTTATGTGAAGTACTATATGGAGAGCAGTCAAATTCACAGAGACAGAAAGCAGATTGATGGTTGCCAGGGGTTGGGGAGACAGGGTAATGGGGAATTGCTTAATGAGTACAGAGTTTCAGTTTTGTAAGATACAAAAAGTTCTGGACATTGACTGTACAAAATATGAATGCATTCAAAACCACTGAGCTGTACACTTAAAAATGATTAACATGGTAAATTTTATGTTATGTATTTGTTACCACAATTTTAAAAAAGTAATCAAGTGTCTAAGTGGTAGACATTCTTTATCTGATTCTACATAGTACTATTTATAATCATAGTAAAACATTTTGAAAACATGTCATGCAGCTAGACTAGATATGTCATTCAGCTTGTTCAGAAGGCAAACATCAACCTTCTGCTCTCTCACACTCTAGTTCACTGCTCCTACATCCTTTGGAGGTAGGGATGGAGGCCCTCATGCTTCACCCACAAATACTTTATTTTATTCTCTGAAAGGTAAATATACAAAGGTAAAAAGTAGAAGTGTAATTCTGCTTGAGTAGATCTACCCTAATAAACCTCTATTTGGAAAATTCTTTATATGGAAACATTTCACTTATAAAAGCAGAAATGAGAAACAATCTAAATGTTCTACAGTGAGAGAATGGCTAAACTACAGAGTAAATGGAATATTAGATAGTTGACAAAAATAAGTCATATGAATGAAAATGGAAAAGATGTTTTTATAATAGGTGATTTAACTATGTAAAAATACATTCTAAAAAGAGGGAATCAAATATCATATTAATACATAATTACCTTTGAGAAAAAGGAATAAAAATCCTTCCTTGTCTTTATACTTTCTATACTTTGCAAATATTCTCTATTTGTTTTTGTTTTTATAATACACTTCAGTTCTTATACTTTTGTTTTTATAATGTGTTTTTTAAAAACCATAATTTTTATAATGATACTTTTAAATCACATCCTTTATTTATTCAAACAAATAGGCAGAAAACAGAGAAGAATAAAAATTTAATTTTTTCTTCTTCCCAAGTACTTACATTCTCAGGTATGCTGGGAAGTTCTCTGGTATCAGGCACAGTAAAATAAGAATGCTAGAAAAGAAAAGCAAAAGTGATTTATTTCTGCTAAAATGTGTAACAATTGCATTACTCAGAATTCAGGTAAATGATTGGAAAATATTTCCTTACTCAGAAAAGGAAACGGTTTCACTCAGAAGAAACACCCATGGAATATTTTCTTTGGATAATGTCAGATTGAACCAGATGCATTAAATCATCACTTTGGTAGATGGAGTTCTTTTCTATGAGAGGAGAACTTCTTTAGGAGATATAAATGAAGAGTTCAGGCCAGGAGTGTTGGCTCACACCTGTAATCTCAGCATTTCGGGAGGCCAAGGCAGGTAGATCACATGAGGTCAGGAGTTCGAGACCAGCCTGGCCAACATGGTGAAACCCCGTTTATACTGAAAATACAAAAAAATTAGCCAGGTGTGGTGGCGGGCACCTGTAATCCCAGACACTCGGGAAGCTAAAGCAGGAGAATCGTTTGAACCCGGGAGGTGGAGGTTGCAGTGAGCTGAGATTGTGCCACTGCACTCCAGCCTGGGCGACAAGAATGAAACTCTGTCTCTAAATAAATACATAAATAGTTCAAAGAAGTTAAATGGCTAAACACATGAAAAAGGCGTTGGTTTCATAATTTATTGTTCAGTGAGGCAAGTGTATTCTAGGAACAAAATATCACCAGATTCACTCAGTGATTATTTTTACCAACCAAACCTGTCATCTCATTTCAGCATCTGAGATTATATTCATCTATAAAATGTGGCCAAAATCTGCCCCAAAGGCCTAAGTGATGTTAGGAAGAGTTCCAGTTGCTGGAGCACTGGAGCTGAGACCATTGCCGATGACTAAGAGTGGAGAAATTCTGCCCCCGAAGCCCACTCCACCATAAGCCTCCTGACTGGAGACTCAGCGGAGTTGAAAAATTGACCTCTTCAAAGAACGTCCAATGAGGCATCTCCATATGCAACAAGCATGCATCCCTGAATTAAATGACAACAGGCTGAACTGATGGCACCTCCTTTGCTGCTATTAAAGACTCAGAAGACAATGGCAAGCAGGAACGGAAAGAGCTTGGTGCCGGCCAATTAAAGATGGGATTGTGCAAAGGCCAGGAAAGGTCACATGCAGAGAAGGTCAGCGTAGCCATGGCCTAAGTTCAAATCTGGACCCCCAAGTGACATTTCAGGAAGTTATCCACCCCAACCCCCACTCTTGGGTGATTGCAAAATAGGTAGGTGTGTAGAAGAATGAGTTGTATAGGCTTTCTGAAATGAAAGGCCCTGGGGACAATCGTAATGATGATGGTGACAACAATAATAGTATAAGGTACTTGTCTAATAATCAACAGATATTTGTTGAATACCTGCTACATGAAAGGCATTATGTCTAGTACTCTGTAAATGTTATCTCTAATTCCCACAACAAATTTTGAGATAGATATTATCTCCATATTACAAATGGGTAAATTAATGCTCACAGAGGTCAAGTAGTCAGTCAAAGGTCACACAGCTAGTACGTGGCAGAATATGGACCAAAACTAAATCTGTGTAACTAGAGCTGTGCTCTTTCCACCATGACAGACTGTTATACCTGTGCTTTTTATGGCAAATGACAGCTAAAGGGGCTTGAACAAATAAAAAAGTAAAAAATAAAAAGTATAAAAAAGATAACTTAAAAAAGCCTTCTTCGATGCATTATTCCAAAATCTGTGTGTATATCAAAATACTACCTATGAAGTATTACAGTAGAGACGGTGTAGCGTGGGAACTAGTGATTAATTCAACAGTGAGGATTAAAACAGGAAAAGTAATATGCAAGGTTCCAGTATGACTCCATGAGATACCAACTTCTATACCAAAGGGCTAGAAGTTTAGTTGAGTAACAAATGGCCATGTGGTGATTATGTAGCTCAGCAAATTCACTTAATAGCACAGAACCTGTTTTTGAATCTATAAATGGGAATCATATTATCTACTTCAAAACTGTTATGAAGAATAAATGTTATATATATGAAATGCTTACCATTCAATAAATGGTATTTTAATACAAAATTATTATTGCTGTGAACTGCTAGTTCATATTACTATTTTTACCATCACTCATATCAGACACACAGAAATATACTCTTGCAGAGAGTGACTAGAGACAAAAAGTCCAGGATTACCATTTTATCAACATTTCAGGATGTATAACCTAGATGAGAGTAGCCCTTCACAATCAGAAATGCAATATGGAGAGAGGAATTCCCAGTGAAAAGGAAAGAAAAAAAAATCTGCCTTTACAGATGCAATTGATAGTAAATAGTGAGCCAACACAATTCCAAAACCAAGTAGTCCCCAGGCTGTCCTTTGAGATTCTGTCTTGCTCCATTGCCCATGAAATGCTGGGGACCAGGGGAGGTCAGAAACATTCCTAGAAACCACTGGCATGAAACAGCTGCGCCACCCCAGCAGTTCCTGCTGCCCCTGAGATGGCTTGTCCTTGAGGCCTGGCATGCATGCTGCCTGAGCAGCCATTTGAAGGAAGGAGTGGACCTTCCTCCCTAGCAGCTGGTGACCCAGCCAGGCTACTCCACAGCTACCTGTCGGATGTCATTACGGACTGAAGTGGTGAGATCAAGCTGCTTAGGAAAAAGGACAGAGACAAAGGCAGGGTTGCTTAGCTATACAGCAAGGACTGGGGCAGGTTTAAAGCTCATTTTTTCATCTTTTCCAGATGGTCTCCCCTGCCGTATGAGAATTTTTGTAACAAGGTTTCTTTCTTTCTTTCCTATGCTCTATTAAAATGGGCAAAAGTCTCTGTAAATTCATTTTTTCTTCCTTCCTTCCTTCTCTCCCTCTCCTTCCACACGAATGGCACAGTGGAAAGACCATAGGCTTGAAGTTAGCCCTGGCTTTGAAAACTCAAGTCTTATCTCTTATTAACTACACGACCTTGGAAGGGCAGGTATCTTTTCCTCTTGAAACCTCATCCATGAAATGGGAATGTTAATATCTATTTTGTAAACTTGTTTTGAATATTAGAGATACATATTTAGTATAAATTAGGAATTTATTAAAATAGTAGATCTATTATTAATTACTGGTAGTAACACTGCTTTCAATTTTATCATCATTTTGAAAAAACCTACAAGGAATATCAATTTTCTTTAGGAGGGGAGATACCTTTCTACCACTGAATACCAACACTGTACCTGGTTCTAATGAAGATGAAAGACAAAACTCTTAAAATTTTCAGGCCCCATGACATAAGGGAAATAGCTCCTGGATAATAATCAATACTTGGTCAAAGTATGTCCATCTGAGAATTCTGATGAAGGTGGTGACAAGGGCTTGAGGGTTTGACCTAGGGAATTAGAGAATTCCTGGAACCAAAATATGGAAAAGATCTCCCACACCTCTTCTGATGCCTTATCTGACAGATGAGGAAATTGAAGCCCACGAGGTTAAAGGTCCTGATTAAGATCACTCAGGTCATTGGCAAGACAATGACTAGGATGGAAATCTCCCAATTGGTATTTCAGAGCACAGTGCAGAACATGTAATAGCAGTATATATTTATAGGCATTCAAAGAAACTATTACTATAGGCCAGGAACAACATTAAGCACTCTCCTGCTCTGTCCTCAAGGGACACACAGTCCAGTGAGGGGGACAGGAAAAGGAATCATTCCAATAGGGTGTAACTAAGTACCACAAAGTGTGCAAGATGCTTCGAGCAAAGGAGGTAATCTTAGCAAAACCTACGAGGTATCAAGGGAGGATTTCTCTGGAAATAAAATCAGAGTTGAGTTCTGAAGGATGAATATGTGTTACCCTGGCAAACAGGGGAGAGGCAATGTTGAAAGCTGAGGGTACAGGATGGGCTTCAGCAAAGGGACATGTACAGCAGTGCTGGGGGACGAGGGTGATACAGGCAGGCTGGGACAGGGACTGAAGAAGCAGGCGGAGCCAGCTGTCCTATTTCAGCCCAGCATCTGTGATCCAAGAGATGCTGGTGATGGGATGATGGCCACAGAGGAGGGTGGGGACATTCAGGACATGTCTGTTTCTTATAGAATCTCAGAGAAAGGAAGAAATTCTACTCTCTGGCCTATCTTGAACTCAGAGGTCTCAGAGTATTTGGGGGTAGGGTTAGGGGAGGTATGGCTGACAAAATACAATCCTGTTCAGCTAGCTCCCTCTTACTGTCAATAATGAAATGCGTTTTCAGTGATGGCTAATACTCCGCCCCACTTACCACGCTGAGATGGACAGACACTCCTGGGTCAGGGATGGGAAGTTTGTGCAGAGTTTCAAGAAGCTCATTCCACTGATTTTCCTGAAAGAAATAAAAGGCCTAAGTAACAAAAGCAAGGCTGAGCCCTTAGTAAGATACCTGCAGGGAGGTCTGGGCACACATGACTGAGGGGGCTGGGGAGATGCTGGCCCCAGTACAGAAATAGGTTTGATATTCATGTAGGGTTTGACAAAAGACACCACGTATGCCTCAAACATAAAGAGCCAAATAGATCCTCCTACACCAAGTTTGACATTTTCTACTCAGTGAGACACCTACCATGACCGCCTTTTATGGATCATATACCATAAGCTCTCAGCAAATCTATCCCCTAAACTCCATAGCAACAACTTTTAAATGCAAACAATCCTAGCTTACAGGGCGGGGGTGGTTAGGAGAAATAACGATGACACTATAGATCTTGTCTTCATCATCATTACCCTCAATTAATTTTATTGAGTGTTCACCGGATACACATGGCAGCCTCCAATTATAGAAAGTTAGAAATGAACTAAGTACAACAGCATGCAATATAGGATGGTGGCTATGCATTCTAATTTGTGAAATTGAGCAACATGATGACATACAAAGCAATGCAAATTATTTGATTGAAAATGGATTCACCTCTAAAATGCTCAAAAGAACACTGCTCACAGAATTATCCAAATGCTATTTCTCCCACCATGTGGAATTCTTTGTGCTAATACTGATAAGTGTATATTTGTATCTATTCACCCTCTATTTGATCCTCCCAACTACCCACTTCAACAATGTGAAAACTGAGGCTCCAAAAGGTGAAGCAACTTGTCTCAAATCAGCCCTTTAGTAAGTTGCACAGCTAAAGGGTGAAATGCAAGCTCCAGAGCCCTCCTGGCTTCACTACAGCTGTCTTTAAGTAGTGAATTTAACGAAAGGAAAAAGAAGATGCACCCAGACTACAAGCTTGTTTCAATCTGAGCTCTGACAAATCAAACAAGCTTCTCAGAGAGGAGAGAGATGAACTTGTGGGTGTGTGTGCATGTGTTTGGTTTTGCTCTGAAACAATCTCAAACTTACTGAACAGTTGTAGAAATTGTTGAAAAAAAAAAGTTTTTATTATTTCCTGACCTATTTGAGAATGAGCTGCCAAGATTACGCCCCATCATCCACAGATACAAACAAGGACATTCTCCTAAATCACCACAATTAATTATTGCTGTGGTTTAAATGGTTCCCCCAAAAGTTCATGTGTTGACAATTTAAATATCATTGTAACAGTATTAAGAGGCAGGACCTTTAAGAGTGAGTACATCATGAATTAATGCCATTATTGTGAGAGTGGGCTTCTGATAAAGGATAAATTTGGCCCCTAACTTGTGTCTCTTGTCTTGAGTACCGCATGGTATGACCCAGCAAGAAGGTCCTCACCAGATGCCAGCACCAGGCTCTTGGACTTCCCAGCCTCCAGAACTGTGAGCCAAATACATCTTTTTTCTTTATAAATTACCCAGTCTGTGGTATTCTGTTATAGCAGCAGAAAACAAACTAAGAGAATCATAATAATCTGGAAATTAACACTGATGCAGAATTACCACCTTATCCTCAAGTTTTGCCAACTGTGCCAATAATATCCTTGGCAGCAAACAATCCACTTCAGAATCACATGTTGCAGTTAGTAGTTATAACCCTCTACTCATCCTCAGTCTGGAACAGCTCCTCAGTCTTTTCTAGATTTGTATGGCCTTGACGATGAGACCACCCATTTTGTAGAATAACTTTCAATTGTCTAATGTTTTGTCTAATGTCTGATGTCAATGTCCCTTCACTCATGATGTTTGCTTTCATCAATTGATTAATTCACTTGATATCTCTACAGTAACATTATTCTTTCTCTTTGCAGTAAATAACCATTTTGTGGATTCACACTTTGTGTAAATATCCCATTCCTCAAACTTTCAATGTATTCATTTACTTATTTATTTTACCATGGGTCCATAGTTTCCTGTTTTATTCAGTGTGACATAATCCTTTACTATCCTAATTTGTTTTGATGCTCAAATTGTTCCAGATATGACTAGAGGGAGCACTCTTACTGCTTTTGTGTCCTTCTGACATGTTCCCATCATGATCATGTTTTTAGCAATTCCTTACTTTTTGGCAGAAAAGATATTTCAGGTTCATCTTATACTTTCCCTGCCTCAGCCCCAGAATCAGGTTATTTCTTCAATGAGACTGGGTTCCTTTTAGTGGGCAATGGTATTTAGAAACCAAGATCTGGGCACCATGTGTGCTCACTGCTCCTTAGTATTGCTCATGCCAGGCCCTTTCAGTCAATTGAGCCAGGGAATATATAACACACACATGGAATCACAATAGGCACTTCACATCTCTATTTATTTCTATATTCATCTTCCCATATTGAAAACCATGGGTTCACACCAATGGCTCCTATTCCAATCCAATATAGAAATTATTCTAGTTTTCTCCCTCTACATATCTGTGACTTCATCCTACGAAAGTGAAAAACCTTGCCTGTATTTTCTTTTTATATTTGGTTATTTGTATGGAACCACTCTTCTATTGCCATCCCTGCCTCCTTCCCTGTCCAGATGCCCTCCCTTCCCTCCCCAACACTGACATCCAGGGCTGGGCCTCTACTGCCCAACCCCTCACACAAATGCCTTCCTTACCTCAGGATCCAACACACCAGCACTGGGCCACAGCTGCTGCCTCCCTTCTCACATGGATTCTTCTAGATCCTATTTGAGTTCTGACATCCCATGCTGAGCCTCTACCACCATGCTCCCACATAAACATCCTTCTCTCCCTCAGGCTCCGACACCCTGAGGCAGGCTGCTCCCTGGCTCAGATGCCTGCCTTGCCCTGCCATCCCTTCCACAAGGGTGCCCATTCAAGGTCTGATGAGCATGATGGGTCCATGGCCCAAACAGATATCCCAGTTACTCACACCTTGGTCTCCCACACCCCATGCTTAGCCATCACAATCTCTCTGTCTCTGTCTCTGTCTCTCTCTCACACACACACACACACACACACACACACACACACACACACACACACACACAATAGAAGCCTATCTTGCTTCCCAACCTTCCCAATGACTTTTGGATGAGAGAAGGTTTCAGCCCTGGGGCAGGAGGTAGATTCTATTTCTTTAAATAAAAAATCTCTTCCTGTTCTAATCTGGTGACTAAAACCTTGCAAACAATTAAGCCAATTACAGGCAGATTTCCTATCATCTGTGTCATAATTCTTTTAACCAAAGGGGGAAGAAAAGAGTCCTGGGTTCAAGAGAAACAGACTCCAACTAAAACATGTTACTGATCTCAGTCCGACATCCCAAGAGGCAGAGTCCTGCTGAAGCAATCGCCCAGAGGAAAGGTTCACCAGTTTTACACGGTAATAATCCAATCTCCCATATGTGTAGGTTGTACCTACCCTTTTATAATCTTTCCCAAATCACATGTTTTAAAAAGTGTACTAAGTTCTTTGTTTTGCTGAGTTTTTTTCTCTTTTTTTTTTTTTTTTGGACTGGAACATATGGAGGGAAAAAATGTGAGTCAATCTCCAATTCAAACCTGTTAAGAGCCTACATATTATACAATTCTGTTTATTAAAGACACCTTTCAAATTTGAGTGAAAACCTGAATGTTTGACTAAAGGTAACTGTGAATCAGAAATAGATGAACAGACCCAAGGTGACCTCCTAACTCATTCATCAAAGAGTAATCCACTTCTTTTACGACAGAATCCCCTGACATCTAAGCTTCTTTTCACAGTGAGTGTAGTGATCAAGGAAGCCGTTTCTATTAGTTATTCCTTCCATTTACTGTGACCTCTGGAATACATTTGCCAGTGAGTAAATCTATCTCTAAAAAAATGATTTAGTCATTATACACACAATTTCCCCCTTTCCTCCAAAACAGCATTTCCCAAAGTGTGTTCCAGGAAACACTGCTATCTCAGAATGCTAAGATTTATCACAGAATTAAAGGGGTTTGGGGCAAAACAAGATGGGAAGCACAGGCGACCCAGGTTTCTCCAATGCAAGACTTCGTAGAGCTTACATTAAATGAATCTTAAGGAGATGAAAATGAAACACAGCTTTCCCTTCCCTGGACCCCAGTGTGGCTGAACTGGCACCCTTTTCATGGACCATTTCTCAGAACTAACACTCAAATTGCTCAGAACGTTCAACAGAAAAAAATTAAGGGAAATTTTTCCTTAACGTTTAATAATAATGGATCACTTTAATTAAAAATCTTAGGCCATTTACAAAAAGAAAAATATAAGACATTAGATATATAGACAAATATCCAACTCATTAATAATCAAAGAAATGCAATTAAAACAATGAGACTTTTTTACTTGTCAAACAACAAATTCAACAAATGATCCTGATGAGAGTATCGTGACCCAGGCACTCTCTTACATTGCTGGTAAAGGGTATCCTTTAAGAAAACAGCAGAATTATTTTGGAAAGCAGTTTGACAAATGTTTTAAAAATGTTTATGTCCACTGATCTTACAGTGGCCCATCTGGGATTCTCCTTTTAAGGAAACAATCCAAAATGAAGAAAATGCTTTACCCTCATAGATGCGAATGGTTACACTTCTCATAACAGTAGAAAAATCCCAAACAATTAACAATTTCCAATAATAGGAAAATGCTTTGGTAAATCAAGGTACATGACAAAATGCTATGCAGCCATGAAAAATATTTATAACATTTTTAATAGTGTGGGAGGCATGCTCATTATAATGGTATCTGAAAATGTGGGCTACAAAAATCTACATAAAGGTCCAACTGGCCTTTGACATCCATGGAAGATACCTTACCTTACCACTTCTTCCAAAAGTACAGCAAGGTACAGATGAATTTTTAACGTCATTTTCAGACCCCTACAAAAGTTACTGTAAAAGCACCACAAAGCTTTATTGAAATGGGAACTCAGGACAGCTGGGTAGGTCACTTGCTGGTTAAGTGTTTTACTTGCAAACCCCAGATCTGCAGCATGACATGAGCAATTCAGATATGTGCCTCAGCAAAATTATAATTTAATACATGTCACAAACTTTCCGGGCTGCTTGGGAATATTAGAAATTGAACATTAACTCTGTGAACGTTAAGGGTCTATTTATCATTTCTTTAATGCAAAGAAAAACTTAAAAAAGAAAACAACCCAAAATGCTAGGAATATTTATTTTAGGGAAGGGAGTGGGGCAAATTAAAAGTGATTTTCTTTTCCTTCCTATTATTTTCTGAATTTCCCAAAATTCCTATAATGGGCATGCATCACTTTTTTGGTAAAATATAAGGCATGTTTTACTTTTTCATCATAAAAATTAAAGCTTATTTGTTTAAAAGAATTATTTTAAAAAGGTAAATACCTGTCTTTTTGTCGTGTAATCTGCCAGGATGTTAAGCAGCTTATAAAATACCTCGAACCAGGGGAGATAGCTGGAGGAAGAAGAGGAAACACATGAAATATTAGTATGCAGGTCAAAAACTTTAACCAGGATCTAATTCAAGACTGATACATTTCAGTTTTGCTCTACATCCTGAAGAGTCTTCCTGTCACAGACTGGTGGAAACACAAACTGGCGAAATGCTAATTATTTCTGAGAGTTTAAAAAATTGCCTGTGCAAGGCAGAGGATTAAATGTCCATTATAAATTATTCCCATGCCTCAGAGCTAGAACAGTTCACAGAGAAGAAATTCAAAGCCGACTCCACAATCAGGCACCATCTCTGAGAAGTCCCCTGGCCTCTCCCAGCACACCCACCCTTTCCAGGAAAGCTTCTATTCAGTTTCTCATGATGGGACAGACACAGACACAGACACACACACTGACACACACACAGCATTCCCACTGCAGGCATCTGCAAAGGGTCCCAATGCCCCCATGAGCCCAAAGCCATCCATGTTGCTGCAACAGACATTCTACCCATCACACACCATCTCTCTATCTACTTCAAGATGAGTTCCACTTCCCCATCCCCACTGCCCTCCACCAGGTCCTGGCCATTGCTCCCCTTCACTCAGAGCAGACTGGCTGCTGACCTCAGTCCTGTGGTCCACTCTGTGTGGCTTGTTTTTTGTTTGTTTGTTTGTTTGTTTTGAGATGGAGTCTCACTCTGTCACCCAGGCCGGAGTGCAGTGGCATGATCTCGGCTCACTGCAACCCCTGCCTCCCTGGTTCAAGTGATTCTCCTGCCTCAGCCTTCTGAGTAGCTGGGACTACAGGTGTGCGCCACCATGCCTGGCTAATTTTTGTATTTTTAATAGAGACGGGGTTTCACCATACTGGCCAGGCTGGTCTCGAACTCCTGAACTCAGGTTATCTGCCTGCCTCGGCCTCCCAAACTGCTGGGATTATAGGCGTGAGCCACCTGGCCACGGCTCTTAGAATGGTTTTTCTAAAATGCAAATCTCCATCGCACATTGTACTTAATTGCTGCAATGATGTCCGTCACTCCAGGATCCAGTCCACATTTGTTAGGATGGACTTCTGGGGCTCTTCACTGCCAGGCCCTTGCCCACTTTTCTGGTTGTCCTCTGTCTACTTCCTCATAGATATGCTCCCCTCACTCCTCTCACTCCGGAACGTCCTGGTATCTTTGAGCCTGCCTGGGCTTACATACACTGGGCCCTTTTCTCCCAGACCTCTGTGGGTCTAGTCTAGCTGATTTCTACTCATCCTCCTAACTGTCCCTCACCCCCTCCCCATCCCCACTTCATGTGCCCTAATTCTCTCTTTTCTGTGCTGCCCTGGTCATGAGAATGCTGCTCTCAGAACATTCCCCACATGATGCAGTCCTCAATGGCATGTCTGTTTTCTCAACAGACCACATGCAAACAGAGAGGAAGGGGCCTATCTTTCTTCACTTTGTCTTTCCGGTGCCAAGAATGGCACCTGGCACACCGTCAGTGCTCAGCGTTTACTGAGCAAATAAAGCCAGACAAAGACTGACGGCAAGGGTGCACGCATCCTATGGAATTGTTGAAAAGTATCCACACCCCCAAGCAGTTTTGCCACTTACTTTCAACGGCTTTGTTCTCTAGAAGGAAATTTTCCAAAGCTACATCTAACAGCAAGCGAGAAGAAGGTTGTACCAAGCGCTTGCCGGCCTGGTCATGTCTGCCCTGCTGTGCTAACAGAGTCCAATACCGACAGATATGGACACGAGGTAGCGCACAGATGTGATATCCTGCCAGGGAGAGGGGAATCAGCACCCTGTACAGATTACCGGCTGCGCCACTGAGGGTAATAAATGAAGTGAGAGGCAACAAAGAGAACAGATAAAGTGCACAGTCCTCTGTCATTAACGTCTGTCTAAAGCCAGCACATGCTACTGTAAAATTTAAGTAGCTTATCAAAATATACTGATAAGCAACTTAACTTTTCACTTCTATGACAGTATTATCACTTATGTTAATATGTTTCAATCAGCCCTGGCAGCTGCATATTGACTATTACATAGCAAATGACTGCTGCCACTTTGCACAGCATTTACTTTGGCAGAGTAATGTAAACATTCAAGAGGGATTAGGGAGCAGATAAGTTTCTCCTTTCCTATTCTGTTAAATAAACCTCGGCCGAGTTAAAAGCCATTATAGTATGAACGAGAAATCCCCTCAGAAGAAAACTCTTGCACAGATTAGACGACTCAGTAAACAAATTTGACCAAGGATTACAAATTTTTTTTTTCCTGAAAGCAAAATACCACTAGTTAAATCCAGCCACTGAAAGTCAGGAGGCAGGGGGGAAAAGGCAAGAAGGGGAAGTAGAATCTTGCAAGAAAACTGTGACTTCAAGTAAACAAGAGAAAAACTGAATCATTTTAGAAATATTTGGTGAAGTGATATGGGGCAGGCTGGGTGCTCTGACAGTTTAGGACTACAGAATCCATCGAAGTAGTTTTGGATGAGTAGGTTCAACTGACCAATGTGGCTTGGGCACAGAAGCTCCAGCCTCCAAGTTGTCACCTGCTGTGAGGATGAAGGAGGTGACGTGGGAAGGAGCTCCTAGCCTACTATAGATGGCACCCTGGTTCTCACACTCAGCCTCAGCCTCAGCCTCAGCCTCACCAAGTCAATTCTTTTTGGCTATGCTAAGCAGAACCACTGGCCACAAGAAGTTTTGCAGTTACCCTGGAAATCAGCCATTTCTTTCTCCCTTTGGCCTGACCGGACACAACTGTTCCCCACATGTTGTCCCCTGTACACTCACAGATGAATATCTAGTGATGGCAGTGTTAAGGTTTTGAAACCGAAACCCAGCTGTCTTCTTCTTCAAAGGGCCCCTGTTTTCCCCTGTTGGGAGGCCAGGGTTCACAGCGGAGCTCTATCCAGCGGCGTTTCCTGTCCTGCTTCATTAGAGCCGCCACAACAGCTTGCGCGGCCTGCTAGGCTGCAGGTGAGGCTGCAGGGACCCTGCACTCCAGTCTGCGTGTGTCTGTCATCATTGAATAAACAATCCTTCCCAGTCCAAAGACAGAAACAAACACTCTAGTACACTGCACCACCTTGGACATCTAACGGGGTGCGACCATCCGTGGTCCGCCTCTGCCTGCTGCCTTTGTGTGACGGCTTGAGTCCCCACTGCGGAGTACCACAGTTGGGACTATGGTGGGCTCTGTCCAAGGCTGTGGCACAAAGGGTCCTCCTGCACTCAAGAAAGCTATGGTCCTCATCAGAAAGAGACACACCCACAACAGAGTAACAGTTTGGGTGGAAGGAGCTGGAAGTCCTTCCCAAGTGCTTTATTTAGTTTAGGCTTTCGGACTGATGTAGAAGATGATCATGGAGCATCATCATGACCCAATCAGAAGACAGAGAAAAGCGAAAAGGAACAGCCTGCTCCCCAGGCACCTGCCTGGATCCAGGCTTCTCTCCCTTCTCACCCACTGTGGCTCAGGTAACTCTGTCCCAGGCTCTACCCTCACTCCCAGGCCTGAGAGTCAAATGGAGAGGCTTGTGTTTCATATGAGGTAATAAGTTTTAAACTTGAGAAGTTTCCTCCACCCACTGCCTTCCCGATCCGGGGTCCCACCGGCCCTTGTAAGGAGGGCAAGGGCAGGTTCTAAAGACAGCACTTATGGCAGCAACAGCCCATAGTCAAAATCACCCTGAAAAAGCCCTTAAATTACCTCCAAATATGGCGGACATGGTCTGTGTAAACACAAAGTAGTTAACCTGAGTTGTGGGGTCAGGCTGAATGACAGCATCCTGCATCTAAATCTGTCGACCGGGTGAGCTGCTGGCTCTTGAGCTGAACTGAGAGCAGAGGACTGCCTTTTCTAATCTCACTCCACTTGGGATGATAATCACTCCAACTGGTGAGTTTGTGTACACGTGGATGACTGGCCTTGTGTAAGTTCAGCGTGAATATAAAGGGATTCCACTTCTTTAAGTATTAAAACAGAAAACCATTAAAAAATTTTAAGAGCTCTCCGACACCTCTTTCTACTAGTTCAGTTCAAAGCTATGAGATGGGACCAGGCAAGGTAGGTATGGAAGAGAGCAGGGGACAGGGATGGTGGGAGAGGCTGACCAAGTCGAGGAAGGCAGCAACCACCTGGGAGAATGCTGGTCCACAGCAGGACATCAGACTCAGGTGAGGGGAGGAAGCTGTCCTCCCGAAGGGGCAACCTGGTGTTAGAGTCCAAGTGGGAGGAGAAGGGTGTCCCACTGAGGGGTCATTGGGCATAGTGTGCTGGGGCCCAAGCAGAGTGAGGGGCCTAGTAAGGGAAAGTCAGCGTCTGAGCAGGATGAGGAGGGAGTCTCATGGGGGAGGCCTGACTTGGAGTTTCATGACTCAAGGGGGCAAGGAGGGGTTAGACCTGGCATGGGATAAAGACAGCATCTATGTGGAGTGGAGGGCCTGACCAGCAATGGTATTAGAACCCAGAAGAGTACAAAGAACATCTGGAAGGCAGTTCAATGTGGGATGTCAGAGCCTGAGGGGTGGGAGGGCTTCCACCAAAGTGGGGGTCGGGGGAGGGGAGGGAGGCGAGGCAGAGTCCATGTGGTTGAGAATGCTGTCCGTGATAGGAAGGGGCAGCAGCAGCTCTGCCTAAGGTGCCACAGTTCAAACAGTAGCACATGCTACTGTAAAAACAGGGTGAGGAGGGTGGCGCTGTGTAGGAAGGGGGCTGCAGCAGAGGGCCACTGGTTACAAACAAGGAACAGATCAAGACTGACCAAGCTGGTAAATATATAATGGGAACCAGGTATCTTACTATCAGAAGAGAGTTACAAATCCAGTTAGGGAAAGAATGAGAATGAACCCCACGGTGTCAAACTGGAACTGAATGTAACTGTGGGGCATCATGATGTTCAGTAGACAGGTAGGAAAGTAGAGACAGATAAAATAAATAGAAATACAAATCTATGTACATACATACCTTCCCTAGTTTTAGTCACTGAGAAGGCCTGGAAGCAGAGATATCCCAATTATAATGAGCACACTTAGTGCCCAGATATTGGTTTCTAAATACTATTCTCCAGTAATAGGAACCTGGGCTCCTTGAAAAAAAATGTCTGATTCCAGGGCTGGGGCTGGGAAATGCTGTGTTGGGTTAGGAAAAAAAAAAAAAAATAGCAGTGCTCAACACATGATCAGGACATATCAACAGGACACGAAAGCCAGTGAGGAGGGGCTTCCACTGACAAAATCTGCATGACAGGCAGAAGAAAGCGCATGAGCGATGGCTTTAGAACCAGGTGGGAAGTAATTCTTTCCCCTCATCTTGACCTCAGCAGAGCCCAGTGGATTTCAGCCTTATCAGAACCAGCATCTACTTTGCTATCCTAAAAACAAAATCTTAATGTAATCTAGTCATTCACAAAACCAAAATAATGCTCTGGCTCTCCTATAAAAGAGAAATAAAAATAAAAGTAATTTGCAATAAAATTTTAGGATGTAACACTCAGGCACCATTAGAATAGATGATACAATGAAGCAGTGCCTCCCGGGGGAAGACTTGCGGCAGAGCTGCTTGTGTTCATGTCGGGACTGATGAGTTTAAAAGTAACATGACACAGGGTCTTTCAGTTGCTTTTGGTGACTTGCTACTGTCTGAGGAGCTCCTGACATTCCATGTTGAATACCTGAGGAGAGGTATCCCTTTCTTTCTGTCAGCAGATTTTGCCAACGTGTTTCCAATGGCAAAGCATCCCTTGGTTAAGACCATTCAGCACTCAATATTTAAAGCCTTCCTATTAAAACAAAACAGAACAAAACAAAAAAACCTCCTCCCCAATGTTAAAAAGCAGAGCAGCATGGCACATGCTGGGGAGAACACTGGCTTGAGTCTGGTAACCCCGAGTTTGAATCTTAGTTCTGCTCCTTTCTAGATGTGACACCTCGAGAAAGCGGTCTTCCCAAAACTCAGTTTCCTCCTCTATGAAAAGATATACACCACCTGCTAATGTACCTGATGGACATGACAGCCACCAATCCAGAACACGCTTCCTGTCCCCCTTGGCAATCTCAGCTTTGGGAATCTCTCTTTGATTCCTGGTGTCTGGGTCAGAGGCTCCTCCAGAATTCTACAGAAATTCCTCATACCATGTGGTCAACCAGAATGGGCAGGAAAACAGAAGCTCTTATAAGAGGAAAATACTCACCAACAATGTGACTGCTTCAAACAACATGACCCTTCTCCACCCTTCCAGTTTCCAGACAATACGTCCCCTATCCACCCTTTCAAGTTTCACCTAGCATCTATCCCTGCTCCTCTGTCTGTATCTCAGCCAAACATCTATAATAAAATGCAAATTTGCCATGAACTAAAACTACAACTCTTGCAAAGGAGACTGGATTTTATGAAGCCCATGTTGGACATGCTGGATACCTGCACAGAGTTGAGGCAAAGTCACTGACAAATGAAGACCTGGCTGTATTAGACCACTTAACAAGACATGAAGAGAAAAATCAAGAAAAACAAGGATAGTAACACAACAGTCACATCAAAAGAAAATGATTTCAATATGAAAGGATAAAAGAGACCTTCGGGAAACTGAAGTCCTCAAATACTTTTGGAAAAAAATGACTCCTTTTATGATTATGCTGTGAAAGTCAACTATGAACTGTTATTAAGTCAGAAAAATTATAACCTCCTCTCCCCACAATACTTGATGCATTATTCTTTCTAAGAATTACTGCATTGTTGGAATTAAGAGACAGAGTTTGTTGAGGTAAATTTATACTTTTTTATACTTTTTCTAGATAAAATCCTAACCTTTTCCTCATTTTTACTATGAGCTTTTGGTCCCCATTTAAATTGATGCATTTTATTCCCAGAATATGAAGACCTCCTGGGCTTACTAGACATTAAAACTCCCCATCGTTTATAATACGTGCTTGTTTGCCTGTCTTCTCCATTGGTGTCAACTCCATGAGATCAAGGACGGTGACTGTGTATTGACTATTTAACCCCTAATTATTCCTGGCACATGTGAGACATTCAATAAATCATAGCTTACCTTGACAGACGTAACTCATCTCTATAGGTTCTATTAAGGCCATTAATTACCACTAGAGCTACAGAGTAACAGTCAACCAACTCTAGTCGGGACGTGGGGATCCAAATTTAGCAGGCAGCATTTGGGTTTGGAAAATGACCTGGTTTTTAAAAAACAATTCCTGCAAATGTCCTGCTGGAGTCTGGGATAAATAATGAGTATAGAGCAAGTGATTATTCAAAGTAGATCAAGGAATACTTACAAACAAGATTTCTTGCCCTTTGCCCATCTCCTCAACACAAGTAAACCCCACCATCTACTCTTTTTGTTCCCATTTCAATTGCTATGTAAAAAGTTCACAAAACCAGGCTGATGACAATCATCTGAAAACCTAATTTTTCAAGCACACGTGAACCCTTAAAATTGTTCAAGAATCCTCTAATCTGCAGTGCCACAGGCCTCCTGTTGCCCACCCCCTCCAGTCTGCTCCAAACATTTTTCCTCTTCTGTCCCTCTCTTCAGAAGATACTCTTCTCTCCAAACGCACCAAAGAGAAAAGCTTTCACATGAGCTCTTCCACTCCTATACTTCTCATTCCTTTCCCTCTCCCTCCTAACTCGAGGTGAGAAGGAGGAAAGACCCCAGAGCCCAACTGCACTGCCTTCTGTAAGACACATCTTCTCCCCTATTATACTCAGCCAGCAAGCATTCCCACCTTTAAGCACAACAGAAATCACTCATGTGTGCTGGTCTATGATTCTCAAACCACAACCTTAGCACCAAGGTTATATGTGGTTCCTCCCTAAGGGAAAAGCACACCTCATCTTCCTGAGATAACCACATTTAGCTTCAATGAACATTTTTACAGAATTTAAAACTGAGACGTTTCCAGTCCAAACATCACACATTTCTAGATGATTCATTTTTCAAATGTTCCATCAATGGCATCTACCCACATATTTTCCCATGCTTATTAAGACCCACCAGTATATGCCTGGCCCTCTGCTAGGTACATGGGGGAATAAGGCCCATGTCTCAGTATCTGGGGAGCTCACAGTCTAAAGAGGAAAGCAGACACACTGGCAGATAATGTCAGCAGCACTGGGTCAGTGCTTTGATAGAGGTTCACAAAGGGAACACAGAAGAGATTCTAGAAAGTCTTCCAAGAGGAAGTGACACCTCACTGATCAGCTTGACACTGATTGCAAAGTCAGGAGACCCACCTGGGTTTGAGTACCAGCTCTGTTACTTACTGGCTGTGGCCTGAGCCATGCTCTTCCTTCCCTACATGTGAAATGGGAATATCTACCCTCACATGGTTCTTTTGAGGCTGAAACATATGTAAATGCACCTATCACAGTGCCTGAAACTGAGTACAATTTGTTTCACCCTGATAATACCGTACTCTTTGATAACATCAAAAGTCAAAGCAACCTCAATAAGAGAAAAACACAATCCTCTTTGGGAGCTCTAAGCCAGTCTCACCCAGTCTGGGCATTCTGCTTTGCTCACAGCTGCTAATCTCAAACTGTAAATTGATTACGATATTTAGTTAAGCTCAAGAATCTCTGATTTATGTCCATAATTAATGTCCCATTGTGATACCTATTATATCTATGCAGGAAAATATATGTACTGAATGAGTAGAAATATTAATTTGCATTATGAAGAAACACCAAAAACTCCCATAAAACATCTGTGCTTATATAAATCTACCCAAACATACACTTGGATTTGATTTTGGAAACAAGGCTCTTTTCTTTCTTGATGGGCATTCAATAATTGTTGCTTTTAGAGAGTGGCTTTGTCATCTTATTTCTATGAGAGTATTACTTTGATTGAAGGAGATTGCTCAGGAGGAAAGCACAGAGGCACTTTTCTGTTATCACCGGTGAAGTGTTGGTAACATGAGATCTTTGGAATAATGGCACCTGCACTGACAATTCAGTGTAATTCTCAATATTTTCCATTGAGCCCAGGCAGGGTGAGCACATAGGCCTTTCATCATTTTCCTAGGAGAGTTTATGATGCTGCCTACTCCTGTATTCACACACCTGCAAGACTTTCCCCATTCAGAGTATCTTATTTTATGGTTTAAATTACTACTGTAATATAATGTAATGGGTTAGTGAGGTTCTAACTAAGGCCCACCCTACTGGAGCTTTCATAGCCTAGGAAATACACTGTCTCTACTAGAAAAAAAAAAAACACAACAAAAGGAAGAAATGGCTACATGAGGATCCGTGTCCTACTTGCAGTAATAAACAAAAAAATCAATGATCCCAGTCAGATGCCATTTGATATTAACCTCATTTTAGGGCTAGAGAGTAGAAGCTAATGCAGTAAGGGGGGAAACTAGGTATCAAGTGTTAGGTGCTTTGAAATATTACTCTTCATAACTCTGTGAGATGAATTATCCCATTTTACAGATGAGAAAATTGAGTCGTAGAGAAATGAAGTAATTTCCCTAAGATGACACAGCTACTAAAACCACAGATCAGACACAAAACCAGTCCAGCATGATTTCTCAGTCTGACCTGCTCTAAACAGTACAATAGTAGTATGATCACGTACAATGATAAATCCTGAGATTAGGATATAAAATCCTTACCTTGTGGTTCTCACTGTAGTGCTTGATAAGATAAAGGAAAGCTTGCCTCCAAAAGCCCCTCGGCTCCAAGTGTTCTGAGCAATCTAACTCTGGCTGCCTCCCAACAATTCAGCGTGTTTTCTTACTTTGCCAGCTCCAGGGACACTAGTCATGTGTCAGCTCTTTATTGCTTCAGGAATTAGTGTACATGTTATATTCAGAAACACAAATATAAATAGCTCAATTTAAAATGTTTTAATCAAACACAGCAGAAGAGTATTTTAAGTTTCCAGTGTTTCGTGTCAAGACCCAGTGCCTCTGCTATACCCTAAATGCATATTTTTAAGAACTTTTTCTAGAAAAACTATGGCCTATGTCTTAGATTCTTAAACAGACTGTGTTGCCTTTTTTAATTTAAAGTATAAAGCTTTAAATGTATGCTTATGGTGACAATTAAGGAAATGCTAGATTAGACAGGGCATCAGCTTTCCACAAATAGTACTCATTTAAGTTCATTTCCACCCCAGATCTCTGCTTGAATGTTATATCATTCAATCGCAAATCTCTCTATAAAAGTGTCTGGCTGTCTCTTAAACCCATTTACGCTCTATGCTTCAATGCCTTTCCTTGGCAACTTTTTCCATATGCTTAACTTCTTTCAGGGAAGCAGTTCTGTCTCAATTCACAGAACAGCACACCAATCAACACAAGCAGGCAGGCAGGTAAAGAAAGGAAGAAGGAGAGACGGGCACACAGAGAAAGTAGGATATGAATGAAGCTAGTCCAATAAAAGTAATGTTTTAGGAGGCAGAGTTTTAGCCCAAAATAAAATGAACCTCGCACCTACCCCCCCAGCGATCAGAGAGCTCTGAACTTGAATTTATAACCCAAACACTCTGTACCATATGCAACTTGAGACACACAACTGGTGGCACTACTGGGGATTTATGACTTATGACTTGTTCATATTTAATTTGTAACCAAACACTTCCCCTTCCTCTTAGCTACCTTAGAACTCTTGATTAACTCTTGTTTCCACAGGTCAGAGGTTAAATAAAGGAAGGGAAGCATTCTGGGGTGAGATTGCCCAGAGCACCACATCCAAGAATGACCCTGTGCAAGGAACATTAAAATAAGCGATAAGGCCAGAGATTGTTCCAGACAGCTGATGTTCAAAGCCTCCTTCGGGTACAAAGCAGAACCTTTCAACTAGAGAGCTGGCAACAAAGACAGACGGGAAACTGGTCTGCTCTCAAGTTACCTTTAGTGACGAAGCAACTCTTTCACTGAGAAGTTTTTCCCAAAATGTTTCTGAAAATGAAACCGAGGGGTTTTTAGAGAGAGTAAAGCAAGAATTTGTGCAAGGCAAGCAGCCCTTCTTCTTGCTTCACTCTGCCATGGGATTCTGTCTGGCCCACCAGATTCTCCTATTCTGTGGAAAAGCTTCACGGCTATCTAATTTTGCAGCAGACCTGGGTCAGGCTGAGGGAAGCAAAATTATTTGTACACAATTAATTACATGGAAGCCCAGCAATCCTGAAGAGGACTGAATCTATTCAACTACAACTACAAGATCCACCTAGGTGCAAGCACATTGACTGCTGTGCACCAAACCGATCAAAGTATTAGAAGTAGAGTGGTAAATATTTTAATAGTAGTGGAGACCATTTATTCAGGAATTTACCAAATGCCAGGAGCATTACATGCCTTTGCTTATTTACTCATTGTAATTCTAGATAGGGTACCATCATATCCCCAGATACCGAATGGCAAAACTGACACCCAGAAAAGCTAACTTGCTCACAGTCACACAGCCACAAAGTAGATGAGGGTCGAATCCAGTTCTGTGTGACTTCCTATACTAGTAAGTACTTTTCTGGAAAAAAATCCCTGGGAATGGTTTCAGTAAAGTGTATGTTACACAGTGATTATACTTTACATTTGATTAGCTGTTGTCAAAATGAGATAATAATTAAGCTCATTTGTGTTATAGACAGCATTCATTCACTCATTCATTGCCTAATATATATAAGTCAGGCACTGAGTAGAGAGTGGAATATGGCATAACTTCCACTAAAGTTGGTCCCTGGTTTAGATTTGTGCGAGAAGTCATCATGGCATTAGGAATGATCTGATAGAGGCAACAGGCGCAGAGCTTGGAAAATGTGGTAAGTAATGGTTGGGCCGCCCTGAAAAGAGGTATGATGCGCATTCCTTCTGTACCCAAATCACACAGCAGCCACAGCATGAAATAGGCAGGTTTCTCAAATGAACCTTTCAACAGAACAGAGGGCCCCAAACACGAGGAGGCTGAAGAGCTGGGAATCCACGACAAGGCACCCAAAGCTACAACATAAAATGCCACTGGTCACTCTCTGTTGAGACCCTGATGGAATTCTTACCCTCAGCCACTCCCGATTTTTAAAATAACCTTTGTACAGATGGCACTGCTTTATTATAAGCCATGAAAAGCAGTCCATAATGTTACAAAACCCTAATTTGTTGTTAAAAAAACTCCCTCAAATTAAGGCTGTATTTATAATTTTCAAAACAGAAACCCTAAAAACTAAATTTTAGAGAAAAGATGCTCAGTCAGCAAACCTCCTGGCAGAAATATGTTTCTCTGATGTAAATTCTTTTTTGTTTTTTCCGAGACAGAGTCTTGCTCTGTTGCCTAGGCTGGAGTGCAGTGGCGTGATCTCGGCTCACTGCAACCTCCACCTTCCAGCTTCAAGCGATCCTCCCACCTCAGCCTCCCAAGTAGCTGGGATTACAGGTGCATGCCACCATGCCCGGCTAAATTGTGTATTTTTAGTAAAGACGGGGTTTCATCATATTGGCCAGGCTGGTCTCGAACTTTTGACCTCAAGTGATCCACCTGCCTTGGCCTCCCAAAGTACTGAGATTAAAGGTGTGAGCCACTGCACCTGGCCTCTGATGTAAATTCATAAACTCATATAGGATTGAATGAATGCAGGAAAGTTGCCTTTTAATGAGTTACTACAAAAAGTAGAAAATTAAAACGAAGGGCAGAAAAATGTACGCATGAATCATTTTTACTATGTTTTTACCGGCCTTAAATATTGTGACAATTTTTTTGGTAATATATTTTAAATGATAGTTCTTTTATTACTTATAACAGCACAACACACACATGCACACACACACTTCTCTAAACATGTGCTAAGAGAATGGCTAGAGAGATTACAGCAAATCCAGGCAACAGAAAATTATATTTTAGATTATTTTTAATCATATGGGAAAATGTCCATAAAATAATAGTGGTTGAAAAGAATGGCCAGGTGTGGTGGCTCACGCCTATAAACCCAGCACTTTCAGAAGCCAAGGCGGGTGGGTCACTTGAGCCCAGGAATTCAAGACCAGCCTGGGCAACATGGGGAAACCCTGTCTCTACAAAAAAATACAAAAGTTAGCTGGGTGTGGTGGCGCCTGCCTGTAGTCACTGTAATCCTGTATGCCTCAGCTACTCAGGAGGCTGAGGTGGGAAGATGGCTTGAGTCCAAGAGTTGGAGGTTCCAGTGAGCCAAGATCGCGCCACTGTACTCCAGCCTGAGTGACACAGCAAGAGTCTGTACCAAAAAAGAAAAGGGAAAGGGAAAGGAGGGAAGGAGGGAGGGAAGAAAAGGAGGGAAGAAGGAAAGGAGGGAGGGAGGGAGGGAGGGAAGAAGGAAAGGAGGGAGGGAGGGAGGGAGGGAGGAAGAAAAAGGAGGGAGGGGGGAAGAAGGAAAGGAGGGAGGGAGGGAGGGAGGAAGGAGGAGGGAAAACAAGGGGTATACACCACTATGTGTCACATGCCATCATATATGCTCCTAGAAAGACCAGAAGAAAAGACAAACTAATAGTGGTTTTTCTAGATTATGGGATTGTAGAAAATCTTTTTCTTCTGCATTCTTTTCTGTGTCTTCTACAGCTTATGTATTGAGCATGCAGTGCCTTAAAATTTAAGAAAAAAAAGTTGCCTGTTAAGTACTGTTATTCATAATTGAAAATACTTGAAAGCAACCTAAATGTATAATAATAGAATGATTACAATATATTATGAACTATCAAAATGATGGAATATTATATATTCATTAAAATCAGACTATAGAAGAATACTTAACATGGAAAAACATTTACAATATATTTAGATATAAAAGCAGGCTCTATAATATATACGAAGGATTTTTTCATTTTAGTTTTTGTGTTTTCCTATATTCTCCAAACTTTCTACAGTCTACATGTATTATTTTATTAACTGTTAACAAAATATCCCCCCTCCTTTTCTTTCTTTAAAAAACAAACAAACAGCCACAGGTATGATTCCCCGCTGGCTACCAACTTCCAAGTGGTCTTGCCGAAGGGCTAGGGAGGTGGATTGGTCAGAGAGAATAGAATGAAGATGCAACAGCCCTCCTGCTTCTGTGAGTGAGCTTAGTAACTGTGATGACCCAGTTCCAAAATGGGCTTTCTGGATGAAGCGGAAGTTTGTACTCTCTAACAAACTGGTCACACGAGAGCCTCATGCTCTTCCTCCTGTGCCATGCTTATCATGGATCTCAGTTCAGGGCAAGGATGGTGTGCTAATAAGGTTTTCAGTGACCTTTCCTTAATGTGGGTACAGTCAGCCTCAATAAACCCTGGCAGGCTCAGGAAGACAGCAACCCTCCCTTATCTAAGGTCACTCTTAGTTGAGAGGGAATAAATGGGGGGGTCAGAAGCTATTTTTTCCCTGTTAGATTTTCAGGCCAAATCTGCAAGGCTGGATCATTCATACAAACATTTAGTAAGCATAAATGTGTGCCAGCCCTGTCCTAGACAGCTAGGATAAATCAATGAACAAGACACAGTGCTGTCTGTCCTCAAGGAACTATTAAGTCTCTTGGGGAAGAGACCTGCAAAGGATGGATCACAATGCTACGTGATGATGCTGCAACACAGGTGGGCAAAGGGCTGTGGCAGCACCAAGGAAGGGCATCTCCACTAGACTGTAGTATCAGCTAAGTGAGGAAGGCGAACTGGATGAAACAGAAGCACATTCTGTCTGGAGGAAACCAAAAATTACAGAGGCAAAGAAACAAAGAATTACAAATGGCTCGGGGTTACTGGATCCCAGAGTAAGGGTAGAGCGGGGTGTCTCTTTGTGTGATTTTTTTTTTTTTTTGGAGGGTGGGGATGGGTGGAGAGAGGATCTTTGGCAATAGTAGAGATGAAACTAGAGCAGTCCAAAGAGCCCAGCTTGTAAGAAATTTACATGCTGGACCATGGAGTTTAACTCTTTTCCTGAAATCAAAGAAGGGTTTCAAGCAGTGGACAGATCTGATGGGTTTTGTCTTTGTAAAAAGACTGCTTTAGAAGGAGGATAGTCTGGAATCAGATAAACTCAACAATTTTAAGACCAATGTGGCTGGTGAAAGTCCTCAAGGAAGAAGGAGGTTCCAAAAATGAGGGCCTCCGTCAGTGCTCTTTTACTTACTGAATAAAATTTTAAAAACAGATTTGACTCTGGGAGAAGAGAGCTAACAAAGGAGCTCCTGTCATGTAGAAGATTGACCTGAATTTGTTAGGCAGAGGGTTGCCTGCTTCCTTCAGAAGCAGTGTCCATTGTGAGACATGGCAGGAGAGGAGGGGAGCTGGACCATCCAGAGCAGCAGGTGCGGTCCTCCCATTGACAAGCAGGCTCCCCCAAGAGCTGTTCCTTCGTCTCTCCAAGGCTACTTTCCTCTGCAAAAGGGCAACACTTCCTGTTTACCTAACAAAGTGGTGGTATGGAACAAATTAAGCAAAATAACACAAAGTACCTATCACAGTTCACAAAACAAACCAGAGACTCAAAAATAGGTAGCTTCTGTTATGACTGTTAGGTAGATGTCTACTCTCTTAGGAGAAAGAATGGTTCTCAACCACATTTTGAATGATTTTAAAATGTTGAGTGCCACAAGCACACAGATGTTCTTTCCAATTACTTTTAAGATTGCGTCAATCACAAAAGAGTGGGCTGGGCCAATAGGGATTTCTAAAATTAATATTTATTCCCCTAACCCAAGATAAAGATTTCATTTCAAAGACAGAATGAAAGCAAATTAAAAAAAGATGGGGATTATAAATGGGTCACTAGTACTTTTTCAATCATTCCTCAATGAATGACTCTTTCCGAGCTAACACTATAAGTAATTCCCTGTGCTTTCCTGACTGAAGGAACAGCGTATATTATTCTTAGTTAACTAATTAAATATGACTTAACCCTAGAAGATTTAGCATGCTATAGTGATATAAAAGATAGCAAAGCTAATAAGATTCTAAGAGCTACTATTAAACAAACATATGGATGGTAACATTTTTACCTTTCACAAATGTTTGAACTTAACTTTTATTATGACTCTAAAATAGGGCAGCTTCAGTTAATTTAAAGACCAGTTCTGTGCTCTGGGCCATTTTGGGGATGAAAATGAAAATATCTGGTACCTTAGCTCCATCAGGCATTATTTCTATTCCTCACCTCAACTATGTGAGATGGGTATTTTTAGCTATAATGTAGAGATGAAGAAACTGAGGCTCAGAGACATGAAGTGACTTGCTCAAGATCACCAAGCAAGTAAAGAAATGGTCAAGATTTGAAGTATGGTCTCTGGTTCCAAAGCTCATGATCCTTTTTCTTTTTTAAAAATCAACTTTGAATTTTAATTTATATCAAATAAACTCCACCCATTCTATGTGTATATATAGATGAATTTTGGCAACTGGATACAGCTATGTAACCACCACCCGCAATGAATCCATACAACATTTCCAGGACCCCTAAATGTTTGCTTGTGCACCATCCAACAGAATCTCCCTCACTGTCTATTTATGTGTCATAGCTCTTAGCACACAGCACTGAGATCATCTGTTTTCCACCTGTCCTTCCCACCATCTCTCTTTTAAAAATTCACTTCTTTTAAACATGCAGTAAAAGTCACTCTTTTGACAAATGCCCACATCGGTGTAACAACCACAGACAATCAAGATATAGAACACTTCCATCACACCCCATCCAGCCTGCTTGTGTTGCTCCTTTGTGGCCAACCTTGCCTCCCCAAATCTCAGCCCTGGCAACCACTGATCTCTTTCCTATTCCTATAATTTCGCTTTTTTTTTCAGAACATCATAGAAATGGAATAATACAGTACATAGCCTTTTAAGTCTGGCTTCTATCATGATCTTTTAAGCTACACTGTATATTTTAGCTTTTTTCCCTGACTGCTGACCAATGAAGGACAAGTTTTCATGGCAATAGAGTTCCATGGACATGCCCATGTATCACAACCCCATGGTGCTAGCTGCCACTCCACCTCAAGTGAAGGGTAGTATAGGAATGTCTTCAGTCCACCTAATGTATTAAAACAGTATATCATCCACAAGTTTCATTAGCTATATTATTATTATTATTATTATTATTATTATTATTATTATTTTGAGACAGAATCTCTCTCTTTCACCAGGCGGGAGTGCAGTGGCACAATCTCAGCTCACTGCAACATCTGCCTCCCAGGTTCCAGCAATCCTCCTGCCTTAGCCTCCCGAGTAGCTGGGACTTCAGGCGTGTGCCACCGCACCCGGCTAAATTTTGTATTTTTTTTTTTTTAGTAGAGACAGGGTTTCATCATGTTGGCCAGGATGGTCTCGATCTCTTGACCTTGTGATATGCCTGCCTTGGCCTCCCAAAGTGCTGCAATTACAGGCGTGAGCCACTGCACCTGGCCTAGCTATATTATTTAACACTAACAAATTATTTGTGAAACATCTCACAAGTGAGTGAAATAAACCAAGTCTGTCTATGTATGCTGGGGTTGAGAACCTCCTTATTATACCAAGCTCTCTCCTAGCTAAGAAATCATGCCCATCCCAGAGGTCTGGCCGTAATACCATGAGTGGTGCCAAGGGTTTGCTCCTTGAAAAGAAAAGGTAAAACCCAAGCTCTGTGTCATCAAGCCCAACCAGGTGAGGCAAAGAAAGTGGGAGATCAGCCAGTTGCTCTAAACTGTTTAACTCTCTCATTTTGTAGCAAAAGAAAGATGAGCTGAGAGAATATAAGGGACTTACCTAGAGTCACACATCTGCATAGCCTAAAGGACATCCTGACAAACCCAAAAGTAGATCTTTCTGTGCCCATTGAATGGCAATCTCCCAATATTACTCTGTCCTTTCCTCTTTTGCCCTATCTCCCACCAAAAGTACATGGTTTCTCTTGTCTGAATGTATAGTAGTGCAGTCGCTGTTTTCAATATCTAGAATTGTCCTAAAACATCAAAATCTCAATTGGATTCCATAAGCAATTCCCAATCTCTTAATTAACCAGGATTCGAAATGATGTCTCTTTAGCTCCAAAGCTGATGATCTTTTTGTCTACTGCACACTTTGGTATCTACTCGGACACCCATTTGGCTTACCAGTTGTGATGGTTAATACTGAGTGTCAACTTGATTGAATTGAAGGATACAAAGTATTGATCCTGGGTGTGTCTGTGAGGGTATTGCCAAAAGAGATTAACATTTGAATCAGTGGGCTGGGGAAGGCAGATCCACCCTTAATCTGGTGGGCACCATCTAATAAGCTGCCAGTGAATATAAAGCAGGCAGAAAAACATGAAAAGGAGAGAGAGACTGGCCTAGCCTCCCAGCCTACAACTTACTCTCATGCTGGATTGTTTCCTGGCCTCAAACGTCAGACTCCAAGTTCTTCAGTTTTGGGACTCGGACTGGCTCTCCTTGCTCCTCAGCTTGCAGATAGACTATTGTGAGACCTTGTGATTGTGTAAGTTAATACTTAATAACTCTCCATATATATATATATGGAGAAACAAAAGTTCTCTAAGAATATAAGCCTTAACTTCAAAAGAAATTCAAATAAGATTGTTGTCAGCACATTACTGTTAAAAGTCCATACGCTAAATATTATTGAAATTATAAATCATTCTATTTCAACACAGAATCTGTTAATCCTGTCTTGATGTCAGCTTCTTGGAGGATTCAAGCTAACAAGGATACCAATTTTCAAAACACTATTAGAGATAAGAACACTATAGATTCTAAAGAATATGATGTCATTGAGTTTTATATATATATATATCCTATTAGTGTGTCCCTCTAGAGAACTCTGACTAATACAGCATTCTATAGCTCATTGGTCATAAACCATTGACTGACTGTGAGGTCCTTTGCTGGGTCCTGGGGCTAACAGGCGATTCTGATACAATCTCTAGTTTCAAGGAGCTCAGTGTCTAGTGGGGGATTCAGACTTGTAAATCAACAAGTGTAATTACTAAGATTAATGCTATGAGAGAAGTATGCACAGGCAACAACTCTCTCTCATACTAGTGTGGGCACACACCCGTGGCAGACTACCAACCCCGGCCAACATGACAGAATTTCTTTCAGCTCTAACAGAGGCAGTTAATAATTCTAAAATTAAGTAGAAATGGTCACATTAGAAGATAATTTTATAGAAGGACAGTTGAATAAAGGTTACTGGAACACAGAATCCAATAGTGATGCCCAAAAAAGGCAAACTGATTTTTATGAACAATTTTCTTCTTCCTTTTTCTGTTAATACAAAAAAAAAAAAAAAACCCACACCAAAAAACTGGCACCTTTGTCTGGGTCCGGAGTATAAAATCAGGAAATAAAATGGCAAGTCTTACAACTGTGAACTTCAAAATCAGCTCATTACAAACCCAAGAGACATATTTGAATGCATGTTGCTACATTCATTTACCTATTCTGCCAAGCCATTCAATTACACGATTTCAGATTTTGTATAAAAAAATACAGCCATGTTTCTTTCAAAAGCTGGTATTTGGAGAAAAGTGATTAGAACAGCATGCTATGATACGTTAATACAGTGGTTTCATTTAACAGACAATGGCAGTTCCTGTACTTTAAATTATTGCACTTAGAATTCATGACTACAAGGTGTCTCAACTTTTTTCTTTACTGCTGTACAATATACTCCACTGCCACTGTGAATGCAAACAAAACACATTATCGGAAGAGTTTTGTTAGCATTTGTAATCTTAAGGAAAGTCATTTTTAAAGGTGGAGAGTGGGTACAGTAGGTTGTTCAAATCCTATGAACACTGAATAGAATAAAGCATTACAACTGGGGAAAGAGGAAGAGTGGGAGAGAAAAAGCTAAAGCAAGAGAAAATCTTAAACCAAAATTTAACATCCCTTTGGAGAGACAGGGCACAAAGGAGGAGACAGAGTTTATTCTAACCAGAAGCAGCTGCTGCTGTGCGAATTAGGAAGCATTCCTAATGAATCAGCAGTTCTTATAATAAATATACTCCCCTTTGAAATGTGAGGATTCTGCGATGAGAATTTCTTTTGATATATTTTTTACATGAACTCATTAGACAGCGAAGGGGCAGGGATAGAGCGTGTTCCTTTCTAAATTACTATAGTGATCTGATCATGTCCTCTCCAGCTTAGTTGGACAGGGCATAGGAAAATAAAGAAATAAGAACACAACTAAAAAGGTCTCTATTCACCAGTATTCTTTGTTGATCACTCAAAATAAACTTTGTAAGGTGCTACGTATCAGCCACATCTTACAAAATACCTGCCACTGTGCCGGTTAAATTTAACCGGCAATTTGGAGCTATACAAACCATAAAAGGGGCATTTCTTTTGCATTAAGAGTAATCCCCAAATTCTAACATGGTGAAGATCCGCTTGCAGAATATATCTGTTCCCCAGATATTTTGCTTGCCATTTTAACAGGAGAAAAGGGAAAAAATTATGCACACATGCACATTTATTTAATCCCCACCTAGGTTCCATATTCCACTTTTTTCTTGGATTAAAAAACAACCATTTTAAACAAAGGTTTCTCTAGGCAAAAATCAGTGTGTCTTTAGTCATACAAGACAAAATTAATTTAAAAGTACAACTTCCCATATTATTCTACCCACCAGCTATCTTTCTCCAACTTTTTTGTTGTTGTTATAGAATTTTATTCTATTTTTATTTTTCCATAAGTTATTGGGGTACAGGTGGTACTTGGTTACATGAGTAAGTTCTTTAGTGGTTATTTGTGAGATTTTGGTGCACCCATCACTCGAGCAGTATACACTGCACCCTATTTGTAGTCTTTTATCTCTTGCCCCGTCCCATTCTTCCCCTCAAGTCCCCGAAGTCCATTGTATCATTCTTATGCCTTTGCATCCTCATAGCTTAGCTCCCACATATCAGTGAGAACATACGGTGTTTGGTTTTCCATTCCTGAGTTACTTCACAGTCTCCCTCCTCCTTCCTTCCTCCCCCTTCCCCCACTTCTGCAGTGAGTTTCCAGGGTTCTTGGAGCCTCAATGCGAAAAACCAGGAACCCCAGGAGTAGTCATGGAGTGACACAAGGTGTACTGGAGAGACTATTAGAGCTGCTGTGCTTTTTTGTTTTTACCCTAACACTAATGGTACATAAGCCTTTAACATGGAAATGAAAGTGAAAAGACATTCTAAATATAAACACAACCTTTAGGCTGTTTAAAAACAACTCTTCACAAATTTAGACATGGCCTCCTGTCTTACTTAGGCCACTTTTGCTGTCAACAACAGGTTAAGAGAATGCAAAAGATAGGCAGACCTGCAGATAATAGAAGTTAAGGACCGAGAAGATTTAACTCTATCCTTATCATATCATACAGAATAAGCAGAAATAAGTTGCTCATTAGAGAAAAGAAGCCTTAGATCATATGGGGGTTGTGGAGGGGTAGAGGACCCTGATTCTTCTACAAAATCACAGCCCAAATAAGGTGAGGAAAAGTCCAAAGAACAAACCAAGGAGTCGTGAGAAGAGATCCCTTGCTTAAAGATCAGTGTGTGCTTGTTTTATATTCCAAGTAATTAGAAAACCGGAGCTCAAAAAGGCTCAGGAAATTTGTCTGAAATCATTTGGTAAGCTATAAATGGTTTAGAGCTATATCTGAACCTAAATCTCTCTAGCTTCAAGGCTATACCACAAGTGTAGTAGTACTGCCCCCTTAGTGACATCCAAATCATCAACAGATATGATTTTGCTCATTAGGCAATACTACCTCTTTAGGGCATCTTACTTGGAGACAAAGCTCTAACTTAATGCTCTTCTCTCAGATGGAAAAGCCAAGGCAGAGGGTTAAGTCACTGGACCAACATTATATAATTTCATTTAAAAATGTCCTAGGGTACAGACTACTAAAGTTGTTTCTCCTTCGTTTTACAACATGAGTCTAACCACCAAATAGTCAGCTCTACGGATCCCTTAGATTCGTTCCCCAGAAGATATGCATTCCTATAGAAATGCCCATCATGGTCTGGTGCTGTTTGGCTCAAGCCACTGGCAACCAAAAGAACAGCTTGGCAGTTTGTGCACTGCTTTGCCCTGCGTACTACGTTGCACACCTACACAGGCTTTGAAAATATTTCATTCAGTGAAGATGGATCAAACATATAAAGGACTAGCAGAAGAGAAGAAGTTCAGATGTCTGAAATGTAGACAGTAATTTCTACACAAAGATATCTGCCTCAGAATTTACGGTGGCAAAAAACTATAAAAAGCCTAAAGAATGGCAGTATATTTTTCTCAGGTATTGGAATAAAAGACAATTAATTATAAATCTAAGCTTCACACATTAGAGACAGGCATGTGACTTAACCCGTGGTTCCCCCTACTTTTTTTTTAATGGAGCCAACTAAAGAGCTGTCATAAGGATTAAATAATACAATTCATAAAACCTGCTTAGCATAGTTTCCAGGTAGAAAGTAATCAATAAATGGCAGCTGCTATTACTATCACTATTATTAATTCCAACAGTTGAGAATCATTAGGTAAAATATGGAACACCTTCATGACTTAGTATCATATGGTCATTCAAATGTCCTTCAGATGGAAAGCTGTGATGTTATAAAAATATGTAAAAAGCAAATCCAGTAAAAAGGTTTTCAAACATGTAAATTTAAAAATATATACATTTAAGTTATCTGTATATTACATATATTATAAGACAACATCTAACAGAAAACACCACAATATCTATCTTTGGATGATGAAATTAAAGGTAATTATTTTCGACCTCTCCCTCAAGCTCACCCCGTCCCCATCTTCCAGGTTCCCCCCTCACCCTGGCTCCCTGTGCCCATCTCTGAAATAATAAGATAATTATTTTCTTCTTCTGTATTGGAAAAAGTGATTTCATCCAAAACTCAGTTCCTTTTTTTTCCCTGCGGATACCCAACTGCTCCATCGACATTTTTTAATAGACTACCCTTTCATTCTTTCTTTCTTTTTTTTTTTTTTTTTTTTTTTATTGGAGACAGAGTCTCGCTCTGTCACCCAGGCTGGAGTGCAGTGGCGTGATCTCAGCTTACTGCAACCTTTGCCTCCCAGGTTCAAGCAATTCTCCTGCCTCAGCCTCCCAAGTAGCTGGGATTACAGGCATGTGCCAACACACCCAGCTAATTTTTGTATTTTCAGAAGAGACGGAGTTTCGCCATGTTGGCCAGGCTGGTCTCAAACTCCCAACCTCAGGTGATCCACCCACCTCAGCCTCCCAAAGTGCTGGGATTACAGGTGTGAGCCACTATGCCTGCCCTACCCTTTCATTTTTTAACAGACTACCCTTTGAATTACCTTGGCACCTTTCTAAAAAATATATCTAGATATCAGTTGATTCTCTATTCTGTTCTACTAATCCGTATGGTCTACCCTTGTGCCAATACCACAATGTCTCAATTACTGTAGCTCTACAATAAAACTGGAGATCAGGTAATATGTGTCCTCCAACTTTATTCTTCTTTTAAAAAGTTATTTTGCCTAAGTTCTTTGCCACAAAAATCTTCATACAGATTTTAGAATCAGCTTGCCCAATTCTGAAGGAAAAAAAGGCCTGGTGGTATTATTGCATTGACTCTATAGATCAATTTGGGGAGAACTGACATCTGTATCAGTAACAGTCCTCCAGAGAAACAGAATAGACTATTGTATGCATGCGTGTGTGTGTGTATAAAGAGATTTATGTTAAGTAACTGGTTGAGGCAAGTTTGAAATCTATAGGACAGGCCAGTGGGCTGGAAACTCAGGTAACAACTGATGTTGCAGTCCTGAGTCCAAAATTTGTAGGGCAGGCCAGCAAGCTGGGAACTCAGGAAGGATTTTTAAATTACAGTCTTGAAGCAGAATTCCTTCTTCTCTGGAAAACCTCAGTTTCTGCTCTGAAGGCTTTAAACTGATTGGATGAGGACCACCAACATTATGGAGGGTGATCTCCTTTACTAAAAGTCAATGATTATAAATGTTAGTTAGATTTAAAATACCTTCACAGTACCATCTATACTAGTGTTTGACCAAATAATTAGGTACCATAGCCTAGACAAGCTGACACACAAGATTAACCATCATAACATCTTGACAACATGGAATCCTTGAATCCATCAGCCTGGTATATCTATTTAGATCTTTTTAAAAAAATGTATCTCAGCAATGTTTTGTATTTTCAGTGCACAGGTCAGGCAAATATTTTGTTCAATGTATCCCTTGGTATTTCATATTTTGATGCTATTATAAAAGCTTCTGTTTTATTAATTTGAACTTACAATTTTAATACCAATTTCCTTACCTCACACTACATACAAAAATTTATAGAAATGGACTGAAGACCTAAGTATAAGAGATAAACCTACAAAATGTCTATAAGACAATATAGGGGAAAATCTCTGTGCTCTTAAGTTATGCAGAGATTTCACAGAACACAAAAAGCATGAACTCAGAAGTAAAAATTGATAGAAGGTAGAGCAAAATGGCAGAAATGAACTCTCCAGGGATTATCCCCACACAGAAACATCAATTTAAACAGTTCAAAATACCCTCACAAGAGCTAAAGAAACCATGTAACAGATCATAGTGCCTGGTTATAGCACAATAATAAGAAAGACACATCAAAGAGGGTAGAAAGGACAATTTTGCATTACCCATGTCATCCCTCCCCTTACCTCAGGCAGTGGAAAGAGATATCATCTGCCTGGGGGAAAGAGAAATAAGTCTAAGACTTTGTCTAGGTCCCCAATACTGAGCCTGCCACCATAAAACCCAGCATCAGGCAGACCTCTAGGGCCTCTAACTCCAGGCCGACACCTGTGAACTGAGCTTCTAGACCCACCCCAGCACCAGAGACCTGCAGCCCCTATAACACAGATTTGAGTTCTGGCCTGCATCACTGCCAGCTGACTACAGTGGCCTTAGGCTATGAATAACCCACAGCAACAGGCAGGCTCTCAGCAGCCAAGAGCTTCAGGTATATCCCAGTGCTGTACCAGCCTTGGTAGCCATGGGCTTAGCATGCTAAGCTACCACAGCTACAGCAATCTGAGGATTAGGGACCAGACCAGACAACCTGCCTAGAAACTCTGAACAGGCTTACTTTTGAAGGAGGTTCCAAAACAAAGCCACAAAAGCTTACAAAGACTGGAATAAGTACCTACTTCTTCAATGTACAGAAGGTCAATGCATGACTACAAGGATCAGGGAAACACGTTGTCACTAAACAGACAAAATGAGGTACTAGTGACTGACCATAAAGAGACAAAGATGTATGTACTGCCTGATAGAGAATCCAAAATAGCTATTTTAAAGGTGCTCAATAAACAATTCAATGAAATGAGAAACATAATAAGTGACCAGAATTAGAAATTTAACAGAGCCTAAAATAATTTTTAAAAACATTTTTCAGGAGTTGAAAAATACAAAAATAAATAAATAAATAAAAACGCAATAGAGAAAATCAATAGCAGACCTGATTAAGCAGAAGGAAAAAAATCTGTGAAGTCAAAGACAGGTTATTTGAAAATATACAATCAGAGGATAAAAAAGGAAAAAAAAGGAACGAAGAAAGCTTATGAGATTTACGGAATGGCATCAAAAGAGCAAATGTATGAGTTGCTGGTATTCAAGAAGGGGTAGAGAAAGATAAAGAGGTAGGAAAGCTTATTTAAATAAATAATAGCAAAAAATATACCAAACCTACAGAAAGATACAAATATCCAGGTACAGAAAGGTCAAAAGCCTCCAATCAGATTCAATTCAAATAAGACTACCCCAAGATAGAATCTAATCAAACTGTCAAAGATCAAAGACAAAGAGAAAATCCTGAAAGCAGCAAGACAAAAGAAGCAAATAATATATAAGAGAGTTCCAAGACACCCAGCAGCAAACTTCTGAGAATAAACATTATAAGCCAGGAAAGACTGCGATGATATATTTATAGTGCTGAAGGAAAAATACTGTCAACCAAGAATACTGTACCCAGCAAATCTGTCCTACAGAAATGAAGGAGAGAGAAAGATTTTTCCAGACAAACAAAAGATAAGGGAGTTCACTATCACCAGACCTGTCTTACAAGCAGTGCCAAAGGGAGTTCCTTAAGCTGAAAGAAAAGGATGCTAATAAATAACATAAAACATCTGAAAGTAAAAGTAAGTATACAGTCAAATTTATAATACTCTAATGCCATAATGGTGGTATGTAAGTCCCTTATATCAAGTATATAGGTTAAAAGACAAAACTATTTTAAAAATAACTACAATGATTTTCTTTTCTTTTGATACAGAGTCTTTCCCTGTAGCCCAGGCTGGAGTGTAGTGGCGCGATCTCGGCTCACTGCAACTTCTGCCTCCTGGGTTCAAGTGATTCTCCTGGCTCAGCCACCCAAGTAGCTGGGACCACAGGCACACACCACCACACATGGCTAATTTCTTTGTTTTGTATTTGTAGTAGAGATGGGGTTTCACTATGTTACCCAGGTTGGTCTCGAACTCCTGGACTCAAGTGATCCATCCACCTAGGATTACAGGTGTGAGCCACTGCACCCAGCCTAAAAAATAACTACGATAATTTGTTAAGGGATATACGTTATAAAAAGATGTAAATTATGACATCAAATTTCAAAATGTCAGGGGAGGATGTACAGTTAAACTACAGAGTTTTTTGGTCTCCATGTGATCAAAGTTAAGTTGTTATTATCAGCTTAAAATAACCTGTTATAGTTATGTTTTTTATATGCTTCATGGTAACTACAAAGCAAAAAACTATAATAGATACACTAAAAATAAAAAGCAAAGAATCAAAACACACTACTATAGAAAAATCACTCAACCACAAAGGAAACAGTAAGAGAGGAAGAAAGAAAGGACCTAGAAAACAATGAAAATGGCAGTAATAAGTCCTTACCAAAAAGAACAAGCTACTCATATATAAATAACTTGAATGAATCTCAAAAATGCTACGCTGAGCAAAAGAAGCTAGACACAAAGGAGTACATATTGTACTCCTTTCCATTTAAATAAAATTCTAGGAAAGATAAAGTTAATTGACAATGAAAGAAAACAGATTTGTGCTTGCCTAGGGCCAGGGGAGGTTGGGGTGACTAAAAAGGGGCACAGAGAACTTTTGGGAGTGACAGAAACGTTCTGTATCTTGACCATGGTAGTGGTTATACATCTGTATACATTTGTCAAACTCATTAAATTGTACACTTAAAATTGGTGAATTTTAGTGTATGTAAATATATATTTTATATTTATATATGTTTTCATTTCTTTAGTTCATCCATTTTGGCCTATGGAAGATTAGATATTTTTAAAACCCTCCCAACTGATACAATTAAATGCCAGACTATATATTTTCATGTACCATCTTTAAAAATATTGCTAATCTGGTAAAAAGTAAACACTCTAGAGGCCCGAAAAATAAAATGAAAAAAAAAAATGGAACTCAGAAAAGTAAACAAGCAATAAAGCTAGTTTTTACCCCTGAAGCTCTTTGCCAAACCATGAACACTTTGAGCTCCCAAAATGATGGAGACACAGGTCAGAGGTGAAAGGAGATAAAGCCTAGAAATCTCTTAAGTACACAACAGCCTAATACTTAGGTAGTCAAGGGCTACATCTTTAGTGTAAGGATAAAATATTCTGATTAAATTCTATCAGCAGAAAATTCTTCATTCTTGATGCTGTTGCAGGGTACAAGCAAATATCTCCAGTGACACGTCTAACTAAAAGTATGCTTTCACATGGAGTTGCAATCCAAATTCACCCATCGTGGTCTCATAAAATGGCAAACATATTTATAGAGAACCCAAATTATTAGTATTCCTAGGTAATAGCCAGAAGCATAGTTGAAATATAAATATACTCTAGAGGGATTCAAATTGAGCCAAGCCCCACTCCCCCAATTCCTACAAATAAAGCTTTGTGGACAACTAAAATAATCAGAAACAGAATAAAACAGTGTTTAATGCATGTAAAAAACTTAGTTTCTCATTTTTTAAAGGAATGATTGACAATGGTGGGGAAAAAAAGACTACCAACAGCCAAGCAGATCTATAAAAGAACCAAATGGAATATCACAAAATGAAAAGATTAGACACGAGTAAAAGTGGCATTAGTGAGCCGGAAGATAAACCCAGATACGTTATTCATAATGGATCTAAATAGACAAGAAGAAGAAATAACTGAAAAAGGAAAACAAGCAACATGAAAGAGAGTGAAAAAGCCTAATGTATTCTAATCAAATTTCCAGAAGGATATAATAAGAAAAAGAAGCATCAAAAGTCAAAGAAATAATGGTTGAGATTGTTCCAGAATTGCTGAAATCCCACGCAAGATGAATTTAAAAAAAAAAAACAAACAAACACATGAGAGACAAAGCACTGTGAAGACAGCAAGAACAAATAAGTGAATTAGTTTAAGAGTAACAATTAGACATACTCATTTGTGGCACGTAAATAAAACAAGAGCAAAAAAGAATCTCCTTAATCTAAGACAGAATATCTATTTACGACTTATTGGAGAAATGCTAATATACTTTCTTTAAAATGAAGAACAATAAGAGTATATTCATTATCTTTACTTCTGCTCAACGTTGTACTGAAGATATTAAGCAGCACAGCTGGACAAGAAAAGGAAATAAAGGGTACAAAGAATAGGAAAGGGGAAAAAAGGTAAAGTGGTTATTTATAAATTACATAATTTTATATCTGAAATCCAAAAGGATATATAATAAACTACTAGAATTAGGTAGCTGGGCAAAAGATCAATATTCAGAAATCAATTGAGTTTCTAAACAACACGAGAACAGAAAAATGTAATTAAAAATATATGCCATTTATAGAACCCGTAAAAACATAGGTCCTTAGGGGAAAAAAATGAAGCAAAGATATGTAGGACCATTATGGAAGAAATTTTGAAGTGTTTTTAAAAGATATTAAAATAAAATCTAAATAAACTGACACCATGTTCAGGAATTGGGCAGGAAAACTCACTAACATAAAGGTGTCAATTCATTCCAGACTTATCTGTATTCAGTGAAAATTTCAACCTGGTTTTTATGAGACTTGATAATATTACTGAATCTAAAATTTACATGGAAAGGCACAATACCAAGAAAAGCAGAACATCCAAGAAGAAAAGAAGACGTAGAGAACTAGATAGATATTAAGACCATAGTAATTGACACAGCAAAAATAATATGTACCATCCTTGGGAGAACTGAGAAAACAGTGTCATTCAAATTCTGTTTTGTGTTCTGGGATCAGATGAGAAATGCAGTATGAGAAAAGCTGCATCTAGGAGGTTAAGATTAGAAACAGGGAAACCAGTTCTAACAATGCAGCAAGAAATGGTGTTGGCTTGGACCAGGGTGGTAGTGGTGGAGGTGGAGCTACATCAACAGATACTAGATATTTTTTCTTTTTTTTTTTTTTTTGAGACGGAGTCTTGCTCTGTAGCCCAGGCCGGACTGCGGACTGCAGTGGCGCAATCTCGGCTCACTGCAACCTCCACCTCCCTGGTTCAAGCTAGTCTCCTGCCTCAGCCTTCCAAATAGCTGGGATTACAGGCGTCCGCCACCATGCCCAGCTAATTTTTTGTATTTTTAGTAGAGACGAGGTTTCACTATGTTGGCCAGGCTGGTCTCAAATTCCTGACCTCATGATCTGCCCATTTTGGCCTCCCAGGATATTTTTCAACATAAGATATGGCTGAATTTGTGGATGGCTTGGATATAGAGTATGTGGACAAAAAAGAGAAGGGTCGGCTGGGCGCGGTGGCTCACGCCTGTAATCCCAGCACTTTGGGAGGCCGAGACGGGCGGATCACGAGGTCAGGAAATCGAGACCATCCTGGCTAACACAGCGAAACCCGGTCTCTACTAAAAATACAAAAAATTAGCCAGGCGTGGTGGCGGGCGCCTGTCGTCCCAGCTACTCGGGAGGCTGAGGCAGGAGAATGGCGTGAACCCAGGAGGGGGAGCTTGCAGTGAGCCGAGATCACGCCACTGCCCTCCAGTCTGGGTGACAGAGCGAGACTCCGTCTCAAAAAAAAAAAAAAAAAAAAAAAAAAATAGAGAAGGGTCAAAAACAACTCCAAGGTTTTTGGCATTATCAAATGGAAAAAAATAGTATTGTCCTGCCCTTAACTGAGATGGGGAAGACTAAGAATAGAGTTGAGGAGAAAAATTAGAAGCTGAATTTTGGATGTGTTATATAAAAATGCCTATCAGATAGCCAAGAGAAGGTGTAAGCAGCTGGAGTTCAAGGGAAAAGTCCATGTCTGAGATTGCTATTTAATTCTGGGAGTTGTCAGAAGGTGTTAATAGACATGACATGACACTGGGTGCAATGAAGGGAGTAAATATATTTAAAGAAAAGAAGCTCAGGGCCGGGCGCGGTGGCTCACGCCTGTAATCCCAGCACTTTGGGAGGCCAAGGCAGGCGGATCACCTGATATCAGGAGTTTGAGACCAGCCTGATCAACATCGAGAAACCTCGTCTCTACTAAAAATACAAAATTAGCCAGGCATGGTGGCGCATGCCTGTAATCCCAGCTACTCGCGAGGCTGAGGCAGGAGAATCACTTGAACCTGGGAGGCGGAGGTTGCAGTGAGCCAAGATCCCGCCATTGCACTCCAGCCTGGGGAACAAGAGCGTTAACTCCATCTCAAAAAGGAAAAAAAAAAAAAAGAAGCCCAAGGACTGAGCCCTGGAAGGGAGCACCATTTAACACTTTGGGGAGGTATGGAATAACTGGCAAAGGAGACAGAAAGAAAAGCCAAGGAAGTAGCAGGAAATCAGGAAAACAGGGTTCCCTTCCCTGGAAGTCATATGAGGAAAATATATCAAAGAGAAGGCAGTGATTGTGTCAAACAGATCAAGAAAGAGGAGAACTGAGAATTAATCACATTTTTGGTCACTGATAACCATGACAAGAGCAGATTCAGAGGGGTGGTGGGAGTGGAAGCCTGATTGGAATGACTTCAGTGGAGAACTGACGACAACAAATTCAGCAACTTTTTAAAGGAATTTTGCTGTAAAGGGAAGAGGAAATAGAGACCTAATGGGAGAACAGTATTAGTTCAAGAGGATGTTTTCCTACTCCCATCCACTAAGATAGGAGAAATAGCTACATGCTTCCACAATAAGGGGAAGATCAAGTAGAGAGGGGGAAATAATTCAGAATGGGAAGAAGAAAACTGATGGAATCGTGTCTTGAGTAGACGAAAGGGGATGGAATCTAGTGCATGGATGCATGGTTTTGTTCTTGCTAGGAATCTGGAAAATGCACCCATGATAACAGGGGAGAAGGTAGCGTATACGGGTGAAGTTGTAGGTGGGTGAGATGTGGTGATAGCAGATTGCAGAATTTCTTCTCTGAGGCTTCATAATAGCAGTGTTTGTTATAGCAAAAACAAAAAAAAAGAGAAGAAAAAATTGGGAACAACCCATGTGGTCCACCAACAGGAGTGGTTTGAATGCGAATGGTCATATTCTTTAGTTGGGCAATAGACTCTCCAGTGTTTATTTTATCATTACCTTACATATATTCTATATAATTAGATGCATAGGAAAGAATATATGTAATAATTATGTATAAGAGTTCTATTCTGGATAGAGGACTGGAATTGAGAGGTGATCAAAGGAAACCTGCATTATACCTATATTAATTACATATTTATATGTTATTTTAACTATTTACAAGAAAAATATTGATGCATTGCTTGCACAATATTTTTGGAAGCCTAAATTCTCTGGGTAGATGGAATTTGGGGCCATTTTCTTCAGTTTTTTAGCATGTTGCACATTTACTTCAGAGTCTAAGTATATTCATGACCAGAAAAATAAATTTTAAGTAACAACATATAAAATATTACAAGTATATAAAAAATAAAAGAATATGTCATCATTGTTGCATGCAGATGGTAGGGTTATGTGGGGTTTTTTCTTCTTCTAGTTTCTTATAGCACCTTCAGTTTGGCAGGGGGAGTAGGATGAGCAATGAGCATGTATTGATTACATAATTGGGAATTTTTAAAAACAAAAAAAGAAAAGACTACCGGAGCCTTCTGTTTTAGCATTCTCAGTACCTAAGACTTGAATTTTGCTTTTAACTGAATTCTAACCTCTTAAGAAAACACCACTTGATTTCTTCAGGAGGTCATTGGCTTTGACTTTACTGTTATGTATGATACACTAAATAGATGACCATGGGTTAAACATACTTGAATTTCATTTACAGTATTGGGATAACTCCCCCGCCTCAGCCCTTTTTGGCTATCAGTAGGCTGCCTACCATTCCCCTGGAATCGACTTTGAGCCAGCTGGTCAGCATATCAAGGGCTGTCACTCTACAACCCAGCAGGACTGAAAGTGGTCAAGTCTGTTCTATGTCTAAAAAGTGGAGATGCTAGCATTTCTGCAACCCTATCAGGAAGAAGGCCTAAATGGAGCAGACAGATCCCCTGCCAGTTTAGCAGACTCTGTAACTAAGGCCTCCTCTGTTCCCAGGACTTCTCTTTCCCAATCCTACTCCCGACCCAGGCCCCCCTCTGAGCACCAGTGCCCCAGTTTCTAGGTGAGAAGGTATGTTCTTTGTTCTTGTGCCTTTTGGATAGAATTCTCGTAATGATCAAGCACTGATTCTTATACTGGGATCAACTCTGCTCTAACACATTCTCTTGCCTCATTTTCCCCATTCTGAATTCCCCTTGAGTCTCTATACTTGGCTTGGCACTGATTCTGCTTTGGCACAGTCTGAACTTGACCTCAGAGAACAATGTCAGAGGCCTCTTACCCTCCACCCCTGATCTCTTACTTCCCCATGTCCCTTTAAGTTTTCCGTAGATCTTGCCTTCCTCCTGCATCCTAGCTTGCTACTGCCTTGCTATATGGCCTGCTGCTCAGTGATGGCCCACCTATACACCCTAACGTCTGCAGGGGCCAATTTCAGCAGACATCATGTGCCTGCATTGTAAACTGCACTGCTGATGGTCCCTACTGAAATTTCTCCTAAAAACTAGCCACACTCATGAAAGCTGCAAAATATATGACAGTTTCCATTTGGAATTTCTAAGGAACTTGGAAAACCAAGATTTCTTCAAGACAAAGGATCCAAAATTCACTTGAATAATGGGAAGAGGGGTATTGGAAAGGAAAAGTTAATATTGGTTCGGCAACCACTGTGTGCCATATATTTACCTACCCTAGTCACAACTCAATGAATTAAGAATTATCACTAGAGATAAAGAATCCAACACTCAGGAAAGTTTAATAACTTTCTCACAATAGCCAAGTGGTAGCAAGTGGTAGAACTAGTATTTGAACCAGGTCTTTCTGCTTTCAAAGTTAATACTCTTTTCCTCACATCATGATGACGTCCAAATTTCCAACATACCTAAGAACTACGAAAGCACTTCCAAATCTTTACCTAGCTCTAAATAATCCTTGCATACATACAAATGTTTTTCACTAATTTAAAAAGTGTGTGCGTCTAAAGATACAAAATCTAAGAAAAGGTAATACTAGGGTATTGTGATATAAGGGCTTTTGCATGTCCTGTTTTGTCTTTTTATGTCACCAACAAAATTTTGCAAAAACACACCATGTAATAAGAGTTTTGAAGGCCTTTTGTTTAGTTACAGGCAACAATCAACTGGGAAATCCCCACTGGAGTTTGAATGCTGAATTCTGAAGGCTAAGTTCAACAAGGCTACCACTCTAGAGAATCCTTTCTAGTCACTCACCAACCAAGAAAAGATAACTTGAGTGCAGCTACGCTGCTGAGTCATCTATAAAGCCTCATTAAACACACACACACACACACACACACACTGGCATCATACAAATTTGCTTTGAGCTTTTTAAGAAATTCTGATAATTTTTAAATGTTGTTAGGGACAAGCTGTACTCCCTAAAGATTATAATTTAATGAAAAATCTTGGAGGTTTTTTTTTTTTTTTTGAGACAGAGGTTCACTCTTGTTGCCCAGGCTGGAGTGCAGTAGCATGATCTTGACTCACTGCAACCTCCATCTCCCGGCTTCAAGCAATTCTGCTGCCTCAGCCTCCCAAGTAGCTGGGATTACAGGTGTGTGCCACCATGCCAGGCTAATTTTTGTATTTTTAGTAGAGACAGGGTTTCACCATGTTGGCCAGGCTGGGCTCAAACCCCTGATCTCACATGATCCACCTGCCTCGGCCTCTCAATGTGCTGGGATTACAGGCGTGAGCCACCATGCCCAGCCGGAAGAGATCTTTTTAATGTATTTCCCCTATCTATCTTGGATGAGTAATGTATATTTGAGAATATTTACACAAAAAGGAGTAAACAAATACGCATTATATTGATAAGTTAAATAGCTTGATTTAGCTATTCTACAATATATACATGTATCAAAACCTCATGCTACACAGTATAAATATATACAGTTTTTGTCAATTAAAAAATATATAGAGGCCAGGTGCGGTGGCTCACACCTGTAATCCCAGCACTTTGGGAGGCTGAGGCGAGTGGATCACCTGAGGTCAGGAGTTCAAAACCAGCCTGGCCAACATGGTGAAACCTTGTTTGTACTAAAAATACAAAAATTAGCCAGGCGTGGTGGCGGGTGCCTATAATCACAGCTACTCAGAGAGGCTGAGGCAGGAGAATAGCTTGAACCCAGGAGGCAGATGTTGCAGTGAGCCAAGATCACGCCACTGCACTCCAGCCTGGAGGACAGAAGGAGGCTCCATCTCAAAATAATAATAAATTAAAAAATATATATATATATATATGTATATATGTATATATATATATATATATATATATAAATTCAACAAAGCAATGTCTTTCAAGTCCACTGCTACTGTGACATCCTACCTACTGCAAACCTAAAGCATAACTACCATGTGCACAGTTGATGGGGGCAGTCATTCAACACCCTGGCTCTCAGGGGCTTCAATGACCTCATCATTCTGACCTCCTTCTTTACTGTATCCCAGCCACATTCTTTAGTCTCCCCTTAACCTTCCCATTACCAAACCCGCCCTGCCTCTAAAATCACTAATTAAGACTTCCCAAATCTGAAACTAGTTTCTTATCCTTGGTGTTCATTCATCTTACGGCTCCTTTTCTACCTGTTCTTAACCCTTATCACTAATGGTCTCTTCATTTTCCTCAAGTATGAGACTCTCCTTTCTTCACCACTGGCTTATCCAGCTCAGTTCTATGGTCCATCATATCCAGACCATAAAGGCATGTGTCTCTTTTCCTTTCATCCCTGATGCATGGAAATGCCTTATTCTTGAATGAATGCAACTATTTACCTTCTCTGTGCCTCCATTAGGCTAATATGCATAGCTAGGGAAAAATTCCACACAAACATATTATACCTCTAGGAATTCTACATTTATAAAATCTACAACATCAACTAAGTCTTCAACACTGTCCAGCCTTTTCCACTAGTTGGCCTACATGACTATTCCATATCTACTCAAATCTTTAATCTTCATACTCTCTCTTCCTCACCCTCAGTATCTGATCTTACCACCTACTTCATCAAGAAAACAGAAGTTTAGACAGGAGTTACCTCAACTTTCCAACAACACATTCATTCATTCAATACATATTTACATATTCATTAAACACTTTTGGAAGTCTGGGCTCTGGAACCAGATCACCAGTGTTCTTACTCTAGCTCTGTCCCTTGGGTAAATTATTTAACCTCTTTGTGCTCCTGTTCATTCATTTCTAAACTGGAGATAACAGTAGTACCAACTTCACAGGGTTGTGATGGAGATTTAAAAAGACAAGTATATGGAGCATTTAGAATAGTGCCTGGCACAGAGTAAACATGCCATAAGCATTAGTTGTTACCACCACCATGACGACAATGACATAGACCAGGCACCAGATGTACATATGGAAATCTGTAGCCACTGGTTCCTCCTCCCTGCTTCTGTTATAACAGTGGAAATGTTGGCTTCTTTTAACTGGGTTTAGGAGAGAAATTAATTAATTAACAAAACAGGCTAATGTGAAAAGACTTAAGTAACTAGCCCAAGGTGAAAAGGATATTAAAATGTAGAGCTGGCATTAGAAATCAAGTTCAACTCTGTAACTACAACATTCTGCCTTCGATATTTCCAACAGATTTAATCTGGCAGAAAGTTCTACCTAAATACCTCAGCTCCTGCTACAGAAGCAAAGCTCAGGTTGGACAAAGGCGAATGTCCCCCAAAGTACAAATGGGCCTTTAAAGGTCTGAAACTACAAGTATGCATAAAACACTCTAAATGATGGAAAAGGGAGTACTGAACTCCTAAGGTAGTCAGGGAAAACTTCACCGCCTATACGATGCCAACGAGAATATTTTGAAGAGAAGTATGCAGAAAATCCCTGACCGAGAGTTAACAAGGGGCAGAGAATGCCTTGATGGTGAGAAAAAGTTATAGCTGCTACCAGCAGGAAATCTCTTGGACATGACAAAAACTGTTTAATAAAAAAGGAGAACATATTAAAACTATTTGGCATGTGGGCCCAAATCAAACGGTACAGCATGAAAGTCTGGAGATCACCTGAGGACTAAAAGCAGAGTCCCTTCAAGTAGGGAGTTAGAGTTCCAACAGCTGTCAAGGAATCTCGATCCTTCAAATACTATTAAAGAGGTAATATAAAAGAACTTTAAGGAGTAACTGTGGATGTGGCAGATAAGAGATTTCACTATGTTCAGAACACCTGGAATCACTTAAGAGACATCTGTTATCATCTGGGAATCAGAGATTAGAGCACAGGACCACTGGTTAGGTCAATTCAGAATAGCATTTCCATGTCTCCACAGCAACTGCTCATAGGAGTGGGACCACGGGACTTTGGGCTTTTCATCATACCTTTCCACATACTCCTTATGATGGCACTGAAACCTACACAGTTTTCCACAAGTTGGGGTAAATAACAATGAATACATTTTAAAATAAAGACAATTAGAAAAAAAAAACTAGACTCTCCTGAAATTCACACTATGTTGATAATTCTTAGATACATTATCATATTTAATTTTGACAATAAGAATATTATTACTAATAACATTATTGTCACTATTCCATCAACAGAAACACTGAAATTCAGAGGTGAAATATCTTTCCCAAGGTCATATAGTTTATGAAAGACGGGGCTGAGATTTGACTCTAGATCTGTCTGACTTTGCCACTATACCTTTACATATGGAGAGAAGAGTTAAAAAAAAATCACAAATTATGCCATGATGCCCCTTATAAGAGCCATCTAAAAATTGGAATTTACTTTTAACAGTACTTAAAAATTAGTGTGTACAGTTAGAAGCATGCTTGCCTAGCAAGTATATTAGAATTGATTGAGTAAAGGAAAGACAAAGCAGTGGCATTTTATGCTCGAGAAAGGATCGGCAGTTTTATCAGAACACTCCAAAGAAATCACTCTGGTGGGCTGGGACTAGCGTCCTCTCACATTGCAGCTAACCCTGTTTCAGCCACAGATACCAGCCCCAGCAGTGGGGAATGCTGTCTGTGCAGGTAGCTCCTGCCAGGCGACCTTGTCTACCATCATGTTGCAGGGACAAAAACTCTCAGCATTGGCCGGGTGCAATGGCTCACACCTGTAATCCCAGCACTTTGAGAGGCTGAGTTGGGTGGATCACTTAAGGTCAGGAGTTCGAGACCGGCCTGGCCAACATGGTGAAACCCCATCTCCACTAAAAATACAAAAATTAGCCGGGTGTGGTGGTGCATGCCTGTAATCCCAGCTACCAGGGAGGCTGAAGAAGGAGAATTGCTTGAACCCAGGAGGCAGAGATTGCAGTGAGCCAAGAACATGCCACTGCACTCCAGCCTAGGGGACAGGGTGAGACTTCATCTCAAAATACAAAAACAAAAACAAAAACCTACTCTCAGAGTCAGCCCTACTGTAAGAGAACCAGAAGTGCTCTAGCATGAGAAAAACAGCACAGTTTCACATACATTCACGTGCCTTTAAATGATCATAACTATAAAACAATGGAGGAAGTGGGGGAACAGACAAATTGAAAATTGATTCCATCCTAGGTTCTTTCTCTGAGTCCACAGGTTGGTTGCTAGGAATATATTTCTCCACAGTCAGGTTTCATTGGCTTCTTAAAAATTATTTTTCAGTAACTTCTAAAATATGTTTTGTTTACGTCCAGGCACAGTGGCTCATGCCTGTAATCCCAGCACTTTGGGAGGCTGAGGCAGGCAAATCACCTGAGGTCAGGAGTTCGAGACCAGCCTGGCCAACATGGCGAAACCCCATCTCTACTAAAAAATAAAAAAATTAGCCAGGCATGGTGGCGGGCACCTGTAATCCCAGCTACTTAGGAGGCTGAGAGAGGGAGAATTGCTTGAACCTGGGAGGTGGAGGTTGCAGTGAGCCAAGATCGCGCCACTGCACTTCAGCCTGGGTGACAGAGACTCTGTCTCCAAAAAAAATAATAATAATAATAAAAAATAAATGTTTTGTTTACAACTTAACTTTTCTGGATTAGCAAGACAAATGAGAATACTCAATTCTTGCAAAAAATAACTGTGATTTATAGACTCTGGGTTGGCAGTATATCCCACTGGCACGAGGTTCTAAAATTCACTCACATAAAAAGAGCCTTGGTCAGATCATCTTATCAGAGACTGTGAGCTGCCTGAAGACAGAAAGTACAACTCTCATTCATTCACTGACTCATATAAAACTTCCTTTCTTCATTCATTCACCCACATCAATGACTGAACAAAGGAGACACTTAACACAGGCTTCATTAATGAATGAGTGAGTAAAGTTATTTAGCAAACTACCTAGAGCTAGTTTGCAGCTGTTAAGCAGCAACTAAACTAAATCTAACCTAAAGTACTCAGACTCCAGGATCATCAACTATATGTCTAGAGCTCAGAGAAATTAATGCTATAGGCACTGGATCTGTTTTTTATTGTTGCTTTTTGTTTTTTTGTTTTTGAGACAGGATATCACTCCCATGGCCCAGCATGGAGTGTGGTGGTACAACCTCCGCTCACTGCAGCCTTGACTCCAGTGATCCTCTCAACTCAGCCTACTGAGTAGCTGGGACGAGAGGCGGCGCCACCATGCCCAACTAATTTTTGTATTTTTAATAGAGATGGGGTTTTGCCATGTTGCCCAGGGTGGTCTCAAACTCCTGGCCTCAAGCGATCCCCCCACCTCAGCCTCCCAAAGTGCTGGGATTACAGGTATGAGCCACCACACCCGGGTAGGCACTGGATCTTAAAGCCACAACAAATGCCCTTTAACAGCATGACTTGTGCTGCTCTGGAGCACTCCAGGGAGCAGCCTCTTTTAGGATACATGTGATCTTGGCTACTACCAAAAGATGGCAAGAAAAGTAAATTTTCACCTGTTCCTTTCACAAAGATACTGTAAGCAATTCTAGGGAGTGGTAGAAAGGCACAGCATAAGAACAAGGGAAATTATTTTCCCTGCAATCATTGTTTTTCAGTTAGCATCTTCACAGATCTCTACTCCTGGGTCAAATTAGATCTGATCAAGTAGAGAGTAGACCCATGCATAACACTTACCTTCAAAGAGGAAAGAACACTTAGGATGCCCATTTGCTTTTAAAAGTTCCCATATAGTAACAGTATTAAGCTCTCATTTTCAGCATTAGCTAAAAGAGTGTTCAAAGCTTTAAAAGGACGAAGGAGGGGGGAACCAAGGGAGCCTGCAGAGCCATCACAGCTGCCTTGAAAGCTGGAAGACCGCTGTAGTCACAGTCCATCAGTTTCATGCCTGTGGTTTCCTTTCATTCTCAGAGTCAATTTAAATTACTAATAATCAGGAAACCTACATGACAAGACATCCATTAAAGACAACTACTAATAAAATAAAACTAAATATCAAATCGGATCATGGTACGGCTGGCTCCTGGGTTATAATTTAAGCTTGCAAAAAGTACAAACGAATGCAGTGGAGGTACTGCTCTGAAGAACAAAATTAATTGCCTTTGTGACTTCTCCTAACTCACAAAACTCCTTCAGGGAAGTTACTGCTTTTTTAACAAACAGTAGCCACTTTAAATCCCAGATGCTGTGAGTATCACGTACATGCTTGACGGGGCAGAGGCAAGGGGAGTAAATTTTTATTTAAACTCCTCAATAAACAATGCCAACATTTTTAGCAGGGCCCACCTTACTATAACCACATGAACCGTTAAGTGCAAATGACTAATCTAGTTTTTAAGTTTGATACTAATAACTTGGACTAGTTAATTGTGGTTACTTTTTACTTTTCCTTTTGCCTTCTAAAGTTACCACCCAAAATATACTGAGAAATAGTAAATACATAGTCACACCGCGCCTAGGAAACTTAGCAGTATTACATATAAAATTTATTTGAGAGACCCGGTGGCCAGGCAACCCAGATACTACTATCAGATCTGGTCAGATAGTTGGCAAGTGACAGCCTCTCTGGGCGTCATTAGTAAACTGAGGGACAAAGAGGATCTGACACTAAGCTTGACTGTAAAATCATGAGAGTGGAGAGGTTCTTGATCACCACTGCAGTCCTGTTTGTTGAAAGAATGAATGGGGTCTATACCATGGGCCATGCCTTAACTAGGAGATACGTATAATGTATGTGACTCATTTAATCCTTATAACAATACTCTGAAGGGGAATGATTATCCCCACTTTACAGATAAGGAAAGAGAGATAAAAAAGAAAGGCAACTGTACAAGATTACACAGTTACTGGGTAGAGTAAGGATTCCAACCTAGGTTTGTCTGATGCCAAAACCTAACGTACTTCCTGTTTTCTTCCACTAAGAGAAAAATTAATATTTCTGAGAAATGGAATTATTCTAATTATACTACACAAGTCTCAAATCATTTTAGCTCATTATAGAAAAGAGGATATACCTCCAGTTTAAATTCCTAAGCCCTATTTTAATGTAAGGCTTTTATATCTTGTTCACATTTATGTAACCTAGTGGGCAGAGCATCATAGGAGCCCTTGACAGTCTCCCAGAGGTTGCCCTGTGTCCACTGCATTTCCTCACAGACTTTGCCAGAGTACACAGTTTGTTCCCTACCACTCTAATCAGTTGCTGAAATGCTAAACAGTGTGTAGTTGGAATAGCCCCCTATCCCTCCAGCATGCATGGTCCAAATTTTTGCAAAGGAGCTACAAAGGCAATTTTGGAAACATACAACTCTTAACAACTCTCCCATCTGGTTTTCACACCACCTCCTTCCTCCATAAGCCCACAGAAGTCACAGTCAGCTCCTGTTTTCTGGGAAACTAGCTGTCTTTTCATCTTGCTGGGTGTATGTTATGTCTGTCTGTCAGCAAATTGGGAAATGGCCTCCATCCTGACAGATACATTTTGTAAAGCCTTAAAAGCACATACACTAATGTGAAGAAAAAAAGAACTTTTTCTATTTTGGACTCTGGCTATTTGCTCTTTATAGCTGAAGTGTCAAGGGAATGGGATTTCCCAGGTAGACGTACTAATGTAAAATGCATTAGTGTTAAGGTGGGGGCTCCCAATCCACCCAGGGCCAAAGGGTTAATACAAAATGACAGAATTTAATGACTGCTATTATGGTTGCCAAGCAACCAAAAGAAGGTGTGCCATAAAGGCCTAATTAATGAATGAGGTAGCAAGAGTTTCTGTTAAGTTGGTAAGCAGTTCACAGTTCACCATTGCCTAGCTTTGCCCAGATGGTAATACTCTTAAGCTTTCTTAGCTCCACTGAGCAGCAGCAAAATAATGTGATTATAGTTGCAGCTCTGGCTAAAGTTCTGACATCCTTTCCATACTCAGTGAAATTTCTTAAGTCAGTTGAAACAACAGCCTCCTGTAGATTCACAGTGAGGATTGTATGCTTGCATTTTGTTACTCATATGAGATCCAGGTCCAGAAGAACACTGGAACGATTCTCTTCTGGACTCTCTTGGCTGCAGGAACATTAAGACTCATCAAAATTTGGGACTCAAACTGAACTGCCATTGGAACTACAGACTCTGTTGGGACAATGTTCTTTTCAAAGGCAAGCCCAGACAACAGTAACAAAGGACTACACCCAGAGTGTCCACAACTTGCTAAGCTCTGTACAAGTGGTAATATGGTTTGGCTGTGTCCTCACCCAAATCTCATTTTGAAATGTAGCTCCCATAATTCCCACATGTTGTGGGATGGACCCGGTGGGAGATAACTGAATCACAGGGGCAGTTTCCCCCATACTGTTCTCGTGGTAGTGAATAAGTCTCACGAGATCTGACAGTTTTATAAGGGGAAACCCCTTTTGCTTGGTTCTCATTCTCTCTCTTGCCTGCCGCCATGTAAGAAGTGCCTTTGACCTTCCACCATGATTGTGAGGCCTCCCCAGGCATGAGGAACTGTGAGTCCATTAAACCTCTTTTTCTTTAAAAATTACCCAGTCTCAGGTATGTCCTTATAGGCAGTGTGAAAATAGACTAACACAGTGGTTAACGTTATCCCAAGTTTTCGTAGCCCTGTAAGGTAGGAATTACGACTCCCATTTGATAAGCTAAGGCTCAGAGGTACCTTGCTCAGTATCACAAACACTGCTAATGTGCAGCTGAGCCAGGATTCAAACCCTGTTCTGACACCTGAGACTATCCTCTCCCCATTGCATTATGGCTGCCACTGCCGTGGATGACAATCACGAAGAGAACTGAACTGTCCGCCTGGGAGTGCTCTCTAGGTATCACACACAGAGCTGGCACTTAGACATCTATTATCTTGTTTAATCATCATCCTTGCAACGACTGAGACTCTGCTGCTATTATTAATCCTCGTTTTAAAGAGAGTGAATACCAGGCTCAGTTAAATCGCAGACTGAGTTGTCTTATCTGAAATGCCTGGGACCAGAAGTGTTAAAGGTTTTCAGATTTTTTTTTTTTAATTTTGAAGTATTTGCATATATAGAGCAAGATAATCCTGAGGATGGGACCCAAGTCTAAACATCAAATTCATTTATGTTTCATATACACCTCATAACACATAGCCTGAAGGTACTTCTATAGAATATTTTTTAATCATTTTGTGCAAGAAACAAAGTTTTGACTAAATTTTGATGGCAACCCATCACATAATGTCAGGTGTGGAATTTCCCACTTGTGGAGTCATGTCCCTCAAAAAGTTTCCAACTCTAGAACATTTCGGATTTTGAATTTTCAGATAAGGGATGCTCAACCTGTAGCAAATGAAGATAGCAATACTTGAACTCAAGTCTGTGGCTTCAAAGCCTGCTCTCCTTTCACCATGCCATGCTGCCTAAGTACCGACCACAAATCATAAAGGCTTGCTTTGATTTAATTTCCATACTGAAAATGGAAAATATACTCAATTACCCAGTTCCCTCCATGCCACAATAAGCAATTAAATACATGAGCTTTTCTTTCAAGAGTGAACCTTCTACATCTGAATGTAGCTCAACATCACCACGTATTCAAACAGGGAGGGCCCCTGAGAGCAGGTGTAACAGATTGGCAACCACCAGCTAAGTCTTGAAGATAACAACAGGGCAGCGGGAGTGAGGGATGACAGAAGAGGCAGCTGCCTCAGCCAGGGCTCCGAGGGAAAATGCTCTTATTCTTTAATGGAGGAGGGTCTGTGCATGCTGGGGGGCAAAAGGGGGGCCCCAAATGAACAAAGGTAAAGAGAAGAGGAAGAAAGATTGGTCCGAGACCAGTTAAAGTGTTCTCATTAATAGGCCTGCGACTTCAAATGTAATCAAAGTGGAGGACCCAGCTCAGCCTAGCAAAGGATCAGGAGATTTGCCCCTCTGATCCTTTCATTCACCAAAATACAATCTCTTTACTAGGCCCAGCAACTGGTACAGACACATGTTCACCCTTCTATCAGGGCTATTCAAAATACATGCAAACTCTTTTCAGACTAATCTTAGCAGAGTTAACTTTATCATTGCCAACACTGTCTCTTATGGGTTGGGCCATGATTATTTGCAGCTGATTCTTATCTATGGCAATTTCTGAAATCCAAGATTGACTTCCTGCTGCCATCCAGCATGCGTGGGCTGCCTCCATCTTGCTGGGAGTAAACACTTGGGGAACACAAACAACTCAAGGCTAGTTTAGGCAAAATGGAATTAGAAGAGTAAACCAGTCTTTACCTAAAAGAAATGGCATTCATGCATTCATTTATCAAACATCCCATGATCATTTAAAAAGCAGAATGCTAGGGAATTAGGTATGAAAAGCAGAACTTTCAGATTATAAATGATACTCCAAGTGTCTGACCCAGAACTGTCTTCAGCCTTAGAGTGCAAGCTCACCTGCTTGCTCACTTACTCTCCACACCCACTCTTCCCCTCCCTCTCTGCCCCAATGCAGATCCCCACAACTTCTCACTTCACCTGTAAGTGGTTCCTCTATGCTAGAGCCAAAATGATTTTCTAACACACAAATCTGATTATGTCATCCCTTTACTTAAGATTCTCCAAGTCATTCTTCACTGACTTCAGGATCAAGTCCAAAAGCCACCACATGACCTGTGAGGTCCTTGCTCTCTGGTCCTTCCAGCCTCATTTCCTGCCATTCTCCTCTGCTCCAGGCATACTGAATGCTCCACCACTCTGCAGAAGCACTGTGCTCCCTTGGTCCTGGGCCTCTGCCCGTGCTGTCCAACCTGCCTATCATGCTCTGCCTTCTCTCCCATTCCTGTCCCACCTCCCCATCCACCTGGGTAACATTCTTAGTTGCTCTTCAGGTTTCATCCCATTTCCCATCTCCACCAACAAAAGTGAGCTACCTCATGATATGGTTTGGCTGTGTCCCCACCCAAATCTCATTTTTAATTTTAACTCCCACAATTCCCATATGTCGTGGGAGCAACCCTGTGGGAGGTGATCAAATCATGGGGGCAGGTCTTTCCCATGCTGTTCTGATGATAATGAATCAGTCTCATGAGATCTAATGGCTATAAAAATGGGAGTTTCCCTGTACCAGCTGTCTTTACCTGCTTCCATCCATGTAAGACATGACTTACTCCTTCTTGCCTTCCACCATGATTGTGAGGCCTCCCCAGCCATATGGAACTGTAAGTCCATTAAACCTCTTTTTCTTCCCATTCTTGGGTATGTCTTTATCAGCAGTGTGAAAACAGACTAATACAGTAAATTGGTACCAGTAGAGTGGGGCATTGCTGAAAAGATACCCAAAAATGTGGAAGTGACTTTGGAACTGGGTAACAGGCAGAGACTGGAACAGTTTGGAGGGCTCAGAAGAAGACAGGAAAATGTGGAAAAGTTTGGAACTTCCTAGAGACTTGTTGAATGGCTTTGACAAAAATGCTGATCATGATATGAACAATAAGGTCCAGGATGAGGTGGTCTCAAAAGGAGATGAGGAACCTGCTGGGAACTGGAGCAAAAGTGACTCTTGTTATGTTTTAGCAAAGAGACTGGCAGCATTTTGCTCCTGCTTTAGAGATTTGTGGAACTTTGTACTTGAGAAAGATGATTTAGGGTATCCGGCAGAAGAAATTTCTAAGCAGCAAAGCATTCAAGAGGTGACTTGGGTGCTGTTAAAGGCATTCAGTTTTAAAAGGGAAATAAAACATAAAAGTTTGAAAAATTTGCAGCCTGACAATACAATAGAAAAGAAAATCCCATTTTGCTGAGGAGAAATTCAAGCCAGCTGCAGAAATTTGCATAAACGAGGAGCTGAACGTTAATCACCAAGACAATGGGGAAAATGTCTCCAAGGCATGTCAGAGACCTTTGCGACAGCTCCTTCCATCACAGGCCCGGAGGTTTAGGAGGAAAAAATGGTTTCATGGGCTGAGCCCTGGGTCCCTCTACTGGGTGCAGTCTAGGGACTTGGTGACCTGTGTCCCAGTCACTCCAGCTGTGACTACAAGGGTCCAAAGTACAGCTCAGGCTGTTGCTTCATAGGGTGGAAGCCCCAAGCCTTGGCAGCTTCCACATGGTATTAAGCCTGCAGGTGCAGAGAAGTCAAGAATTGAGGTTTGGAAACCTCTGCCTAGATTTCAGAGTATGTATGGAAATACCTGGATGCCCAGGCAGAAGTTTGCTGCAGGAGTGGGGGCCCTCATGGAGAACTTCTGCTAGGGCAGTGCAGAAGGGAAATGTGGGTTGGAGCTCCCACACAGAGTCCCTACTGAGGCACTGCCTAGTGGAGCTGTGAGAAAAGGGCCACCATCCTCCAGACCCCAGAATGGCAGATCCACTGACAGCTTGCACTGTGTGCCTAGAAAAAGCTGAAGATACTCAATACCAGCCCATGAAAGCAGCCAGGAGGGTGGCTGTACCCTGCAAAGCCACAGGGGCAGAGCTGCCCAAGACCATGGGAACCCACCTCTTGCATCAGCATGACCTGGATGTGAGACACGGAGTCAATGGAGATAATTTTGGAACTTTAGGATTTGACTGCCCTGCTGGATTGTAGACTTGCATGGGGCCTACAGCCCCTCTGTTTTGGCCAATTTCTCCCATTCAGAATGGCTGTATTTACCCAATTTCTGTACCCCCAGTGTATCCAGGAAGTAACTAACTTGCTTTTGATTTTACAGGTTCATAGGCAGAAGGGACTTGCCTTGTCTCACATGAGACTTTGGACTGTGGACTTTCGAGTTAATGATGAAATCAGTTAAGACTTTGGGGGACTGTTGGGAAGGCATGATTAGTTTTGAAATGTGAATACATGAGATTTGGGAGGGGCTGGGGTGGAATGATATGGTTTGGCTGCATTCCCACCCAAATCTCATCTTTAACTGTAACTCCCACAGTTCCCATGTGTCATGGGAGCAACCCTGTGGGAGGTAACTTATTCATGGGGGTGGTCTTTCCCATGCTGTTCTCGTGACAATGAATAAGTCTCATGAAATCTGATGGCCTTAAAAATGGGAGTTTCCCTGCACCAGCTCTATTTGCTTGCTGCCATCCATGTAAGATGTGATTTGCTCCCCCTTGCCTTCCGCCATGATTGTGAGGCCTCCCCAGCCACGCAGAACTGTAAATCCATTAAACCTCTTTTACTTCCCAGTCTCAGGTATATCTTTATCAGCAGTATGAAAACAGACTAATACACCTCCCTCAGGGCTTCATGCTTTTATACCCTTATCACATCAAGGTTTTTAGTCTGACCATCTCTCCTGCAAGGACATGTCATCTCTCTGACTCCAGTGTCAACTACATTGCTTGGTTCATAGTATAATGCAGTAGATGTTGACTAAACCAATATTTATTGAAGGAATGAATAGGTGATACCTAACACCCACCATATTCTAGTGTGATCTTTATTTGCTGCTCAGCTTGTTAAAGAAGAACATCCAAATTTCCCTCCCTTCTTCCCTTCCCTTCTCAAAGACACTGAACTAGTCTAACCTTTGTAGTCATAATGCTTGGTGCTCACTCCCATTCTTAGAGTCAACTGGGTTGCTCTAATTAACCTGCATTTCTCATCCTAACCCCAGACTTGGAAATTGAGAGCCACAATAGAAAAGAAGCACAACTCGTTGAGGGAGGCTGAAGGGAGGGAGCATCCAGGAGATCAAATCTGTGGAGCATCTAATCAGCTTCTAAAACCACACATACCTAAATTTCCTAATGAGACTTCAGCATGAATCTCAACCTTTAGAGGTACTGAAAAATAGACACACTGAATTCTCAATGTTGGCTCCAGGCCAAATCTGACTTCAACTTTGGCACAAAGAGTTAACCACCTGGAGTGAGGGGAAGGAGAGGGGAGGAGAAGAGAGAAATAAAAGACAGGACAGAGAAGCATAAAATTAAAAAAAAAAAAAAAGTCATTGAGCAGACTTCTGAAGAAAAGCTTGGTTGATTTAAAATGAAAGCTAGGATGCAGACAGGAGGTGGCAGCATGGACTTGAGGTCTGAGCATCAAAATGTCTGGCCAGGCCTCCCCAGCTTTCTCTTCAAGGCTGTGCCACAGAAGCCAAACCATAACCTCTCTGAGCACAGGTCATCTTCCAAAAAGGGAGAAGCAACTCGCCTTTCTTAGACTAAGAGATATTCTGAAAATAAAGACTAAGAAGAATAGCAATTCTCAAACGATTCAAGCTGTAAAAAACACAAATCATCCCCAAGTGCTTTGATAGCTGATAAAAAAATTTTCCAAATCTGAACTTCCATTCTAATTTTGACAAATATTCTAAATTGGCTTCTAATGATACAAAAATATGAGATGACTTTATTGCATACCATTTCAATCTGGCTCAAAACCATTAACAAATGCATCTTCAGGAAAATTCTTAGCAAGAGAAATTCAAAAGCAACTCTTACTCATTTTTGAAATCTGTTTCAATGAGTTCTAAATTTATAGTAAAACATCTCTGCAATTGTAACGCCATTCAGAGCACAATGACACCAATTATGCCCAAGCTTCACTAATTGTTAAAGCTTTAGATAAAGCTAAAAATTTAGAAGTTGGATATGAAACACTCTTGTGACCCTCATTATATTTTTCTCAAAAATGTTCAATATCAGTAGCAGAACTGTGAGTTAAATGCTAAAATTCAGTGACAGAGAAGGAATTTATGAAGCCTTTTAAAACACTTAAAAGCTGAATGGCTCAGGTCTTTGATGTGACTCAGTGCTTTGCAAACCAACTTGAGAAAAGTTTCCTTCTGTCCCGCATGCAAAGGCAGCTGCCCGGGACTACAGGTTCTAGAGTGTGATTTGGAAACATTTCAGCATCACACTCCCTATAATTCAAACCCTGTTTTGTGTCTGTCTTTATAGGTCATTGTTGGCCAGATGGAAAATATTAAGGAAAAGAGATTGCAACTAAACCAGTAGGCTGTGGTACACAGTTGCAAGGCCGCAGTTAACCACGAGCAGAACTGCAGGCAGGCTTTGCTTAGCTGCAAGCAAAGCTCTGGCGCATCCTCTGCCCAGCAGCAGGAGGGCCCCTGGCCAGCTGAGAGCAGTCACTGTGCCAAACAGACTGTACGGGCCTCACTGCTCGGATGCTTCCAGAGAAAGAAGGAGAATCGATGGGTTCCTTTGTAAACAACTTCTTGTGCTTTCGGGCTGTGACCGACTTCAAAGGTGGCATAACTTAATTCTGTCACAAATTATGCCATGGAAATCTTGAGGAAGATATCTTCCTGAGGAAATACCTACGTGGCCCCTTATAAACTAAATTCTAACAGGTAAACAACAAACAACAAAAGAAAAACACGTTCAGCTTTTAGTAAGTAAGAAAAACTGCACAACCTAATATAATTTCTACTCACGACTTAAACCAGTTTTTAGTAAAATCTTACTGGGCATTAGTGAATGCAGACCTTAAATATCAAAGTTTGTGTTGCACTATGATACGACTTTATACATCCATCTCTATTAATGGGACCTGACTCACAGCATTGATTTCCCTCTCAAATATTTGTTGAATAAAATGTGTTAATTTTTAATAATGGGCAACCTTTATTAATGGCCTAGTCTGCAACAAGTGTTCTTCTCAGGACTTTACATGTATTTCATTTTCAGAAGAAGTCATTTTTACGAAGAAAAGCTCTCATTTGTAAAGGATGTAAGGTAGGCATTAGCATCATTATTCCCTTGACACAAAAGCCCCTCAGATAATTCAATAATAACGTGTCTCACATTGAATCCAAGCCTGACTATGAATCCAGATTCTTCCACCACACTCCATGCTGCCTCTCCCTATCACACGAACATACTTTAGCCATTCCAAAAATGACCATTTCCGAAATGCACCAGACCATGAAGTCCTTGAGGACAGGGATAGTGCTTTATTCACAGCTGAATCCCCAGTACACAGCACAGAGCATTAAAAAATGAATGAAGAGAATAGAGGGAGGAGCCTCTGGCTTTTACCAGTTGCTCACACACAAGCACCCACAATAGGTAGTGTGAAATTTGCTCCCTGGTATCATAGAAGAGGTATACAGTACTTGGGTAATTCTTAATAATGGTGAAAAAAACAGCAAGTGAAGAAAAGATCTTAAATATGGATTTTTAGCCTATGATCCAGAGACCACAGAAGGGGTTCTGTGAAAACCTATAATGTCTATAGAACTTTTTAAGGAAACCCACATAAACATTTTTTTGGAGACAGTTCCTGGAGCTTTCAGCAGACTTGCAAAGGTATCCTATCCTCCCAAAAAGTTTGCCTTCTAAGAGTCTTCTCCAATTTTATTGTCATGGGGCTGAGTGGGAAAGGCCAGGGACTCTGTGGTAGAGGGCTTATGTTCAAGTCATGTCCTCCAGGCAGTCATAGAACCTTGGTCAGGTGACTCTGAAGCTCAGTGTTGTCACGTGTAATTTACCCAGTTGTCACAAGATCTAAACGGGATGATCAGCATTAAAGTATTCAACACAATACCTTCTCTCTACTTGGCTAGTGTGTAAGGTATACAACAATAAAACATGAACAGGAGATGGTACAGAACCACTGAAGGAAATATAATGAGAGTACCAGCTGCTCTTCTTTTCCCAGAAAATGTTTTCTTGTTTAGTCATCTAAGAGAAAAGAGCCAGAAAACATCCACTTTTCCTGGAATGCCTACTACAGAGCCTCATTTATATCAAGCTAAAAGTTAATATCCATACTTCAAACTAGATTTTCTGAAGTAAAAGAAATTAAATGATATTCTCATAGGCAAAACAAAAGAAATTCTAAAACACCTATGACACTCAAGGAAAGAAACATGGATTCTGTCTCAAATCTAACCCACCTATCCAGAGAACAGCACTTTTCCGATCCTCCAGATGTATCCTTTGAAGCTACTTGCTTTGACATCATAATTACAAAATGGTGCAAGGGCTGTGAAATCATAAACAGATGATGACTCAAAGGACAAACATCAAGAAACAATCTTTTACTTGCTAAAGACCTTAAATGATAGGAAAACACCTTCAGAAAGCCAAGAATGAAAGTAATAAAAACTTAGTATTTAATTATTAGCTGTACCATTCATATTAGCACCAATAAGGGAAAGAAAAAAAAAAGGGAATAAATATTTAGGTATAAATCTAACAATACAGGTGTAGGAACTGTATGCCAAAAACCACAAAACACCAAAGAAAGAAATCAAAGAATCCCTAAATAGGCCAGGCGTGGTGGCTCATGCCTGTAATCCCAGCACTTTGGGAGGCTGAGGCAGGCAGATCATGAGGTCAGGAGATCGAGACCATCCTGGCTAACACAGTGAAACCCCATCTCTACTAAAAATACAAAATATTAGCCAGGCATTGTGGCAGGCTCCTGTAGTCCCAGTTACTCGGGAGGCTGAGGCAGGAGAATGGCATGAACCCAGAAGGCGGAGCTTGCAGTGAGCCAAGATCGCACCACTGCACTCCAGCCTGGGCAACAGAGTGAGACTCTGTCTCAAAAAAAAAAAAAGAATCCCTAAGTAGATGGAGAGATGTACTATGTTCATGGACTGAAAGACCCAAATATTGTAAAAAGGTTATCTTTGCAGCTGGGCGCAGTGGCTCACACCTGTAATCCCAGCACTTTGGGAGGCCAAGGCGGGCAGACAACCTGAGGTCAGGAGTGAGAGACTAGTCTGACCAACATGGAGAAACCCTGTCTCTACTAAAAATACAAAATTAGCCAGGCGTGGTGGCACATGCCTGTAATCCCAGCTACTCAGGAGGCTGAGGCAGGAGAACTGCTTGAACCCAGGAGGCAGAGGTTACAGTGAGCCGAGATCGTGCCATTGCACTCCTGCCTGGGCAACAATTGCAAAACTCTGTCTCCCAAAAAAAAAAAAAAAAAAAAAAAAAAAAAAACAGGCATCAGTCATCTTTACCCAAGTCATTTTATACATTCAATCCAATGTCAAACCAAATCACAGTGGGATTTTCTATAGCTATTAAAGGTCAAGAAACTAGAAGAGCAAAATTTATGTGGAAAAGCAAAGAAACTAGAATAGCTAAGACTATTTTAAAAATGAAAAACACAGCTGGAAGATTAATGCTATCTGATTTGAAGAATTACTATGATGCCACGATTAAGACAGTATAGTATTGATAGATACATAGATGCTACATCAGCATAATCCTGATACCAAAACCTGGCAGAGACACAACAAAAAAAGGAAATTTCAGGCCAATATCGCTGATGAACATCGATGCGAAAATCCTCAATAAAATACTGGCAAACCAAATCCAGCAGCACATTAAAAAGCTTATCCACCACGATCAAGTCAGCTTCATCCCTGGGATGCAAGGCTGGTTCAACATACACAAATCAATAAACGTAATCCATCACATAAACAGAACCAATGACAAAATCCACATGATTATCTTAACAGATGCAGAAAAGGCCTTCAACAAATTCAACCCCCCTACATGCTAAAAACACTCAATAAACTAGATATTGATGGAATGTATCTCAAAATAATAAGAGCTATTACAAACCCACAGCCACTATCATGCTGAATGGGCAAAAACTGGAAGCATTCCCTTTGAAAACCAGCACAAGGACAATGATGCCCCCCTCACCACTCCTATTCAACACAGTATTGGAAGTTCCGGCCAGGGCAATCAGGCAAAAGAAAGAAATAAAGGGCATTCAAATAGGAAGAGAGGAAATCAAATTATCTCTGTTTGCAGATGACATGATTGTATATTTAGAAAATCACATCGTCTCAGCTCAAAATCTCCTTAAGCTGATAAGCAACTTCAGCAAAGTCTCAGGATACAAAATCCACATGCAAAAACAAGCATTCCTATATACCAATAATGGACAAACAGAGAGCCAAATCATGAGTGAACTCCCATTCACAATTGCTACAAAGAGAATAAAATACCTAGGAATACAACTTACAAGGGATGTGAAGGACCTCTTCAAGGAGAACTACAAACCACTGCTCAAGGAAATAAGAGAGGACACAAACAAATGGAAGAACATTCCATCCTCATGGATAGAAGAATCAGTATCATGAAAATAGCCATACTGCCCAGAGTAATGTATAGATTTAATGCTATCCCTATCAAGCTACCACTGACTTTTTTCACAGAATTAGAAAAAACTACTTTAAATTTCACATGGAACCAAAAAAGAGCCTGCATAGCCAAGACAATCCTAAGCAAAAAGAACAAAGCTGGAGGGATCGCACTACCTGACTTCAAACTATACTATAAGGCTGCAGTAACCAAAACAGCATGGTACTGATACCAAAACAGATATATAGACCAAGGGAACAGAACAGAGGCCTTAGAAATCATGCCACACATCTACAACCAACTGATCTTTGAAAAACCTGAGAAAAACAAGCAATGGGAAAAGGATTCCCTATTTAATAAATGGTGTTGTGAAAACTGGCTAGCCATATGAGGAAACTAAAACTGGACCCCTTCCTTACACCTTAAACAAAAATTAACTCGAGATGGATTAAAGACTTAAATGTAAGACCTAAAACCACAAAAATCCTAGAATAAAGTCTAGACAATACCATTCAGGACATAGGCATGGGCAAAGACTTCATGACTAAAACAACAAAAGCAATGGCAACAAAAGCCAAAATTGGCAAATGGGATCTAATTAAACTAAAGAGCTTCTGCACAGCAAAAGAGACTATCATCAGAGTGAACAGGCAACCTACAGAATGGGAGAAAATTTTTGCAATCTATCCATCTGACAAAGGGCTAATATCCAGAATATATAGAGAACTTAAATTTACAAGAAAAAAAACAAACAACCCCATCAAAAAGAGGGCAAAGGATATGAACAGACACTTTTCAAAAGAAGACATTTATACAGCCAACAAACATATGAAAAAAAGCTCAACATCACTGGCCATCAGAGAAATGCAAATCAAAACGACAATGAGATACCATCTCACCCCAGTTAGAATGGCAATCATTAAAAAGTCAGGAAACAACAGATGCAGGAGAGGATGTGTAGAAGTAGGAACGCTTTTACTCTGTTGGTGGGAGTGTAAATGAGTTCAACCATTGTGGAAGACAGTGTGGCGATTCCTCAAGGATCTAGAACCAGAAATACCATTTGACCCAGCAATCCCATTACTGGTTATATACCCAAAGGATTATAAATCATTCTACTATAAAGACACATGCACACATATATTTATTGCGGCACTGCTCACAACAGCAAAGACTTGGAACCAACCCAAATGCCCATGAATGATAGACTGGATAAAGAAAATGTGGCACATAAACACCATGGAATACTATGCAGCCATAAAAAAAAGATGAGTTCATGTTCTTTGCAGCGACATGGATGAAGCTGGAAACCATCATTCTCGGCAAACTAACACACAAACAGAAAACCAAACACTGCATGTTTTCACTCATAAGTGGGGGTTGAACAGTGAGAACACATGGACACGGAGGGGAACATCACACACCGGGGTCTGTTGTGGGGGTGGGGAGCTAGGGGAGGAATAGCATTAGGAGAAATACCTAATGTAGATGACGGGTTGATGGGTGCAGCAAACCACCATGGCACGTGTATACCTATGTAACAAACCTGCACGTTCTGCACATGTATCCCAGAACTTAAAGTATAATTTAAAAAAAAATTTTTAATGAAAAACACAGCTGGAAGATTAATGCTATCTGATTTCAAGACTTACTGTGAAGCCACAATCAAGACAGTATAATACTGATGGATACGCAGAACAATGGAACAGAATAGAGTCCAGAAACAGATCCACACAAACACTGCGTAGTCCATTAATTTTTGCGAAGGCACAAGGATGACTCAATCGAGAAAAGATGGTCTTTTCAACAAATGGTGCTGGAACAACTAGATGCTCATATGCAAAACAAAAACAATCTACAAAAAAATTCAACCTATACTTTATACCTTAAAAATAATTAACTCTAAATGGATCACAGACCTACAGGTAAAACATAAAACTATAAAACTTTGAGAAGAAAAGATAGGAGAAAATCTTTGTGACCTTGGGATAGGCAAAGAGTTCCTAGATATGACACCAAAAACATGATCCATAAAAGGTAAGATTGATGTGTTATGATTTTATCAAAATTAAAATCATTTGTTCTGTAGAAAATCACTGTTAAGAGAATAAAAAGAGAAATCACAGGCTGGGACAATATGTGATTTGCAAATCATATATCTGAAAAAAGATTTATGTCAAGAAACTTAAAGAACACTTGAAACTCAACAATAAGGAAACAAATCAATTTTTTTAAATGGGCAAAAGATTTGAATACTTTACCAAAGAAGATATACAAATGACAAATAAGCACGATATGCCCCAATCACTGATTATTAGGAAAACGCAAATTAAAAAATCACAATAGCTCCTACTACACACATAGAATAGCTAAAATGCTTGTGAGTACGTGGGACAACTGGAACTCTGACACCTTGCTTGTGGGAATGCAAAATGATACAACAACCACTTTGGAAAGCAGGCAGTTTCTTACAAAGTTGAACATACGCTTGGCAACATACACCCAGCAATTCCACTCTTAGGTATTCGTCCAAAAGAAACAAAAACTTGTGTTCACACCAAAATCTGTGTGCAAATGTTTGTAACAGTTTTATTCATAATCATAAAACCCCCAAACAACCTAAATGTCCTTCAATAGCGAATAAACAAACTATGAACACATTCTACAGTGGAATACCTACTCAATAATAAAAGGGAATAAATCACAGATACACACACCAACATGGATGGATCTCAAATGCATTTTACTATGTGAAAGAAGACAGTCTCCAAAAGGTAATACCATATGATTACATTTTTGTGACACTGTGGAAAAGGTAAAACTATAGAGACGGAGAAGAGGGGTTAAGAGTAGGAGAAGGGTTTGACCACACAGGGGCAACACAAGAGAACTGGAGTGGGAGAGGACAGAAGTGCTCGTATGGTGGTTATGGTGGCAGATATATGACTACATATTTGTCAAAACTCAGTAAATTATACAAAATGAGGAAATTTTACTGTACACAAATTAAAAATAAAAATAGAAAAGTCTCACCAAATCTATTAATTTTGAAAAATGAATACATTGCAACTCTTGTAATACACTTATCTGATTGAATTTAGTTAGGAATAGAGGCTCTGGAATGAGAATCCTGCCAAGGTTTTGCTGTATCACTTTTGGCAAGTTACTTAATCTGTCCAAACCTAGGTTTCTTCATCTGTATAATGGGGGCCATAGTGCTTTCTCAAAGAGTTTTTAATGAGGATTAAATGAGAGAGCGCATGGACAGCACTAAGCAAATAGTAAGCATTCAATAAATGAGTGGCTACTAAGTTTATTGTTGTTGTTTTGAGATGGGAGTTTTGCTCTTGTTGCCCAGGCTGGAGTGCAATGGCGCGATCTCGGCTCACCGCAACCTCTGCCTCCTGGGTTCAAGCAATTCTCCTGACTCAGCCTCCCAAGTAGCTGGGATTATAGGCACACGCCACCACACTCGGCTAATTTTGTATTTTTAGTAGAGACGGGGTTTCTCCATGTAGGTCAGGCGGGTCTCAAACTCCCAACCTCAGGTGACCTGCCCGCCTCAGCCTCCCAAAGTGCTGGGATTACAGGTGTGAGCCACCGCACCCGGCCAGTTTGTTTGTTTTTTAAAGACAGGATCTGACTCTGTTGCCCAGGCTGGAGTGCAGTGGTGTGATCATAGGTTTCTGTAGCCTCAAACTCCTGGGCTCAAGTGATCCTCCCATCTCAGCCTCCTAAGTAATTGGGACTACAGGTATGTGCCACCACACCCAGCTAATTTTTATATTTTTTATTTTTAGTAGAAACAGGGTCTCACTATGTTGGCCAGGCTGGTCTCAAACTCCTGGCCTCAAGCGATCCTCCCACCTTGGCCTTCCAAAGCACTGAGATTACAGGCAGGAGCCATCACATCCAGCCTTGCTTTCACTTTCTTAATTTTTAAGAACTTCCTTTTTTTATTCCTGAATGTTACTTTTTATAGAATCATATTCTTGTTGGTTATTTTTTTTTTTTTGAGACAGAGTCTTGCTCTGTTGCCCAGGCTGGAGTGCAATGGCACAGTCTTGGCTCACTGCAACCTCCATCTCCTGGTTTCAAGCAATTCTCCTGCCTCAGCCTCCCAAGCAGCTGAGACTACAGGCACATGCCACCATGACCAGCTAATTTTTTGTACTTTTTAGCAGAGACAGGGTTTCACCATGTTGGCCAGGCTGGTCTCGAAGTCCTGACCTCGTAATCCACCTGCCTCAGCTTCCCAAAGTGCTGGTATTACAGGCATGAGCCACCGTGCCAGGCCTCTTGTTTGCTTCTTTTCAAGACAGTCTCACTCTGCTGCCCAGGCTAGAGTACAGAGAGGCACATAGTTCATAGTTCACTGTAGCCTCGAACTCCTGGACTCAAGTGATCCTCCCACCTCAGTCTCCCAAGTAGCTGAGACTACAGATGTCTGCCACCAAGCCCAGGTAACATTTTTATTTTTTTATGTAGAGGCAGAGTCATTATTAAGTTTTTATTCATATTTTAGCAAGATAAGTTATGGAAATACAGGATGTTACATTCACCCCAAAAGGAGAACTACTTTAAGATTATGTGATACCCTGAAACCAACAGAAGTCACCTATTCAGAGGAAATTGCCTGTTTAAAATACACAGATGACTACTCATTTACATAATAATTTAACTTTCTTTATCAGAGTTCAATATTGCAACTAATTGTTTAATTATATGTCTGCCTTCAGATCCTGGGCCATGTGAAAGTGGGGAAAGTGCATGTCTCGGGGATCACTGCATCCTCAGTGTCTGCAGTGGAGTATAGGACACCTACAGACACCAAATAACAATACACGTTTCCTTAGCCTAAGTCAAATAAGGCACCAAGTTTGGGATGGGGGCAAGACAAAAGAATGGGAGGAACATGGACTTCAGAGTCAAACAGAGCTAGGTTCAAATACTGACAATATCAGCTAATAATGATTCTCTAAGGTTCCTTTTCCTCTTCTGTAAGACGAGGATAATTCTTCCTCTGCGGGACTGCTGTGAAGAGTGGAGGAGAGAATGCACGTGAATGTTCAGGGCACTTGGTTCTAGACATATGATGGGTGTGTATTACAGCAAGTTTCTGCCTCATCCTCTCACATGAGCACATCCCAAGAGAGGGCTTGGGAAAATAATTTTTTTTATTTTTTAAAAAAAGCCGTGTTAGCTTTCAAGTTGTCACTAGGTAAAACTTGTGTAGGAACCAGTTACTACTACCAGGCAGCATCATACGTTATGATTTGATCCTCGCTACAATCCTCCAAGGACTTATGATTGCTCTCATTACGTAGATGGAGAAGGAGAAGCCAGAAAAGTTGGAGATGCTCATGGAGATGTTGCTGGGAAAAGAGGAGATGGGATTTGAACCTTCTGAGTTTATATTCTAAGCTTTTCTCCCCCCAAGAAAATCAAGGAAGATATCAAAGGGCACATCTATCTAAAGGCTCAGTGAACTTCCCAATATTAACCAGGTGATAAAAATTAAAATACCCCTATTTCCACTATGACCATTTCTAGATGTTCTAAACCAGCTCATCCAGGAAGGAACGAGTTCATGGAGTCCCCACTATATATCAGACACTCTGCTGAATAATTTGTACACTCTCTCTCTCTCGCAACCCTTTGAGGTGAGTCCTTATCTCTGAATGTCAAAGATGACAAAAATAAGTTGCAAGATGTTAGGTAAGAAGATCATAAGTGGGCAAGAGCTGGTAAGCAAATGCAAACCCCTCTGACTCCACAGCTCACACTCTCTGCACTCACTTGCAGAGACTTCCCGATGCTCCCATGATCTCTGAAGTCCTAGTCAAAAAAGCCAGCATCATGATTTCCTCAGGTCGTCCGTGACACATACCACACTCAGTATTTGCCTGATATTCTAGAAATTGTCCTCTCATGAGTAACAAAACAGTAAGTGGTGAGATGTTTCCTTTTTTAAAAGTTTTTATTGTTAATCAAGAATTCTGAATTCCCAAAACAACAGTCACCTTTTAGAAAAAAATACTGAAGCTTGGCTGGGCGTGGTGGCTCACACCTATAATCCCAGCACTTTGGGAGGCCAAGATGGGTGGATCACTTGAAGTCAGGAGTTCAAGACCAGCCTGGCCAACATGGTGAAACCCTGTCTCTTCCAAAAATACAAAAATTAGCCGGGCATGATGGTGTACACCTGTAGTCCCAGCTACTCGGGAGGCTGTGGTGGGAGAATTGCTTGAACCTGGGAGGCAGAGGTTGCAGTGAGCCGAGATTGTGCCACTGCCACTGCACTCCATCCTGGGTGACAGAGTAAGGCCCTGTCTCCAAAAAAAGAAAAAAGAAAAATCACTGAAGCTAGCTAGTTAGACTGCACCTTCTCTACCAATGTACTCATAGCTGGATAAGTAGTTCTAATGAGAACTAAAAATCCTTATAGTAACTATACACACCAATAGCAGTTTTGTCTTTATCAAGGCTAAAGGTACAAATAAACAAAAGAAGGTCTTCAAGTCAGTGTATGAGAACACATGACCTGTAAGAGCTATGTTGTAAGCTCAGAAGGGCTAATGTTATCATTTCCATTTTCTGGAAGGAGAGAAGCCCAGAATCATACCCAAAGTCAGAGTCCAACAGGCTCCGGGCGGAGTCTAGATTGAGGGTCTCTCTGCCAACTTAGTGGTTCTTTCCTTACTACATCAGAATTCCAGGCCAGGTCATGCTATGATGTCACAAGGAAAAAGTCCCTTGCCCTGTGTCTTAGCTTCCTCAGGAGAGCTGTTAGGGAAGGTAAGAGAACAGCATAGAGTCACTGTTCCTATATTTTAAGGAATAAATGAGGCCTCATATTTAATGTCCTATCTAAAAGTGATGACAATGCTGATAATAAGATACAATTACATTTTTTTTAGAAATACTGCCATGCATTAGCAAGACTGCACTAAAACTTCTGTAATCCCTCTGATCATGCATCTCAAACACATTCATGGGAATAAGAAAACAATTGTCAAAAAAATGAATTATGGCAATAAAGCCCTAATGAGCTCATTGGAATTTAATAACATTATTTTGATTTGAATTTTTTTGAATCACAGAATATCTCAGTCTTAAGGGACACTGACAACCCTCATTTTTCAGATGAGGTAGATACAGGTCAGACGTCTTGCCCAATGTCACTGGGCCTATTGGCAGTACATACAGGACTTGAATCCAGGTCCTAAAACTACTCATCTTTCTGCTATCCTACACTGATGCCAATGAAGATTACCTTAATGGACTAACTACCAATGCTGTGAGGTTACTGATCTAGAAGTTATAAAATGTCAATATAATTTATTCGGTATTTTTTAAGACAAAAATTCCATTGAAGTCAATGAGGTGAGCTAATGGAGAATAGGAGTTAATCCTGCCTGGGTTAAAATTATTATTGTGCTAGGTTAGAATTAATATTGGCATCTCATATGGAATATATTTAAAATGTTTAATTTAACCTTTAATTCAACTCAGTTTTGGTTGTTGTTGTTGTACTTGTTTAAGAGACAGGGTCTCACTCTGTCGCCCACACTGGAGTGCAGTGGTGCAATCATAGCTCACTGCATCCTTGAACTCCTGGGGCTCAAGCAATCTTCCTTCCTCAGCCTCCCAAGTAGCTGGAACTACAGGTGTGCACTACCATGCCTGGCTAATTTTTTGTAAACATGGGGTCTCATTATGTTGCTCAGGCTGTTCTCGAACTCCTGGGTTCAGGTAATCCTCCTGCCTTGACCTCCCAAAGCACTAGGATTACAGATGTGAGCCACCACACCCAGCCTGAACTCAGTTTTTAAAGGGCAACCCACTATACAACTGAGTAGTCCAAATTAAATTTACTGAGAAAGCTTAGTTGTGTTTGGAAAAAACGTAGCAGAAGCTAAGATTTTTGTACACATTCCTCGATCTTTAAAAGAGTATTATGTGGCAAAAGTACTCCCCGCTCCTCCCATCCCCAAAATGAAATTTCAAAATCCACTCTTTCCAGGGGTCTTAGCAGCCATCAGCAGCACTTCAAAGGGGGTAGACAAGAGACAGGTATAAATCATAAGCAATGCTCATCTTTCAAAATATTTTGAAAACAATACTGTTAAAACAAAGACACCTGAATTCCAAGATAATTAATCCCCTCAAATGTGAGTAAATGGACTGCCATTTGGGAGCTGTTATTGAAGTTTTGCCACTTACATTCTAAGCCATTTTCTAACCCCAAAATACTGATATCCTTCTGGGAAATTTATATGAGAAAATTCTTTCAAACACCATTTAAAAGAGCCCACTAGTTTGACAGTCTTAGCTGAGAAAACTTCCTAGAAGAGTAAGAAATTGAAATAAGAGAAACGCTATCCTGAATGTAAAGCACTGAACATGTTAACATCTATCAAGGGACTCATAACCAGTATTTGTTAAAGAGGATTTTAAGATAATAGCTAAAATGAAATTAAATGTAAAACATATTTAAACTAATATGTTTGTTCGTTGCATACACAAAATGTCAAAAACAGTCATTAAATACAGCTTATGACTCTAAACAATTGTTTGTGGATTCTCCTTTTACAAAATAAAAACCTGAAGATAAATAATCATCACAAGGCTGCACACTGCTGACATCTGGGCCAGATTACATCAAACATTGCCTTCCTGTTCAACACAGCACAAGAGAATAAAAAAATTTTTCCCAATTTAAACTTGTCCCTAGAGCCATAAAGAATGAAAAACTGCCGTGTCAACAGCTTCTGTGTGTGTGTGTGTGTGTGTGTGTGTGTGTGTGTGTGTAGTGATGTTTTTGTTTGTTTGCTTTTCATTTTTTATTTTATGCATTTTCAATACATCTACATACTTTTCTCTTCCCTCTTTCACCATTCATTGGCTATGTAAAGCTCCAAAAGCTGGCACTCTGATGGAACAAGCCTCATATCCTAAAGTGCTGAAAGAATTGGCTACTGGTATGAAACCATTTCAAGGATACCAGCAACTTTTGTTAAGGCTATTGTTTTATAGTTAAATGCCATTCAGAGCAACTTGAACTGGACCTGTCTACTATCAAAGAGAGTAATTCACTGGGTTGCCTGGGATTTGGCTGGCAGGCCATCCTAATATTTATCTGGGGACAACTTTCACCTTTGGCTAGAAAATACTAACACAGAGCTTGAAATTGAGCAAAGTAAGAAAAGTAAATACTATGGAAAAGAATTGGGATTTGATGTGGCTATTACTCAAACGATGGAACCTGCAACATTTTGCAATAACTTGTTCACAAGCATGCATATGTACATATACACAAAAAAGGAGCTAAAAACCTTTCGTGTGGCTTTTAGATAGAATGTCACATTCCAGCCTTCATAGGGATCTAGAATTTTTTTTCAAAAATAAAATCTGAAGGACATAATCATTGTTCTCCATACTCTCAAGAAATCTGTTCAACCACTCTGATTTCAGGGTTGCTTTTCATTAGCAAAAGTTAGGAAGAGGAGGATTTGTGGAGTTTTCAGGGCTGACTTATGAGTTTCAAATAATTACCTTATAGACACTGGAGCAGGCAGTGCAGTGAGAGGGTATTAATAAGGCCTCGCACAAAAAGTGTGCAGAAAGACAGAGAGGGAAAATAACAAGCAGACCCCGGGCTTTCTTCCTAAGTTTCCAGAGTCCTGATTTTCTTATTAAAAATAAGTGTTAAAATATTTATCTTTCCTAACCTCTACAACTAACTTTGTATTCTGAATAAAGATAACTTTCAGTTATAAACAAAACTAAGAGAGAAAGTCAGATTTTAGAGCACCTGGGAGTGATGAATTGAGAAAAGAAATGCGGTAACCAACAGAAAAATCTCAGTCCAGCTTAGATATGACTTGCAGCTGAAAGTTATCTCAGGTTTTCAGGTCCTACTCTTCTAAGATGATGAACTCATACTATCTTTTAATGAGAGGCTCATATCTGCCTTTGATGTGTGAAAGACACTCCCAGCTGGAGGAGAGTACAAGAAAGATCTAAAATATTTGCTTCAGCTGCAAAGAACTATTAATGAAAGTTTAGAAAATGAGGTAGCATTAGGGGGAAAATCTTTAGAAAAAAAGATGACATACTCTCATCTTATGAAATCTTAAGGGAATATATTCCAGTAAAATAAAATCTGACAAAAAAGTTCTTCCCTCTTCTACACACCAGAGTTCTTCATCCTTTTCCAGAGTGTGTTCTTAATTCCCTGGTACATAGGAGAAAAAAAAAAAAAAAGGCTTCATATAATTTGCTATTCACACAAAACACCAAGGGTTAGAGTCACATAATGTACACAGAGGTTATAAGACCACATGGATGTATCAGCTTACATTGGGGAGAGTTTTAGAATTAATTCTTACAAAACCACCTTTAAGTGTGTTTAAGAAGGGGAGCACTTACAGTGCAATCTTGCGCAACATGTTTACCTATGTAACAACCCTGCATGTCCTGTGCATATGCCCCTCTACGTAAAAGTTGGAAATAAAAAAAAAATCCTGTGCAAAACAGAACTTAAGTTCAGATAATTCTCCACAATTCTCTATGCTGCTTAATGTTCTGAGATTATCTTTTTGTCAAAAAAGCAGCAAAAATAGAAATCTGGTTTTCTTAATAACCTGTCTAAATATATTTTCTAACTATCTAATCTACTCTCAGTATAGAGCACAGGTACAGAAGATAAGCATTAAACAACTCCCATAGGCTATTATAAATCTCCCATTTAGAGTCTGGGACACTTTCAATTACTCTTAGCTGGTCTACCCAGTAACTACTTTCCCTGAATGAGCAAGGAGATCTGTAGAGGTAGCAAAGTCTTTGAGACCTTTTCTTATTATTCCCTTTGATAGAGAGCAGGAGAAAAAGCATATGTGGAAAAACATATGAAATTCCTTCTTAGAAAAAAAAAATTCTCTGTTGCTAACTCCTAAATTAGGTATCTTATATAACATATTTACACATATGTTAACAACTTTACAAAGTAGGCCTCATTATCTTTCTTTTACAGATGTGGGAAACAAGGATCAGATGAGACAGGTTATATGATTTGTCACATGGCTCGTAAGTCAGAATTTGAATCTAGGTCTCAATCTACAAGCTGTGCTTTAGAATGTTAGGTAATTAAACATGATGGCATCACCTACTTTCTGCGGAAGAAATAAATGTTCTAAGGTAAAGAAAGATGCTGAGGAAGGGAAAGTGAGAGAGAGAGAGAGAGAGAGAGAGAGAGAGAGAGAGAGAGAGTATGGACAGGCAAGTACCAGGACTAGGAAATAGTTATTTCAGCAACTTTTATTCATTCAATAAGTACTTATGTAGAATCTACTAGGGGTCAGCTACTCTCAAGGGTTCTCTCAATGGCATCTAAATTCTTGTACCCTCTCAAGGAAATTATATAATTTCTTCTTTCAAAGTTTCCATATTCCTAGGCCAATGTGACATTCCTTTTTTCTCCTCACACATGCCTGGCTGAAATCATGCCAAACCTCAGCAACTTTTAAAAGTGATAAGTCTGCTAGAGTATTTATGTTAAAAACAATTTCAACGGCATACCTGGAAATAAATATTCTACTCCAACAACCAAAATTTTACAAGTGATTAAAGTGGAAAGAGATATGAACGGATATGATCGGATATCTCAGAATGACAATCCATAACTAAGCTAGCTTCCCTACCCACCATCAATGTCAACAATGTCAAAGGAAACTCTGTAAGCAGAATAACTACTTCCTCTTTTTAGCCTGATCCATTTATCCATTTTTCAAAATTTCAGGTATTTCAGACAATGTAGTCTTTTGGATTAAAGACAAGAACTAAGGAAAATATTAATTTCTAACTCAGTTACTATGCTGGTTTACAGAGGCAGCATCATAATTGTTTAAGGCCCTTCCTTAGGGTTCTTTTGATAGGAAAGGAGAAGAAATTGCTTAACTTCCTCATTGCTCAGTCTCCTCAATGAGTAAAATAGACAGATATCCTGGTTATCCCTTCACCTTGATATGAAACTAAACTTTGTTAAATAAAGCTCCAGAGTGAGTGGGTGCTGAGTGTCATTCAACAAATGATAATTCCCCAATCCGAGTTTCAAGTTCTCATTTTATATTTGAGCAACATAGCACAACGCTGACAAAAAGAGGATTAAATCAAGGATTCTGAGCAGAGAGGGGAAAGGCCATGATCATTCCTATCAAAAAAGAAAGGGCAGTTATTTTCTCTTTTCTTTCCTTTAAAAAGAAAGTACTGAGGGATAATTCTGATGTGTCTATTCCAGCAGAACATTTGAAAGACGTGTCCAATTCAGGCCAGAGCGTTGCTCTCAGAGCGAAGGGTATCACCATGCTCTAGAGTTCAGTCTCCTCTGCACATACATAAACACAAGTGCATAGCGCCCCAACGCTGTTTGTCCCCTCGGCCTCACAGCTCTGCCAGTTGGCAAACCCAAGCCAGGAAGTTGTCAATTCCAATTGCGTTTAGGCCATGTAGTCCTATTAAAGAAGGCCTGCTGGTTAAGGGGCGTCCTCTGTTTCCAAAGCATGGGAAAAAAAAAAAAAAGGCTATGCTTAGATTGGAGCTGGCAACTTTCACTGACTAGAGTTTTCAAGGAGCTATGAATGAGTTTAACAAAGGAGGTCTGTGGCTAGTTTCTGGCTGAAGTCCATGTCAACAGTTTTTAAGGTCACAGGCCACACTAACTAACATTTATTCCCAGCAGACCCTGTTCTAAACACAAGCTGTAAGTAGTACAAATTTGGAATTTTTCTGTAATCCCTTGAGATATTCCTGATCCTTCCACATGTTTCTGCTCAATTAAAAACAATTCTCACTTTGCACCACAAGAGAGGCCATGCTCAGCAATCTCAGTTCATCCTTAGGGTAGACGAACAAAAACCTGGCAAATCAAAGGGCTTGAGTGGGGAAGGGAAGGAATTCAGCTGGATCACACTGAAAAGTGCAGACAGCTCCCCAGGGGCTCAGTTTGTGAAAGCATAAAACAGGTTATGACAGAGATCCTGAGGCCATAAAAAGCAGGTTTGAGACACACATTGGGAATAGGTTCCTAGTCATTTTACAGAAATAAGATAAAAATTTCTGAGAAAATTAACAGGTCAACTAGGTGAGTAGAGAATGGTGATAATGCATAGGACAGATGCTAAATATCCCACTTGGAAATTAATACTAACATTTCTCAATTAAGAGGAACTCCTTTAACATCTCTGAAATCAAAATGCATTTTGGGAACAAACTAAAAATTTAACACAGTCATTTCTCCCCCTGAAAAAATATTTTTACATCAATGGTGCAGTGTATAACTAATGGTATTTTTAAGTCTTGGCAGACAACATGGGAATAACTGCCTTGGACTGAGTACCAAAGATGTGCTATGCACTGTGCGTGGTATGTCCATTAAAAAAAAATCTCTCCTGAGCGAGGCATGGTGGCTCACACCTGTAATCCCAGCACTTTGGGAGGTTGAGACAGGCAGATCACTTGAGGTCAGGAGTTCAAGGTCAGCCTGGCCAACATGACAAAACCCTGTCTCTACTAAAAATAAATTAGCTGGATATGGTGTCGTGCACCTGTAATCCCAGCTACTTGGGAGGCTGAGGTGGGAGAATCACTTGAACTCAGGAGGCAGAGGCTGCAGTGAGCCGAGATCGTGCCACTGCACTCCAGCCTGAGCGATGGAGTAAGACTCAGTCCCAAAAGATAAATAAATAAATAAATAAATAAATAATAAAAATAAAAACATAGGCCGGGCGCGGTGGCTCACTCCTGTAATCCCAGCACTTTGGGAGGCTGGGGTGGGTGCATCACCTGAGGTCAGGGGTTTGAGACCAGCCTGACCAATATGGTGAAACCCTGTCTCTACTAAAACTACAAAACTTAGCTGAGCATGGTCGTGGGTGCCTGTAAGCTCAGCTACTTGGGAGGCTGAGGCAGGAGAATCACTTGAACCTGGAAGGCAGAGGTTGCAGTGAGCTGAGACCACGCAATTGCACTTCAACCTGGGCAACAAAAGTGAAACTGCATCTCAAAAAAAAAATAAAAAATAAAAAAATTTAAATTTAAATTAAAAATATATATACCTCGTAATCTTTAAGGCTACCATGAGATGTACTTTCTGTTTTACAGTTAAGGAAACAGGCTCAGAAAGGTGACATGACATGTTTTGGCCTTAGATCTAGTAAGGGGTAGAATCAAAATTTGAACACAGTTCTGATTTCAGAGCGTAAGTCCGTTTCACAAACTTAGTGGGGAAACACACATTAGAGTATCAGTTACTATTTTGGTAGCTAAAGTACTGCCGTTTGTGGCATTCTATATTTGAAATCATGAGATAGATATATGAAGGTGGTTATAATTTTTCCAAACTAAAAAATATGTAAATTATTGTGCAGTGAATATTTGGATTGGGCTTGATAGAACAGCCAGGATAACTACTTCATTAAAGAGAATTAAAAACACCCATGATAACATTACTTAACTATTCTCATTAATACTTTGGGATCCGATCCCCCACGTCATTTTTTTCTACATACTTTTTACAAAATGGAGATCACATCACATATAAAAATTTGTCTCTTGCTTTTCTTCTATAAGTACTGGATATTTTCCATGTCATCAAATAATCACCAAAACCAATTTTAATGGCTACATGGTATCTAATTAAATTTAACTATCCTCTATTTCTAGGCCTTAAAATTGTTTCTAACTTTTCACTCTATATGCTAAATGTCCTTGTCCATATATCCGTACTTATATTTCTGAGTTTTTCATAAAACAGATTCCCCAAAGTGGAAAAAATGTTAAAGGTTTTGAATATATATTGCCAATTGTTTTCCAAGAATGTTGGACCATTTTACAACCTGATCAACAGTGTGTAAGTGCCTACCTCATTACCAAGTGTCATCTGCAAGCTAGCATAACCTAGGCTCATGTACACTTTGTCACATGTATGCCCACATACATCTCACCTATGACAATTGGTCTACCTTTCAATATCTACTATACTATGTGATGTGGTGAGATGTCCACGACCACCTTACCAATATTCTTTACTTATATTAGCTCTTTTTTTTTTTTTTTTTTTTTTGACACAGAGTCTTGCTCCTATTGCCCAGGCTGGAGTGCAATGGTGCAATCTCAGCTCACTGCAACCTCCGCCTCCCAGGTTCAAGCAATTCTTCTGCCTCAGTCTCCCGAGTAGCTGGGATTACAGGCGCACACCACCATGCCCAGCTAATTTTTGTATTTTTAGGAGAGACAGGGTTTCACCATGTTGGCCAGGCTGGTCTCGAATTCCCGACCTCAGGTGATCGACCCGCCTCGGCCTCCCAAAGTGCAGGGATTACAGGCGTGAGCCACCGTGCCTGGCCTACTTATATTATCTCTAATCCTCACCAAAAAAATAGATATGAGGAAATTAAGGCTCAGACAGAGTAAATGGAGTAATCAGAAGCTCATTTCCAAATCAGGAGGACTGGAATGCAGGCCCTACTCTGACACTAGACCACACTCTTATGCCATGCCACCGTGTAACTCATTTTACCTTTCAGATAATGATCAACTTTCTCTCACAACTCCAGGGACTGCCTCTTTCTCTAGCAACACCTCTGCAAACGATGAGACCAGATTAATGTTTGGAGAAGTAAATAAGGGCAATAATACCTAGATCTCATGGGCTTTGAGAAAAGTGAAGTGTATGCTGGCGAGTCTTCTTTAAAAAGCAAGGAGCTAGTGGCAGCAGTGTGGTGCATGGAATGCTCATGCACAGCTTGCAGAAGCAGAAAATGGTGAAACCACTGAAGGAAACAATTTGGCATTATCTCAATAAAGTTGATTGAGCTTAATAGAATAAAATTGCCCAATTTGGCATTTATCCCAATGAAGTCAACGATATACATGTCCTATGACACAACTATTCAACTCCTTAGGTACATACAGTACACAGAAGTTAAGTCTATGTGCACCAGTATAGCTCTTCAAGAATGTTCATAAAAGTCACACGCTAGAAACAGTCCAAATGGCCACCTACAGTTACATGCATAAACAACTCAACCCCTTTATCTCTACAATGGAGATAATTTCATAAGATTGCTATAAAAATAAATGAAAATTACATAAACCAGCTGTGGTATATCATCATACAACACAGAACACTAGATAGCAAAGAAGACAGACTATAACCATAAGCAACAGCATGGGTGAATCTCAAGGTTAAGCAAAAGAAGTAAGACTGAAAATAACAATTCTAAATTGCATAATGCAACTCACAGAGTTCAAAACCAAACAAAGCTATACTATACTATTTAGGGATGTATACATAGGTGAAAAAATTAATATCAGGGTGCTAGTAATTTCTGAACTTCAATGGTGATTACATGGGTATTTGCTGTATATTTATGTTTACTTATGTGTGTATAATGTGTATATGTACATTTGACGCCCTTTTCTGTTTGCAGGTTATATTTCACAATTTACAAAAGGGAAAAACACAGGGTTGTGATCAAACATTTACACAATAGATATAGCATACAGGGACTTTATCAAGTATTTACTGTTTTATTTAATCTTTAGAACAATATTCTGCATTAGTATTGTCCACAATTTGCCACTGAAATAACTGAGACAAAAACCAAATGACAGCCAAGTAAAAATATTTTTATTATAAATCCATGTTTTAAAAAGATTGAAAAAAAATCAAAGTATAGCACCAATGTTTGTTTCATTACAACACAAAAACAGTTTGAATATCCCTTATCCAAAACATATGGGACCAGAAATGTTTCAGATTTTAGATTTGTTTGGATTTTGGAATATTTGCAGAATATATACCAGTTGAGCACCGCTAATTTGGAAATCCAAAATGCTCCGATGGACATTTCATTTGAGCATCATGTTGGTGCTCAAAAAGCTTTTAGAGCATTTTGAATTTTGGATGTTCAGATTAGGGATACTTGAGTACACTAAATCTGAGGAACGCACAAGTTCATGGGAGTCCTTGAAAGTTAAACTGTCCCTTCAAACAAAAAGACCTAGAATTGCAATCTCTGGAGAATGTTAACAAAGAGTACAATGAAAAGATATTTATAAAAGTTTTGTTTTCAGTGGTCACGGGACAACAGTTATCTTTACTCAATAAGGATAATCAATATTGGCTATATTTTTCATATACTAATAAAAAAGAAAAAGCACAAATTAAATTTTCTCCAAAGTTGGTATCCAAAATTACAAAATTTACAAAAGTGACAGTAAAAATCCTAGCTCAGCAGAAAACAGTATACTAGCAAACATACATTCTTTAGAGTCTGTTTTGGCTTGGGGTTGTTTTTGTTTGCAGTGTTTTTTTGTTTTTTAACCACTTAAAAACTTGTTTTCTGATGGGACCAGAATTTTAAAATTAAAAACTTAAAATAAAAAAAAAATCAGTCAGTCATCCCAAGGAGCTTAGACAACAAACTGCAGGACACTGAATTTCACCCAACTTCTTCTCCCACCACACTCTTAAATCGGTTTTTAAAAAATGTAAAATTTTTCAAGTCAAGCATTTTTGCTGTATTTTGGGTCCATTAATTCACATAAAGAGGTAGTTAAAATACCAGACTGCATAAATGAACAATAGGACAATTAACCTCACATGCAAAACTCCACCACTTTACTTCAAAGGCATCTGAAATAGAATGGATTAGAAACCATAAATGATGCCTCTCAGAATTAATTCTGTAATAAATATTGCTTTGTATTATAGATAAGGGATTTAAAATCTCTATGTGGTAGTTTAAGACTTGTGGATTGAGCTAAAGCACAACAATTGCCCTTGGTTTTGCATAAGATCACTGGTAGATTCAAGTCCATGAGTAGAAAATAAAAACCTACTTAATTTCCACTGCATACTACAATATATAGAATTTAATTTTCTCCACAATGTTTAAAAATTCCATAAGTTTACGTAAAGTTTTAAGATACATGTAATTTGCTTTCACTTAGAATGCAATATATTCTAATTTCAAAATTATACTGCTATCTAACTTCAAAAGAGTTCCCTTAATGTTACAATTTGCATTTTACAACTCATGCTAATAAAATTACTTACTCTGAAGATGTAAATATACAAAATAAAATACGGAAACGTAAACTCAACACATTATTTGCCACTTGATTTTAACCAAGACTTTTGATACTATTTCCATACTCTTCTGTTCATTGTTTCAGAAGCTAGTAACTATTCTTCATTGTCAAGAATCAGGTAATAGCTCACATGTTAAGATAAAAAAAAAAGTTGAGTGTTTCTTTTAAAAAAATACCAAGTAGTTAGCTGAATGACAACATTATAGCAAATGCATTTTTAAAAAGAAGATAAGCCTTAGCAAGAAATATTCTTTCACATTACTAAGAGCTTCTTTCCTTGTATTATAAATCAATCTCACACAAATAAATTATGTAGTTAAAAACACTCTCAGGAAAGAATATTTAATGACATGTAAAGATGGTTACAATTTAATAAGTGAAAAAGCTAGATACAAAGTTATACCTACAGCACCATCCCAATTCAGGGAAGGAAACACCCTTAGTCATTATCAGCATGGTGGGATGAGAGATTTCTTTTCTTTTCTGCAGTTTTCTAAATTTCTCTAATGAGAAAGTGTATCTTTATAATCTTAAAAAATAACATCCTAAAAATAAGTGGCTCATAATTGATTGCTAGAATTGTAGAGTCTTCAAACTTCTTCAAACTTCAATCATGGTACTACGATTTTTCTGTAAAGAAGTACCTATTATTGCAGTCTTATGGGGCCTCTCCATGATGGAGAGAATGTTAGGCTTCCTACTGCTTCTAAAACTGATCCCTGAAAGGGCCAGACAACTTAAATTCAGACTCCTGTATTCACAAATCCATCTTGCTCTTAAGAGTGTAGCTTAGAAGCAAAGGGCAATTTTAGGAGTGAGGTGTATTTTGAGCCATTTTCTTTTCTACCTCCCACCCAGTGAAAAGCAAAGATCAGGCTCAGATAAATGCCTTCTGCTTATTGCTGTTGAAGGAAAGTGGCTGGCTTGCAGGGAGGTCCAAGAAAAATTGTTGACACTCAAACTCAATCAAAAAGCACCGAGGAGCCTCTCCTGTAGAATGCTTTTTCATCTCCCAAAAAGGGTCCCTCATGTCGAATTCTGAGATCCTTTCAAAAGACAGGCTCTATTTCACTGGTTTTCCATTCAAACATACCTTGCATCGGATTTAAACAGAACTGATCATCTTGTTCACTCTATAATCACATAGTTGGATTATTCACATTGCTCATAATGATGCTAACCAAAAGGGAATGTGACTCCTTGACACTAACCAGGGGCTACTGAGTCTTGAAAAAACATTAGTTCCAGCTGGCCTTGGGCTCATTCTCCTGAGTTGGAAGAATCATTGCCATATCACGGGCAAAACCCTGGGTTGGAGGTCAGAAGACTGTCATTCACCAGCCAAAGAGCTTGGAACAAAAATCTTCCTGTCTCATTCATGTTTCATTTTCATCATTTATAAGATGAGGGTGAGCTGTAGAACATTATTTCTGAAAGCTCTTTAAGCTCACCTCTGAGTTCATTCTGCAAGGGCAAACTACCCATTATGTCTTTTTAAACTAAGTATATACATATAGAAAGAGAGGACAAATAACCTTTTGAAAGCAGTAAAAGTTGCTTTGGTGGCAGGAAGACAGAATTTGCAGTTGAGAGTATAAATTTTGGGTTGGATTTTAGCTTCCAAACCAGATTCCTTAACTTTCTCCTTGAGATCTTGGGCAAGTCACTGTATCTCTCTCAGTCTCAATCCCTTTATCTCTACAATGGAGATAATTTCATAAGATTGCTATAAAAATAAATGAAAATTACATAAACCAGCTGGCATATTAAATAAATGCTGATAAATGTTAATTCCTGCCTTCCACTCCAAATCCTCTGTAGTGAGTTATCCAGAGTTAGTCTATCCATGTTCAAAATGATGAAGTAACATGAGCCATCAGCAGCAGTCACTAGAGGTAGCAAGATGATTGAAGAATGCGGGGGTGGGTAGAGAGCAAAAAACAAGGCAGAACTACACTCCTGGAGTTCTTGAGGTGGTTTCACTTCCTGCCCTGTACTAAGCTTCATGAGGATTAATGACAAGGAAGTGTTCTGTTTCCAAAACAGAGAAAGTATCACATCTCTTGTAAGGTTTAGAATTCACTCCGTCTCAAAAATAAAAAATCCCTTTTAGCCAAAGTCTTAGAGTTACAAATACCCTACAACCCTAGGGTCAGGTTGCTTGAGGGAAGGCTGTGCCAGGCTGGTGTCCTCTGAAAAGAATCAGGAGGAGAAAGGGAGCTTCCTCCTGCAGTGGACAGCCTGAGGCTGGCTGCTTGTTCCAGCCCCCATGGCCACTGCAGAAGACACACCTGTCCTTCCAACTGCGCAGCTTCCCAGCCCTCAAATCAACCTCCAACAGCAGGCCACTGGGAGTGCAAGGGCAGTTTCGGCTATTTCTCTTTCTTCTCTTCAAAGGTGATTTTCTTTAAACTGTACAGCTTGTTACTATTGTTGAGTTGTGGCTCCCCAGAGGATTATATATGTTTCTAAGTATGAAGGCATCTGTATGGCAATAAAACATGCAACATTCCCCAACCACTTCATTTTTTAATTCAGAAAAACTAGTTATAAACTCCCACAAACTGATGTTCTGAAGAGCACCCCATGCCCTGCACCCACACAAGCCTTTCAAAATACTGAGGAACTCAGAAGGGCCCTGGGCCTAGGAAAGAGCAGACTCCCTGGCCCATCCTCTATGTTCAGCTTCTGACAGATGCCATGTTCTGAGACCCACAGTCGGTGAAATTATCAATCTGCCTTAGCAGTGGGGCCTTCTGCCAACTGACCATCCAGAGAATAACAAGAACAACACAGTATCCAGCTTACTTTTAAGGAGAAGAATTAAAAAGAAATCAAACAGTTCCAGAGAGACAGAAACACTCAAAAGGCAAAGGAAAGTCCTCTGTTAAACGGTATGAAAGACCCAGGTTTCCAGAATGGCATTTAAGGCACTGGGAAGAAAGGCTGATTTCTCCCAGAGGGGCCCCGGCTTTGATGCCCAACTGCCCTCAAACATCAGGCTGTGCATTTTTGTATAGCAGGGTACCCTCGGGCGAGACAACCATAAACAGCTTAAAACAAGAATAGGAGATTCCATCTGTTTCTGGAATATTTCAGCAGCACCTGCTTTCAAGGTAAAAATCTGGGAGCTGTCCCCACAGCCTTCCTCCCCGACTCCCTCCCCCACCTCCCAAACACTTATTTTAAACTAAAGCAGCTAACACACAACCCAAAAGGGCTTCTGCCACCGCACCTGCCTGAGGAAACAGAGTCCTTTGATTTTATTCCTGAACTGTATGTGTTGTTTAAAAACACTGGAACAGTCAGCAAGGAAAGCCAAAGTTCTTAAAGCCAGACTCCTTTATTACTTCTAGCTTCTTTTTTGCTCCGTGGAAATGGAGCTTTTCTGTGTTTCGAGTGAAAATGAATGTAACACAGCTGAGAATGGATGCAATGGTCATTCCAGTCTTGAGATCAGAAAGTGCTCCAGAAGGAAGAAGGTTGTCACTGAACACCACTCAGGTTTAGAATCAAGTCCATATGCCAACTAGCATGGAAGAAGGGATAATCACTATCCTTGTTTTTAAAAGAAAACAAAAAAACCCCCTGCAGTTGAGGTTTGAAAAATCCAGTCTAAATCTGGGTGCTACCTCCAAAGTGACACGCAACATCCCTTCAAACAATAACCAGAAAAACCCAAGCACATTTCACATTCAAAAAATCACTTTTGCCTTGGTCTAAAAACATCATCATCTCTAATGTCTACCCGAAACCAGCTGACAGTATTCCATTTGCTACCGGATAAATCTAAAATCTTGAGCACGCCCCAGAAGCACTCACAATTGGACCCCAGACTTCGATGGTATCATCTCTTGCTATTGCTCCCTCACTGCATTCTCAGCATCCTTTCATCTTGCTATACCTTTCATTTCTTGGGGACTTTGTGTATCAGTTCTCACTGCCTAGAGAGCTGTTCTCCCATTTTCCTCCAGCCAAGCCCCCACTCATTCTGCAAGACTCAGTTTAACTGGAACTCATCAGCAACACTTTCCCTTATTCTCAAGTTAGAGATGGGCACTGTCTAATCTGTGACTTTGAAGAACCTTACACATAAATATGTTTTCTTAAAACAACACTGATCGCATTATGTTTTCATTACTTGTTTACATTTTCCCACCCCAAAGATTGAGCAGTTCCTAAAAGAGTGAGGGTAGCAGAAGTGCAGTGGGAGATGGATATCAAAATCAGAGGTGGTCCATGAACAGTGCACCTAGAAGCACATTAGATTTTATATTTGGTAAATGACAAGAAATACTTTTTTTTTTCATTTTGTACTACCAAGTTCAGAAAGTTCAGCTCATCAAAATCTTGGATGAGTGTGATATCTGAAGAGTTTTCAAATGGAGATCTGGGGCTAGATCTCTGTGTTCATGTTAAGGGACCTTGAAACAAGTGAAGGCCAGAGACCAAGTGTTATGTATTGCCCATTCTGGGTATATACTAGGTACTCAGATACTTTTTAATTGAATAAAAATTTAAAAAGTTAAACTAAAAAAATTTAGACAGCATCTTGAGGAAAAAAGTTTTTTCTTTCCAAAATGTATAATAAAATTAGTTTTATTTGGGTGTAAGGACAGTTACTCAATCTTTCTTAAGAGCTTCAATAAGATCCCAATGGAAGCAGGAGAAAACTGTAGGGCAAATATTTGTGTAGTTCCTTTATAAAAGACAAAAGGTATTTAATTATTGTATGACATATCTCCCCATAACCCTCAAACACAAATTTAAACCTTTGAACTCCTGTGTTCCTTCTGTTGATCCAGAACTAGAAGTTGGCTAGAAATCGCATCTTTCATTACAGTTTTGGCCTTGATGGAGTATGTGCCATTGGGGCAAATCAAATATCAAGTGCCATAACAAATTTCAATTCTAGGTCACTTTGTTTTATAATATTTAAAGATTTCAGAGGTAAATGCATATATTGCATCAGACTCAGATGGTACAATATGAAAATGCTAAAATGCTCTCACATCCCTGTGTTTATGATGGAGACTAACTAATCCGTAACTACTGTTCTCCTAGCTGGTGTTTTTAATTTAGTATCAACTCCCATCCAGGAACTCATTAAATAATGTGGCAAATCTCAAGGAGGAGTAAAATTCTTCAGTGGCAGGAACTAGTCAACCATGGGAGGAAATAATGCATTTGATTTATAGTGGCATTTGTGTTAATAGGACTTGTTTGGTACGACTAGGTTTCTGCCAAGGTTAGCTGGTAATAAGAGTTCATACCAAAGTTTCTAATGTTTTTTAATAAACATGGGCTTATTTCCCCATTCATTCCTTCATAAAACAAGTACTAGCTAAGTCCTTGTCCTTGAAGAGTTCCCAGACTAGCTGGGAATGTCAGCTATGTGCCAGAATATTCTTCAATAAACTTTGGATGTATTTGTGGGAGGAGAAAAAAACATAAAAATTCCCAGCCTTCATGGAGCTCATGCCCTAGTGGGGAGGAACAGAAAATAAAAAGGAACCTAATAAGTAGGTTATGTTGCACAAAGGGTGTCTAAAAACCTTTCATTGTGAAATTAAGTTTAAATTTTAAAATACAGATGGCTTAACCCTTCATGGACAAAATGTCTATCACTCAATATTGAACCTCCATTGTGAGATTAAAAGGTGCATCTCTTACAACTAGCATGAAATGAGTTTGGTAATGTGAACTACACTTCTTCCAACAACTATTTCTTATTTCCTCTCTGAATTTACGTCCCATGACACCTGTCCTCTCATTCAAAGTCTTTGGTGCCCTGCCCTCCCATTCTTGATGCATTTCCCTGTCTCTGATCCCAATGCACACAATATCTTGGATAAGCACTACACTAACTGCTGGAGATGCATGCATAGTTAATTAAGATCCAGCCTTTACCCCTGAAGAGTTGACCTTCCAATAGGAGGAAAACAAAGGAGGACCAAGGTTATGAGTGTGTAACTAAAGAATGCAAAGCACGCTGGGTGTGCCAGAGAGGGAATGATTACCTCTACATGGGGAAGGCTACTCTGCAGAGGTGCCTAGGCTGAGTCTGGGAGGATGGGTAAACATGTGAAAGCAGAGACTGTTGAGTGGTTCACATGGACCAGAAAGCATAGAAGTTTGGAATGTCAGACAAGGAGGAAGTGAAGCTAAATCCTGGAACCACAGGGGCTACGTCTGCACAGATGCCATAACTGAGAGCTACATCCCTTGAGAAGAAATGGAAAGCAAAAGTAGAGGTAGTTTATGAGCAGACTTGAGCCACAGCCCTGGGCACACTGTGAAGGGTGATTGGACCTCAAGGCACAGGTTAACTAAAGAGAAAGTATCTAAAGGAAGCAAGGAGACTGAGCAGCAGAAGAGGACAATACAACAATGTAACCTAGACCCAAACTGAGCTCTCATTCTCTTGGCAGACCTCTCCACTCCCCAGTGGATACACCGTCAACCAGTCATCCAGCTTTAACAGTAAACCCTTCCATTTACATGCTAGTCTCAGCCTAGCAATGTTCCCAAACCCAACAGAGGGAAAGTGTCAGTGGGTGTGCCCTTTATTTCCACACAAGCTGGAAAAGATAGCTTCTCTACCCTCATATTAAATACTCATAAAATTCATGTTCCACAATTCATCTAGGACTCTTTTATTTTTAGCCACAGTCACTATCCTCTGGCACTAGAAAAGCAACAGCAAGACGACACTATGCCTTGGGATCATTCTGTGTATTAGATACAGCATACTGTATTGTGATCATCCATCTCCCCAGCTAGTCTGGGAACTACTCAAGGACAGTGACTAGCTAATAGTAGGAATTCAATTAAGAACTGACACACAAATGAATGAATTAACCCACCGAATTTTTCTCCATAGTTCTAACCTACTATAACAGATTTAAAAAACACATCAATTGCTGCCATTTTTCATTCTAAAGGATGAAAGCACGAAGACTATTCAACTGGCTTCTCACAAATATGAAATCCAGGACCCTACTTGTATAGGCACACAAAGTCACACATCAGAATCAGAGACAAGCAAATTCAAATGTAAATTTTTAAATGAATACTTTTATCAAAATTTGCTGAGTGATAGTGCCAGTTTAGAATATACATATACATACACACACACAGCTTAGAAAGAAACACTGTAACCCAAACATATTATAGAGAAAAACCTTTTTGCAAAACTCTAAGAACTCAGTTTAAGCCTCACCACCTCCAAATGAATACATAGTTCACCTTGGACAACACAGGCTTGAGCTGCTGAGGTCCAGTTATACACAGATTTTTTTTTTTTTTTTTTTGAGACAGAGTCTTGCTCTGTCGCCCAGACTGGAGTGAAGTGGCATGATCTCAGCTCACTGCAACCTCCACCTCCTGGGTTCAAGCGATTCTCATGCCTCAGCCACCCAAGTAGTTGGGATTACAGGCACCTGCCACCACTCCGGCTAATTTTTGTATTTTCTTTCTTTCTTTTTTTTTTTTTCAGTAGAGATGGGGTTTTGCCATGTGGGCCAGGCTGTTCTTGAACTCCTGACCTCAGGTGATCTGCCCACCTCAGCCTCCCAAACTGCTAGGATTACAGGAGTGAGCCCACATGCCTGGCCAATATGTGGATTTTTTTAAAGTAAAAGTTATACCTTCCTCTCCTGCCTCCCTTCCTCCTCTTCCACCTCAGCCTCCCAAACTGCTAGGATTACAGGAGTGAGCCCACGTGCCTGGCCAATATGTGGATTTTTTAAAGTAAAAGTTATACCTTCCTCTCCTGCCTCCCTTCCACCTCTTCCACCTCTGCTATCCCTGAGACAGCAAGACCAACCCCTCCTCTTCTTCCTCGGTGTGAAGATGCTGAGGATGAAGGCCTTTATGATGATCCACTTCCACTTAATGAACAGTACATATATTTTCTCTTCCTTATGATTTTCTTAATAACTTTTCCCTTCCTTAATTATTGTAAGAATACAGTATATAAGACATGCAACATACAAATATGTGTTAGTCAACTGTTTATGTTACAGGTAAGGCTACCAGTAAACAGTAGGCTATGGAATAGTAGTTAAGTTTTTGTGGGTTTTGTGTTGTTTTGTTTTTGAGATGGAGTTTCGCTCTTGTCACTCAAGCTGGAGTACAGTGGCACGATCTTGGCTCACTGCAACCTCCATGTCTCGGATTCAAGCAATTCTCCTGCCTCAGCCTCCCAAGTAGCTGGGATTACAGGCATGTGCCATCACACCCAGCTAATTTTTGTATTTTTTAGTTAGAGACAGGTTTCTCCATGTTGCTCAGGCTGGTCTCAAACTCCTGACCACAGGTGATCCACCCACCTCAGCGTCCCAAAGTGCTAGGATTACAGTCGTGAGCTACCGTGCCCGGCCATAGTTGAGTTTTTGAGGAGTCAAAGTTATATGTGGATTTTCAACTGTGTGAGGGTACCAGTACCCTTAAACCCATATTGTTCAAGGGTCAACTGTATAAATATGCAGTGGCCTGGCCAGGGCTGAAATATAACAGACAAAACTGAAAGAGAAATTTTTCTTTAAAAAGAAAAAGACTGCACTGTTCAATCCAAATGTAAATAATCATTTACATCAAATTCTAATGCTCTGGGCAGGTAATTCTTGGGCCTGGGCTACTAAGGCGTGCTTGAGAACAACAGAACACACAGAATCTCCCAAAGCAGCCTCCTTCCTAAAGCCTCCCCAGCAGTCATCCTCCTGTGCCCAGGTTACAAATGCTATGCTTGGTGCAGAAGAGAGTCGACTTCACTGATTAAAAGCACTAATGATACTAAGATTTGTGTAGAGAAATGCAAATGTATAGCAGTCCAGATTGACAGTTAGTGAGCTTGGGAACTTCCAAAGTCAGCCCCTCCTCCCCTGTGGTGTGAGGGTGTGTGGGTTTGGGGAACAGAAGTCAGTGGGGGAGTCTTTTCTTGATGAGAAGAAGAAAGTGCAGAGACTAGTGCCGCAGAGAGCTACCCTTTCTGGAATCCATAGAGGGTCTGGCCTTTTATTCCCAGGCCCAGGCCCAACCCAAGCCTGGGGGCCCGGGTTTTGTCATGGGCACCTCCTGCTGCTGTGCCCTGGCTGTTCCACATGAGCAGAGAGAGACAGGAGGCAGGCCCCTCTGACACCTACTTAACCAAGGCAGATGGAGAGGGGAGCATGGGGGATGCCTTTACTTCCCCCTCAGGAGGAGCCCAGCAGGAGTCCACAGAGCCAGCAGCTCCAAAATCGGATTTCCACACATCCTCCCACCTCAGAACATGCCTTACCCCTCTGGCAGGAGGAAACAGAGCCTTAAGCAAGTGTGGCTCTGGTGTATGAGGGGCTTTTAGAAGACCTGAAGAAGCCTTCTTACACGATTCTTAATTTTTTCAAACCTCTACAGAGGTAGCCAAAATGGGACACAGTTCTTCATTCACCGACCCAAAGGGGGCAAGGGTGTTACTTTAAGGCGGACACAGTCTGTGTCTGCAAGATGTCCTGAGCTACAGACACATACTTTATTAATAATCTTACATACACAAAATGTCCAAGAGAAAGTCTAACAGGCTAATTTCTGACAGCTCCAGATAACAGCAGAAGGCACTGAAGCCACACTGACTCTCTGGCTTCCACAAACTACTCAGAAGAGATGGTCCCCTTTCCCACCCAAGGGATGTGATACAAATAAATAAATACAATTATCTGCAGAACTTACAGTGCAAGAACAACACTGTGAAGTCCTTCTCCCCAAATGCAGTGACTTGTGGGAAACAGATAGGAAAATGAAATGAACAGCTGGAAGATTTAATTACGGAAGAGCAATGCAGAAGCTGACATTGCTTCAGAGAACAAGCCAACAGCCCAAGCCTTCTCCCTTACCTTAAGATACAGAAGCAGCTCTTCGCTCCTGAAGATAAGCGGCAGAACCCGAATCTCTGTTTGCTGTCAATGTCAGTGAGCACGAATGTGAAGTTCTGGCCAACTTGGCTAACTGTGAGGCTGCAGCAAAGGCAGAACAAAGGGGAAAATGAATGTGCAGTAAGTTTCTTGATAAAGTATCTAATCACAATGAGTCGTTGAACTTATAACATTTCCTCTCTCAGTGGAACTCTTAAAATTTACACATTTCAAGGGAACAGACTGTAAGCTAGTTAAAAAAAAAAAAAAAAAAAAGACAGCCAGCAGCCTATTCTAGTGACCACCTCAGAAATCAAATAATCAGAGCTATCATACCTTCTCCTTACTGAGTTCAGTCTCTGAGGCAGCTCTGTTAGTCAGCCCATCAATTCCGAAAGGTGCCCTCTATTAACCTCATTTTGCTGATGAAGAAATAGTCTAGAGAGGCATTGCCTAAGGTCAGCTGATCAGTGGCAAAAAGCTGGATTTTAACCCTCGCGCTGATTCCACAGGCCACTCTACCAGCTTGCTGCTAACAATCCTCACCTGAGAACTTCCCTAGTTCAGAAAATAAGAGTGCTTGCCAGAGCAAAAGGTAAATGTTACTATGTGCCAGCCACAAAGTTAGACATCATATATGCGTAGACCATCTCCCTGACTCTCAGGACAACCATGGAATTTAGAGGATGTTCCCATTTTACAGAAAAGGAAACTAAGGACCAGAATACATCCTTAGTAACTGAATCACGTTCACACAGCTACAAAGAGGAGGAGCTGAAATTGAAACTGGAAAGAAAACAGGGCAAGCTTAGGTGTTACTTTCCTAAATTCCTATATCTTTCATAATTTCTGAATTTATGAGAAACATATTTCCTATTTTAGAGGACAGAAATAACCAAAATGTCTAGCATTGCATGGTGTTTTCTAAGAAATGGAAACAACATTTTAAAGAAAGACGTTAAAGGAAAAAAGCTAAAAATATATCAATACAAAAATTTAAAAACCACACATAAACGCAACATTAAAATATCTATTTTTAAAAATTTTAAAAACAATACTAATCAGATTACAGAAACTCTTTGTTTTGTTTTTCTGTTTTGAGATGTAGTCTCGCTCTGTTGCCAGGCTGGAGTGCAGTGGTGTGATCTCAGCTCACTGCAACCTCCACCTCCCTGGTTCACACAATTCTCCTGCCTCAGCCTCCCGAGTACCTGGAACTACAGGTGCCCGCCACCATGCCCAGCTAATTTTTTTATATTTTTAGTAGAGACGGGGTTTCTCCATGTTAGCCAGGATGGTCTTGATCTCCTGACCTCGTGATCCACCTGCCTCGGCCTCCCAAAGTGCTGGGATTACAGGCGTGAGCCACCGCGCCCGGCCAAACTCTTTTTTTAAAGTTGTAAAATGTCTAAAAATCCAGTTTTTAAAATCAGTTTACCAGTTAGCTTGGATTTCATTCCATTTTAAAAATTTAAACATCCCGCTTCCGTCACAGTTATGGCGGCTAAGGCTACCACCTACTTGCCCAGCTGTTGCTGCTAGAGCTTGTAGACAAATGTATAGGCTCAAGAATTCACATTGTGGTGAAGAGTCATTAAGAAATCGTGGGTACTCTTCTAGGAGTTGATGACTTTGTCAAGATGGACTAGAAGAGGTCACTGAGTTTGAAATCACACCAGAAGGAAGAAGTACTATTGTTGTTATTATTATTACTATTACTTTGAGACACAGTCTTGTTCTGTCACCCAGGCTGGGGTACAGTGGCACAATATTGGCTCACTGCAACCTCTGCCTCCCGGGTTCAAGTGATTCTCATGTCTCAGCCTCCTGAGTAGCTGGAATTTCAAGCGTGCACCAACACGCCCAGCTAATTTTTGCATTTTTAGTAGACAGAAGGTTTTGCCATGTTGGCCAGGCTGGTCTCAAACTCCTGGCCTTAAGTGATCCGCTTGCCTCAGCCTCTCAAAGTGCTGGGATTACCGCCTGGCCAGGAAGAAGTATAATTAAATTAGAGCAGATTTTGCTAAGTGGAAATAATATAACAATGCTAGTTCCTGTCAGAGAAGAACCTGAAGAGTGAATGGGTTTCCCTACCTTATGCTAGATTCAGTTTTGTCTTATAATGGCAACAAAATAGAATTTGCTTTTTACCTTTAAATGCTTAGATCCCATAAAGCTAAATTTCGCATTCAAGGGAAATCCTTTGAAGATGTATATCCATTTTTGTAAGTTACAGTAATTATCTCAGAAAAAGAAGAAAAGAGTTTTTTCTCTGAAGATTAAAATAAAGGTATTTTTGGTTAAAAAATCCAAATTCTAATACATGAATTTATATTAACGTAATATGCTAGAATTCAACACTGAGTTATTCAAAGGAACTCATCAACTCATATTGTATTTTACAAAGTGTATTCAAATTGGTAAAATAGTCAAATCTATGCTATCAATTATTACTTTATAAATTATCAGAAGAAATTTAAAAATCATGGTTTACCAAGCTTTTTCCAAAGGTAGAATTCTTATTGAGTCTTTGGATATGATATGAATAAAGTTTTCAAAGATAGGGTAGACTTTCTAAAACTCCCTTATACAGCCACATAAATAATTAAAATTAAAGGAATTTTCAAGGTATTCCAATACAAAGGTCAATGGACTCTGCCTGGTCATATTTAAGGAGACAACTCCATCTCTTAGAGAGTGGTTAGAGAGTACAAGAAAATAATTCAGAAAGAAAAAGTGTTCCACTCTCCTTATTTAACTAGGAAGGTGAACAAAAACAAGGTGGCAATTTAAAAGCAACGTGGTCATAAAGCAGGTGTAAGTAATGCTATCCCTCCACCTTACACAGCCAGGAGAAGAAACACATTTCTATAAAAGTTATAGGGCCGTCAAGGGGACACCAAACGCTACCTTCCTATGCCTGTTATGTTTTATCCATAAAGCTTGGATACTGTGTTACTATGGTGATTTAATACTATGTTTTAAAGGGGGATTATATGATTAATTTTAACAAGGTTGAGAACTGAAGATGTGTGAGAAACAGCATTCTAGCTCACATAATTAAAGTGATTGGGGAGAAAAGTGGGCCTCAATGGGGGAGGGGAAATCCTGTTTTATTAAAATATTTAAAGCAACAGGTCTGGATGATTCCAAGTTACAAATAAGGTTGTGCTTTTAAGAAACACTACTACGTGATCATACAAAATATGATTGTTCAGTGTTTTAACTCAGGTTTTGATTTCACTTCTAGAATGTTTAAAATGAATACTAAGTATCATCCTAGAAAGGAAGGGTATCGATAGGACTCGATGAAAAGAAAACACCCAGGATTCTCCAGGAAAAAGACAGAGAATGAATGCACCTGACTTGTGAATTGTGTGTCATTAATTTCCTACTCTCTTTTTATTCCTATTAAAAATGCTGGAAATGTGTTTAGCTACCCTACAGGCTCAGAGAAAGAATCATTACTCATTTACCTGGTTCAAATCCCAACTCAATCACTGACTAAATTTAGCAAGTTACTTAAAACCTTTAAGCACCTGAGTTTCTTCACCTGGAATAACAATGAGACACTACCATCCAACCCAAAGGATGTTTTGAGAATAAATGGAAAAGAATTTAGTATAAAGGTCAGTCCAGAGTAGGAACAATTAAAAAGAGGGACGCAAGCTGTTGCCAACTGTGAAAACTAAAACTCACATTAAAAACTAGGCCTTTGCTTAGAATCTTCCTGATTCAGCTTTATAATATCTGTGAGTAGAGGAAGAAGTCTGCTTTCTTTTCTCTCTTGCCTGTTGCATATTTTTCAGGAAAGGCTAGTCCTCTGGGTGACCAAGTGACTGATGCTTGCCTTACAGTGAAAAAGATTCTTTTTGGGGTGCCACAGCTTACCAGGAGGTACTTATTCTCAATTGATTCCCTTTTTTAATTCCTGGTAGGGTGAAGTAGAAGTCGACAAAAGCCCAAAACCAGTAGGCTCTAAAAGATTGTTTCCTTGGACAATTTCCAATAAACTAAAGGTCTGGCAAGGGAAGTCAAAGAGGTTAACTTAAAAGGGTTCTGAATCTCCAAGGAATTTATCATTCTCTCTCTCCTACTTGCTGGGGTAGTCTATGGGAGTGTTCACTATTTCTCCATAAAAATGACCTTGGGGAAAGGGTCTGCTTCCTTAAAGTCTGCAGTTTGAGTTTACCTCAGCATCCATAATTTCCAAAGGAACCAGAGATTTCAGGATGATGGAAGCTAGGAGAAACCATCTCACCCAATTCTCATGTTTCACAGATGAGAAAACTGATATTTAGGGTTTACTTTCATTTTGTTTTCCAAGGTTATCAGGACTAGGACAAAAATCCAAGCCAACTTCTGGTTCAAAGTCCTTTCCATTCTGCCACGCTGCACTAAACACAATGAAAATCCTCCCTGGGAAGCTTTCAACTCGGTTTAAGGAACTAAGGTATGCGAGGAATTCAGATAGTTGTCTTAACAAAAAACCATATTTTTCACTAAGCTAGGGAGACCACATTTGAAGTTCTCCAGAAATAAACCCAGGAGACCAGGGCCAAGACCAGCCTTAGCTGTGCTTCTTGTAGCTTCCCGTGCCTAGGTGAATATGAAAAACAAGGGAGAAAAGCAATAGCTATTCAAGCCACAGACCTAAACCTTCATGCTTCCTTTTAAATGCCTATCAGCCATTCAGGGCCTCTCCAGTAGCATTTTGCTTAATCTTGAAGTTGTTTACAGGGCCAGTGCATGAATGGTATGAAGCATGAGGATGGACAGTTTGATTCTAGTCTCCCAGTGAGAAACAAACTTTTACATGTGAGCTTCACTTTAAGTTTCATTATCCATTTTGCAAATTGAGCTACAACTACACTGGGCACTGTAACAAGTGCTGGATATACAACACTGAACAATATAGGCAGGGCCCCTGCCTTTGCAGGCTTTCTGTCTAGATAGAGACAAGTAATAAACAAGTATACCACAAAACATACAGCTTGTAATAGTGGTATTACAAAACCAAAGAAGAAACGAAGATAGAGGAAAATGGAAGGGAAGGAAAGGCCCTACTGAGATAATGTGGTCAGAGGTAGCTTCTCAGGGATGGCAACAATATTGACCAAAGGATGAAATGGAGCAGCCACTCAAGAAACAGGGCACTGGGTTGTTTCAGGCAGAGAAAAGAACTAGGCAGAGATTCTGGGGACTGGAAAGAACTAGTTATGATCAAGGAACCAAAAGGACAGGAGTCCTGCTAATGCACAGGAGATAAAGGGGAAAGTGGCATCACATTAAGCTGCTAGATAAAGCAAGCTCCAGATCACACAGAGAGTCCCACAGGTCATGGTAAAGAATTCAGATTTTTTTTTTTTTTTTGGCGGTGGGGGGAGGCAATAGAATGCCACTGAATGATTTTGATCAAGAGAAAAACACAGTCTGGTTTATAGCTTCAAATATTTCAACTGACTTATACAGAGAGCAGTTTGGAAGAAGGTGTAAGTAGGAGTAGAGAAAATAATCTGGAAGTGATTGCAGTAGTCCAGGTGAGACTGGATGGTGGCTTAACTCATGTAGGGAGAGTAGAGATGGAGAGGGATGGATAGTTCAAGTTATAGTTAGCAGATATGAATGACAGGCTTGCAGATGGACTGGGAATTGGGGAGCAAAAAGGCAGAATATTACCATTTGAAGATAGGAAAGACTAACAAGTTTGGGGGAAGATCCAAGAGTTCCATTTGGGATATGTTAAGTCTGAGAAGCCTGTAAAACATCTAAATAGAAATGTCAAGTACAGAGTTGAATACACTAGTTAGGAAATCAGAGGAAACGTTTGGATTGAAACTACAAATTTGGAAGTCATCTACAAACAGATGGTATTTAACACCATGGTAAAGACTGGGATCACTTAGGGAGGGAGTTCAGAGAAACAAAAGAGGATCCAGGACTAATTTATAGAAACACCAATTTAGAAGATGGGTGGAGAAGAGACCAAAGAAAGGAGAATAGCCAGCAGAACAAACAAGAGGGAGTGGTCAACTGTATTGATGCATCAAAGATGAGAAGAAGAAAAAACAATGTCTACTGAATTAAGCAATATGGAGGTTTTAGATGACCTCGATAAAAACAGCTCTAGTTGAATGACAGAAGCAGAAGACAAGCTGAAGAAGGCTGAAGGATAAGTTGAAGTGTGTAGATAACTCGTTCAAAAAATAGAGAATCAGAAAGCAACTGAGTGGTGGTTATTATTTTTAGGATGAATACCAGAACTTGTTTTTAAGCTGTTGGAAATGATTCAGCAGAGGCAGAGATTTATGATGCAGGACAGAAGAGAAAACATTAAGGCCTGGACCTTACATCAGAATCCCAGACATGTTACTCAGCAGTTATGTGGGCATAGACAAGTTATTATACTTCTCTGATCTCATCTGTAAATCATCAGAATAATCACATCACTTTGCAGAGTGGTTGCAGATTAGAGATAATGTATACAAGATAACTAGCATATAGTAGGTACCTGACAAAAATGATCATCACTACTGTTATGCAATTATAAAATTCAAGAGATAGAACTGAAGCATTTTGTCCCCCTCTATGTATTATAGCTTACCGACAATTATCTGTTGTCCATGGCAGGGCACCTAACAGACACTTTTCCTTTCCTTCAGTGCGTATGAGGCATGAGGCAGGAATGAAGCTTCATCAAACTACCACATCTCCCAGCCTTTAGTTCCGTAAGCCTCAAAGCTTCCTTCCACAAACACACCTTACATCTGCCTAGGCCTCAAGTTTCTCACCTTCCCTGCTCAAAGATCCAAGTGGTGAGAATGACATGGACCCAAAATATGAGGGGACCAACAGTAAGTGACACACTTCGAGACAGAACGCAATGCCTACCTGCTGGAGAAACTCACCAGACAATTCTAAGAGCAGAGCTCTGTCCATTCCCTCTACATGAGCCTGACAAAGTCAACATGAAGCATAACTGCAGAATTTAAAAGTATCAAAAGCAGAAGGAACAGCAGAGATTGATGGAATCCAATTCCCTCATTTTATCCATGAAAAAATGAAGAACCTCAGGGGAGAAGTCACTTGCCTCACAGCACAGAGCAGGGCAGTGGTAAAACCAAAACCAAAACCCAGATCTCCTGCTTGCTGCCTACAATAGTCTGTCCACTAAGGCCCAGCTGCTTCGTTGTCATCAACACTGTAGAAAATAATCATGGGGCACAGCTGAACCTATATTGTATGCTAAACCAAGGGACTTCAAGGGCCCAGTGGGTTCAGGTTTAGAAAGGAGAGCAGGGTGAATCTGCAGAGGAGAGGTCTGGGAAGATAAGATGTTAATACACTGGTCCTATGTCTGTGTGGGTTTCATTTTTTTCTTTCTCTCAGTTTCCTACTTCTCTACAATAAATATATATTGCTTTATTGCTTTTGAAATAAAACCGTTTGTTAGGCTACTTATGCTGTGATGGATCTTATGGAGGCAGTATGGTAAAACAGGGAAAGTATGGTGGAGTTGGAGGTCAGACAAATGAGGGTTCTGCAAGCAGCTATACCACTAACTGGTAGTGAGACCTTGGGTAGTTATCAAGCCTATCTGAGCCTCTGTTTCCTCCTGTGTGGCATGAGGATAATGGTAACCTTACAAATTTGTAATCTTTTATTACAGGAAAAGAACATAGGGCAATGCCTGGCACAAAACAGATGCCCAATAAAATGGTAAGTAGCATTTGAGCCACATTTGCATCTGGGGTTACATCCTGACCATTAAATGATGCCTCTGGCCCTGAAAAGATTATTTCATTGCATTTGACTATCCTGTCAGTTGTGTGTGCCAGTATAATTTACAGGAAAATGGAATGGTAGCTGACTTTCAGGGTTCTGAAAGAGGATAAACACAAAAATGGAAGAGAATAGCTTTTCCATCATCCAATGCATGTCTCAAGTGCTTTGAGTAACTGAAGCTGGTTGTCAGCTATCAAGGGCAAGCAAGTAGCAAACATGATATGGAATGGTACAAGTCTTTTTTTAAGAGACTATTTTTATTAGTAATAATGAGTTTTTGAGATTGATACAGGAATCTCAACACTGACACTTCACTACTCCCTCTCACCAACAGCTTCACGTACACTGTAGGGTAGAAATAACTCTGGATTAGGAATAGAGTACCAGTGCCTTTCCTGGCCCTGTAAATTATATAGTTGTGACCATAAGCAAGTCATTTCACCTCTGTGGATCATGGTTTTCCTTCTATAAAATGGGGAGTTTGAACCAGATGAATTTCAGTTTTAAAATCCTGTGGTCTTGTTTCCACACATTTTCAAGGCCTCCTGTGGCCAGAGCCCAGGTTCTCACAGTCACCCTCTCCCCAGCGAGCTCCATCTGCTCTGGCTGAACAAGCTCTAGGCTCACTCGGGGCTTCTCCTCTGCTTTGCTTTTCAGTGCTGATGGGGTGTTAGGCTCTCCCTCCCACTTGCCCACTTCTTGCTGTCCTGGCAGACTCAATACAAGTCTCCCCCACCATAAGAAGTTTTCTCTGACCATTTTGGTCTTCTCTAACCTCACTATCCTTTGGGTCGATCCTGTTTAATATGTCTTTATAATTCCTGGACTAGACTGGGAGGGCAGGGCTCCAAGTCTGAGACCATTTCCGTTATCCCCCATATTACCCAACACAATGCTCTACATCCTGAACCTTCCTTTGCTCTTTTGTAAAAAAGATACCACCATCTATCTCCTAGAGCTTCTAGGAAGAATAAATGAGACAGTGATGTGGCAGCATCCAGCACTTTGACTAGAATCGATAAGGAAATCAAACCTCGTTTCCTTCCTTTCCTTCTTCTCTATATATTTGGTGACTGGTCTTCCCTGCAAGGTGGTCTACTGAAACGTATTTGTCTGGGAGATGGAAATCTAGGTTGTGCTCAGAGAACCTTGGGCAAGTCCCAATTTCTCTGCAGCTTAGAATTTTGTTCAAATGAAGATAATGGCACCTGCTCTTATCTCTTATGATAGGAGGATAAAATGAGATAATATATGAGGAAGCACATTCTTTTGAAAAGCTACTGGCTTTATTATTTTTCCTAAGTCCTAGTTTGAAAAAGAAAAATCTTAAAACAACACACGAGACAGCAAGATGTCAATGTTAACGGGTGATTTGATGATGACTGTGAAAATCCACCTCTTGATATAGACTAGAAATGTCAGAAAGTTTTATGACTGTTCCTTGGGGTAGAAAAGCACAGATACTGAAAAGATCAGGAAGCTTTCTTTTTTGAACGCAATCACCTGGGGCATTACTTGTCTCCCAGGCTGGCATATTTTCTAAGTCAAACAATATCATAAACCCATCTAGGGGACTTTATGGGCCTCAGAATCTGGGGATATCCATTTGACAGTGCTAACTGCAAACTAATAAAAAAATTAAGACATTGAAACCTTTATATTTCTTACAAATGAACTTTATTCATTATTATTATCTCTTCTGTATTAAAGTATACCAAGGTTAGAGGTGGGGGAACAGAAAGAAAATATATAGTCCCCACATAAAATGATTTTTTGGTATCAATAAAAGTTATCAACACCCATAGGGTATGTAATATAATACAATGTAAGAAAGAACTATTGTACATGGTAAGGAATGAAATATTCAAAAAGAAACATTTCTGTCCTCAAATCCTTTTGTAAAAAAGAAAAAAAAAAGGAACATGATTAGGGGAACATAATTTGGAGAGAAGGATTCTGGAAGAAAAACATATTTCTAACAACAACAAAAAGGCATCAGATATTTTTGGTAACAAAAAAGATTTTAGAATTATCACTTAAGGACTCTGCTTTTCTTCCATTTCAGAATGTAATCACCCAGACAGGTAGGTAAGTAGAAGTGTGTGTATGGTATACATCTAAGAAAAAGAAATATGAATCAGTGTGTGTATGTGTGTATGCACACACACACCTGCACATGTGTGTTGGTGGGGAAGACAGAGGTTTAATCTCTATGCATTTCTTCTAACATTAGTAAACATTAATAGGATTACTCTAAAATATTTTCTCTTGCTCACTTCCTTAAGCAGTTAACAAAGTCAATTAAGAAACACCTATCCAAAACAAATCACCACTCTAACAAGAAGTCATGTAAAAATGTATTCTCTTATTTTTCTTTATTAAACACCTAACTGCATTTATAAAACATTTCAGTTTTATTACTTTTTATAAATATGTCTTTGCCATAATTTGTCATACATTTTATAAGTGGCTGGAGGAGATTTCATGCATAGCTAATTCATACATATAAATGTGAAGTTTGCATTAAATATCTCTAAACAAAACCTTACTTCCTTGCATTTTTAGGAGGAATAGGCTAAAGAAGAGACAAGACGACTCCCATTACAAAGACTGACCCTCTTAGAATTAAGGCTATTCTTTTTTGAGCATCAACCTGCTACTGAAATATTCCTGGTACCAGGATTTACAAGGTCTGAGTCTGGAAATACTATAATGGTTGATTGGCTTAAGAAAAAATAAAATGTTAGAACCAGGGAGAGCAGTGATTAGAAGTGGCTGGCAACATTCCAGAGTTGCTTTTTAGTACCTTTTAAACTCCTTTGGCTACCAATTCTCATCTCATACCATTTTTAGGTTTATGCCAAATAAACCACGACAGTGGTATTACAATGTGTAGAAAAGATGCAAACAGCATACTACCCACATATACTCTAAATCACTGAAATCTTACAGGCTTTGCCTTGTTTGGGTACACTAAAATACATGATAGAATCTTCCTGAAGATAAGCACAAATTTTATAGCTTTCTTGGACCATATTATGGCATTTCTTACTTACAATGTTATTTTCTATAACCTTTCTGTCAATAAAAGTGGGTTTGTTAAGATGTAATGTATGTACAGTTTCATAGTTCAAATTTCCATTAAGAGAAAACTGAAGAGACAACAATCAAATGGGCAAATAAATGAATGTAAAAAACTAATGATTCAACTGTAATGAAAAAGAGTAGACATTTTTTGAAAATAAAATAATTGTTATTTTATTAATATAGTTAATACATTAGTTTTATAAAGTAAAAAAAAAAAACTCCTCTAAAATTCTTATCATTAACCAGTGGCTCGTTAAAAAGAAAAAAAAAAAACCTCAGACTATTTTAATTGTCTTAGAGTTCTCATATTTGTACCTATCTAAGAAACAGTTTATCACAATGTAAATACTAAGGAAATGTTTAGGTGGTTTTGTACTTTTAATCTCAAAATCTATAGAAAATTCTCTTTTTCCCAGAGATACCATTCTTAGCCACTTAAACAAAATATAAAATACTATTTAGCAATATTCCCTGCTGAATACTTTTAAACAAGATAGGGCTAGGCTGATTTAAATTATAAGTTGAAGTCTAGGAAAAACAAAGTCTATATAATACAAAACGTTGGAATCAAGTAATATTACTTGTTTAAGCCAAATATATTCATATTTAAATAACAATTAAATAGCAAGAGATTAAATACCAACCATTCTTAATCACAGTTTAAGTCTGATAACAAAATCAAAACTTTAATGCCATACAAAATACATCTCACAAACTAACCAATGCAAAGCTCTAAGCTTTAAACTTTTTGACAGTGTCAATAAAAACCCCAGGAAGGGAGAATATTGCAACTCTCCTTGGAACACAGGTATCTTAAATCATGGTTAAACAGACAGAATGTTAAGAATGGTATGGTTTTTATTTTCTATAGCAGGTTTATTGATACTTTTTTTCTAGTAAAGTTTGAAAATCTGACACTACCTGTCCACATAGAAGGGGAAACAAAACTTGGTCAAAGTCTGTAGAACTTCCTGTGGAGAGAAAGAGAGATAATTTATACATCTAATGGGACCAGTAAATCTAACATTAACCACAGCACACAATCTAGCAACTTTACCCTAAAGAAAGAGGAGACAGATGAAGAAATATGGGCTTTATCAATTACATGGGAGGAGTACCAGGCAGTCAATCATGAGAAATAATAAACATGATCAAACTTCATTAAAAATGAAAAATTAATCAAGAATCACACATGGGCAAGCAGCAGGAGCCATGCAGGAAAGCTCTGAAGGGAGGGAGGCGGTTGGGTTGCTGAGTGTTAACACCCCTCCAGGGAACATCTCCAGCCTGACCATATGGATCAGAGTGAATAACACCGAGCCACATGGGTTTGGCCTGGCAGGGCCGCTGTTGCTGGCACCGTTTTTGCCTGTTACCTAGGAACAGAGGGGGCCAGGATTAGACAACGCTTCCCAACATCAATAGGCCAAATCACAGCAGAATCGAAAGCCAACTTGAAGATAATTGTCCCTGAACACTGTCAGCTACATTTTTTAGAGTTTAAAACTTCATTTACTTACTTTACAAAGAAGTTGCCATTTTGGGCATATATTTATTTTGGAACCAAACTGTAACAGTTTTAAGTATATACTATTCTTATTGAAATATCACCATATTTGAACATACTCACCTAATTTTAATGTATTAAAATCTAAAGCAAACTACCAGTTTAAATGTCTTTCTAAAAAAATACATATATAGGTACATAAAGCCAAGCACATTATTCAGGATTAGGGTACACAAAGTAAGGTGACATTTTAACAACTTATTCATAGAAGACAATCTTCTTACATTACCACAGAAAAAAACAGTACATGACACACAATAAACAGTGGTGTATAACTTTCCCTAAAAGACACATTTCATATATATAGCACATATACACACAGCTAACCACATAGACAGGTAGTTAGTTATTATTTCCTTCACAGAATTTTCCTTAGCTTAACTTAATTTAACTTCAGACTTGGACAGCCCACGGTTGGTGCTTATCATAAGTTCATAGACCAATGTTATAAATTTTAAAAAAGTATTCCTTTCATGCACTTGATTTGCTTTTTAACTATTTAAAATCCCAACTTCAAGACAAAATGAAGAACACATTTTTCAGTCATTGAAAAGCTGGTTCAAATTAAAACAAACCTGCCCATTGCAAACCCTAATCCAAGTGATAAATTAAAGATCAGCTTACAAATGTAGCACTTTTCTAACCAATAATAATGAATTATCAATGCTAACTGAATTGATGCTTCTCGCTTCATTTATTTTTAAAACCAGTTCTATCATTCAAGAAATAAACCACATCAATCTAATAACCCACTCAATGAAGCAGAAAGCACATTGACTTGCTCTGCCAGAGCATGTTCCGCCTACATAATTCAATTGAGCATATCCTATTTTTTAATATCATCTTGGACTGGTACTATGTATATCACAGCACTGCTAAGAAATGTCATGAAATAATGTAATTAATGAATAGGAAACTAAGAAGTGAAAAAGAGTGGATGAGAACACCTCAGCATATCCTAAGAAACATTACTTATATATTAGTTAACTTTATAATGTGGCATTCAGGCATATATATTGTTTATAAACTAATCATGCTTAGATAAACTGCAATAGGTAATACAGAATCAGAACAAAGGCAATTTTTCAGTGCATAATGTTATTATCAGGCAAAGATAGGAAAACAGATCACATAAAACATTTAATGCCTGCTGTGCTAATTATAAAGTATACTACAATTCACATACACAAAACCCTTATGATTTACACACACACAAATTCCTTACAAATTTCCTTCCACTTCAAGTTTTGAATAGTAACAGAAAGCATCTCTTAACTTCAGTATATGAAACAGCCATTCTTTAAAACTCAGTATTCAGTGCTCACTCATTGCCAATATCAGCTACAAAGAAAGCTATCTTTTACCCCTCAAAAGTTATAGGTGCAGAAAGCACTTCTCTACTCTATGCTGGAGTTGTACTGGCAAAAGGCCTCAAAGATTTTTGAAAGAAAGGACCCCCTTGGCTACGAGAAGGCATTGTGCTTTACAGCAGAGTCAAAGGAATCTAATATGCCCAACTTATTACTCACTACAATATAGAAACTTCTTACCACTCTCTAATGTCAAGAGTAATAACCAACCTTGAACTTGTCTGTCAGATAATATTAGAACAAATATCAAAATACCCAATGTAGGCTGAGTGTAACCACCCACCAGCTTTCCTTTTTATCTAAGCAAACAGCAGTAAATCTAATTAAGCAATAGGATGGGGGGAGGGGAGGGGGAAAGGGAATATAGGCAATGTAGGCACATGTTGGTACATTACAATATGTTCCTTCATGTTTGTGATATTACAAGAGCTTGATATTCCAATTTAAGTCAAACAAGATGGTGGTGTGCTGTCAGAAGAAAAAACAAAAATGAGCATCTACTCTGTGTTCTGCATATTCACATATTATCGCAATTGGAACTGAGGTATCTACTTCTTAATTTGAGAAGGGGAGGACAGGAAGAGGGAGGGAAAAACAAGCAATGTTCTCTGTAAATAAAAACTGCAATAAACCAATTTAATAAATCAATTAAATAAACCCATTTTCTTAATACTGATGTTTTCCTTACACATAAACATTCATGTCTTATCATCTTTTCCCAAAGAAAAATAAAATTATTCGAATATGAAAAGTACCACTCTCCAAGAGTGGGGGCTTTAAAATCCTGATTTAAATATATTTTGAGTACCACATTCATGGCAGTGTCCCACAGTCTTTCAATATTAACTTTATTGGGACAACAGTCATTAACCAGTTACCAACCCCTTTTTCTCTCTAGAACTTGTGTCTTTGGCTAGGGCACTTTCTTTGTAGAAGGTAATTTTCTTGTTCTCTTTCCCGTTTCTCTTGCCTACACAAGCTCTTTTAGACAACCAGCCTCGGTGCAACTTCAACTACTGCCACATAAATCGGATCTTGGGGATGCTGCACAGCTGATGAAATGTAAATGACCTCATTGCTAAGGCAGGGGGTGGGGAGGACTGTGTGCCAGCTCTCCAGATCAATTCCCAAGTTTATATTTTCACAAATCTTTTTATGTACAGTTTGATTTTTTAACATTTTAATGAGCAAAAAAGTGAATCTATAGTAGCCAGTCACCACAGTTAAAGTGCAGGGCATGAACTAGATCCCAGGAGGAAACCAGTCCACCATGTCACCACTGGCTTTAGGACATTCGCCACCTGGTTCCATGTCCCCTGGTTCCAACTCTTTTCATAATCAAAACACTGCTGACATTATAAACCCCAGACGGGTTTTCTAAAATCCCTCCCAATCAATATATCCAACACATAACTTATTGGAGACAACACTGAGCTCATTGATTAAGGTGAGTTCAGTAGCAAAGTTTTCAAAATAAATGAGACAAGAATACAGCATTCAACCCCTTTGTGTCACCAGACAATTTATGAAATAGGCAATTTCCAAAAGGGTTTTTCTTCCTAACAAAATATATGATACTTCATGTAGGAAGAAATAAGAGCAGAGGGGGCAGGGAGGAAGTGTGTTAGAGAGGCAGTTGCACAAATCTTTCAGTTATGCATACATGAAGCAGCAGATTGCATAGTGTAATAGAAAAGTAACATCTACAAAGCTCTGCCCACAAGAGACACCAAGCCTCAGAGTATGAACCAAAATATGAAATTAACACACCTAACGCTGGATACACTTGCAAATGAAATTCAGAAATGAACTCAAGATTCATTTCAGTCTACTTTGGATTCACTTCATCCAATTCTAATTCTCATCCGGTCAGAAGGCCCGAATTTACTCCAATCTGGAGAAATTAGATTACATTCTGTTGATACTGAGCCTAAGAACCCAGTAAAGTTTTAAATGTATAATATTATCCATTATAGAATCCTATCTGGAAGCAAAATCTCGAAGACCAAATTCAATGAAGTTAACTGGGATTATTAATGAGAAGGCTAGACTAATTCACCCTGACCTTGGGGTGCTAGGTAGGGGGCTATAGGAAATCCTGCAACGACCAACATTCCAGATGTCAAATACTTTGTTTTCATTGCTTCATTGAAACTTATAAACAAAAATTAGCTTTATTTGGCAGATGAAAACAACTGACAGTCAGACACAGACATACACACCCCATAAATAAATGCCATCTGAAAGATAAAAGTGCAGAGTGATTATAGTGTCCACTGGAGTTACAGAATGCAGGGAGATGAGGCATATTTGCAATAGTTCAAAGGGAAAAACATGGTGCAGGAAAACATTTAAATAAAGAGAAGAGATAGCTTGAATAAATGAATGTATTTTAAAATATGTAAAGCCACAATTAGCCTCTTTGTGGCTTGCTGAAAGCCGATATAGCAGTTGATAATTTACCTTTGTCCAAAAACGACAGTGAAAGAGGAAGGGGAAGGGAAACCATGGGAGAACATTTCCTGGGTTTCTTATATCTAATTTATTTGTTCATTTCAAAATGTAGGTGTGTGATGAAAAGATCAGTGGAGCTCAAATTCCTAAAATACTCCCTATGTTTAATTTTTTTTAATACCATAAGGGAAATGCTGACCCTCTAAGTCCTGCAATTGCAAGCAGTGCCACTGACTTGAAAGAAAAGCCTGATTGACGATCTTAAAACTCAAGTTGAAAGTTAAAAACAGAACACACACAAAATCCAAACATACAAAAAAGCTAACAAAATTTCTACCTTAAGCCATTTCAAGTTAAAACCAGGGGCTTCCAGTGAAAGCTCACAAAGGTTTTAAATGCTTATGATTAAGAAGGGTAAAGCAGTTGTTCCTGGAAGCTTAATTAGCACCAAGTTCAAGAATGTTGATCAGAAGTTTCCTAAATGTGAACACAGGAAATAAAATTTTTCTCCTTCACTATAAGTGTCAAATTAAATCTAAGATCCATAGTATAATTACAACCAAATTTTTATTTTTTTTCAGTGGGAAAAAGAAGCCTGGAATAAGGGGTTTTACAGAAAGGCCTTTCAACACCCAAACATAAAAGCCGGGTCAAATTTCTAACATGCTGCTCAAATGCTACAGAGTCTGCTTCCTTTCTTTGGTACATTTCAATATTTACCCCTAGTTTACTTTTTATAAACTTCAGTTAATTGAGTCATATACATGTTATAATTATGCAATTTTATATGTAATACCTAATATGCAGTATTAATGTTGTAATTCAAAGATAAATATAATAAATTCATCATACTCTATAAACATGTTTCATATAAACTGTGTATCTAAATTATCAAGGACATTAAGTGCAGAAGAAGAAGGCTTTCAACAGTGAAAGAGACCCCTCTGAAACCACTTTATACACCTTCATGACCTTTGAAGTCTGAAGCAAAAATACTCCATCTTATTTTTAAAACTTTTTAACAAAATTAACTTTATCCTTTTGCATCCTCCTCTTTCTCAAACTTAGCTAAAACAAAGTTGTTCCATAATCATGATATTATATAACATCCTCTATTCCAAGATTCCTTTTATTAATTTTAAATCTTACACAAAGTGGTTGAAAATGAGAGCTATATTTATAAGGTCAGCATGAAATGCCAATAAAATTCTTCACACATGCTTCAAATACTGTACTTCCAAGATGAACAAATGATTTGGTTATGATCTCTTACAATTAGCATTCAGTGGCTAATCAGAATTCAGTGGTAATTCCTTGGACTTAATATGATTACTCTAAAATAGTTTCTCTTGCTCATTTCCTTAAGCATTTAAATTCCTGTTATCTGCACATTTATGTTATCAATATTTCTGAAAGGAAGGGGGGAGGAGGGGACACAAGTCAGAACATACCAAAGGAATAGGGGTCCCAACAGTAAAACTGCAAACATGATTTCATTGAAGAGGCAACTTGCCCTTAGGAAGATACTATTTTAAAAGAAAAGGGGAAAAAAAAAAGAGCACTGATAGAAATACTATTTTGTAAGCATATTAAAAGCTGTCAGCTTTTAAATATTTTAAATGCACACAAAAATGTGCACAGATGGGCAACTTTTCTGCTCACATTAGTCTAGAGAAAAATCTTTCATTATCAAGCTCAAAGTCCTTGAATTTTTTAAACTTAATTGTGCCTCTATTTCTTAGAATTCACACCCCAAGGCCAAAGCTTTCCTGCCACCAGTCCTTCAAATCTGACTTGGACATTACACGGGAGGAGGCTCCAAGCCTCCCTGAGGTCTCACTCCTTTTACAACACACGAAAAAGCAGTCGATAATGGGCCCATGCTGAATTCGCTGCTCTCCACGTCTCCTCTTGGGACACAAGCCTAGCAGATGTGATAAAAACTGTGTCAGAGAAGTGGCTCTAGTTTGTGCCTTAATGACAACTTAAACCTCTAAACCAATACAACCAAAGGACTAACAGAACTGGCTGTTACCTCTCTCTCCTGCCAATCTTCAAATATCTCTGAACTAAATTAGCACCTCTACCCACAACTTCCCCTGCCACCCCACAAAATCCATTCTAATTGTAAAAGATAAATGAATTCAGCAAACACCCGTCGGTGGCATAAGTGTCTGGGCGCTGTGTATGTGTGTCCTATAATTAAGCCCTAACACATACTTCATGTAGTTTATATTTTCTCAAGGTATGATTGAGCATTCAGATATCTTAAAGGACTGCCTGGTAAATTCCCTCTGATCACCACCCCAGTAACCGTATTAACGCATACAACTGGTAGAGTTACAGTTTCCAAAAAGTACCTAAAGGTCTAAAAATTATTTTTAAATATGTTCAAACATAGGGAAGAAAAGTGATATACTGAGTTATTGAAACATTCTAATTATTAAAATTTATACAGGATAATTTTTTAAATCATGGGTGGCTATACTTTTAACTTGTAAGAATGCTTTGTCTTACCTAATGATATGGTACCAAAAAATAGATTCAAATGTGTACTTCTGATAACATTTTCTAAATTCTATAATTCAGCCTTCAGATGATAGGTCTTTTTACTCAGAATCTTGAAAGCCTATTCAGTCACAATTGCATACCCACTTAATCAGCAATCATTGTTCTGGGATGCAGGACTCTGTTGTCAAGACAAGCACCAAAACCTTAAAAAAATTTTTTTTCAGAACTGGCATAAGAAAAAAGTGATCTTTGTCAGACAAGGACAAATTTATGCAAATCTTTTATAAACATTCACAAACATTTATTTAGCTTTTGAAATGTTGGCCTCATTTGAGAGCATGAAAATGAGGGGGAAGTAGGAAAACGCAAAGGACAGCTTAGAAGCTGGCACGCTACATAAATATTCAGAAGGAAGATTATAGGATTCATGTTAGGCTGTCTTAGGCTTCTCCAAAGTCCACACAGAATAGCAAAGAACAAAACTAACGAGAAGTACAGCAGATGTTAGACAATGCATCAGCCTCTTTTCCTCTCTCACTTGGCTATACTTGGACGCTTTTATATTTTCTTTCAATATGGTTAGGTCATTCAAGGATTCTCCTATAGACTCTGTATTGTGGCTACAGATCTATAAGCTGAAGGTCTGTCAGCTTTCCAAAAGTTTCCAATGAAAAGGCATTATGCAAATTCTACCTCTCTTACCCTCTTTCAGGGGGGAAAAAGGCCTCCAGTATGCAGTCATTGGAGTATTGGAAGCCCCAGCCTTCATTTCTGTATAGCTGTGTTTGCCTCAGGGCCACGCTGCTTGTTTTGACAGTGGATCCCCCTAGATAGTTGGGATTAGTCGAGCTTGTTTAGATAAACTTGAAATCAAGGCCTTCTCTAGGTAGACAGCTAGATGTAGCTACCGAGTTTCCAGCTGCCTCTTCCTTTCATCCCAAAACAACTGCAGCTTCACAGTAGCTATCACAGCCACAGGCTATGTCACATACATAAGTACAAAATTAAAGGCTGCTAAAAGAAGCTTTTGTAAGTCTTAGTGCTAAAATAAGGAATCTGTACTGCTTGGTTTATACAAATTATTCTAGCACTACCAATATGGAACTGAAATCATCAGTTAACAAGGCATATTAATCAAGGTTCCTGGTTTCTTCTGATAGACAGGATCATAGTTTGGTAATATACCTAACCTTCTGCTTATTAGCTCTTGTATGAGAATAATAGCCTAAAATGTTGAAAAGGAAATAATAGGCTTTATTTATCCAGTGGCAGGGAATGTTAGCCACCGTCAACAAACACTGTGAGCAGAATATGAAAATCAAAATGTAAATATCAAATCTGCTTTTGAGAGAGAATTATTTAGCAATTGATTAGAACGTCTCACTAAACAGTCATCTGTTTAGTGTTACAGAACTGTTTCAAATCAACTTTTATTTCCTACAACTTGCAGATTCTGATAGAAAGAATAGGAAGATATAAGGAGGATAAGGAGGATTCAGAACTGAAAAAAATTATGCTCAGAACAGATTGATGACATTTCATTACAAAGACAGAAGGAGGTGATATGAAACACTACTGAAATAAAGAAATTATATAATTCAAAAAGTTTTCTAACATCTAACACTCAAGGGTTTTAATTTTTTGCAAGTAGAAAAAAAAGTCCCTTCAGAAGTCCAGCAAAATACAATAAAATAATACAATCTCACATACATATTTCATTTTACTTTGCATATCTTGCTGCAACAGATTCTAGTGTTTACCTGAGGCTGCCTCGGACAAATTAAACACAACAGTGGTACCAGAGTACATTCAGACACTTTACAGAACTATTCTGAAACATCATACAGTACAGAAGTTCTTTTACCATCTGACTGTACTGTCAAATCATACAAGGCAGTCTTTCGATCAAGTCTTCATTTCACCACCAAAAATGTGTTCTCCTGATTCAACAGGTAAGTCACTCTTTCAAAGTGTTAAGACATTCTGGAATTGAAGTCATCAGTTTGAGCTTATCCTATGAAATTTTGGATTCCTTTCATGTGTAACTTATAACCTAAGGAAGGAGCCGGCAAACTTTTCTCAAAAGGGCCAGATTGTAAATATTTTAGGCTTTGCGGGCCACTTATGGTCTCTGTCACATGTTCTTGTTTGTTTTTTTAACAATCCTTAACAAGGGTAAAAAACCTTCTTACCTCATAGGCCATACAAAATCCAGCCCCGGGCAGGATGTGACCAGCTGGCTTCAGGCTATAGTCTGCCAAACCCGATCTAGAGTGTTAAGGAGCCTGGCCACACCGCATAACCCAAACAAACTCACCAACACCCAAAAACCCAAATTCAGAAATCCTAAAAGGTAAAATGCCAATGCCAGTCATGTTGGTTCTCTGGTAATTCAACGATTCAAATGTGATTGTTGCCAAATGACCAAATGCCTACCGCATACAAATATGCTATTTTTAAAAAAATGTTTAAAGTATAAATAATTAAAAATAAAACATGTTTCCACCATCCAAAACTCACAACTGTTTTGTGGCATGGACTCTTCATAGAGACAATTCTTAGATCAATATAGTTCATTTCTATAGGTAAGGTCCATGGGTTTTCTTGACAGATAAATGAATTCATGCTCTATGGATAATGGAGAGCTCTTCAATTTGGGGTTTGTTTGGCTTAGAATATTTTTAAAGCAATATTGAAAGAGCAGAAAGCCTTTTCTGGTGCTCTACTCCCCACTCACTCAAAACACATTGCTTGTCCAATGACGTTCCATTAGATGAAGACTACAGAAGGGCCTCCTCCTGCCTCTCTCACTGCTCTATTTCTGGGCCCCTTCTCAACTCCTTTCCAGGACTTTATCTTTCTCCTTCTCTCTCTGCGTCCTCCTCTATTAGCAGTTTACCTATACCTTAGTTTCAATTAACAGCACAAGGTAAATGACTCTCAAATTCAAGTGTTCACTTCTGAACTACCTCTCCAGCTCCGGGTTCCTATTCTTTTTTGTTCTGTTTTGTAAAATACAAAACAAAACAGGGTCTCACTGTGTTGCCCATGCTGGAGGGAAGTGGTGCAATCTTGGCTCACTGCAATCTCTGCCTCCTGGGCTCAAGCAGTCCTCTCACCTCAGCCTCCTGAGTACCTGAGACCATAGGCGCGGACTACCACGCTTGGCTAATTTTTGTATTTTTGGTAGAGGTGGGGTTTTGCCATGTTGCTCAGGCTGACCTAGAACTCCTGAACTCAAGCGATTCACCCACTTCTGCTCCTTGGCACATTCAAGGAACTGAAAAGCAGCCTGGTATTCTGGAACAGAGGAGACTAGACAGGGTGGCAGGGGCCAGATCATGGATTAGATCCTTTCACATTCCACTTGCATGAGACTTTTTTTTGAGACGGAGTCTCGCTCTGTCACCCAGGCTGGAGTGCAGTGGCGAGATCTCGGCTCACTGCAACCCAGGGTTCAACCGATTTTCCTGCTCAGCCTCCTGAGTAGCTGGGATTACAGGCGCCCCCCCACCACGCCAGCTAATTTTTGTATTTTTAGTAGAGACAGGGTTTCGCCATGTTGGCCAGGCTAGTCTCGAACTCCTGACGTCAAGTGATCTGCCTGCCTCAGCGTCCCAAAGTACTGGGATTACAGGCGTGAGCCACCATGCCCAGTCTTGCACAAGACTTTCTAACCCTCCGTCCACCCCACATGTTCCGGACCCCAGGAGGACTTAGAGGCTATTCTCAGTGAGCTTCTCGCCTCTCCCAAGTTGACACCCCAGAATCCTGTCCTGTGTCTATAATTCCTATCATCAAATTGACCATTATCTCTAGAATGAGTTAAGAATGATGGGGGTTACACTCATTACCAGTGTTCCCCAGAGTATCTGGCACAGAGGAAACATCCAGTGAATGATGGTGCTGAAAAAAATGATTGGATGATAGATCGGATTAAGAAGGGAAGAAATAGCATTGACTGAGCACTTACTATTGCCATGCACTGTGCTAAAGTCTACATGCCTCCTTGTTTAATCCTCATAGGAAGCAGTGAGACCACATGGGCCAAAGCACAGACTTGAATTGATCAGAGAATCAAACTTTAAATATTTATTCTTGACATTGAAAATGAAAGGAATGGGGAAGACTATTAAAGTTTGTATAAATGTAATATCACATTTTTGTCAAAGGTTTACCATTTTTGCCTAATAACATGAATTATATATATAAAGTATCTAAATTGACCTATAGGAGTTTCTTCTGATTGTGGAACTAACCTATTTAGACTTTATTTGGTTCCTCATCTACCAATGGTTATCTTTTCTTGGGGCGGCTGTGGGTGAGGGGGTTAAGTAACAAGTGGAAAGGGACTGATAAAGCAACTACTATGTGTCAGGTCTTGCTAGAAGTGTTACATACCCAGTGATCCTACCACTAATTTTATGCAGATATTATCCTCCTATCGATGGAATGCACCTTGAAAACTAAGTTAAATTAGTTTCAGGTAGACTGGTGAAGTAACTTGCCTACCTCTCTACTAAAGGATGGAGATTGAGAATCTTGATTAGCATTCTGTCTCCAGGGTCACAGGCATTCACACAGCTAAGATTTTGTGCAGTACTAGCCCTCCATGTTGAATGCAGATAAAGCCTTTCTCCAACCTCACTTCCAACTTGCAGGAATAGAGTGAAATGTTTGTGCTGTTCTGTTGAAGGGCCTTAGGGTAGGGTAACCTCACCTGCCAGTTTGCCCAGGACATCCCAGTTATGCCCACGATTTCTGTGTAGTCACAGTGCTCCCTTTCAGTCTCAAAAGTATCCTGGATTGGATGCTATGGCCACCAGAATCTTAGAGGGGAAACCATGGCTTGTCTGGAGGGCAATAAAATAATAAACAGTTGTTTCATCTGCCTTGTGATGAGAAACTGGAGAGTGGTGCTAAAATAGTGAGGTTTTATCACTGGACTTCAGGCTCTTTATCTACAGGAAGGACTTGTCTACATTCTGGGATGTAGATACAATATCAGACATCATCAATTACACAGAAGCATCAAACTTCTTCTTCCTCATACTACATCAGAAAACATTTATTAAACTAGATGAATTCAGGTATTATGTAAACATTATGGCTACTTTTCCTGCCAATTCTACAAAGTTAGTATTATTAATACTTTTTCATTTTACAGATGAAAAAGATGAAGCCAAAAAATGTAGTCTTTGCCCAAAGTGTCATATCAAAAGTCAAATCTCATATAACATGGGGATATTTGCCTCCTAACTTTTCTTTGAGTTAAACATTTTATTTAAAAAAAGGCCGAGCACGGTGACTCATGCCTATAATCCCAGCACTTTGGGAGGCCAAGGTGGGTGGATCACCTGAGGTCAGGAGTTCAAGACCTGTCTGGGCAACATGGCAAAACCCTGTCTCTACTAAAAATTCAAAAATTAGCCAGGCGTGGTGACACATGCCTGTAGTCCCAGCTACTCAGGAGGATGAGGAAGAAGAATCGCTTGAACCTGGGAGACAGAGGTTGCAGTGAGCCAAGATCACACCACTGTACATTAGCCTGGGTGACTGGGTAAGACTCTGTCTAAAAAAAAATAATAATAAAAATAAAAATGTAATATTTTAAGGGGTAGGGGATATTTCTTAAGACATAAATAATACATGAATAATAAAAAGTATTTCTAGCTGCCATTAAATCTGAAAGCTATTTCTCAATTTGCCAGGGGTTTAGATCTCCAGAAATGATAAGTATCTGGCAGGTTGGAAGAGTGCTCTGATAAAAAATGTTCTCAACGCTTTACAAGTTATACCGCTAAAACTAGATACTACACAAAGAGGCATCATGTCTGATATACACTCAAATATGAGAATCATAAACACATCTGGTTAAGCCTCTCTAGGTAAAATGGGATTTAATAAAGGTATGTCTTGGTTTGTCCTACCTAGCTTAAATTCTGAGCCCAAAGATTACAGTGTGAAGACTATTCAGTCACTTATTATATATTAAATACTTGGCCTCCTAACAGCCATGCACAGTTAGTTACCAGGTCCTAGAGATCTGGACACGAAGCCGGCAAGAATCTCTGACTTCCTGCCTGGGAAAGGGAGAGGACAGGTAAACAAGTATAAAGTGGTTTAGGTTTTCTGATAGAAATCTACCTGGGGGATGTAAAAGATTCCTCAAAGGAGGTGGCATTTGAACTAACTTTTGAAAAACCAATTAGTATCTTCTAGACAAACAACCTAGATAAGAATATTCCAGGGATAAAAGCACTGTGAAACAACATTATATCACACAATTTATGTAAATAATCTTTGATAAATCAATTTTAAGAGATTCTCATTTTACAAACACCTTTTCATTTCTACCTACCAACCCCCAGCTCCCCCCGCTCACATACACATACATACATATATTCAGGCCCACAGTCTGGGCTTCATGTTATACCACTTCTGAAATCTGAAACTGACTGAAGTTACACAGTTGAAAATTATAATAGTCAGAGGAATCTTTACTGTACTGTATATAAATATTTGAAAAATGAAAGCTACCGCAGTAATACAAAATACTACACACAACCAAAAGGGCTCATTTACAAGGACAGTGGTCCCATTACTAAATTTCTGAAGTTTTGAACATGGGAATCTCAACATATAGATTTCACAACTGGAATAAAATAAATAAAAAGTAATTATCTGAAACCCCTTCATCACCATTTAAAGGGTTTTTATATTTTCAGTACATTTTAGAACATAAATATTCAGGAATTGTTTCTGATTATGTCTCTTCATCCTTACTTGACAAAATATTCACTTTTACCTTTGTGACTTCTCTAAATTTTGTTCTGAAACAGTGTGGGTTTAGAAAGGGAGGCATTTCCAGAATCCTTCCTGGATCAGTCTGAAATTCTAGAGGCAAAGGTTATCATACACAACCCTAACACCTGACAAAGGCACCAAAACCAGGTTACTTTGCTGCCTTACTTAAATCTATGCCCAGTAATAGGAGACACGACATAATTATTGGTTATGATTTGGTGTCAGGTGTTATTCTAAGCACTTCACACATTTTAAATCATGACACCCTCATAGCTATCCTACAAGGTAGTTACTATGACTATCTCTACTTTCTAGATGAGGAAATCAAATCCCCAAGTGGTAAACCCCTGTAAATGGCAGAGCCAGGATTCAGACCCTAGCAGTCTCACTCCAAAGTCCAAGCTCTTAATCACCACAATCATTCCTCTGCACTCTTTCTGGAATCTTAACTCTTGAGCAATTACATCTGTGTATCACATACCTCATGTTGTTCACTGAGCCCCCAATCTGTCCTAGCTGCTCAAAGGGGTCTGTAACATTGGCCATAGCCATTTCTACATTTGAAGCGTTCACAGATTGATGAAGACACAGATATACAAGCAAGACGACATAGGCGTGGATCCTCCCATTGCTGCCTAAAAGCTAAGGCTGAAGTGACTAATTTCATCAGGGCAAGTTTCACAGAGAAGGTGAGACAAGGTGTATAAACAGAAGTATACTGAGGTAGGAGTTGCAGGACAGCAAGGAGAAAAATATTTCAACCAAAAGCCAGTTTGGACAAAAAATATACAGGAGAGGAAAAGCCAAGCAAGCTGGGAAATGATGAGGCATCCTATGTCTGGGCTGTAAGGGGAGGCGGCAGGAGACAAGACTAGAGGCTGGGTCAAAGTCAGACTGTGACCAGCCTTAAATCCAAGTTAAGAGATTTGGAGTTGATCTTTAAGGTACCAGGGAACCATCAAGAGTTTTGACTAAAGAGAAGTTATGTGATTTGATTTAGGTTTTAGAAAGTCATCTCCGGCCATCTTAGAGAGGGTGGTGATTGTAGCGTCACTGGCTTGTAGACCATTAGGAAGAGTCCATGTGAGAGAAGCTTTGAGTGTGAATGCAGAGGGAAACAGAAGAATAGGACAGACTAGAGAGCAGTTTAGGAAAAATAATGAACAGGACTTGTAGGTGTGTCCAAGGAGCAACCGGGACTGATTCTATGAGGCTAAGAGAAAACAGAGACTGCCTCTCTCAAAAGCAGACTTGGTCCATTTAGTTTTAATCATAGCATAACTTACTAGAAACAAGACCATCCAATAGTACTCAACAGACAAAAATTTAGTGGGGCTTTTTGGGATCCAGAATAAACCCAAGAGAACATTCTCATAAGAATGTGTAAGTAAGGATTGCATAATTACCATTTCCTGGAGTCAGATTCAAATAAGTAGTAGTACAACATAGCTGTATAGCTTGGCGTGCTTTCAGAAAGAATGGCTCAAAAAGAATTTGTCTTTTTAATGAGTTCCTTCTACATAACTGTAACAGCTGGGGAGTGACCAAATTGGGAAGAAATCTTCAACTTAAAAGAAGAGCCTTAAGTCAGAAAATGTCTCAATTTTTCAATTGAGTTTGGCTAAATGTTTAAGGTTGAAATATACTTTCGTTAAGATGTCAGTTCAACCCCATCCCATTCTTAAATTCACCCTTCTCTGGAAATGGACAAAAACTCAGCATATGGACATTACTGAATAGTACCTCTTATATACAAAGTAGTTTTTCTGAGGCTGAGCATGGAATCCCAGCACTTTGGGAGGCTGAGGGAAGAGGATTGCTTGAGGCCAGGAGTTGAAGGTCATCCTGGGCAACATAGTAAGACCCCCGTCTCTAAAAAAAGATTTTTTTTTTAAATTAGGCAGCATGGTGGTACACACCCCGAAGTCCCAGCTACTCGGGAGGCTGAGGTAGGAGAATTGCCTGAGACCAGTCCAGATGTTTGAGGATACAGTGAGCTATGATTGCACCACTGCACTCCAGCCTGGGTGACAGACTGAGATGAGACCCCAACTCTAAAACACAAAACCAAACAAAAAAGTGTTTTTTCTTCAGCAAACACTTTAAAAAGCACCTTGACATTTGTCCAAGGTGATATATTTTACTAGTAACAACACGGGGAAAAATAAGAGGCAACCTGTGATAGACTATTTTTTTTTACCTATCTATGAACCTATACTTAGAAAACATTTAAACTAGCTAATTGTCAACAATGGGACACTTTTAAACATATACAAAAGAAGCAGATATTTAAGCTGGGATGTATTTCTACATCTGTAATCTATCAATGAACCTTAGAAATCTGTAATGCAGTCCTTCAGAACAGCTACATTTGGTGGCATTCACAAATACTGATATCCACTTCAAGAAACCCGCTTCAGCAGAGCACCCTGTGGCTATCATGCTAACAATCAGCTCTTAGGCCGAATAGTCTAAAGAGATTGAGAGTTTATACCTGCAGATGAAAAAATTACATTTCCACCTACGTTTCCAGACTGCCAAGTTACTAAGAAATACGGAAAGTGAGCCTTTTGGGCAAGAGGTTGAAAAACCCAAGAATCAACAGTGACTCTTAGAAAAGCACACATCTGGCCAGGCACTGCGGCTTACACCTGAAATCTTAGCACTTCAGGAGGCCAAGGTGTGAGGATCACCTGAGGTCAGGAGATGGAGACCAGCCTGGTCAACATGATGAAACCCCATCTCTACTAAAAACACAAAAATTAGCAGAGTATGTTGGCACACACTTGTAATTCCAGCTACTCGGGAGGCTGAGACATAAGAATTGCTTGAACCTAGGAGGTGGAGGTTGGCAGTGATCTGAGATTGTGCCATTGTACTCCAGTCTAGGCAACAGAGCAAGACTGTCTCAAAAAAAAAAAAGAAAGAAAGAAATGCACATATCTAAAACAACCTAAAAGGTGACCTTTAAGGGCAGCTCCAAGACTTTCCACTTGCTTCTCTATACCACTTAACTCTACTAACTTCTACGGCTTCATGTGACAGAGAACAAGAAATTGCAGGAATGTGATCATGGCAGCACCACCCAAGGGTTCTAGTTTTCAGAGACATTCCCACTTTCAAGTGTTGTGGCCATGCCATTATTCCACAAAACATCCTAGACATGCATTACTCTATAGCCTACTAGGCAGTAAGTTCCTTCAAGGGAGAGACGGAATCTACTTCTCTCCTCCTCTTTACCTGCTACGTTGTCTGGCTCAAAGTCTGCAGATAGTACACTCAGCAATCTCTCAATTAATATACAAAATCAGACCTAGTCTCCTAGACTGTTTCTGCTGCCAAACACAGATATGATGAAAAAAGAATCAGAACATATCATCACTTGTAACCATAAGTTGCTCTTTTTAAGACCAGATTATAGAACCATTTTAAAATGTGATCCATTTGACCCTTATATAAGTCCTTTGGATGAGAGTCAAATGAATTTACAAATTCTGTTCCATGGTATATAGTGCTATAAAAAGTTTCCAAGATCAAAGGTGACCTCACCATTTAAAGTGGATCTAGTTTGAAGAGAACCTGCGAGTACTGGAAGCATGACAACACCCACTTTGGAAAAGAATTAAAAAAAAAACAAGAAAGCTCAAAAGTTTCCAAGAGAAATGGGATACACCCAAGTTCAATTCCATTCTTTGTGAGCTTGGTGAATACAAGGCCCCAAGGACCACAAACCCAAAATCTCAATTCCAATGTGAAGACCCATGGTTTAAACAAGCCACTGTCGAAAGACTGGCAGAACCTTTGTGGAATCAAAGTCACATTTTATACACCACACTGCTTCTTATGTTTCTCTGCCTAATAATGATGCAAAAAAAATCAAAATTTATCATTTGTTTTATACTTCCTGTAAATATTATACATTTGTGTCATACAATGTTGGTATAATGTGGCTTCTTTTCATAGTAACAAAAATTTAGGAACTAGATTATATCTATAATTTTCTTATGAAATAGTATTCTTTCAATGAATCAGGGCATGAGTAAGTTTTACAATAGAAATGTTTTATCTCTGGCTTATCAAAATTTTGAAGAAAGTAACATGAAAGTTTTCATACACAGGAGCTCTCACCAAAAGAACAAGGCAATCTTCAACATACAAGTTGCAAGTCTTGTTTAAATATTATCTCTACCGTCTCTCTAATCAGAATCTTCCAGCTGATTTACATTGGTTATATTGTGAATAACTATAAGCTTAAGAAATGTTTTGCATGGAGCATACCTCAAGCATGAACAGATGAAAACTCCATATTTAAGCAATTACATGCAACTCAGAAATGCCAATTTCCATCACAATTAGCCTGAGTTATGCAACATATTTTTGTTCCTTTTTAGTATATAGTTGGTATATGTTTTTATAATTTGTTTAACTGCCTATAGTGAAATTTTGAAATCACATAGGCAATATAAAACCTTAAGAGAAAGGGCACCTTTTAATTTTTCCCAATGTGCCATGTTTCTACATTGCTTATAGAGCTTGTACAAGAAACACTGTTAGTTTCTATATAAAGATTTCCATAAAATTGTTATAGTTTCTATAAACGCATAAAGATTGTTGGTTTCATTATAACACTCTGTTTCAGTGCCAGTGGAAAGAAAAATTACCTGCAACTCTAAACAGCAATCTACATATACAGGGGTAGGTAACTGTGCCTGGACCACTCTTTAAAGGGCTCTAAGAGGCTCACTGTATTCCATCAAAGTGTGGATGAGCACACTGGAGAAGCAACTTTTAGCACACTCAACTCTAATTGCCACTCTTAGAAAAAACAGGCTATGAAAGTACAATTGTGAGGACAAATTATTAATTCTACGTGTTTTCGTATAAGAAGTAATCATATTATAACTAATACATTTCAAAACGGTATGTGTAATACCTATTATACTTGACACATTACAAGACTATTTATGGAAATCTCTCCGATAGGTTATTATCTCTTAATTTCAAACCATCCCATACTAAATATTGTAATTAATAAAGGCTCATGTTTTTTAATCTGAAAAAATCATATAATGTTTTGAGACCAAAGATGGGATTTTGATGAGAGTGGTGACCATAATTTGCTAACATGTTAATTTAACCATTCTTTTCTCCTTTAATTCAATTAGTATTCATTAAAACTGAACTAATCACAATAAGTAAAGTTTTACCAATTATTTCCATAACTATGAATGAACACAGTAAACATAATAGAATAATTATAAACCCACTTAATTAACTACAAGACTATTTTCAGCAGGGAAAGCTATTCATTTTTTTCTTACTTTTAATGTCTGATTGACATGATATATTTGAGAAACCAATTTCTAGAAATGAAAGAAATACATTATTATTGTGCTTCAGTCCTTTAACAAAATTTTCCAATTGGCTTTTATTAAGAGCCACATTACCTAAAGTTACAGTAAGAGACTGAAAAGAATCTAGTCCAAGCTATGCAAATCCAAAGTAACTGAAAACTTACACTGTAATTTAGTAATCTTAACCCTAAAAAGACATTTTAGACTACGTCATATTACAGTTAAGGGAGATAGAATTTAAGAAAATTTCATAAGTAAGCTGTTATTAAAATTTTTCAAAAATACAGGATTCTTTTCAAGTCAGGATCCTACCAATGTTGATGTTTTAGTATTTAAACTAGCTAAGCATTAAACAAAAGCAGATGAATAAATAATATGAACTCTGAAAAACCCCTGCTTTTGCCTTGTTTTTTTTTTTTTCTTTTAAAAAAAATATAGGCAACGCATGACTTTCAGGAATTAACAAAGCCTGTATTTCCAGGTTTAAAGATAGCAGGCTTACCAGATTTTAAATGAAATATTGAGTGCTACAGTGATTTAATGGTTTTAAACCATAGATGTCATTGTGGTCTGAGGGTGTCACAGACAACTTAAGGAGGAAAAAAAATGGGGCACAGAGAAATCACTTTGTCAGTAATTACAATCAGGCTGCTCATTACTTCTTCCTTCTGTATCGAGACCCTTATTTACATTTCAGATTACATTTTTTATGAAACAGTAAGATCTATCAGAGCTGAGAGGACTGAAATAATGAGGGGAAAACATTTTAATAAAACGTGTTGGGTCTGCATTACTTCCGTGACAGAAAGAAAGGCTTCTTCTGTAGTGATGGATCATTTATTCTGCTTCTAAACGAGAAGCAAAAAGATGAAACTGATGAACTTTTACTGCCCATTTGTCTTTAGCAGACAATTAAGACAGAGAAGATCAAAATGGATTATCATCCCACGCAGACAACTGGCCCAACAGTAATACATCTCCGGGACCACAGATTTGTAACTCTCTTTTATCCCTCCCCTTTCTTCTTACTTCTTTTTCCACTCTAAAGGCAGTGCTAGCTTTGTGGCTCAAGGAGAGCCAAAAGGCTGGTCATCATTATTCAGTCACAGATGTCAATCTAACCTCCCTTTTTTCTCAGTTTCTAAAGCAGTGAGCCACAATAATTTGTGACAGATTCTTTTACTGTAAGGTACAAAGAACACACAGAATAAAACATCTAGCAGCAGCAAGCGTCTCTGATCAATGTGCTGGTACATGGGAAATACACTATATGTAAAAACAAGCACTGGTAGTTTAGGCGAATGAGAAAAACTGGGGGAGGGGGAATTTGTGTGTGTGTGTGTGTGTGTCTGTGTGTCTGTGTGGTAATAAGTGCTATACTTTGTGGTGAATTATCTCAAATATTCCTTAAGGATTACATCATAAATGTTTTAATACTAGAAATGTTGTCGAGATTAAGTGCATATTCAGCATTTAAGGTTTGTATGTAATAGAAATATTTCTAAGAATTCCTTTATAATAGTTTTACTGTAGGAAAAGATAATTTAACAAATGTGAAGGAGAAAAAACTAAGATTACAACCTAAATGATAAAAAGATAAATTAAAAAACACACAGTTCTCACTTTCTTTCCCAGTAGATACAACTCTCAAACATATTTCTGGGAATTTGAAGATAATGTCTACAAAACAAAGTAGATCCTTCATTAATCATTTCTTGGGTTATAGGAGGCGAAAAAAAAAAGGAAATCGTATGTGTCAAGTTGGAAGAGATAAATAAATCTCTGCTAAGTGAGGCTGAGTTGTGTGCACTCTTATAAGTCTACCTCTGGTCCATGAGGACCATTCTCCAAATTTCAAAACGATGTCAATGATTTCAACAAAGAAAACAAATACTACTATACTATGCGCACCTTTAAAATAACTAAAGCTATCATTATTATTTAGGTTCCTACTATAATTCTAATAATTCCAACTTCAATATATGAAATACTTGTAAGACCATCCATTAACTAAAGCAAAGAGAATTACGTTCATAAGATAATATCTAATCAGTCAACTGAGCTCTGTATACAATGATGGAATTGATAATAGCCTATATTTCTCTCAGTACACACATATGCAAGAATAGTACATGTGTATGCATATACGTACACATACACTCTCCTTAAACGCACAAACTTCTATGTGTACTCAGGGAAATAAACATGGAAAGCTAAACACCAAATTGTTACAGTGGTTATCTCTGTGCAGTATAATAACTGATGATTTGTATTTTCTTTCTTTTCATTCTTTTGTAAATTTATTTTTGCTTTATCTATAGTTTCTACATGTTTTGTCATGAACATATTACCCATGCAGTTTTTTAAAGTTATACTAAAAAAGAAATCATGTTGTTCAAAAACTTTCAGATATAGTAAGAAACTATGTTGAACGGAATAGACCCAGATGGTAACTATGCTATTTTAAGTTTCTCCTATAAAATTCCCTCTCACTGAGAATTCAGATCATGGAACTACAAAGGTTATTTACCTAGACACAAGACTTTAGAACAATAATTTTGTTAAAATCTGTGGACTCAAGTGTATTCTAAATAATACGTTAAGATTTTCCAGCCTTTATATATTGTCTAAAGAAAGGAAATTCATTAATGAAAAGGTCCTATAATCCTTGGATTGCGTAGTTTGAATCTAAAGAGCCCAATCTCATAGAAATTTAAGATAAAATAAAAATTTAACTCTCCTAGTAGAAGATGAAGCAAGAGACAGAGTCAGAAGATTTTAATATTTTTTAAAATCTTATTTAAAAGTCTTGAGATCAAACACAAAGCAAACCATACCAGTTCTCTTGGGTTCTTGTACTATAAGATCTCATTACAAAGCATCTCATTATACTGATTATCCAGTTCTATTCCTGGTCACATTATGTCCCCTTTATTCATAAAGATGTATCAGATACCTTGCTCTCTATACAACAAGACACACTGCAAAGGTGTTACTATCACTGTACTGGGTATTTCTATTCTATTGTACTTATCCTCATTCAAAGACTTTTAATAAAAAAATTAAATAGATGTGCTTAAGGAAGATGCTTTTACTGTATATGGTATTTCACATGTGAAAGGTTTTATAAAGTTGTCTTATTCAGTGTAATCAAGAATGCTTTTATTTCAAAGCTGCTTTAAAAAGTATACCAAATTGCATATTTGAACTAAAAATGTAAGGTGCCCCAAAAAAGCTACAAAACATCTTCAATATCTCTCAAGATAGAAACTAGAATCCTGAATGTATAACCTAGAACTAATTATAAAAAATACAGCAACATCAGAACTTCAGCACTATCTTGTGAGTAAAATCGTTCCTTCTACCCCATTCTATGCTTGCAGAATGCTGTCAATTCAAGATGGTAGAGCCAACTGGCCAACCTTAACTCACTATCCTCATCAGCACCACCCTCACCCTTAAGTCCATTTCTGCACGTGCATCTTCTCCTTCCAATACTACCATAACACATAATTTCATCATCTATTTCAAATTCCAGGAAATGTTATAAACTTCCCTCTTCCCTCTTTTTTGTTACACTGCTTCTTGACTCCTGAAATAGCATTTTTTTAAAAAGTTCACAGGCAATGCAAAAAGGATTTCCTAATGAAGTGTAGACTGTAGCAAACCTCAAAGTGAAGAGTAAAATTTGTGATAGGTTTTCTTCCTTATTTTGTGTTCATTTTCTCCCTGAAGGAAACACCCCAAATCTAGCACCAATATTTTCAGTCCTACTTCAATACGTTTTACTTTTTGTCTTTGGTTCCTAATTACTGCTTTTCTTCCCTTCTAAAAATTCATTTATCTCTTTCAGTAAAAAGAACAGTAATAATATGTTGAACAACTCTGAAATAAATTTTGTCATGTAAAAAATTAATTACGCATTCCGAACCTGGTCACTGTAGTCCTCCGGGAATTGCCTCTGCACCTCAGGATCTGTAAATAATTGACAGATAATATTAATTGGCTTTGGATTAGTGAGCAAGCAGAGGATCACACATTAATATTTGATCAGAAGATGATAGCAGCCCTGGCAGGGGATCCAAGGGGGGCAGCTGAGGCTGCTATGTTGATGAGCACAAGGAAGGACTCGGCAAGGCACTCCCATTACCCTCCTCCAGAAATATAAAAAAGAAAAATTTTAAAGACCTGATGCTACTGTTAACTTTAGACTATTACCTAATGCAAAAATCTTGCCAGCTGCAAATTGCCCTCAATATATTTTTCCAGAGAAAATGAGTCTTAAATCTGCTTGACTTTTCTTCTCTAATCAGAAGCCTCCTTTGCATAGTTACAGATGTGGGCTTGATAAACCACCTTAAGCACTGGTTTCAGACTGGGGAGAAAGGGGGAGTGAGAGAATTCTTTCAAGGAATAAATGCAAAACTCATCGCTTTAATAAATGAAATATATCCTTCTCAAAATGCTTGTACACTCTTATGAAAATGCAGATAAAACTGGATGGAAGTTTTCTTCAAAAGAGGACCAACGCTTTTGGCTTGTCAGTGTAAACAAAATATGAAAAAATTATGTTCCAGCTGACATAATTAAACTTGCTCAGAAACTATACAAATACATGGCAGAAAATACCTTTCATGATCACCTATTTAAAATGGAGTTACTAAAGGGATCACTTTATTCTTAAATCATAAGCAAGATGATCCAATGCCATCTTCTGTAAGTCAATACAGAAGTGAACAAATTAAAAGCTATTAGCATTCCATTTACTATCGATTAGGAAAACATTCAATCATTTCTAATAAGGAAAAGATTTGATTCCTTTGAGACATGTTAAGGGAAGTGATCAGAGGTCAGAATAATATCTATTTGAGAAATCATGTATCAATTCAAAGGCTTATGGAAAATCATAGATTTGAGGGTCTCCCGTCTAACAGTGGTCACAATATATGCTACCCATGGCTACCTTTAAACACCATACTAAAACACTAATTTACATCCTTGTGAAAATGAATCCACGTAAAAGTTCACTGCAGTCCATTTCTTCAGTGAATAATCAAGAAGGGAAAAAACTAAGGGCCTATTCACAAACTACTAGGATCCTAGAAATACCAGTTTTCAAGTCATTAAAACCAATGTGTATTATTTTTTAAAACACAAGACTAATAATAAAAGCAGGAATATTCAAAAGGTTATGCCAAAAGTAGAGCCTCTCGAAATGAGTGGTGCAAAAAAGTTGAAACTATCTGCAAGTGATTTCAACTCTTGACGTGTATTTTGCTTGACTTAAAAGCTGGGAATCAATTTCTTTCTTCACCCTCGTCTTCAACTACTGGGAAGGAATCAATGATGTGCCTAGACCGACTAGAGAACTCTGGAGTAATGCCCCTGCAGTACCAACTCAGGGCTTCCCTGATAGGCAGCAGTTTCTTCACTTGACCTGTCTTTGGCCTGAAGGACTGAAACTGCCCAAGGACTCAGCCCTCGTGAGAGAGGAGGCCAGCGGGCACCAAGAGTGTGGCAGGAAAAGGACTAGGCTGGCGGAGAAGAATTCGCCAGCAGGAGACAAAGGGGCAGCCTGTTGCCCAAGAATCCTCTACCAGTGTACAGTGAGGGGAAAGGGGGTGAACAACGGGGAACAAGGGGCCTAAAAAAGAGCAGTGGCTATAATCCCTAAAACATACATACAGAACTTAAAATTTGGTCCAGAGACCCAAAAAATGTAGCTCTAAGCCACTGAGGGACATAATAAAACAGAGGCTGGGAAAGCCACTAAATCATCTAAGGCTTATTCTTTTTCTTCCAATTGACATGTGGTTTAACACTTATTCTTCAGCTACCAAACTTCATACAAAAATTACTTTCATGCCAATCGTTACTATCATGCCCTCTTTCTTGCAGTAATTTGTGCTTCTTGGGAACTACAAAATACCCATGAAAACAAAACCAAAGACTACTTTTCTATCACCATTTTGTGAAAGACTATATGTCCGAAACCAAAATTTGTAGTATATTCTTCAATTTTTAAAAATACCATTCTTATTCCTAGGTGGCAGATGCTTCTTAAATCTTTTCAGTCAACTATATTAATAAGAAACCATAATAAACTCATTTAAAAAATATTTTTGATTAATATATACAACATAGCATTGAAAAAAGCATGGGAAAATTAATGAAAAGAAAAAAAATCAACCTATCTTAACACATTGAAGATAAAGATGACCATGGAATGCCAAGAAGGAGGCCATTCAAACTGTATCATTCCCAATACTGCCTCAATGGAAAGCAATATAAACGCCATCAATTAGATTCCTTCAATTGTCCTAAGACTCTCTACAATGAAATTACCAGGTTTTAACACAATAACGTTCCAAGAGAATACATGCATTATTAGTTACTATGATTCAAGTATACAACTCTTGGTTTCTTTTCATTAAGGCCACTAACATTTACAAAAAACAAACTTCATAGGTCTTTAACATTCACCAAAGCAATATAATACATTTTTAAAAAGAAAGAAAAGCAATGCTTTTTAAAACCAAGTCAACCTATCAAGTTCCATTCAATTAGCTCAAAGATTCAGTCCGATAGTTCATAAAACTACGAAAGCCATTTTGGAAAGATTAACACAAAAACTGCAAATAATTTATTTGAATTTTCTTAAAATGTCTAACACAGGAGGCTGAAATCTTTTTTCACATTGAGTCAATCGCAATGCCATAATGTCACCAAAATATCGACATTGGAAACATCTGAGTTAAAAAGGTCCAAATACAATCTGCTTTTCTCAAGCAACACAACACCCGCCTTACTAACAGTTTCAGCATGGCACATGTACAAAACCTAGCACCCTGCAGTTAAGCAAACCGCCTTTAAATTTTCTGTCTGGCAGCAATCCACTTGCGTGTCTGTATGTTTTTACAAGTACTCTATGTATTTCATTGCGTCAGCTGCATTTCTTTGAGTTTTAAATGGTCTGGGAACATTTTATGAAATGTTCTATATCTTTATATGGAAAATAACATACACTGGAAAACTGTGCATCGGTCTAATATTTATATATCTATTTCTTTATCCACCACTCAATGCTATAATTGCTAACGTTCCAAAACACCTTCTCACATTCATAAGTTCATCATCAAATGCAGTGTTATCAAACAGCTAACTTTCAACACAAAAATCTGCAGGGAAGAGTACTACCATGGAAGAAAGTAACATAATTTGCTTAGGCGATTGGCAGTAAGAATAATCAGCGTATGTCAAGCTTTTACCCAAGAATTGTCCTGCTGACAGAAAATTAAGAATCTAGTGGTACATAGCACACCCTTCTTTCCTTATCCTTTTCTCTCAACAACTTTCTCCTACTTCAGACAATAGATAACTCACAAACTTAAAAATCAATGTCATCAACTCCCAGGAAAATACTTTTCAACAGGAAAAAAATATTGTATTTAAAATATCTTGCTAATAATATGTACGCCCTAATAGAGTCCATGCATCTCTTAACCAAAGAGGCAGGTAGCTCTCAGACAAGGTTTCGTATCATGTCATTGTGATGTCACAGCACCATGGCCATCAAAGAGGCTGTCCCCACAGAAAAGTGTGTATCACTTTCACTGAAGGCCACAAGAAGCATTTCCATATTTGAACACACACATTTCACAGTATAGGACTCCCAAAAGCACAATCTCACTCAGGCACAGAACATGACCATGCTTAAAAAGCTATGTCTTCACAGCAGGAAAAAACTGATCTCCTAAACAAACATGTCTAACATTTTTTCTTTTAAGAAAGGCTAATCTTCTTCCATCTCAACAGTCTATGTTTTCCAGTCTTCTACTATACATACTTTTAAATCTTTAAGATATACCAGATTGCTACAGAATGTTTAATTAATAGAATAAGAGTGTGTGCAAGACTTACTGGAAAGGTGCTATAAATTATTTTACACAGGCTCCAAAAACCCTGAGTTCTGCCTTAGGCTTAAAGTTCCTAGAAAACGTGGTAGACAGATCTTTTACAACAGAAATGCAAAATAATTCATAAAAGTGCTGTGGTTACGTATGAGGGCTCATTTGTACATTGGTAACTCCTATGTGTACATACACACACACACACACACACACACACACACACACATCTTACCAAATTATTTTCCTGTTTCCCTCTGTCATACCAATGACTTCATTTAAAGAGTCAAGGCATGACATATTTTTAAACTGATTAAAAAATACACCGACTTCACTTTGTACAAAACACGTTAACAACTGCATACTAACCAAACGCCATCATCTCCTATAATAGGACCTCTTTTAGGAAATTTAAGAGAAACTGCAAATGTAGCAGTTAACACGGGAATCTACACTGCTTTCACTTTTAACATGTTAGGTATTCAAGGCAGAAAACATTACATTTAATGCCCGCTGAATTTACCCAATCATTATCTCTAGGATATTTCAATCAATAAGAGACAAAATATTGAACATATTTAAAGCTTACAATTACAAATTCTGCCCTTTAAGAAGCAGGACTTTAACATTAGCTATACACCATATAATCTCATTGTTCAATTTCATGGAGTTTGAGATACTATCTTCCTCTCCCCACAACCATAAATGTTAATCCAAGCTGTAATCAGATTTAATTTTCCAGATGAGAAGATGGGAATATGCTGCAAACAGGATAACAGTCCACTACACTGCTCTTTCACTAATGACATTTCCAAATTTTATACACTAAAAATGCAGACTTTCAGAAAATAGTCTAAGAAGTTGTATAGTTTGAGAACAAGCTCAAATTTTCCCCAAAATACACCCAGAAATAAGCTTTCTTTTAATCCTCAAGAAGAAAATTTTTTTGTATTATGCAAAATTAAAGTTTCTTGATAAGATGACCGCAAACTGGACTGCATTAAATATAGCGTTTCAAGGACACTAGTAAACTTACTATAGCTATAAAAACTCAGCTTCATTTATTTTACATTGTAAAATACCTGACTCATTAGGTTAGCATTTTGTAATAACTAAACACAATTATTCTAGTAAATTATATTGTTCGATTGTTAAAATTTACTTGTTACAAATAATATATTTTTGAAAAGAATGTTTGAAATGTTTTACAGAGTTTAAAAATCACCAGCATGTTTTCCTTTTTTTGACAATGAAACAAAAAGGTTTAGGTTGTTTTTCCTTTTGAATTTTTTTAATTAAAAATTACTCTTTTCAAAAAATACTGATTCTAAAATGCAGATTTGACTCTAAAATTTGAAAGACGTCTAATTCATAAATTAGAAAAAAAATCATTTTGAAGGACTATAAATGAACATTTATTTGGATTCCACGTACAAATGAAATTTGTTATTTAAAAAAAATCTATTCTAGGTGTAACTTTTTGCTTTAGCACATGAAGGCTGTAAGACATAAAAACTTTAAATCATCCCAATTTTTAACCATGAGTCTAGTCTACCATTTTCCCCCAACACTGGCATTTAAAGTATAATCAAATGCAATTTCACAGCAGCCAGCCTGATAACATAGGAACAGTTAACCATCAACACCCATAATAAAAACACAAATAACATTATTCAAGGAAAGACAGCAAAAACCCACCTCAGTATGGCAAGCAATGGAGCCATTCACATGCCAGATTCCTCCTCAGACTAACATATTCTGCCATTCAGACATATCCTGCTCCGATGTGACTATTTATGCATAAACAGCAGACACTGACCTATTGTTTTCAGTTGTTGAAGTTATGAATGTAGTACAGTTACCAATTAAGTGAATCAACAAGTCCTAAATACATCAGCTGTTGTACAAATAATGAGTCCATTGACATTATACAGTAAAATCTAGGGAGTTTCATCTTTCTTTCTGGAGAATATGGAAGGATTTTAACCAGCAAATGCCACTACTTACTGATAGTTTGAAATATTTTTTATAACTTCATCTACAAAAGGAATATAAGTCTGATCCTTAAACAAATTTATGCTATGTGAATCCAAAAATCAAACATAAGTGAAATTCCAAAGGGAGCTTTAAAATGCAAAAGGAAGGGTAGGGTGTGCTGGAGGCAAAAAAAAAAAAAAAAAAAAAAAATCAAAAGGATATGTTCACTTACATTTACCTTTTTCTCTACTGAATATCTTAGTTTTCAACTTTCATTATTACTTAAATTTAAATATTTGGAATTTTTTAAAATTACTTCAAAATTATTGGAAACAATTCCTAAAATCTATCAAATTGATAGATAATTATAGATGAGTTTTTTTATGATTATAATCTCAGGCTTCCATGTAATTTCTCTATGAGTTAGGATTCATTTTATCCCACTTTTTTGAATGAGTAACCTGAAGTGTCACATTTTTATGCCAATATGAATAATTACTTTATACTTTGCCTAAACGACAGCTGTGCCCTTTATGTATTACAAATATGACATCACTCCATATGGTCTTCATAAATAGATGTATCATATGTGTCAAATTTGGTGAAAAGAGATAACTTATTTATTCAAATATAAAAAAACTATTTGATGGAACACCCACTATTTGCCAGGCACTGTGACAGGCATTTTAGAGAAATTTTCTGATTTTACCTTCCTGACAAAGCTATGCTATAGAGACTATCAAATCAATTTTATCATAGTTAAAGCAATAGGTTATCACTTGTCCAAAGTTAGAAAATTAGTAGTCACTCGTGGAACAAATGCTCTGCTGTGGCTGGCCCTGTTGATAAATAAGACACAGTCCTCACCCTCCAGGAGTTTACAGTCTAGCCCTAATGGAGAACACACAGAATTAAACAAGCAGGTACCATGGGGCTTGGTAAGTGTGATACTAGGAGTTAATCAGCACAGGGGCATCTGGCCTTGTCCTAAGGGGGCAGAAAAAGGTTCCACGAAGAAGTAGTAGAGCCAGGGGTAGAGTCCAGGACTAGATCAGGGCTCATCCCATAACACGGCACGCCCACTTCTGAAGCATATACAATATAGTGAATAGGTCTGTTATGAGGCCAAGTTCCATGTCTTACTTAACTTTGTCTCCTACAAAATGTCTTAACTGTTATAAATACCGAACAAATATTTGGAGTGTAATAGAATTAATAGAACAAAATGAACTCATTAAACACCCTGTGTCTCCAAGTGGATAAAAGGCCAATTTCCAAATATCCAAATGAAAACAAGCCTTTGAATGCTACAGACTTCCTAAAGATCACACTGACATGTCGTAAGCACACAATAAATATTAGTTGTTGTTATATTATTAACCCCAATGGAGAAATAAGCAAGCACTATAAATTCAATGACTACAGATGTATAGGTGTGCCTCAAATTGGAAATACATGTGTTCCTGAAATAAACTTTTATAAACCCAATTAAAATTTTCCCATTGCCTTCTACTGCTTACTTAGAAACACTATAACTTTATCAGAAACTGATTTTCTCTACATTGTCAGTAGTTCCAAAATCTTTAAGCTACAGTTTATTCGCCTCCTGGCATCTGTTTTGCTAATGATCTGTAAACATCAAATACACAAGGGACTCCCCCAGATTTACAGAAACCCTGAGGTGAATCTGTATAAATTGAAGGACCCTTCTGCTAATTCCTTTGCTTTCTAAGTTTGCATACTGGGTTTCAGGAAGAGTCCCACTAAACATTTTTGCAGTAACAATTATAATACTACCAGCTACCTCTTAGGTATACCATTGCCATAGGTGGCTTAATTTTTATCCTATTTCATCAAAATGACTCTTCCAGGTAAGTAGAAGCTCTCTATTTAATAAATAAGAAGAGTGAGGCTCACAATGAACAAATTCAGAGTTAAGTAACAGAGCTGGGATTCAGCCTGAATCCATCAGGCCCCAAAGAATCCAACACTGGCTTTTCTTTTTGGCTTTATTTATTTACATCCTCCTGTTGATCTGTCTTCTAGTCATTACTGTGACTCAACAATAAGAATACATCTGGACAAATAACTACAACATGTTTTCATGAAACAGGCCTTAGCGGATTATGAATGACAGCTTTCCAATTTCTTTATTTATAGTCCTCTGCCAAGTTCAGGATATAAATAAAATGACTCCAAAGTAACTGGCACTCTATTCAACTAGTAAATACAATATTTAAAAGATGAATTCATATTAAAAACTTAGAATAATTTTGAAGGCTAGAGTTATCCTTATCTCATCTATGAAAAAAAATTGCTAAACAAATAGAGTAAATAAAAACACAGAGAAAATGTCTTCCTACTTAAGAAAACATGTTCTCATCGTGTGTTCTAAACCACAATGAGAACCCCAATGCTGGAGTTCCCATTCATACAGGAGAGACAATGCGGACATCTCTGCAGGGGAAGCACATGCCCATCAAACAGAGCCTTCCTTATACCAAAATCCTGTCTTCCCCACTCCACCCTGCTTCCAGGGAACAAGCCACTGCTGCCTAGCCCTTATCTGTACCATTAGAGAAGCAGTGCCTATGTCCTTTGAGACTTTTGTTGTTGTAGTAAAATATACATACAATTTACTATTTTGACCATCTTTAAGTACCATGTTGTGACATTGAGTACATTCACATTGTTGTGCCACAATCACCACTATCCATCTCCAGAAATTTCTCATCTTCCCCAACTGAAACCTTGAACCCATTAAACACCAACTCTTCATTATCTCCTTCTCCCAGCCCCTGGCAACCACCAATCTACTTTCTGTCTCTATGAATTTGAATAGTCTAGTTACATGATATAAGTGGAATCACTTAGCATGATGTCTTCAGGGTTCATTCATGATGTCGCATGTGTCACAATTCCCTTCCTTTTCACAGATGAGTAACATTCCATTGTATGTAGATACCACATTGCTTATTATTCCATCAATGGACATATGGGTTATTTCCACCTTTTGGCTATTGTGAATAATGCTGCTATGAACATGCATGTGCAAATGTCTATTCAGGTCCCTGCTTTCACTTCTTTTGCATATATATCCACAAGTCAAATTACTGGATCATATAATAATTCTACATTAATTTTTTGAGGACCTTTACCATTTTTAATGTTTTAAGAACTTTATGTAGTAAAGCTATCCTAACAGCCTACAATCCTTAGTGCAGACATTAAGACCAACCCAGCCAATTTCATATCTGTGTCTTAAATATAAATCCCTAAACCTGGCCAGCTTAATCATTTAACTTTCCCACAAAACTTGACATGCTCTATTCACCTTTCTCATCTTCCCACTATCCAAATCTTTCAAAAGATGCACTTAGGCATCACTCATAAATGTGACCAATTGTATATTCTTACATGAATTAACAGTCAATCATACCAACACTTTTTAAAAATTCAAAAGACAAAGAACTATGTCTTCCATCAAAAGTACACTGAATTTTTAATGAGGTTGCCACAGGAACAGCAAAACTGGCACACTCACGTCTATGGCTCCCCAACTCACAAAACTAACTTGCTTTTGGCACTCCTGGTCAGCCAGAAGCAAAACTTGCAACCTCTTCTAAGCTCCCTTTACATCCTTACCTTCTTACTGCAACCGAATGCTCACTTCCTCTGGGGTCCTTTCAAGAGTTGGATGTTTCTTCCCTACCTCTCCGCCCACTGGCCTGGAGGTGGGATAGATGGCCTCTGTTCATTAGAGCCACTTACAGGCCATTCACCTTCCTTACTCTCCAAAACCCTAGATTTTAACCTCTGGTCACCAGACCATGCCCTCCTCCCTACCACACCAACACCACCACCACCATTCTGCTTTGTTGTCACCTACTAATTCCAGGGTTATTCCTCATCCTTGACTCTTGGGGATCATACTGCATTGCCACTCACTCTAACACCACTCCCACAACAATCTCACCCTCTACTCCTACGGTCACACCCTAAACTCTACCACTACCAATAATTGAAATCCCCTTAGTAATTGCAAATTTCAAGCATCTCAGTCTCCAACCATGATCCACCTTCTCTCTTTCCATTCAACCCCTGTAGCACTCTTCCTTCTTCTATTCCACAGGGGCATATACTCTATCCATCTTTTCACTACTGCCTTTTTTTTTTTTTTGACACAGAGTTTCACGCTTGTTGCCCAGGCTGGAGTTCAATGGCGCGATCTCGGCTCACCGCAACCTTCGCCTCCCGGGTTCAAGCGATTCTCCTGCCTCAGCCTCCCAAGTAGCTGGGATTACAGGCAGGCACCACCACACCCAGCTAATTTTGTACTTTTAGTAGAGTCGGGGTTTCTCTGTGTTGGTCAGGCTGGTCTCTAACTCCCAACCTCAGGTGATCTGCCCTCCTCAGCCTCCCAAAGTGCTGGGATTATAGGCGTGAGCCACCACACTCAGCCCTTTTCACTGCCTTTGATCCACCTCAGGTCTACATGATTCTCCTTACATAGCTTAAATTCTATTGTTATAACTGTTCCTTTATACACATTCTCATCTGCCTTGTGCCTCTTTGTCATCCTCTCTTGGCAAACTCCAGTCATTGTTAAATCCAACTACCCGCCTGCACCCATATAGCTAACAGGGGGTCCATTTTCATAGCTGTTTCATGTATACTTGGAAACTCCTGACACCTTATAGTTTAAGGTATGTGGCTGGACAAAAACACACAGCTATGCCGATTAATCTCACCTTAAATCTGTGGTTAGTAACTGTAAGTGAGCTTTAATGCAACTCAGTAATTATAACACATTTTCCTTCATTCATTCACTTTCTTTTTCTCTCTCTCCTTGGTGACTATTTTATACTTTCTTCTCTTCCCTCAAATCTTCTCCAACCTCAATTGCCACTGATTCCCTTACTGGCCACTTCCCTGAGAAAACAGAGGAATCAGAAGAGAACTCCCACAAGCCCCACCACCACCTCTATTCTCCCACCACCTCTGCCCCACAGACTCTGCCTTCGTCTTATTACGTGACCCTTGCAAAGGTCCTTTGTCCACTTGTGAAAGAGGACTCCATCCCCTCTTGCCAACTCAGACAGAGCTCCACCAATCCTCCTGTTTTATTCATTTTACCTCTCTATAGGATCTTTCCCATCAGCATAGAAACATGCTGTTATTTCTACAGATATTTCTTAAAAGGTCAAGCCCACTTTCCAACAGCTACCACCCCATTTCTCTCCTTTTCTTTGTAGCTATATTCTTTGAAACAGTGTCTATACCCACAGTCACCACTTTGTCGCCTCCTACTCTCTTGGACCCATGACAACCAAGCTTTCACCTCACCGCTTCTCTGAAACTACTCACATACCAACAGCCACACCAATGACCTTCTTTTACTGCTAACATCAATTATCAATCTTTAGTCTTGATCTACAAGCACAATTTCACACCCATGATTGCTTCTTCCTTGATACAGTTTGGCTGTGTCCCCAACCAAATCTCATCTTGAATTGTAACTCCCGCAATTCCCACATGTTATGGGAGGAACCCGTGGAAGGTGATTGAATTATAAGGGTGGGTCTTTCCTGCAATGTTCTCGTGATAGTGAATGAGTCTCATGAGATCTGATGGTTTTAAAAATGGGAATTTCCATGCACAAGCTCTGTCTTTGCCTGCTGCCATCCATGTAATACGTGACTTGTTCCTCCTTGCCTTCTACCATGATTGTGAGGCCTCCCCAGGCATGTGGAACTGTAAGTCTCATTAAACCTCTTTCTTTTATAAATTGCCCAGTCTCGGGTATGTCTTTATAGCAGCATGAAAATGGACCAATACACTCCTGGAGTCACTTTCTTTCTTCAGGCGGCTTCCAAAGCATCCCACTCTCCTGCCTCACTGGCTTCTGCAGGCTCCTTGCTGATCTCTCCCTATTGAAGAGCTCCAGAACTCAGTCCTTGGACTTGACTTTCTTTCCTTTGCTGGTCCTCTTTCAGTCCCATCACTTCAAATATGCACTATCAATTTTAAATTTATTTCTCCAGCTCCTATCTCTTCCAATTCTAGACTCATTTATCTAACTGTCTACTCAACATCTCCACTTGACGTCTCAAATTTAACATATCCAAAATGGAACTCCTGATCTTTCTCTCACATCCCAGAGCCAATGTATCAGCCACTCCTGCCAACTAAATCTTCAAAATATATTCAAATTCTGACCATTTCACTCTATCTCCACCACTAACACCCTGATTTAAGCCACCATCATTTTCCACCTGGATTAACTACCAATAGCTTCCTAACAGGTTTTCCTGCTTCTGGTTCCAATTTCCTGTAGTCTGTTCTCAAATAGCATCTAGAGGAATCCTGTAAAACTCAATACAGGGCCTCCTCTACAACGTCCTCCCTTCACCAGCATACCTCTGCACTCACTTCCTAACTCTCCTCTCCTAACTTTGTTCCCGCCTTGCTGGTCTGCTTGCTGCTTCTCAAACATGCATGCCATGCTTCCACTTCATGGCTTATACCCACACAATTCACTCTGTCTGATAAAATATCAAGGAATAAGGCATGTGCTATCAGATTTTATTCACAAGGTAGTTTCCCAATGTGGCCTTCCCTAATCACCTTATTTAAATTTATAATTTTCCTATCCCCACCATTCCTCATTCCATTTTCCTGGGTTATGTTTCTCTTTAGTGCATTTCACCATGCAACATATTATATACAGGTAGAGTAGCTTCTCTTTTTCAAAATGCTTGGGACTAGAAGTGTTTTTTCAGATTTTGTAATATTTCATATACATAATGAGATATCTTGAGGATGGGCCCCAAGTCTAAATGCAAAATTTATATTTCATATATACCATATACACATAGCCTGAAGGTAATTTATACAATTTTTTTTTTTTTTGAGACAGAGTCTCACTCTGTCACCCAAGATGGACTGTAATGGCATGATCTCAGCTCACTGCAACTTCTGCCTCCTGGGTTCAAGCGATTATCCTGCCTTAGCCTCCCGAGTAGTTGGGATTACAGGCGCCTGCCACCATGCCCAGCTAATTTTTGAATTATTATTAGAGTCGGGGTTTCATCGTGTTGGCCAGGCTGGTCTCAAACTCCTGACCTCAAGTGACCTGCCCACCTTGACCTCCGAAAGCACTGGGATTACAGGTGGGAGCCACTGCACCATCCTATATATTATTTTAATAATTTTGTGCATTAAACAAAGTTTGTACAATTAACCATCAGAAAGCAAAGATGTCACTGTCTTAGCCACCCATGTGGACAATCTGTGGTTTGGCATCACCATCATTCCCAACTGTGAATTTATATGCTACCAATAAGCAATTATTTTCTTGTACCTATTTACATATAAGTACCTAACAGTAAAAAATATGACATACTGGTTTTGGGGGGTTGTTTTTTGTTTTCAGATGGAGTCTCGCTCTATCACCCAGGCTGGAGTGCAGTGGCACTATCTCTCCTCACTGCAACCTCCACCTTCCAGGTTCAAGTGATTCTCCTGCCTCAGCCTCCCAAGTAGCTGGGATTACAAGCACCCGCCACCATGCCTGGCTAATTTTTGTATTTTCAGTAGAGATGGGGTTTTGCCATGTTGGGCAGGCTGGTCTTGAACTCCTGACCTCAAGGGATCCACCCGCCTCAGCCTCCCAAAGTGCTGGGATTATGGCCACCATGCCCGGCCAACATACTGTTTGTTTGTTGTTTTATTGAGACAGAGTCTCGCTCTGTCACCGAGGCTGGAGTGCAGTGGCGTGATCTTGGCTCACCGCAACCTCTGCCTCCTGGGTTCAAGCGATTCTCCCGCCTCAGCCTCCCCGAGTAGTTGGGATTACAGGTGCCCGCCACTACGCCCAGCTAATATTTGCATTTTTAGTAGAGACGGGGTTTCACCACATTGGCCAGGTTGGTCTCGAACTCCTGACCTCAGGTGATCTGCCCGCCTCGGTCTCCCAAAGTGCTGGGATTACAGGTGTGAGCCACCGTGCCCAGCCCTGACATACTGTTAATAGAGTGAAAAAATAACATGTTCAGAGTAACTTGTGACATCACATCAGCACTCAGGAAGTTTTGGATTTTGGAGCATTTTGGATTTTCAGATTAGGAATGCTTAACCTGTACTTATTATCTGTTTTCCCCTCCTAAATTATACACTTTATAAAGGCAAGGATCTTCGCTTATTTTGTTCACTACTGTATCCCCAGCGCCTGGAAAAAGGCCTAGCATATAAATACTGAATGAAAAAAAGAAGGAATGAAGGAATAAAGGGAGTAATACCCTTTCTTCTCAAATACCTCTTTTGGCAACATGTACCAAAAGCATTATCAATGTCCTCACTCTATACCCTAGTAATTCCAAACCTTAAAATCTATCTGAAGGAAATAGTCTGAAATGTAGGTACTTTTTAAAAATTTTTTCAAGCATCATTGCAAAAATTGAAAGAGTGTTAATAAGTTCAAGTGATGCAATATTTACATCACCATAACATGTGGAAATACATCATTGCATTATGAAGAATTAACTCAAAATACAAAGATTTATCATACTGTAATAGCAGTTATCATTTTTTAATGTTCTAAATCCAGACTAAAATTTAACTCATCAAAATATCTAGCCATGAGTGAGTTGTAGGATTATTGGTGATTTTTTTTGGCCTTATATTCTGAATTTTCTATATTTTTAATAAGATTCATAATTTTTTAAATGAACTTTGCAAATAAATATGTTCCTGGGAAATTAGATTTACATTACAACAGTTTATAATGTCCCCATCTGCCTCTTCCAGGAATCCATCCCTGACTACGTCAGCCCACATTTGACTGGTCTCCTCCCTAAGCTTCTGTAATATTCGCTACTTTGGCAGCATAATAAATGACTAAGCACCTGATTATGCACCTAATCATTTCTCGTCTTCGACTGTTAATTCTTTCATTTAAGTACTTGTCTCCCCAGTAAGTAAAATAAGCCACTCCAATGACCAGAACCCATGTCTCCTTACCATCTGTGCTCTTGCCACAGATAAAGGCACCACAGACTTCAAGCACAGTGCACAGCACAGAGTAGGCTGCCTTCCATACATGTTTGCTGAATTGAATTCTATCTGAATTGCCCTTATTAAATTTCCTGGGATAGATTAATTCAGGGGCACTCCAGCCAACTCTCCTTCAACAGACTTCATGGAATGCCTATTCTGTGTCACACACTGTGATAAGCATAGTCCATGTCATGCCACTTAAGCTTCACAACTCTGTAACTCTACAAGGTAAGTGTTGCTATCCCCAGAAGATCAGGAGAGATGAAATTCCTGGCTCATAATCACACCAATGGTAAATGCAAAAGCTAAGATTCAAACTCAGATTTAACTTTAAAACCTATATTCTTGGCCGGGCACAGTAGCTCACACCTGCAAGCCCAGCACTTTGGGAGGCCAAGGCAGGAGGATCCCTTGAGGTCAGGAGTTCGAGACCAGCCTGCCCAACATGGTGAAACCACGTCTCTACTAAAAATACAAAAATTAGCCGGGTGTGGTGGTGGGCACCTGTAATCCCAACTACTCAGGAGGCTGAGGCAGGAGAATTGCTTGAACTCGGGGGTCAGAGGTTGCAGTGAGCTGAGATCATGCCATTGTACCCCAGCCTAGGTGACAAGAGCAAAACTCCGTCTCCAACAAAAAACAAACCAAAAAAAACACCAAAAAACCTATCATCTTAATCATTATGCTTACATGGCAGAGGTTATCAGCCTTTAGCATGCATCAAAGTCACCTGATGGGCTTGATCAGTTTCTGTTTCAGTAAGTCTAAAATAGTATCCAATAATTTGCTTTTTTTTTTTTTTTTAAGACAGTCTCACTCTGTCACCCAAGCTGCAATGCAGTGGCAGGATCACAGTTCACTGCAGCCTCAAACTCCTGGGCTCAAATGATCCTCCCGCCTCAGCCTCCCAAGTAGCTGGACCTACAGGCAAACGCCACTATGCCTGACTAATATTTGTATTTTTTTGTAGAGGCAGGGTTTTGCCATGTTGCCCAGGCTGGTCTCAAACACCTGAGATCAAGCAATCCCCCTGCCTAATTTTCATTTCTAAGTTCCCAGGTGATGTTGACGCCCCTGGTCTGGGGGACTACACTTTGAGAATTACTGTTATACAGACTTGATAAAAAAACTAGCAACAGGAATCCACTCATCAAAGTTCCTTAGAAAAGGTGAGACATCTTCAACTCCATCCTTCTAGTCTCAGCTCAGGTTCTATAATACTTCCCAGTGAAAGCTCTCAAGCCAACAACCCCACACTGGCAGGTTCAGTGCCCGTCCTATGTGTTAACCCTAAGCATTCTGCAGACTGGCTCACTCTATCTCTCTCACAACATTCTGTGGGCCCTCCAGTATCACAGAAGCTGGAAAGCTACAAACTATTTTCCAAAAAGCCCCTGCAACTAAGATCCTGGGTATGATTTAGGTTCTGCCAGTCAGATCCACCTAGTGAGACCTGAAAGCTCAGGGATGTGGGGAGACAGGAGGCAACAGGAGGAACCCATTTTTCTGATACAAACCTAGAAGGAACGGCACGATGGTTTCTATTATCTTCAGCTGGACCATGACTGATGCACTGCCCCCTGCATGTTCCTCCGAGTACTTATTTATCTTCCTATCTGCTATGCCTAGAACAATATTAGACTCATAGCACACAATCATTTTTAGTAAGCTTTCAGAAAATCACAATAGCCATTATAATATTTAAAAGATTTGGCATGAATCTTAAAATGTTGGACTGGAAATCAGCAGACCTAGATTCTGCCACTATCTGATCTTAAATACATCTCTAAACCTGAATTCTCTCACATATAAACTAAAAATGTTTACTGAGTTTTTTTGACTCTAAAATTCTATCATTCTATGATCTAAAAGCCTGAGACAACTCATTGCTTTGGTAAAACATCAATGCCTATAAGTATCCTATAAAGGAAAATGGCCCTGAGGAAAAGTACTTCTTTCTGGTTTTCTGTGTGGCTAACCACTCTGTAGAATTAACAAGCCTCTCACAAAAGAAAGAAAACAATTATTAAAGATTTTTCAATGGAGAAAAATTCTAAATTTAAGCAGCAGTGGCTACTTAAATGTCATTCTATTTATGCCTTCTTGCTCTGTCACCCAGGCTGTAGTGCAGTGGCATGATCTCGGATCACTGCAACCTCCACCCCCTGAGTTCCAGCAATTCTCGCGCCTCAGCCTCCAGAGTAGCTGGGATTACAGGCATGCACCACCCTGCCCAGCTAATTTCTGTATTTTTACTAGAGACAGGGTTTCACCACGTCGGCCAGGCTGGTCTCGAACTCCTGAACTTGATCAAGTGATCCGCCTACCTCAGCCTCCCAAAGTGCTGGGATTTAGGCAGGAGCCACCGGTCTGGTCAACAATGAGAATTTTAAAGGCTCCTTTTGTCCTGTCTGCCTGACTTTGCTTCATGATTTTCGCTTCATTATCTGGAGGGGTTTCCTCCCTCTTGCTATTAATGTAAAATCTGCATTTCTGTAAAGACCTCCTTTTTGAGGACCAGTAAAACCTATATGGAATAACAAAGATTACTGGCCTGGGGTAATTCTATCTTAAAAGATCTCTCCTCCTCAATTTGCATTTCCTCCATCATCTCATGTTTTGGCCTCATGGTGTTGGCCATCATGTCTCTCTTTCATGTCGCAAGGCAACTCTTTTCTGGGTGGAACTCCTCAGGCTGTCTCTTGCGCCTGAACTCTGCATCCATGCTGACTGACAGGTGAGATGCCAGGGCTTGAGAAGCAGAGCACACAGGAAATGTGCAGTATTGGGGAAGGCAGGTACACAAACAAAGTTTTTAAAAAGAGAAAGAAAAGGCCAGGAATGGTGGCTCACACCTGTAATCCCAGCATTTTGGGAGGCCGAGGAGGGAGGATCACTTGAGCTCAAGAGATCGAGACCAGCCTGAGCAACATGGTGAAAACCATGTCTCTACAAAAAAAAAAAAAAAAAAAACAAACATACTAACGAAAGCTGATAAACTAAAGGAAAAAAAAAACTATTAATATTTTAAGAAAGTTTACAAATTTGTGTTAAGCCACATTGAAAGCCATCCTGGGCCACATACAGCCCCAGGCCATGGGTTGGACAAACTTGATCTAGAATTACCTAGGAAGCCAACATTTCAATTTGAACTTAAATCCCTTTTTTTTTTTTTTTTTGAGATGAAGTCTCGCTCTTGTCACCCAGGCTGGAGTGCAGTGGTGCAATCTTGGCTCACTGCAACCTCTGCCTCCCGGGTTCAAGTGATTCTCCTGCCTCAGCCTCCTGAGTAGCTAGAATTACAGGCACCTACCACCACGCCCGGCTAATTTTTGTACATTTAGTAGAGACAGGGTTTCACCATGTTGGCCAGGCTGGTCTTGATCCCCTGACCTCAGGTGATGCACCCACCTCGGCCTCCCAAAGTGCCGGGATTACAGGTGTGAGCCACCACGCCCGGCCAAATCCCTGAACCTTTTCATCCATCTTGCTTGAAGCCTGGACTAGACCCTGTTATGCATTCAATCTGCTCTCTTCTACTCACAGCCTCCAAAGTTGAACACATTTCTCAAAATGATGGAATGCCAGATCCACCACTTTACCATCTTGAAAGATGCCAAAAAAGGGATGCAAATAGGTGCTCAAGTTTTATAATCTTATAACTCATGTCATTTTTCCCCATAAGACTGGCAAAGGTTAGAAGTGTGGGAAACATCTGGAGACTGAAGGATCTGGGGAAATAAGCAGTCTCCTATAATTGATAACTAAGAGTATGGCTGGATGGAAAGTAATTTGGTACAATTTTCTGCAGCACAAATAGAATGAATTTTAAATTTCCATGCCTTATAATCCACCAATTTCACTTACAAGAAAGCATCCACGGCTGGGCATGGTGGCTCATGCCTGTAATCCCAGCACTTTGGGAGGCTGAGGCGGGCAGATCACAAGGTCAGGAGATCAAGACCATTGTGGCTAACATGGTGAAACCCCGTCTCTACTAAACATACAAAAAATTAGCCAGGCGTGGTGGTGGGCGCCTGTAGTCCTAGCTACTTGGGAGGCTGAGGCAGGAGAACGGCGTGAACCTGGAAGGCGGAGCTTGCAGTGAGCGGAGATCGCACCACTGCATTCCAGCCAGGGCGACAGAGCAAGACTCCAACTCAAAAATAAAAATAAAAAAGGTTTGTGGGTTTGCCTCTTTGCCAAACATCCATCAATATATTTTTAAAATAAAGTGATTTAGAACTATAAATGACATGGAAAGTTGCCCTTTTTAATAATTTGTAATTGGACCTCTGAAATACAGTGATGTGTCACTTAACAATGAGAATGCACCCTGAGAAATGCATCATTAGGCAATGTTGTCATTATGTGAATATCATAGAGTGTACTTAACAAGCTTAGAATGATACAGTCTACTACACATCTACACTATATGGTATAGCTAAAGCACCACCTTCCACCCCTTATCCCATTATCCTCCTCCTTCCCTTTCCAGAAGTAACCATTTTTTAAGGTTGGCATGCAGTCTTTCCATCCATACTGTTGTACGTTTAATATATATAAATGCACCCATGATAAAATAGAGTTGTTTTGTATTTTTAACATTTATATATCTGATATTTTGCAGATAGTACTTTTAGCCTGTTTTTCTAATTCAAAATTATGTTTTTGAGAATTACTCATGTTGCTTCAAGCAGATTGGATCCATTCCTTTTAATTGCTATAAAATTCTTCTATTCAGCTATATAATTCTTTATTCTATATTAATAAGTCACAATTTATCCATTTTTTCCCTGTTGATGATCATTTAGGTTTTAAGGATTTTTCAGTTACAAAAAAAAAAAGATGCTATGAACATTCTTGATATGACACTTTGTACACAAATGAGAATTTCACTGCAATATACAGTGAGTGGAATGAGTGGTTGCTAGAACGTGAGCACCTTCCACTTCACTAGATATTATCAAAGCACATAAGAGTTTTTGCCCTTCCACATTCTTATTAATACTGGTACTGGTTGATTTTTGACATTTTCTGCCACTCTCATGTATAAAATACTCTCTTAGGATTTTAATTTATATTTCCTTCATTTTAGTGATAGAATCATAATCTTTTTAAATGACTCTTAACTACTTGGATTTATTATTTTATTATTTCATCTAATATTTTTTGCCTATCTAAAAAATTTCTTTCTTTCGAGTACCTTATGTATTCTGGATCCTAAGCCTTGTAAAAATTTTCAATCTAATAATTGTCTTTTTATTTTGTTAATAGTTCTTTTTTGCCATACCAAAGTTTCAGATTTTAGTGTACTCAAATCAAGAGTCAAGTCTTTTTCAACATGGTTTGTGATGTTTCTTTGTGGTTTTTGGAAAGGGTCTCACTCTATCTTCCAGGCTGGAGGGCAGTGGCATGATCATGGCTCACTGCAGCCTTGACCTCCAGACTCAAGGGATCCTCCCACCTCAGCCTCTCCAGTAGCTGGGACCACAGGCGCACACCACCACAGGCACCTGTGGTCTCAGCTAATTTTTTGGTTTTCTGTAGAGACAGGGATCTCACTATGTTGTCCAGGCTGGTCTCGAACTCCTGAACTCAAGCAATCTTCCTGTCTCAGCCTCCCAATATGTGGGATTACAGGTGTGAGCCACTGTATCTGGCTTTGTTTGTGCTTTTTTACATCTTAGTCAAGAAATCCTTTCGTAAGACTTCTAAAAATATTTTCACATTTTCTATGAACTTCTGCTTTTTAATGTACATCTTTAATCTACTTGTAATTTATTTTTATCAAGGCTGTGAGTAGGACTTTTTTTTTTTCCAAAGGACCAGTAAATTCTCTCTCAAATAGAGGAATTGCCTGGTGATAACCTTTTTATTTCTAATTCCTAAGGGCAGCTGGCAAAGCCCTTCTCATCTAAAAAAAAAAATTAGGGAAAAGGTGTACTATTTAATACTTAAATATGACAAGTCATAACTAATGACATTTGGTAGGACAGAACATACCAGAATATACTGAGTCGGCTTTACTTAGACCCGAAAAAAAAGATCTGCGTTCACAATTATCCAAAGAAAAGCACAAAGAATCCAAACAGATACTGGATTGTCTAATAAGTAAAAAAAATTAGGCAAAAGTAAAACAGACATTTCTACCAGCTTTTTTAATACTCATAAGATACCAAGTTTTAAGAGAGTTTCGTGCAGACTCACAAACAAACTTTTTACCTAGCCCTCAAAATTCACAATCTCACATCAGTTTTCCACTCCTTTCCAAAACTTAGATTTAGAAAAGGGCCACTTAGGAAGACGCTTATCTCAATAGTTACAGCATTAAGAAGAGAAATGCCTAACTGATACTACTGCAATCATCACTAAATTTGATTGTGATATTCTTGCATAAGCTAACCAAAATTATTTTACTGATATAAATCCTGTATAACTACTTACAGATTTTTACATAATGTTACATTTACCATAATTTACATAATGTAACTAGTATCAACCAGCTAAATTTGAATTCTTTGTTCTCTTGAAAAAGAACACCATTTTAAGTTAATAATATGTTTCTGAATATGACACTGTAAGGTATTCTTAAGAGGGTATGTAACACGGACATTAATAATTTACCAAATAAATTCATTGTGATCAATTCTATTATAAAAATTCACAGGAACTCTTAATAAAAGCAAATGTTAATTTAATATTTTTACCCCTTCTTCATCCAGCCATCTATTGGAACCTAACTTATTGAGAATATCATTTTTAACAGCATTTCTTTGCAAATGTTATACTGCAGCTGCTGTATAATTATCTTTCAGGCTGCAAATTTTCAGCATTGTACATGTTTTATAGCATATTTTATATATACTTAAAAACAAACTCAATGGTCAAGTAAACAAAAAAGGTACTCTTTGGTTCAAAAAATTCATTAAGCATAATAAATTCAATTAGACACAGTATGAGGTTTTCCTCAAAGCCATACAATAATAATACAAGTATTGTATTGTTCAAATATTCTCATTGTTATATAGGTTGTCACATTTCACTTTTAATAGGAACTGACTCAAAGAGACCTTGGAACAAAAGTATCCTAACCAAGTAGCAGTTCTCAAAGTGTCATGCTAAAAAAACATTACTCTCCAATTCACACAATCCAAACAATCAAATCAGAGAACAACCACTTCTTTATTAATGGAAAAATGCACTCTAGTTTCCTGTGTCCAAGTGACGCTACCTAAAAAATACTTAAACAAGGAAAGCTAAAGATGCAATCATTGGAATAGCATCAATATTAATAAAATGTTTTTACAACTGATAATTAGATATTATTCATTGAATGATAGTTTTGAGAGTTTAACAATAATTCCAATGTTTGCTGAAAGCAAATGAAATTAAAGGAATTCCTAATGCTGACAATCTTCTTCATTAAAATATAAAACTAAAAACAATTCAGCCTACAAAGACAAAATCTCACTAGAAAAGAAAGCGATGTGGTTAGGCGGGAAATTAAATCTTACTCAAACTGTGGGTGGAAATAAAACAGTACCTTCATAATAAAGATATCACAAACAGCTGTATTCTTTACAGTTATTTGCTCAAGATATAATTTGCTCTCCTGCAGTGTCAGATGCTAATGCAACTGAATTTATACAATCTAAGCACTGTCTACAGATGCACCTTTTGTTTTTAAATCAGCAGGAACCACTGACCAGCAGACGAAATATTCCTAACTAATCAGCAAATGTGTAAAGTCTGACATCCCCCTGCAAAATACACATCTGACCATATAACTGTCTCAGTAAATTCACATGACTAGAAACAACTTTAACACACTAAACAAATTCTACTCAAAAATGATCAGAAGGTCAGTCACTGCAAACAGCCACTGTGCTACAGACCAGAAATAACTTCTAATAAGCCCCCTTCAAAAAATTTGCAGCCTGAAAGATAATTATATAGCACTTGCAGTATAACATTTGCAAAGAAATACTGTTTAAAATGATATTCTCAATAAGTTAAGTTCTAATAGCTGAGAAAGGAAGGGGTAAAAATATTAATTTAATATTTACTTTATTACTTAAAACTAAATAGTTTTAGCGTATTAAAATCACGTTTTCTAAGAAAATTCCCGAAGATACACATTATGATCTATGTAATTTTCCAAACTGACCGTATTCTCCTTTATTGTATAACATTCTACAATGTGAGGAGGCTAAAACGTGTCCGTAATTTTGTATTTCAGGACAATCTAGAAGTCTGTGCAAAACATAACCCAACTGCTATAATAACTCAAAAAGAACAGAAAACTTACAGCTACATGTTCAAAGAGAGTAAGCAGAAAAAGAAACAACAATTATCAAGAACCTATTTGGCACTGGGCCCTCAAAGTGACTGTACTTTTTTTTTTTTTTTTTTTTTTTTTGAGACAGTGTCTCACTGTGTCACCCAGGCTGGAGTGCGGTGGCACAATCCTGGCTCACTGTAACCTCGACCTCCTGGGCTCAAGCGGTCCTCCCACTTTAGCCTCCTGAGTAGCTGGGGCCAAAGGCTTGCGCCACCACACCCAACTAATTTTTGTATTTTTTTGTAGAGATGGGGTTTCACCATGTTTGTCAGGCTGGTCTCGAACTCCTGGGTTCAAGTGATCTGCCAGCCTTGGCATCCCAAAGTCCTGGGGTTATAGGTATGAGCCACCACGCCCAGCTGAAACCAAATCTTACAAGTTCACTAATTTCCCCAAGGTCACACATCTATTCAGTGTCAGAGTGAGGATTTAATCTCAGGTTTGTATGATTCCAAATTTCAAACTTTCATCTGCACCAAGCTCTCCCCACAATAAAATGGGTGATATAGGCTTCCTGGTCTAGCCAGAAAGGTTAAATGCTGCGGATGAAGTTTTAAGGGAGGTTTATAAATCAACTTCCAAATAGTGTTTTACAAACTTATTATAATATAATATGATCCTTTCTTAAATTGGGAATGTTTGAAAGAACACAAATCTGTGAGATCACTAACAAATATTAGAAATCAATTTGGAAAAATAATTACCTGGTCCTCTCACACTACCCTTGAGGGCCAATGAGTAAGTCATTTCAATAGTGCCTTGAATAGGACCAAATGCAATGTTATTTTGAATTCACAAAACTCTGTACAACTTTCCAAGCTCTTTCACATTCTTTAGAATTCATAAAGTCCTCCAAAAACTACATTGAAAGGGTTAAAGGAACATAGTAGATACATAAAAGAGGAAAATAGAGAGGCACTGTAAATGCAGACAGTAGTACCTGTCAGTCCCAGGGCGAACTCCATTCCTATACCTTCTCAGGGGCAAAAATACAGCCACTAGAAGGTAAGGACCTGTAGACAGCTAACTAGTCTCTTATCTGCAGTCCCTCCTCAAGGCCAGAGGAAGCAGGTTACTTCCTGGCAGAATTCCATGGGCTCCAAAAAGGAAATAACACTCTGTTCCAGTAATACCCAACCTCTCTATAATAACCTCAATGGTAACCCCGATGGTAATGTTACCCAATGGTAACATTGAGGTTTAAAGCCTAGATGATCTCCATGGTCAAAATATAAGTGAAAAGGGACAAAGATTTGTACCCAGTCTTTGTCCCTCAAGATCAGAGATTATTACCTTCCCTAGAACTGCTTTGAGCCCTATGAAAGATGACTCATCTTTATACCAAATTACAATAGGCAATGTAAAATTTCAGTGGGATTTCACTGTAGGAGGTTAAAAAAGATAAATGTGTTGGTCCACACGCCGGGGGGTTTAAGGAAACAATAGACACTTTTATCTGAACACTTAAAAATGTTAATCATCCACGTGCAAGGTATAACTGTAAGATAAGGCAACCAACATTTTAATATATTAGAATTTTTACATGCAAATGAGTATTGCCCTCACAAGATAATAACCTTAATGAGCCAATGCACATGTTAAATTATTTTGGGAGTCCCCTTTTGAAAACTTCCCTCAGAGACCTCAGAACGTTAACTTAAATTTCTCATGTTTTCCTAGTTGGAATATAAAGGATACAGCTCTCTGGAATATGATTAGGTATTACATTATAAACATCTTAAAAATGTGTACTAACCCTTTGACCAGGTAACTCAACTTTTAGAAATATACTATAGAAAATGCTGGCTGGGCGTGGTGGCTCATGCCTGTAATCCCAGTACTTTGGGAGGCCGAGGTGGGTGGATCACCTGAGGTCAGGAATTCGAGACCAGCCTGGCCAACAAGGTGAAACCTCCTCTATACTAAAAATACAAAAATTAGCCAGGCTTGGTGGCAGGCGCCTGTAATCCCAGCTACTTGGGAGGCTGAGGCAGGAGAATCGCTTAAACCTGGGAGGCGGAAGTTGCGGTGAGCCGACATCACACCACTGCACTCCAGCCTGACCAACAGAGTGAGACTCCGTTAAAAAAAAAAGAAAAGAAATATACTATAAGAAAATGCAAATAAATGTGTATAATTTATTGGTCATTATAGTATTGTTTTTCGTTTTGTTTTGTTTTGAGACAGAGTCTCGCTGTCGCCCAGGCTGGAGTGCATGCAGTGGCGCGATCTCGGCTCACTGCAAGCTCCGCCTCCCAGGTTCACACCATTCTCCTGCCTCAGCCTCCCGAGTAGCTGGGACTACAGGCGCCTGCCACCACACCCGGCTAATTTTTTGTATTTTTAGTACAGACGGGGTTTCACCGTTTTAGCAGGGATGGTCTTGATCTCCTGACCTTATGATCCGCCCGCCTAGGCCTCTCAAAGTGCTGGGATTACAGGCGTGAGCCACCGCACCTGGCCTATAGTATTGTTAATACAGGTTGAGTATCCCTTATCCGAAACACTTGAGATCAGAAGTGATTCAGATTTCAGATTTTTTTGGATTTTGGAATATTGGCATATATATACATACATATACACACACACACACACACACACACACACACACACACACACACACACACATATATATATATATATAAAATGAGATCTTGGAATGGCACCCAAGTCTAAACACAAAATTCATTTACATTTCGTACATACCTTACACACATAGCCTGAAGGTAATTTCATATATTTTTAATAATTTTGCACATGAAACAAAGTTTGTGTTAAGTACTCATGTGTGGAATCGTCCATTTGTGGCATCATGTCAGCACCACAAGGCTTCAGATTCTGCAGCATTTTGGAGCATTTTGGATTTCAAATTTTTAGATTAGGGATGTTCAACCTGTAATAACAAAACTATTTAGACTACTAAGTGTCTTATAAGGGACTGATTAAACGAATTATGATGCATTTATGTGATAAACCACAATATATCCATTAAAAGTCATATCATAGAACAGAAGCTCTCAAAGTGTCATCCGTAGGCCAGCAAGTCAGCATCACCTACAAACTTGTTAAAAATACAAATTCTTAGGCCCACACAAGACCTACTTAATCCATCTCTGGGCATGGGGTCCAGGAAGCTGGGCTTCAACAAGCTCTTCAGGTGATTATCATGCACAGTAAAGTTTTGGAACACTGCAGAGTATTTAACAACAATCCACTGAGACTGTTTTCCCTTCTAAATTTTTAAAAGGAATGTTACTATATAATACTCTACCTCCTTTTCTTAACATTACACACCATACAAACACATGCACACACACAAAAGTATCCTTCACTATCCAAACTCTCACCATCCTAACAGAGTCAAATGTTTGGCTGAATCCCTCACAAATCGGAATTCTTGCTATGTATAATCCAAAATTCAGAAACTGAATACTATAGATCCAGATAATGTGATAGCCCTTGCCACTGAAAGAGATTCAGAGAACAACAGATACATGATATGAATCTGGGGTGGGTACACAGGTATTAACATATCCCAGAATATTACCAATGATTATATCTTAAAGACTGGGATTAAAAAATATTTTATTTTTTTATTTTTGAGACAGGGTCTCACTCTGTTGCCCAGGTGGGGGTTCAGTGGCTAGAGTTCAGTGGCACGATCTTGGCTCACTGCAACCTCTGCCTCCTGGGTTCAAGCAATTCTCCTGCCTCGGCCTCGCAAGTAGCTAGGACTACAGGTGCATGCCACCATGACTGGCTAAGTTTTGTATTTTTAGTAGAGACACGGTTTCACCATGTTGTCCACGCTGGTCTCAAACTCCTGGCCTCAGGTGATCAGCCAGCCTCGGATCCTAGAGTGCTAGGCTTACAGGTGTGAGCCACCATGCCCAGCTGGGATTAGAAGATATTTTAATTTTTCTCTTTTACTTTTCTGAATTTTATAAATAATCTTCAAATAAATAATTATTCTAAATTGAAACTTAAAATTTTAAGAAATAAATGCATATCAATCATGTAAAACTAAATGACACTATTTGGAGATACCTACATATATGGTAAAAAAGAAATAATGGAAAGCAAGAAAATGATGAAACAATATTGGGAGGGAAAAACATATTGAGAGGGGACAGTGATGATCTGGGGGTAAAAGTGAGGGACAAAAAGAGGGCAGAAAGAGGCACATAGAGGGCTTTAGGCTTAGTAATGTTCTATGTAAGCCAGTATGATAGGTTGCCTTCAAAAATGTCACCAACTTTAGTCCCATCCCTATGGCACATGCCAATTCTCCCATCAAGCCATGGAGTCTGTTTCCAGGATCCTTCAAGGGGGCTGACTTCGTGACTTGCTTTGAACCATGGAATACAGCAGGAATTATGCCGAGTCATTATTGGGTATAGGCCTTTAGAGACTTGGCAACTTCTGCTTTCATCCTTTTAGGGTCTGGCTGCTGTGTGTCTCAGGCTGGACTTCTGAATGCAGAGAGGCCACATGGACAATGAAAGGCCCAGACCAGAGTCCTACTGTTCCAGGCACCCAGGTGAAGTATGAGACGTGTGAGCTGAATTCATCTTGGACATGGCGAGCTCCCTGCTGAATGACTGACCCCAGCTTACATCTCATGGAGCAGAACCACCCAAGGTAGCCCAGCCAATCCACAGAAGCATGAGAGATAATAAATCATTGTTGTGTTAAGTCACTGAGTTTTGGGGTACTTTTTTTCTTTTTGGTACTGACAACTAAAAATTAAATTTTTTTATTGTTATTTCCCATATCTTATATGTGATCATCTTTTGTAGGATTAAAGTTTTAATTTATGTCATTTTTATCCATAGCAAATAATGTAATAGCAATTGTTCATATCACAAAATTGATTTTCTTGTGGAGCTTCAAAAAATCATTGGAGCAATAGCGCAATCACTGCTTATCCATGTCAGTTCCCTTGTCATAATTAAGACTAGCCTGCACTTTCTTTTCTGTCTTACCTTTTGCCTTAACATTTTCATATTTGGGTTACAACTTAGTAAAATGAAGAAGCATACCATTGAAAAAATATTTTAGAACAGTTTGAATAGCACAGGCATTATCTGCAAAGATGTGAATACTGACAAGCTAAACCATCTGGAACTGGCAACTTTTTAGGAATACTGTTTTGACAACTTTATCAAATTCTTCCATGAATATTGTTCCAGGTAAGTTTTTTAAAATCTCTTTTTGAGTTAACTTGACTAATGTGTATTTTCCCTAAAAATATTCATTTCATCTCAAATTCATCAGAAAAAAATATGCAGTATTCTCTTACATATAAATAGACAATAGACTGAAATATAATAAAGTAACAGGAAATATCTGAGTGTTGGAAAATTATATATATATCTCTTACATTTTTTATTTTCTAAATTTTCCAAAATAAATGTCATTTTCAAAATGAAAAAAAATTATGTGAAGAATAAACAAGAAACCATTGTGTAGCTTCTGTTCTAAGAATACGACAGCATCTAGCTTACTAGTCTGTCATGGCTAACAGAAACCAGTTGTAAGAAAATGTGAAAACTGAATTATGTGACTTGACCACAATCTTTCCTTATGGTGGATTAGAGGTAACAATCTGTATTATTTGAACATTTGCCATTAATGTCTACAAAACAGATTAACTATAAGAAAGGAGACAACCTAAGCTTTCATGAGATTTCATAAGAGTCCCAGAATAATGTTACTCCATCAACTCTAACAGTTTCAAACAGACCACTTAACAGCACTGCTTTCTGATGCTGTTTATAATTCATTGTTGTCTCCAGCTTTGCGGAGGACAGGATCTAGTTCCTCAGTCCAACAATATGCAGAGGACAAGCACACAAATACCATCCCTGTGGACACAATAATGCAGCAGCAACCACCCGGCTCCAGCCCTCCCCTTGTTGCTATTATAATTTATGCATCCTTGGAGACTGGAGTATAAAACAATGATTAATGCTGAGAAAATCAACAGCATCAAAGGTTTTCAACTGACCACTGGCCTTAAAGAAGAAAATCATAGTTCAGTAACACAAATGTTTACCAACCTGATGTAAAGAATTAACTGAAAAATGAAATCACTTACCAAGCTACCACAATCATAACTATTATTGTCTTAATCCTTAGACGCTTTGGCTTCCTTTTGTCTGGGTCTGGCTTTCTATGTCCCCATATATAATCTGAGTTTTTATATATCTGTATAGCACTGGCTTTCTATCAAACTGATAATACTAAAGCCTATAAAGTCACTAAAGCAATAAAATTTAATAAGAGCAATAATTTGAGCTATCAGAGAATTTCTTTATGATAAACACAATATAATGTTACTACCATCACTATAAACTTTATATGAGACAGGTGTCCCAACACTAAATATTAACAATATTGAAGATATCTTTTCAACATAGTGGAAAAGGCCATGGTATACAACATATAGAAGTAAAAATTACTTTGAAAATACACAGGTTAGAAATGGATACAGCCTCTATAGAAGGGGGGAAATTAGTAATCACAGGAGCTTTTGTAGATGCATTTACGACTAAGGAGGATTCTAGGACCCTGAACCTTGTACTAAGTCAGCAAAGGCAGAATTACATTTCTTTAAAAATGGGATATATCCTCATTTAGCTGCACTAACTCAAACACAGGATTGCCTAAAGGCTACATGACACTGAGCTATTTGTTACAATGGTGGCTTTCAAAATTTTTAACCATTGCCCACATTAAGATACATATGACACCTACTACATAAACACATTCACACACAGAAAGTTTCAGAAAACTATACCTGTCCTTACTATATGTTATTTTCTCTGATAATTGCTATTTTATTCCATTTCATTTTTAAAAATTCACTTCAAGACCCATTAAACTGGTTTTATTACCCACCAGCAGGTCACAATCTATTGTTTGGCAACTACTTGTGGGCCTTTCTTAACGCTTACGATACAGGGGGCAGGGAGAAAAGAAAAGAAGAGAATATTACAAACCCACTGTGTGCTATCTAATATACAGTAAGACACCTTTTGTGTCCCAATTTAAGTCTCACATCAACTCTATGAGGCAAGTAATGCTCATTTATTTACTCATCCTTTCAACAGATACTTATTGTGTACTTACTATGTCTCAGGTACTGTGCTAAACTCGGGAACAACTGAGCAGTGAATAAAACACAGTCTATACCGTCAAAAAACTAGAGTGTATGGAAGGAAAACATTAAATGGGAGGTAAACGCAAAAAAGAAAAAGCACAGCATGCTTTATAAAAATACTTAACAAAGAGATTCAACTTTGAGAAGAATTAAAAGGCTTCCCCAGGAATTATCCCACGAGTAGCCTTGATGGATGCAAAGGAATTGGATAGGCAAAAGTAGGGAAAAGGAAAGTGGTCTGGGCAGATGGAACAGCACTGACTATAGGCAGACTTGAGGCAGGAAGGAATGCGGGTCAAAAGAAGAAAGAACAGAAGCCCAATATGTTGATCACTGAGCACAAGGGAGCCAGAGGTAAGAAATAAGGCCAGAGAAGGAAGCTTGTGCCAAGTCACACAGGGTCTCATGGGGCACACTAAGGACTGAGGACTTCATTCGGGTATAAAAGGAAGCCCCTGAGAAGCTTTAAGCAAAAAGGAGTAAAAGGTAGCGAAAAGATCCCATGTGTCTTCCAAACATAACTCTAGCTGTTCTGTGGAGAATGGACTGGAATTAGGCAAAATGAAATATAAGATTAGCTGGGTAACCACAGTAGCCTGAGTGGGAAGTGGTGCAGGACTTGATGCAGGTGATAGCGTGGGAGCAGAAGGAAGTCAGCCGGCTTGAGATAAGATGATAGAACTGAATGGGAAAGGTGAGTGAGTATGTAAGACAGAAGAAACACCAAGAGAGACGGAGGGAAAAGAGAACAATTCCCAGGTTTCTGGCACAAGAAACTCTAAGAGGGGAACCCTGTTGAATAAGCAAAATTAGGAGAATGATCCTAAGTTCAATTTGAGATGTCTATGAGAAGAAAGTCAAGAAGAGCCATTCAGTAGGCACTGTGGTATCGCACACCTAATAAACATCAGAACTGAAATCTGGCCAGGTCTATTTGACATGAAAATCAAAGTTCTTTCATAACACTGAAATGAAGATGAGAATTATCAAGGTGATAATTCTCATTATCACCAGCTAACATTTACTGAACATCTACAATGTGCTAGGTATTCACAGTAACCCTACAGAAGAAACAGGCTCAGAGAGGTAAAGTAGGGAGAATCTGACAAAGGAGCAGAACCAGGACTTAATCTCAGATCTAGAAACACCCCAAAACTTAAGCTCTTACACTCTAAACCCCAGTACCACTCAAATCCAGAGTGGGGTAACAAGACCTTTAACTCGCAATCACTTGCCAACAATAGATTGAAAGTTCTCTGAAGGCGGGACAGTGGTGTTCTATTCATCTTTGTAAATTCTAACATAATATCTCAGTAGTTGTTTGCTGAATGCGATGTGAAGAAATTTTGTATAGTACCTGCTGGTAAATCAATTTTTGGATTTGGAAAATCACCAATGGACTACATACTGTTAACTTTTTTTTTTCACCAATATATGTAATTTAAACTCAAAATACATTGGGTAGCTTCAAAACTGAGAAAGCCAAAAAGTAAAGAAAAGAAAGATGTCAAAATAGCTATTTTTCCAAATGGGTGTTTATAGAGTTCATCTGATTTTTTAATAACACCAGCATACCTCCCAATCTATATCTAAGGTACTACTGTAAACTGTTAATTTATTGGGGAAAAAAGCTTTAGCTATCGATTCTAGTGTAAGATTAAATGATTAGAAAATAAAATAAAACCTATCTCCTTACTAAAAGTTTACTGTTTTGGAGAAAAAGATTAACTTCATTATGTGGTACCAAACAATAGAATAAAATTTCATTTCAAGAACATAGGTTTTACCTATCTCTTATAAATTTTATTTAAAGCTAGAATGAGTAAAATTAGTTCAAAGTTCATTTTAAAATATGTCCTATAAGAAGGCCTTCTAAGAAAGAAAGCTTGGCTCCATTTACCCAATAAATAATGAATATTTTTAAGTGGGCAAGAAGCAAGTTACCATATTTCAGAGTCTAAGTGCCACTGAGAATAAAATGCACCATTAGTCATGAAACACCAAAACAAAAAAGAAGAGAGAGCAATTAAAGTTTGGTACCATGGTTTCTTATCACGTAAAATTAACTTACACTTATTGATACAGTTCTCTAGATTTTTTATATAATACTACTATACATACATAAAAAGTAAAACATAAGCACAATCAATTAGTGAAAGTATTCGTGTTCCCAATGCTCCTGGGAACACTGATGACACAGCTCTTCTTTTAAAAAAAAAAAAAGAAAGAAAAGAAAAAAGAAGAAAAGCGCAACTACTGCCTCTGAGATTTTTTTTCTCAAGCTGGTGACACCCATTCTGTAATGGATGCTGATCTTACTAGGGGGTGTCAACAGAAAATTTTCAAATGAAAGTCAGGACTCATATTCCTTTCTCAAATGATCCTGAAATGTCAATGGTTGCAGGTGTCCAATCCTACCACCAGGACTAGCAGCCAAGTTCTCTCATGCCTAGGCAATGACATCACAACAGCTGCCTGGCTTGCAGTGATTATAAGACCCCATCTACCGTAAGATGCATCACGATTTCAGACCTTAACTTGGGAGAAAATGCATATCTTAAAAGCCAATATAAAATGGTAAATTGTATCTAATTCTGTAAGAGTGTATATTTATCACATGTAAAGTTTCATCCAGAAAGGAAGATGTGGTTGACTGTAATTTTGTATCCGATTTTTCACCCCTCTTTCCTGGAGAAAATTATACATCCTTGCCTGTTGGCATGTGACTTACAGTGCCCTTCTCTGTGAAAGCAGTGGCCAAAGAAATGTGAATGCAAGTGGCCTGTGCCAATTTGCAGCTAAAGCTTTACGAGCTATCACATGGTTCCATCAGTTTTCTTTTTCTGCTGCCATGAGAAAAGGATGTCCCAGATGAGGGCTGCTCTTTCAGCTTGGATACCTGAGTGAGAGTCAAAGCTGACCCTAGAGCAGAGCTATAACCAAAAGGTACTGTAGGAATGTAATGAACTTTTGTTTTTCTCAGTCCCCTGAGATTTCTGGGGTCCTTTTTGTTAATTTCTTCAGGCAGCATAAGCTAGGGGAAGTTAACTAATACAAAAGATCCTTGATGTGAACTATGGACTCTAAAAATTATTTCCACAGCCTGGGCAACAAAGTGAGACCCCTATCTCTACAAAAAATACAAATATTAGCCAGGTGCAGTGGTTTGCACCTGTAGTCCCAACTTCTCAGGAGGCTGGAGTCAGATGATTGCTTGAGCCTGGGAGGTGGAGGATGCAATGAACTGTGATCACTCCACTGCACTACAGCACAATGACAGAGCGAGACCCTGTCTCTATAAAAATAAAAATAAAATAAATAAAAAGTATTTCCTAATGTCCTGGGCCAGAAAGACTCCTATAAGCCACCATGTTCTCCCCCATGCCCCTCAAGCCACTGCTGCAATACACATTTCCTTTCCTCCACCTTACTTCCAGAATACTTGTATCAAACCATTCCTCACACCACATTCCATGATACCCTTGATTCTCTTGGCTGAGGTTCTCAGTATTAGCTCTCCCCTTTTCACCTTGCCTCTCAGACTTGGTTCAAGATACCCCTTGGCTTCCCCTCTAATTAAACCTATTCTCCACTCTGTCCCATCTGCCATGTTCCCAAAACCTGCAACTTCTGCACAGCCCTGTGGACAAGCATCTCACCCATTTATCAGGTGTGAGGATTAAGCACCAACTAGATTCTCTTAGTGGGAGGCCTATCAAAAAGCATTCTTTAAACTCTTCTTTTAAACTGATGATGGTACAAAGCACTATAGAAACAGACGAGGAAATACAAAGTATGACTCTAGAAATAAGCAATAATGTAAACCTAACTTAAAGCTAGAAAATAACTTCTGTAATTCCAACAAACCCATGATTAATTATACAGTGTGGATTTAAAAGTATACATCTACATGTAGAGAGCTTAAAAAAAATCAAAGCTTGTAATGTATGACAAATTCCTGAAAAAATATTTTTCCATTGAAAAAGAACTCAACACAACTCAACTAATTATGTGGGAGGATTCATATGTAGTTATTCATGCATATAAAAAATTAATTATAGGTTTTCTGCAGTCTATATTACACATATACACCCACATCACATGCATCCTATTTGGCCTCTTTTCTCTTTCACTTATAGTTCCTGTATACCTGCCTTATAATGTCAGGGTACTTGTTAGCCTAAAGTCCTAAGTCTGAAAGAAAAGAAGAACTAGAATAAGATTATTTAGTGGCCTCAGGAAAAAGATTTTGTTGTGACCTTGAATAATTTCATTAATGGATATATAATATATATATATATATATATATATAGGTGGGAGGAACACCTGACCCTGGGAGGTCGAGGCTGGTGATGCAGTGAGCCATGATCATGCCACTGCACTCCAGCCTGGGCAACCAGAGTGAGACCTTGTCACACACACATGTACATGTACACACAGACACAAAATTCTAGCATTTAAGAACATGTTTCTCCCAAGGATATGGGCTGATTACTGAAGAGGCAACTAAGGGGCTCAAAGGTGATCAGAGGTTTCAAATCCCCAACAGGATGAAGAAGACAAAACTGTAATTTTTTGTAGGGCCCACAGAATAGAAGAGGTCCCAGTAAGTGCTTTAGGCTTTGGGTTGGACCTCAAATAATTATACCTCATGAGATGGGTAAAAAGGAAATAGATGAATCCTCAGAGACTAAGCCCATCTTCAAATCACCTAAACCCCTAATTGGGAAGGAAGGAAGGATGGAGCAAGGGGATGAGACAATTGCTAGCATGACTAGCCTTAAAAAACAAAATTAATATAAATCCTCTCTGGAGGAGGATAATATTACCCTAGACCTTAAAATATACCTGGTTTTGAATATACAACAATTGGCACTCAATAAAAAATTACGAAGTAAACAGGGACAAAAGAAAGGTGACAACAGAGATTCAAAGCAATAGAAACAGACCCAGAAGGGATTCAAATAATACTGGCCTCAGACACAGTTATTTCACAGACTGAAATAACTTTGCTCAATATGAGAAAGAAAGAAAGACGTGGAAGGGAGAGAGAGAGGGAGATAAGATGGAAGACAGGGAGGGGAAGAAAGTTTAAAAAGATTGAGAGTTTTGCATAAAATTAAAACTGATAAATTAGATTTTAGAACAAAAAAATGAATTAATAACTCAGTGGACAATAGATTAGTTGAAGAAAAAAACAAGTGAACAGATAGGTCAGAAAAAAATATCCAGATTAAGCCCAAATGGATAACACTGAAAAAGAGAAGGGAGAGTAAGTTATATATGAACTACTGTGACTAGGCCTAACTTGTATGTCATTGGGAGTCCCAGAAAAAAGATAGAAAGAGAATTGGCTTACAAGAAATAATAAGTAATGTTAAGAAATACCCAAAATTCATACCAAAAAATCAGATCCCAGATTTAAGAAACACTCTAAACCTCAAGCAGGACAAATGCAAAGACATTAACACCTACACTAATCATAGTGCAACTGCTAAAAATTAAAAATGAAAAGGAAAAACTTAAAAGTAGCCAAAAAAAAAAAAGAAAAAAAAATTGCCATTAAAGGAACACCCATAAGACTTACAGATGACTTTCCAGCAGAAACAATGTAAGCCAGAAGACAATGAGATGATATTTTAAAGATCCTGAAAGAAAATAAATGCCAAGCTAGATTTCTATACCCAATGAAAATATCAAAAACCAAACTGAGATTCTGACAAGAAGGTTGCAGAACTGTCATACAGTTTCTAAAACTCTGAGTTCCCAAAGATAGGGATCTCTTCTAGGACAAGGACCTACAGCAAAGTGAAGCTTCTGGAAGTAAAATCAAAATTGAACAGTATAGAGACCACAGAACTGAAATAAAGAAAAAGTTCAGGAAAAGGCAGGAGAAGGGAACGGAGCCAGGCAAGATTAGGCCACAAATCATATGCTTTTAAGCATCACAGGAAAACTTTACAAGAGATAGCTCAGTGAAGTATAACAGCTACCTACTTCTCCTCCTAAAGGTTCAGAAAAACTAATTTCACATATAAATGAGCAATAAATGAGTGTTAATGTAAGATCCTATAGGAAGTTATGATTAGAAAAAGCAGAGTAAGATTCAGACTAATGTCCCTAGAGACAATGAAGGCATGATAGACAAACATCAACACAAAATAAAAACCATAACCTTCCTTTCAAATTAGTTAAAATACTTTAAGAAAATTACACATGACATGAAATAATACACAAATCAGAATTACAAAAATGTAAAAATGAGGTGATGAACTCACAAAAAAAATTCAGACTTAAAAGAAAAAAATCATCTCCAATATGAAAACCAATTAGAGAAAACACAGTAACAACAACAACAACAACAAACCACAACAGATAATGCCTTAAGAGAAACAGAAGGTAAAAGGAGATAAATTCAAAAAATCCTGAGGAAATAGCTAAAAGGGATTCAAAGTAAAGTGACAAATATTGAAGATAGGAAAAGAAAATCAAACAGATGGATAATAAAAGGCAAAAGAAGAAATAAAAAACAAGGAAACAGGTACAAAAAAAGAACTGATACAAGAAGAAATAGAAAACCTGAATAGGTATAATAACTATTAAATACAGGGAACACATAATTAAGACATGTTTAATGGAGAAAACTACAAGCTCTTATGGCTTCATTAGTAAGTTCTTCCAACCTTTTAAGGAACAACACATATCAATATCACACCAAATTTTCCAGAGAATAGAGAAAGAGGAAACACTCGTTTTGAGGCCAGTAAAACCTTGATACTAAAATCTAAAGACAATGCAAGAAAGGAAATTTATCCCTCATTTAAACATTGATGTGAAAATTCTAAACAAAATTTTAGCAAAAGGAATGCAGCAATATATTAAATAATAATACATGACAACCTACTTGAATTTATTCCAATAACACAAAGGAGATGTCTTAATCTGATAAAGGTTATCTATTTTTAAAAACTGTGTCTCACCTGAATGTTCATCCAAATGGATAAGCAAATTATAATATTTATACAATGGAATACTACTTACCAGTAAAAAGAATAAACTGCTGATAGGTGAAGCAATATGGATGATTCTCAAAAAATCTTTATGTTGAGTGAAAGAAGCCAGAACCAAGAGAATTCCATTTCTGTAAGGAAATGCTATAGAATACCATTTCTATAAGGTTTAAGAAAAGCAAAACTAATCTATGGTAACATAAATCAGAACAGTTGTTGTCTCTGGTGGGGTAAAGGAATTGGAAATAAAGAGAAGAGTATATGGGAAACTGAGCTACATCTTGACTGAGGTGTTAATTACGCAGGTGTATACATGTTTCAAAATTCAAACTGTATGCTTAAGATTTGTTCATTTTACTATATGTGAGTTATAAATCAATCAAAAAACTCAATTAAAAAAACCTATAGCCACCGTGGTACTGAAAGGTGAAATGTGGAAAGTTTTCCCTTCAAAACAGGGAAAAGAGGGCCGGGCACAGTGGCTCACAAGTGTAATCCCAGCACTTTGGGAGGCCGAGGGGGGCGGACCACCTGAGGTCAGGGTTTGAGACCAGCCTGGCCAACATGGTGAAACCCCATCTCTACTAAAAATACAAAACAATTAGTTGGGTGTGGTGGCAGACGCCTGTAATCCCAGCTACTCGGGAGGCTGAGACAGGAGAATCACTTGAACCCGGGAGGCAGAGGTTGCAGCGAGCCGAGATCATCCCACTGCACTCCAGCCTGGGTGACAAGAGTGAAATTTCATCTCAAAAATGAAAAAAAAAAAAAAAAAAAAAAAAAAACCAGAAAAGAATAGGAAATCCTGCCATCATCAATCTCATTAAACATTATACTGCTGGTCTTAAGCCCACGTAATAAGAACAAGAAAGGAAGGCATAAGGATTAGAAGAGGAAATAAAACTATTATTTGCAGGCAACATGATTGTGTTTAAAAAAATACAATATCTACAGATAAATTATTGGAATCAATAAAACAGCTTAGCAAATGTGCTGGATACTACGTCAGGTTTCAAAATTTAACTGTATTTCAACACATCCACAAATATTTAGAGTATGAAATTCAAAGATACCATTTACAATAGCAGAGAACACTAAATACCCAGAAATAAATATAATGAAAATAAGCAAGACTTATACACGAATATCTATAATAACTGAAAGAAATGACAAAAGGACCTACATTACATAAAGGAATCTGTCATGTTCATTATATAGTCTTCATGTGAAGACTAAATATGTAAATAATCAAATCTCCTCACATTTATATCAATTCAATGAAATCCCAATACAAATCTTAGCAAGGCACTTTAAGGGAAATTAACAAACCAATTCAAAAATTATATGAAACTACAAAGACCAATAATAACCAAGAAAAAACTTTTAACAATAACAAAATGGGAAGACTTAGTCTACTAGGTATTAGAACTTATTATAAAGCTTCAATAATTCATTCAGCTGGTAGTGGTAAAATAGATAAAGAGACCAGGAAGAGACCCCTGCATACATGGACATTTGATTAATGAAAGTGGCAATGTGGAAAAGTAGAGAAAGGATGATCTTTGCAATAAATAGTGCTATGCCTACTGAAGATTCATATGGCAAAATAATAATCTCAGCACTCTGGGAGGCTGAGGTGGGCAGATCACTTGAGGTCAGGTGTTCAAGACCAGCCTGGCCAACATGGTGAAACCCTGTCCGTACTAAAAGTACAAAAATGAGACAGGCATGGTGGTGAGTGCCTGTAATCCCAGCTACTCGGGAGGCTGAGGCAGGAGAATCTCTTGAACCCTGGAGGCGGAGGTTGCAGTGAGCTGAGATCATGCCACTGCACTCCAGCCTGGGCAACAGAGTGAGACTCCATCTCCAAAAAAAAACAATAACAATAATAAGTGAGGTGATGGACATGTTGATTCACTTGATTTAATCATTCCACATTGTACACATATATCAAAACATCACTTTGTACTCTATAAATATATAAAATTATGATGTCAATTAAAAATAATATTAACTTTTAAAAGAGTGGAAAGATAAGGCACAGAGTACAAGGTAAATTATAACACATAACCAAAGAAACTGTATCTAGAGTATACAAAGAATTCCTTAAAAATAACAACAAAACAACATAGCCAAATAACCAGCAGGTACATTAAAAGATGTTCAACTTCATGGGTAATCAGGAAAATGCAAATTAAAACCAAAGCAAAATACACTACCCATTCATTCAGAATGGCTAAAATTAAAAAGACCTTTAATAGTAAGTGTTGGTGATGATATAGAGCAAGAGGAGCTCACACAGCAGATGAGGATGCAAATCAGTTCCACCACATTGGAAAACTTGGCATTTTATGCTAAACATACACAAACAATATGACCCAGAAATTTCACTCCTATGTACATACCAAACAAAAGTGGGAGTATACAAACACCAGATATATTTACTATAATGTCATAGCTCCATTATTTGAAATAACCAAAACCAAAGGGGAAACATAAATCTCTACAGACAGTAGAATGGATCGATTGTGGCATATTCATATTACAGAATAGTGTATAGCAATGAAAAGGAGCAAACTACAGGTGCACACAAGGATAATCTCACAAATACAATTGTTGAGCAAAAGAAACCAAGTAAAATATTAAATACACTCATGACTCCATCTATATAACTCCATGTATATATGTTGAACAACAGGTAAAAATGATCAATGCTATTAGAAGTTAAGATAATGGTTTTAGCTGGGCACATTTGCTCACACTGTAATCATAGCTACTCAGAAGATTGAGGTGGGAAGACCATTTGAACCCAGGTGTTCAAGACCAGCCTGGGCAGCACAGCAGGAAATTAGCCAGGTTGGGGGTCCGGGGGAGCGGTCCATGCCTGTAGTCACGACTACTCAGGAAGCTGAAGTAGGAGGGTCCTCTGAGCCCAGGAGTTTGAGGCTACAGTGTGCTATGATTGCGCCACTGCGCTCCGGTCTGAACGATGGTGAGACCTCATCTCAAAAAAAAAAAAAAAAAAAAAAAAAAGGAAACGAAAGAAAAAAAAACAAAAAGGTAATGGTTCTCTAATTGAGGGAATGGTGTTTGGAAAGACACATAAGGATGGCTGGCAAGATGCTTACTAATGTTCTATGTCTTGACCTGGATGTTTTAACTTTGTGATAATCCATCAAACTGTTAACTTGTATTTCTGCATTTTCCTGTTTGTTCCTGTTTTTCATGTTATAAAAAAGTTTTTCTAAACATAAAAACAAAAACAAATAGCTGGAAAAAAAATCAGAATTTTACACTTTTTGGCAGACAATTTTTTTCTCCACAAATTCCTTAGGGGGGAGAAATGTGAAATTTCCTATAATGATCAAGTGAGAACCCTGCCAATTCCTAATTCCCAAGACCTACTCTGAGCTTTTTTAGGCATAATACATGAATTTCAGAAATGGTTAGTAAAAAAAAGTCATCATGAGCTTCACTAGCAGTAAATAGTCCTGAATGTGCCTCCATGTTTGATGTAATTATTTAACTGGGAAAAAGAAATAGCCTATATATTTTTCTGCACCTAAGCTTTCTAGTAAGCAAATGAGAGATATTCACCTTTCAGACTTTAGAAAGATCTTTTGTATTGATAACTCACATCAATGGGTCTTAAAACCAGCTTCAGGCCGGGCACAGAGGCTCATGACTGTAATCCCAGCACTTTGGGAGGCCAACATGGGCAGATCACAAGGTCAAGAGATCGAGACCATCCTGGCCAACACGGTGAAACCCCCTCTCTAAAAATACAAAAATTAGCTGGGCATGGTGGCACATGCTTGTAGTCCCAGCTACTCGGGAGGCTGAGGCAGGAGAATTGCTTGAACCTGGGAGGCGGGGGTTGCAGGAAGCTGAGATCACGCCGCTGCACTCCAGCCTGGCGAAAGAGCAAGACTCTGTCTCAAAAAAAACAGGCTCAAATAGAATACAGTTGTCTATTTTTTATTATCACTACTGTTAAATGAACAAATGCTTGATTTTTAAATCCTTGATACAAATTGAGACATTTGATACCTTTGCCAAAAGAAAATAGATAAAAGGAATCTACCTCCTCCACAATTCAGCAAGCACCAAAAGAAGTTAATTTATTCAACACATAAGGGTCACAACAGAATCATAAAAGCAGTCATCATTTACTGAGCTTTACTGTGTTCTGGACACTTGCTAAGTATATAAGAAACTCACTTCATCCTCACAACAATACTATGAGGAGGAATAAATTATCTTCCCCCATTTTACAGATAAGGAAATTGAGGCTTAGAGACATCAAATAATTTGCACAATTAACAAAGCAAGTAGCAGAGGGAGCTTTCAATCAGTTCATTGGTTTGGTGTGAAATACCTGATTTCTATTTTCTACTTTGTGTCTTTATTTTAAAATTTTAAGCCTAAGGACTATGAAATGCAGAGAACACGTATATATATGCTTACATAGATACACATGCATACGGGTTTTAAAGGCCCCAAACTACTCACACGTCATAAGCCCTGTATATAGCTCTGCACCAGAACAGAGCTTAGGTTTTCTCCAAGAAACAAAACGGACTTCTCAATGATAGACGAGCAAGCCAAAGCACCGCATATAGTAAGTCTACAAAGCATTAACTGGATTAATTAGCAAGGGATTTGAGAAGCAGCTTGGAGCTAGGAAACCAAAACACTAAATTGTTTAAATACTTTGGCAAAAGATCAAGGTTTCTAGGCAGCACTGGGTCTCCTTCCATCCTTTTCGTTCCATGTTTTAACACATTTAACCTGTCTGAGGTAGTTTTTCATGAGATATGAATGACATTGTCAAAATACCAAAAAGAAAAGAGAATTTAAAAAATACTGCAAGCTGTTACCAATTCTGCCAACAGGCAAGAGCCCAGGCAACATTAATTACAAATCAATCGCTCAGGACATAAACAGCTCTTATCACTGGTAAACTCTCCCTCTAAAATAACTTGCTTTAGAGGGGAAAAAAAAAAAAAAAAGCAAATGTCTCTTCTATTATACTCGGTGAACTAATCAGGACAATGAAACCAAATAAAACAGGAGAAAATGCACCAAATAGCAAACGTGAAAAAGGAATCCTAGCTAGATGAACGCCTGGAATGCTACCAGAATAGCACTGTCATTTAGAAATAACGAAGAGGAAGTGGTCAGGGTAGGGACACTAGCTGAATGGGTTTCTGGTTTCCAGGAAGTAAGAATTTTTACAACGCAGCTGATTTTCACAAACACATATGGCAGCAAAATGATAAAAGGCGGCTTTCAACAATACAATCATGGTAGAGGTGGGGGGAATCTGTGTCCCTCTAGTAATGAAGGTAGTTTTATAATGGTCAAGCACACTCATCACAGCCCTCACCACTGCCACACACACAACTATCCAATCATAATAATACATTTCAAAAATCAAAGGATCCTTCCAGAAGTCTAGTTCATCTAGACCCTATCCACAAACTACTATTCGTTTACCTAACTCTTTATCTTGGATATCTGCATTTTCCTCTTGATTTCCAGGAAAAAAAAAAAAAAAAGAAAAAACCTGAGTACCTTTCTACTGCAAAAACTCTCAAAACACACTCCTCCACCACACACTTCGTTCACTCCGATAGAAAAAAATTAGTAGAAAAGAATCACTAACTTTCCATCAAAATACATTCTGACTTCTGTTAGGTCCTTTGGGCTTCCTGAGGATATGGTAAAAAGTGGTATATGGTATATATGCTATATAAAAGTGGGGAGAGCTTCAGCTATGAAGCCTGGCAAAAGTGAGATGGTTAGGGGTTGTTTTCTCAACCTCCCTCAATAAAATGAGGAAGAAGGGCTATCTCAGAATTTGAGAATGAGAGATCTGTGTGTAAAGTATCCAGCAGGGTGTCTGACACACAGTAGGTGTTTGGCAGTTACTATTATTATTTCTCCTTGGTTCCGGGGACATGGTATGTTAAGTTTCAGGATAACATAAATTCTTTCCTGAACCAGAAATTTTATTGACAATTAGATAAACAAGCTGTTAGCAGATTACAGTAGGGTGCTATCTGTTGATTTTGAACAAAATTTACCTCAGTATGTCCAGGGCACTGTCTCCAAAGGTTTCACGACACTCTCACATTAATTGTGCACTTTCATAAAATAACTATGAGGAAAGGCTAATGGGCAATAATACCCCTGGGCTCACATATGAATTAACAAGACTGAAGGAAATCAGGGAGTTCACAGTGCAGCCAAGCTCACACAAATTTCTTGACTATGGGTATTTTATTCACCAGACTTGGCTTAATATGAGAGAAAAAGTAACACAAGTTCATTTCTTCAGTCAAATTATAGAGGGGAAAAATACGGTTAAGAAGAAAAAAGCTAATATACTTTTTTACAAAAATAAAAAGGATATATAATAAAATACCAAAAGAAAGGTAGCCAAAAAGGTGGTTAAGTAAAATATATTATAGTTTGAGTCTAAGTTTTTCATATCTCATATTAGAGAATTTTTAAGTGACTTAATATCACATGATATTCATTTCAAATTTGAGGAAATACTAAAATGTTACTGCATATAACAAATTTCTATACAGAAAAATGTATACAGGTATACATTTTTATAAATAATTTTTAATGTTATCTTACAAATAAAAGTTGTTTATTCACATTACAAAATTTCCCAGACTTTTTCAAAAGAAGTTCATTCCCTTTCTGTTTCATTTAACAGATAATTTACAAAAATAGTAATATAAAACGTTTTGGAATATTTATTGCATAAAATAGGCTACAATACAACTACATTTGTTATCTTCTATAGTTCCCTTACTAAACATATATTGAATACCTACTACGAGGAAAGTACTCTGAATACCTCATATTATTACATTTCTTATGCCATTAAATTCTCAAGATAATAAAATAGGAAGGGGATAGTAATTCCATATTACTGATGAGAAAACTGAGATCCAAAAAGGTCAAGTGCCTTGTCCAAGTCAGTTTACTGGCCAAGAAAGGGTCAGGATTTAAACTCCTCCCAACCGAGGATAAAGCCTGTGCATCTTATGTTTTGCATGCTGCTTTCCTATGTTCCTAGATTGTCTGCAATTAGAATAATCAAACGATCCCACCATTCCACTACATTCACAGACACCAGTGTCTCATCACTCAACAAAGATACTTCACAATTAGCACCCCCTTGCCTGCCCCCAAGAGGATCGACCATCTTTCAACAAACCAGGTCAAGTTAAAGGAGAAAACACAACTTCAAAATAGTCCTGTTGCATTAGCATAACCCAGAAACAATCAGATACCTATCCAGGGGTAAGGTATGGATACAAACATTATATATATGTAGTTTTTCTGAAAACTGAAAAACCAAACTATTTTAAAATTACTGTTCAACCAGATACTACTATCCAGGGATAAGGTATGAATAAAAACGTTATACATATGTAGTTTTTCTGAAAACTGAGACACCAAACTATTTTAAAATTATTGTTCAACACTATATAAAGAAGGCTAAAAGCACAATTTGGGAGCCCTGACTCTATCATGGCAATCTCAACCTAAACCTCAAGGTCAGCACCTCTTTTCCTAAAGAAAAGGAAAAAAACTGAGAAAGTGGAGAACCTGCCCAAATGTAAAGACCAAGAAAAACAGTGCTAGTCTACTTTGACTTCAGCTAATCCAACCTGATGGCATAAAACATATAAACCAATGCAATTTCTACACTATTCTGACACTGCTCCTGCACATGTTGTGGCAAAAAGACTGTACTATTTCTTTCATTCCTCCTATGAAACCTCTATGATGGGACCCATTAATAATCCCATTTTATAAATTAAAAATACGAAACAACTTGTACATCCTATCGTCACACAGCTTATAAACTGGCTGTACCAGAACCAGAATTTACGCTTTTAACCAACCCATACTGATGCAAAACCTTGTTCCAACAGAGAAGTTGAGCATTCCAGAAACACAACCTAACCATTAACCTTAAGCAGAGCTATTATAGACACAGGCAGCACAGTACAGACCTAGAATCGAATCAACAATCCACTACTTACTAGCTGTATTACCTTAAGGCAAGTTACTTCATCTTTCTGTGCGTTGGTTTGTAACACTTATAAAATGAGGACAATAATTAATCTCTTATGGGCTCCAGGAAGAATAAGAAAAAATACACACATACTTGTTCATCTGTGTATATATGTATATGTCTGTGTATGTGTATATGTGCGTGTATATATATAATATGTATATACATATATATAAAGCAAATAGAAGCTTAACAAACGTTAAGTTACAGCCACGAGCTTTGCTCCATTTCAATACTCAGTTATAAGAAAAATGATGATACTTGAGGAGCAATTGCAGAATCTGCTAGTGCTTTAACTGAATCCTTAGAAAACTGAAATTTGGACAACTTAAAAAAAATAGCCATATCAAGAATCATTAGTAACAATAGATCAGACCCAAAGATTTCCCAAATGTCCTTAAATTGCATTAGATATGTTGGCCAATCAATCATTCAAGGCGGTACCTGGAAAGAAAACCTAACAAAGAAAATTTCTTTTTCCTTCTACATTCAGTTTCCTTGTACAGTGGCAAGTAGGATCCAATTATGGATTTAGACCCTCAGGAAGCCCTACCTAGGAAAACCTCATTCTGAAAGAAAATCACTTCACCCTCACTCAGTGGCAGTGCCCAAACCCTCCCACTGTTTCCTCAGTTTGCAAATACAGCAGATAACGGAAATATTTTATTTATAGGGAAGTCCATAGCACATTTAAGTAGAAATAATCTTTTTAGGTGTATTATCATCTCCACAAAAAGCCACACATGGGCAAGAGCCATATCTTTTTCCATGCAGACATGTTTCACTCTGCTCACGCGGAAGGGGCAGTGCAGCAGAGCACCTGGAGGCCACGGGGACCATCCAGGTCTGGGCTGAGCCACACGCTCGAATCGACCTTGGGTACAGACAAAAAGTGTCTGTTAACGGTGGGAAGCCAAGCTTGAAAGATCATATAGACCACTTTGAACCATTACCAAGATAAGTGGTGAACGAAGGAAGCCAGCAGAGGCAAAGCCATGATGAAAGAGATGAAGCCACCCTGGTGCATGACTTTCCGGTTCCAATTGGTCCTCATGAAGCCCAGCTGGTTTTGCTTCCTGTCCTTCACTGTACAACAGACCTCTCCACCTCTATCCCTGCCCTTCCTGAGCTAGTTTTAGTGAAATTCCACCCCTTGTATTCAAAAACGCCTTAACAAGGACATTAGCCCACTGCCTGGCACACAGAAGGGATTCAATTAAACACATTTAAAAAACAGGAGTACAAACCTTATAAAATACATGATGTTAGATGGGGCATTCTCATAATTACAGTTTCCGCGACAGACAGGCCAATTTCCCTTAATCCACTTATCCAATAATTGTTAAGGAAATAAACAGTATTTGACACAACACGACACTTTATTCCAATTTATCATCTAATAATAATTAAGCATTCAAAGCTTACAATGAAAGCACAGCTCCACAGTTCATATTGTTCTTTTAAATTGAATAATTTGGAATCCTGTGAAGAGTTCCACCTTACAGCAGATTCCCTCATTCTTGTGCAAATACAATCTGTCTATCAACATATTAGCATTTCAATCACCCTTGTTTTTTTCATAACTGGGAGAAGCTGTCTTCATTTATTCCTATTGAGCATCTACCACCTATGAATTATTTCTGAAGCTAAGCAGTAGAATTGAATTTAAATCCAAGTAAATGAGAAACCGAAACTATTTTCAAAAATAAATGTAGGACACTGGTTCCAGTTGCATACTCCCAAATATTATAAATGTTCTTTAATGATTAATTTACTTTAAGGTGAAAATAATTTCTTTTGAATTAAATTGTTATAATAGTTAGAAATGGAACATCGACCCCATGTTTCAAGTGTTTTTGTCTATTTTTTTTTTTTTTCAAGAATTCTGGATCAATTTATATTCCTGGAGTAAATACATCCACCACTCAAAAAAAATTTTTTTAAGTCCCCTTTAAGCATCCCTTTAAGGTACTGACCATAAATGGTGTAATTTGCCCTGGACATCATTAAAATGTAAAGTTAATGAGGATTCAGCTGAAAACAGAAGGAATGTAACCTATTTTCAGGCAAAAGTTCTAACACAGCAATCAGAGGAAAAAGCTCTTTGATGTTTCTTTGTCTCTTCTCATTAATTTTTTTTGTCTCAAAAAAAAAAGACTATTTAAACTTAAAAAAAAGCACCAAAGTTTAAACATGATAATTATAACAGAACTCCAATGAGGTCGTTAGAATTTTTTATGAGATAAACAAGAATCAGTCATATATACATGGAGATAACACCACCTACCTGGCAGAGTTATTATAAGTTTTACAAATATTGTAAGTAAAATGTATAGCAGAATAGCTGACACATGAAAGGTACTCACTTATATTATCTCCCTCTTTGTCACACTCTGTCCCCAAGGGCCTAGCACAGTGCCGGTACAAAAATAGTAATCAAAGAGTCGCCATTATTATTATCACATATGCTGTATTTTTTTTCCTACTGAAGAACTCACTATATTAACCCTAACCTTCTTTCCAAGATTTATGCAAGACTCAGCACCGCCTGTTACTAGGCAGGTGGGGCGTTATCCAAATAACCAGCATGGAGTAAACAGTCTCGTGTGACATTTTATCATGTGAAGTGCCTACACAGGTATAAATATTATATCTTTTCTGGTTTTATTGCCTCATTTTACAATTATGCTACTAAAGAGCAAAATAGCATGCAGAATGTTAAGTGGCATTCTGCTGCTTGGAATTTCATCCCAAGGCTCCATTCAGAATAACAAATGTGGAAGCTATTTCATCTCTGCCCTATTGTGAAGAAAGTCATCACCTTTACTTAAATATATACGAGAGTTTGACTTTCTGCAACCCATTTTGTGCTAAGTGAAATCTTAAACCAAATGTGATAATTACCAAGGTGATGTCATTTAGAAAGTAGTATAGTGCTTTCCAGAGAGACCCTACCGTACACTTTGTTATTGTTATACCAATTCCATAATTCCAGTAAACAAAGACTAATCAGCAATAAGTGGATCTATCCAAGATGATGCACCCTTAAATACCATGAGAATTTAGAATTTCTCTTCACTCAAACAAAAAATTATAAATTCAATAAACTAATCACAGTTATTTTAAATGTTAAGAGATCATCAAAATAATGTTTCTCCAGTAATTTTCATTTTAAAGGCATTTCCACATAAATTACCTAATTTTCAGTGTTTGTTCATTCCATAAATATTCACTAAATCTTCTTAATATTGAGATCTGGTCATACAGTGGTGAAGAAAATACTGGGTGATCACTACCCTCACAGAGTTTAAGGTCCAGTACAGAAGCTCAGGCAAACTAACAACTGCACAAGTAATGTAACTATAAGCTATGATAACTGCCACAAGACTATACAGTGTAAGAACAAGCTTACTTTAGGGATCTGAAAAGGTTCCCCCCTAAGGATGATTTAATGTCTGAAGTGAGACCTGAAGGAATTGGTGCAGGGTGGGTGGGGGAAGGTGAGAAAGAGGTTTAGGACAATGATAGTTGAGAAGAAATACCTAGTTTTTAAAGATATTTAGGTAAATCAATCAAATTTTTCTGATATATTGAATATAGAGGGTGAGCAGGAAGGCAGGTGACCAGGATGAAGGCAGTAGGTTTTTAGTTTGCATACCTGATTTTTTAAATGTGCTGCTCAGTGGAAGGGGACCAGAGCTTCATTCAGTTTAATGAGCAGATCATGAGTTAGAATTCAGACATTTTGAATTTCAGATACTTTTCAGGCATCCAAACAGGTTGAGAGCTCAGAAGAAATGTTTCATACCTCATTCATTTATTCAACATGCAATTCCCAAGAAACAATTTGTATTAAGTCCCATGTTTCTCATTAGGGAAAAGAAGGTGAACAGGATGCTCAGCTGCCCTTTGAAAGAAACAAGTATGTTGACAGATGTGTAGAAGTACACCAGAATTCAAAGGAAGGAAAGACTGAGTCTGTCTGGACAATCAGGGAAGGCAGCATGAAGAAAATTATCTTGAAGATAAATGCCAATTCCTCCAATGAGGCAAGAGAAAAGACATTTCAGACAAAGAAACAGCATCTGAAAATGACAATTACTTTGCAGTGGCTGCAAGTACAATGTATGAGAGGTGAGAAGTAAAAGAAAAAACCATGAGGACCATATTTGCAGAAATACAGAGGAGCAAGAAAATATTAATGTTACAGCTCTTTCAGAATTTGTCTAGGTTTTCTGGTTTAGCAGAAAAAAAAAAGAGAGAGAGAGAATGCTATGAACAAATGTGTGCCAATGAATTAGATATATGAAATGGACAAATCTCTAGAAAAATACAAACTACCAAAACTGATTTAAGAAGAAACAGAAAATCTGAATAGACCTATAGCAAGAGATTGAATTACTAATTTGAAAACTTCCCACCAAAACAGATGAACTCAGATGACTTTACTGGAGAATTCTACCAAACATTTAAAGAAGAATGAATACCAATTCTTCATAAACTCTTTCAAAAACTAAAATATGAAGAAAAACTTTCCAATTCATTCTATAAGGCCAGTATTATGCTGATACCAAAAGCAAACAAATATAAGAAAACTAAAAATGCAAAAATACTCAATATATTAATACTAGCAAACCAAATCCAGCAACACAAAAAAAGGAATACACACCATGACCAAGTGAGATTTATCCTAAGAATGCAAGGTTGGGTGCCTGCATTAGGGCCAGGACAGCCCTTCCCACATGATAGTAGGATGCAGTAGTTCCCCAAGTCCCTTCCCCAAGCGAGAGAGATAGCCACTCAAGAAAATACCATGAAAGATACTGACATCAAAAAACTACTTTATACCCATATTTTATGCATATTTTCAATTATCCTAAGTGTCTTCATTCCATCATTCTTCTTGGAGAACTTCTCAATATTGTAAACACACTTGACATGGTTGTGCATATGTTCTGGTTTTGTAGCTGCTGTCAATCTAGTATTATATTTAGTAGTGAAACCAAATGCATCCCCTAAAAAAGTTCATTATCACACAAGGTAACTTGATTTTTGAAATGCTGTATCTACCTTCTTTTGTCCTGTTTCTCCTTCCATGTAATTTTTGTTCTATATGGAGCTAAAAGAGTTGGTGTTGGAAACATTTTTATTTGCAGTCATTTTGTCTACTTTTACCACTGTACCTTATGTTTGTTAGAACCAAATCTCAAAAGCATAGCTTAGAGTTTTCAGTAGAAATGGTGTTACAGCCATTTGGGAGAATAGTCTCCAGATCATTACAATTTCTAGTTTTGTAGGAGCATAACTTGAAGCACTGCCAATACCACTGAGTGGAGAAAGACTATGGCAGGTATGGCCCATCTCCTATATGCTTGGAGTGACCTTTAGCAACATGGATGGACTTGTTATTTTACCATTCTGGATATACTGGAATATAAAGCAATTTCTATACAAGAACAATTAATTGGAGCAAAGGGAGAAAATATTCCTTTGCATATATTCCATAGGGCTGTGCAAAAATGTATATAATCAAAGTCAAGTAGTTCCATTACAGCACTGTGTTTTACGTAATTACAACATGATGTAATTGTAGCTTTTTAAACCATGAAACTCCTTGGAGATTGTATCTTCTAGTTAAAATAAAGTACTTACGATAGAATTTTTAAAAACAAGAATGCAAGGTTGGTTTAACGTCCAAAAATAGATTAATGTAATAAGCCGTATCTAGAGAATGATGAACAAAAATCACACAATCATCTCAAAAGACACAGAAAAAGCATCTGACAAAATCCAATATCCTTTCATAATAAAAAAAATTAAACAAACTAGAAACAAAACAGAACTTCATCAAGCTGATAAAGGGCATCTAAAAAAATGATATAATTAATATCATAATTATGCCAAAAGACTAAATGTTTCTCTTTAAGATGCGGATGAAGAAAAGAATATTCATTTCTGCCACTTCTATTCAACACTGTATTGGAGGTTCTAGCCAGGGTAATTAGGTATGAAAAAGAAATAAAAGTCATCAAGAATAGAAAGAAAGAAGTAGTACTATCTTGATTTGTACATTACATACTCTTACACAAAGAAAATCCTAAGAAATTCACTAAAAACCTATTAGAACTAATAAACTAGTTCATCAAATCTGCAGGATAATAGATCAATATTTTTAAAAATCAATTCTATTTCTATACACTAACAAAGAACAATACAAAAATGAAATTCAAAATTTCCATTTACAATAACATCAAAAAGATTAAGAAAAATAGGAATAAATTTAACAAGGGAATTGCAAAACTTATACTCTGAAAACTACAAAACATTATGGGGAAAAAAACCCTAAACATTACCTTAATAAATGGAAAGATATCCTATATTCATGGATTGCAACACAATATTGTTAAGCTGACAATCCTCCCCAAATGAATCTACAGATTCAATTAAATCCCTACCAAAATCCCAGCTGGGCTTTTTGCAGAAATTGATAAGCTAATACTAAAATTCATATGGAGATGCAAGGGACCCAGAATAGTCAAACAATCTTTAAAAAGAACAAAATTGGAGGACTCATACTTCTCAATTTTAAAATTTACTACAAATCTACAGTAATCAAGACAGTATAGTACAGCATTAGGATATGAACAGGATTCAGAGTCCAGAAATAAATATTTGCAATTGTCAATTACAATTGTCAATTAATTTTCAACAAGGGGCCAGGCACGGTGGCTTATGCCTGTAATCCCAGCACTTTGGGAGGCTGAGGTGGACAGATCACTTGAAGCCAGTAGTTCAAGACCAGGCTGGCCAACATGGCGAAACACCATCTCTACCAAAAATACAAAAAATTAGCTGGGCATGCTGGCACGCACCTGTAGTCCCAGCTACTCAGGAGGCTGAGACACAAGAATCTCTTGAACCCGGGAGGCAGAGGTTGCAGTGAGTCAAGGTTGTGCCACTACACTCCAGCCTGGGCAAGAGAGCAAGGCTGTGTCTCCAAAAAACAAAAAAAAAATCAACAAGGAAACCAAAACAACTCAATGGAGAATTAATACTTTTCAACAGAAGGTGCAGGGGCAATTGACTATCTACGTTTGAAAGAATAAAGTTAGACTCCTTCCTTATAAGCATATATAAAAATCAACTTGATTTGGATTGTAGGCTGGGGATACTGGTTCATGCCTTTAATCCCAACACTTTGGGAAGCTGAGGCAGAAGAATCACTTGAGGCCAGGAGTTCAAGACCAGCCTGGCCAAAATAGCAAAACCTCATCTCTCCCTACCCACCCCCCAAAAAATTAAGTGGGTGTGGTGGCATACACCTGTAGTC